>NC_000001.11:36428835-37053835 GCF_000001405.40 Homo sapiens | reverse complement strand
CTACTTAACAGCCTCACAAGATAATCCATGAGAAACACTAATCCATGTGTGCAGCATGTAGTAAGTGATTAATAAACATTAACTGGTATCATTATTAATACGAATAATAATTAATTGGAAATAGCTAAAGTCATAGAGGTGATCTCTCTATGCTGCATCTATAAAATTGGACATACTAGGACCCACCACACAGATGCTTTGTAGGAAGTGTTATTTAAAAGGATTTGTGTGACACATTTAGCTCAGACCTGGATACATTTATTCAGACCTGTAGGTGCTCAATCAATAGTAGCTGTTTGTTATGATTATGTATGTTATGATTATGATTGTTAATATTTGTCACTAATGAATGTTACCCGTTGTGTCCTGGGCACCTCCCATCTTCCCAGGACTGGGCTGTGGCTAAGGGTGAGCCAATGACCCAGATAATCGTGCTTATAACAGACTGTGGCAGAGTGGTGGGGGATGGGGAGGCAAAACACAATCGCATGATGCAAGGTCTGTCATGGACATGCTGTATGACCTTGGCTAAGCCTCCTTCCCTCTCTGAGTAGCACTTCCCCTGAACATACAACTGGAGATTGAACTCGACGATCTCCAGTGGTCTAGACTCTAGTTGACTCAACTTATCTAATGAACTGCTGAGGAAATTTCCTGTAGCTGACACTGGGTCTTGCCAGGTGTGGCTTGATGGAGAGGGTGGACCACTGGGAAGAAACAGCACAGGCAAAGGCAGAGTGTCCTCCTCTGCCTCCTCCTTTCCCTTGGAAATGTAGGGCTCATTGTCTGTAGGGACTTCCTGGAACCTCCTGGCCACGGGGGATCATCCCTTCCATCGCTGCTCATTGGCCCTGCCGGGCCACCCAAGTGTTGTCTTCAGTTCAAGTCCCCTGATATCACTCCCAGAGAACTGGGTGACCTTTCTTTAGAGTACACTTCTCACTGTTTGTTCTTACCCATTTAGTTATATGACTCTTTGATTCAAGTCTAACTTCCTCACCAGACTGCATGCTCCATGAGGCCAGGGGCCATAGAACTGGCTTAATTCACCCTTGCATTTCCAGCTCCTTTCCAAGTGCCTCCCCTCATAGTAGGTATTTGATATATGCTTATTGAATGGATGAATGGACAAAAGAATGGATGGATGGATAGGTTAAGAGGAGAGTAAAAAACTTTCTACAGAGCCAGCCCCTTATAGGTGTGAGTTCAATGGAAGGTGGAAGGGGATGGAGCCCTATATATCCAGAGGTCAGTGTTCTGAGGGTGTCTGGGAGGCATCACATATTCGAATCAAAATCCAGGCCTCCTTCCAGCTCGTAGCATTGCCACTAGCAACAGGATGGAGCCATGGAGACCTGGATATGCCCTATCCTTTTCTGAGTCTTTGCAACCCTGCCCCAACACTTCTTCCCACTGAATAGCAATCTTGTGCTCTTGTCTTCCTCACCCCAAACCATCCTGCATTCAGGAAATGATCTGACTCATTCAGGAGTCCCTGAGACTTAACTGGATTCCATTCTTGGGGTTATTTACATTTTAATGACTAGGGCTTTAAAAATTAAGTCCAAGGGGTGAGGCAGAGATGTTGAGACAGCAAGACCTTGTGTGGAGGCTCTTCCTGGTGTTCAGAGAGAAGGTCTCTGGGTGTCAAGGGCTCGGGACCTGCTGGTTGATGTCCTCTGGGCAGGTTTGTAGGTCATGCACCTTTTCTTCCCAATCCCTATCCCCTGAAAATGTTCTTTATTTCCAGAATCAGGCTGGGATCTCTGTTTTGGGTATCATGGAGGCTTTCAGAACCCAGCTGCAGGCTCTCCTTAACCCTTCGTCTCCTCCCTGCCCCAGACTTAGGTTCCTCTACTTGCCCAAGCCACCCAACCTGACTGGGAGCCCATGATTCATTATCTCCCAAAGATGTGGCTCCTGCACAGGGAAGCAGAGGTGGGACTGGAACAGCCAAGCTGCTACAAAGCCAGAACAAGGTTTGTAGGCAGCCCCCAGCCACTCCCTGTAACTAGGCAGAAGCTGGTAGGGAGGAGGAAGGGAGTGAGAGCAGGCAGGCAGCACCAGAAAAACAGCCCGGTGAAGTGCCTGCAAATCCTCCTTTTAAACCATCTCCCAGAAGGCCCAGATGACGATTAGCAGCCCCAGAGAGAGCCCCGGGTGGGGAGGTGGTGGAGGTAGATGGGTTAAAAGGGAAGGGGCCTTTTCCCAGCCTCCCCAGGGTGGAGAATTGGTCTCCCAGTGAAAAGCAGGCCCACTTTAGCCTAAGTGACTGGTCTGTGCAGCGCATTCATCTGGTATTCATGAGTCTGGCATTAACTCTAATGACAAGGCCCCGCAGGGTCTGGCTTGGATACTCAGCATGGCCTTGCCGCTCCCTTTCTGGGCCACTATGTGATTTCCCATTAGTGAAATGAACACGCAGAATGCAGAAGGACAGTAGCCTGGCCTGCTGGGTGGGGCACACACACATGCATACACGACTGCACATGCCCACAGAGGCAGGCACATTGGGCTGGGTTCCGACCCAATGCCTGGGTGAGGGTGGCAGGAAAAGCACCTCCAAACCCAACTAAAGACCCTCAGGGAGTTGTTTGGGGGCTGCTACACCACAAGGTGCTAGAGAGTTACAGAGGAAGATCACTGACCCAAAGTTAGGAGACCCGGGATCAAGTCCCAGCAAACAGCTAAGATTTGCTGGGTATCATTGTACCCCTGATGCTGTCCCGTGTACGTAAGCTGCCTTATCCCCTCAAATCCTCACCACAAACACTCAAGTGGGTATTATTATCCCATTCCATAGAACAGGAAATGGAGATCAGGTAACTTCTTGACATTGTACAACAAAAGGGCAAAGCCAGGATTGAAACCAGGTCTGTCAGATTCCAGCCCAAACACAAGCCAGCGCTGTCACTCTGCCACTTACGAAACCAATGGCCTTCCCAGGGCCTCAGTTTCTTCATCTGCAAAATGGAAGCTTACACCTCTTCTTCCTCGGACATAAAATTATTGTGAGGATGGCAGGTTAGAGCTGTAGAGGCAGACAGACAAATAGATCTACTCCCTGAGAGTTTTAAGCCTCTTTGTCCATGTTAAATTCTAGGCTCGAGATGCAGACTGAACAAGCAGAAAGCATTATAGATATTCTTACCATGAAAATCCTACTCTAGTAACTTGAGACATTTTCTCTTCCTTGTGAAAAAGAGTGCAACTGACACATTGTGGGAGAAGCACCCCTAGCCAGATTTGGCAATGTCTGGGAAGACTCAAGGTGGTGAATTTCTGAGAACTCATTGCCTTGAGGGCAGAGGGGAGAGTCAACAATAGGGTACCTAAGATATCTGACCCTTCTGCAGGGCTCCAGCCCACCCAGAAAGCAAGGGAAGCAGCCCAACCCCTTCTTGTATCTAACCACCCTTTGTCTTGTTGACTCTCAGGTCAGTTCTCCCAGGGACTAGGCTAAAGGACATTTACTCCATTTATACCTGAGTCAGGGATCATGGAGAAAACACGAACGGGCTTTCTGAGAAGAGGACCAGGTAGCCAGAAGGCTGATTTTCCTATGTCTCAAGGGCCTGGGCACTTCATGGTGAAGCCACCAGGTGTAGGCTGACCTGGGAAGACTGAGGCAGCAGAATGCCCACTCCAAATCACAACCCTCTCCTCCCCTATCCTAGCCATGAATAAAGCTGCAGCCTTCTCTATAGGGGATGGGGAGGGGTGCCCAGCTTGCCAGTCTGTCACTTCCATACTGAAATGTCCCGGCTACAGGCACATGGAGATTTGTGCATTCCAAGTGAGAAAAGGGCATGAAGATGATCTGCTGATCATCTATCCTAGAACTGGAGGAGGCCACAGGAGAGAGAAAGGCAGGGCACTGGAGGGGAGCTGGTCAGGTTGCTGAAGATGAGCTTGCTGGAAGCCACCATGTGGGTGAAGCTTCACACTCCCTTTTGTCTGCTCAGCCCCCAGGGGCAGAGCAGCCAAGCTCCTTCTCTCACTTGCCCTGCAAGTCTTTCTTACCGTGTTTTGTGAGAGATTCTGCCCCAAGCACCCATGGGTGTGTGTGTATGCACATACTGCATATACACATATATATGTATGTGTGCATATGCATACACAAATGTGAGCATGTTGATGTGTGTGACATGTATGTGTGCATGCACATGAGTGTTTAACACACACGTAGGTCCACATGCTTGCATGTTGTGTGTGTATCCCTAACCTACCCTCCTACAAACTCCTTTTCCTCCCTAGGTAACTGGGCTTCCAGAGTCTATTCTTGGCTTCTTTTCTCCTGGGTCTACACTTTATAGAAGATCTCATTTTTGATCATTGCTTCCTTCCTTCTCCATGAAGATAAAACTGCCAAATCTATCTGGCCAATCTCTGCCCTCTTTCCCGAGCTCTCAAGCCTTACTTCCAATGGATGATCTACGTACATCTCAAGCCCTATGGTCCCATTGTCCCTTATCACCCTCTTCCCTAAACCAGTGTTTCCTCCAGACCTAAGTATTCCTGGGATCGCATTCATCACCATCCCAGCCTCCTTCATCTCTAACCTCTTGTCTGTTGGAGGCCTGTGGCTCCTCCCTGTGAAATATTCCCTTTTCTGTTTTCACCGCCGTCATCCAGGGCCAGGACTTTATCAGCACAAACTTTTTCTACTCAATAGGCCCCAGCTCATCTTCCAGCCTCCAGGCCCTCTGGTCCCAATCCATGCAGTTCAGGGAAAGTGGAGCCATTTATAAAAGCACAATCTGGACCTCACTTCCCATTCCAAACCTTTTGCTGGGTTCCTGTGGCCTTTGAAGTGAGCTACACCTGGACCAAAATCTCCCCTCTAGCACTTGCTACCTGTGGTAACCTGGCCATGTTATGGGGCCTCTCAGAGCCACACCATGGTTTCCACAGAGTTATTATGAAAGCCAAGCAACGCAACATGTGAAAGTACTGCAGAGTGTCTTTTATGTAATATGTATGTTACATAAATATGTTTTGATATACTTTATAAATATGCATATGTGTTATATAAAATATGTATTTTCTTAATGTCACTTCTTTGGGAGAGAAACAGTGATGTGTGTGTGTATTACAAAAATGTTGGATAATGAGTATTGTTACAAATATATTGGATAATGAGTATTGTATATGACTGCATGCACAGAAATACTTTTATTTATCTA
Source organism: Homo sapiens (assembly GCF_000001405.40). Lineage (NCBI taxonomy): Eukaryota > Metazoa > Chordata > Mammalia > Primates > Hominidae > Homo > Homo sapiens. The sequence goes on along the minus strand of NC_000001.11, from coordinate 37,048,649 downwards.
TCTTATATTCTCTTTTTCTTGTTGTTGTTGTTGTTTTTTTTTTAGATGGAGTCTCGCTCTGTCACCCAGGCTGGAGTGCAGTGGCGCAATCTCAGCTTACTGCAAGCTCCGCCTCCCGGGTTCACGCCGTTCTCCTGCCTCAGCCTCCCGAGTAGCTGGGACTACAGGCACCCACCACCACGCCCGGCTAATTTTTTTGTATTTTTAGTAGAGACGGGGTTTCACCGTGTTAGCCAGGATGGTCTAGATCTCCTGACCTCGTGATCCGCCTGCCTCGGCCTCCCAAAGTGCTGGGATTACAGGTCTATCTTATATTCATTTTTTTATTCATTCAGCAAGCATCTGTTGACACCTATTACGTGCTATGTATTGGCTCCAATATATGGAAAGATATGAATTCTAGCCTTTACGAATTTGGCACTATATATGAACTTCCTCTCAAATCACAAGCCCTGAGAAAAATCCAGGTTTATCCATCAAGTCCTAACTCCCTGTCTCAGTCAGGGTTCGTGAGGGTGTCATGGTGTTTTCAAGGAGGCCTGGCTGGAGTTATTTGCCTTGGAAATCACCAGGCTCCACAAGGAATCCTTTTGCAGCCTGGAAATCCTGTCCCCTGCCCTGTTTTTGCACTGCAGAGCGTGAGGCCCCGTCAGTGCAGATGGTGGGCCTAGGCAGAGGGGCAGAGGTGGGGCGAGAGCCCTGCGCACAGAACCTGGAAAAGTCATGCTTGCATTTGAGCGGGGGCGGCGGGGTGGAAGTCGACAAGGCTCCGTCAAACTGAAGTCTTTCCAATTTGCTTTCAGGAAGGAGCGCCATTAACGTGAGCGTTCGGGGAAAAAAACAAAAACACTAATCACCATCCGAAATGTACATGCTATTTCCCATCTGGTGTGCGGAATTGGATCGTCTCGGGAGTCTCAGGAAAATGCAGCAGATGGGCTGGGTTTGGAGCTCGTCTCCCCACAGGCAGTGGGGAGAAGAGGAAGCGACTTGGCATGGGAAGCCGGCATGTGTGAGAGATGGGGGGCCCCGCCGGGTCCCCATCAACTGGGTCCTGGAGGAACCCTCCCCACCCTCAGATGCCTGATTCAGCCAGAGCAGGTGCGTTGGCTGCCCCTGTGGCTTCTGGTCCATTATGGGAAACAGCAGCTCATGCTCTCAGTTTGCAGAAGCTCTACTCAGGCAGCATCAGTGCCAGGGAAAGATTCGAGGGGATCAAACACTTGCCGAGTAGCTGTGCCACTCAGGCCAGTCATTCACCGTGGGTCGTTGACAGTGCCTCCCAGAGTCATCAAGAGGCTCAAATGAGGTCAATGGGAAGCGCCTAGCACGGTGTCTGCATGGGTTATTATCTGGTTTGGATGCCCACAAGAAGGGACTTGGAAGTGCTCCACAGGGGATGGATGTTGGGAAGAAGACCTTGCCCTCAAGCTTATGGCCTGTTGGGCTGAAGAAGAGGTGCCCAGGGTCCCCCAGTTGCACCACTGCAAAGGGGCATCTGTGTTACAGACAGTTCATCCTGTGACCTTTGCCTGGAGTCAGAAAGGAGAGGGGTGCCTGCTCAGCAGGGAGGAGGCTGGAACCGCTCCTGGCTGGTGCAAAGAGAGAAACTCGAGGGGAAACAAGAGGGAAAACAGGGCCCCTGGAGAAAAGAACCATGAGGAAGCATGCTCTCAGAATTCTCCACGCTCAGGGTCCCTTCTAGAGAGGAGATGGCCCCCTCCCCCTCCTCCTTCTGACCCCCCACGGATGACTGCTGTCCTATCAGATGGCAGAATGCCACCAATGCTTTTCTTCTCTGCTGTAACTTTCAGTCCCCCTCCCTGGAGCACCCCTCCCCCAAACATCTAATTAAAGAGAGGAAAGTAATTAAGGAAGGGCATATAACATCCCCGTTAACACTGAACTTAATAATGCCCCCAACCCCTCCCCCCAATTTCGATCCATAAATATGGCATGCAGAACAACTCACTGCAACACCAAATTGTTTATTGCTTGCTAAGCTGGAAAGCACTTGAATTAACCTCCTGCATAAGTGGAGTTAGGAAAGATCCAGGCGTCTTTAAGTGGAAAGAGGACATGAGCCAGACAGAGTCCTTGTCAGGGAACCTGGAGGATGGGGCCTCGTTCACTCCCTCACTCACACACCCATTCATAGGAGCATTTACTGAGTGCCCACTCTGTAATAGACCATGTGGTAGTGCTTGGGAAATAGAGGAGAATAAACCAATATTGCCTCTGCAGTTGGAGACACGTTGTCCTTTGCAGTTTTAAAAATGGCAGCTGTGGCCCCGTGAAGGGAGGGCCTGCTATACTTGACAGAAGACCGGGCTGGAGACTGAAAATAGATGGCAGGACCCTCCCACCCTACCCCACCTTTCTGACTGGACCATTGCAATTTAACAAGCCTATGATGTATTTCAGGCACTGTGGGAGTTATAGAGACAAGGCAGACACTGCCCTTGACCCAGAGAAGCTCATAGACTGGGAAGACGGACTGGGACACAGCACTAATTGCAGCCTTCAGAGACCCACTTCTTAACTGAGATGTGTGCAAAGTCCAGGGAAAACACAGGGACTGCAACAGTTAACTGTCTGGGGAAGTTGTAGAAAGGATCACAAAAGAACTGACATTGAAGTTGGGTTTTGAAGCATAAGCAGAAATTCCCAGTGGAGAAAAGGGTGCAGGAAGATCTAGGTGTCATACCTGGAGAGACTGTGTAAACGTGCAAAGGCATGAAAGTAGATGGGCTGTTTGGGTTGAAGTGGAAACAGGTGGAAGAGGTGGAGAGGGTGGGGAGTCACAGGTCAGGTAACATTAGAGAAGAAATAATGAGCCAGGCACGGTGACTCAGGCCTGTAATCTCAGCACTTTGGGAGGCCGAGGCAGGTGGATCACTTGAGGTCAGGAGTTCAAGACCGGCCTGGCCAACATGGCGAAACCCCATCTCTACTAAAAATACAAAAATTAGCTGGGTGTGGTGGTGCACACCTGTAATCCCAGCTACTTGGGAGGCTGAGGCAGGAGAATTGCTTGAACCCAGGAGGCAGAGGTTGCAGTGAGCTGAGATCGTGCCACTGCACTCCAGCCTGGGTGACAGAGTGAGACTCCCTCTCAAAAAAAAAAAAAAGAGAGAGAGAGAGAAGAGATCATGGGCAGCCCACACAGTGTGGTATGGCCTAGAGGGTGAGAGAATGGGAGCCTGGCTGCTTGGATGCTAAACCTGGTTCCACGACTTACTAGCTGTCTCTCCATTTCCTCATCAGCAAAGTAGCAATAATAACAGTGGCAATAATAACAGTGCCTACCTCAAAGGGCAGTTGTGTGGATTAAGAGAATTAATGCATGTGAAGTGCCTAGAATGCTGCCTAGCACGTAGCAAGCCTTCATTTGTGTTTTTTCTCTCCTTCAAGGGTGGGAGGGGCTTATAGAGGAGATTCCCCTTCCGTGTCCCCCAAGTCCCCAAGTGCCTCTGCTTATGATTTACTTCTTATGGCTATCCCACCCCGAGACACTTGTCCAGGAGCCATTAGAGGGTTTTGAGCAGAGGAACAGCCCCCGCTTCCTTTGCATTTTGCATTTTGGAAAGGTCCCTCCAACAGTGGCTGAGATACAGCGTTTTGTACTATTATAACAGAATACCGGAACCTTGGTAATTTATAAAGAGCAGAGATTTCTTTCTTTCACTTCTGGAGGCTGGGAAATTCAGGATTGAGGGGCCCACTATATCTGGCAAGGGCCTTCATGCCGCGTCATCCCACGGAGGAAGAAGGAAGAGCAAGAGAGTGCAGGGCGCAAGAGAGAGCGGAATTTGCTTTTATAACAGCCCACTGTCACGATAACAAGCCCATTCCCAAGATAGTGACAAGGATCCATTCCTAATCACCTCCTTAGGTGCCACCTCATTCACCTTTATATTTTCATTTAAAAATTAAAATGTTCTAAAACTGGATGGCAGTGATGGGTGCATAAGTCTGCAAATTTACTTAAAAATCATTAAATTGTACAGTTTAAATGGATGAAGTTTATGGTATGTAAATGATACTGCAATAACGCCTTCTTTAAAAAAGTCCCCAGGTGATCCTAGTGAGACAATTCAGCCTTGGAGGTGGAGTGGGGCTGGAGAGGGGAACTCAGAGCCTGACTTCAGGGCTGGTGGTGCTGTGGGGAAAGGACAGAGACAGTAAATCCTACAGGAGCTTGTTCAATGCTTACCTGGACTTGAGGCTGCTTCCCTGGGCTTAAACTCCTCTCTCATCTTGATCAAGGAAGCCACTGGATTTTGTTGAGGGCTCTCCCTCATCTGGGCTCCCACAGTGCCCACGTCTGCCTGCCAGTACAATGCTTGTCCCAATACGTGGAATGCTCCGTTTCCAGGCCTGGCTCTCCTGGTGTCCCGCGAGCTCCTCAAAAGCGAGGACACAGAGCTGGGCAGAGTAGGTGGCCCCTGAGCACACGCTGGGTACTCTGGGAATGCACCATCCCTGGCTTCCTGGTTAGTGTGTGGATGATGCTTCAGGACCTAGGTGGGGCCTCAGGGATCTGGCTCTGCAAATGTCCTCTCAAGAGCATATGCTAAACTTGGCCTTCAACTCTTGGTTGTTTCAGCAGCTATTCTTGGCAATATATTTCATCCTCTACTCCTCCTCCTCTTCCTCCTCCACCCACCATCAGCCTTCATTTGTGCTTTTTCTCTCTTCAAGGCTGGGAGCTGCTTATAGAGGAGAGTCCCTTTCCTTGTCCTCCAAGTCCCCAGCTTTCTCCCTTCTGCTCTTCTCTAGGTCATTATAACTCCTACCCATCTTCCTCCAACTTCAGTCTGGGTCGAAAACTCCTACCTTGTGTATGACCTTTAGTTTGTCCTTTGTCCCCTGTGTGGGTTCTCAAGTTCTCATCCGTCCCCTCAAACCCTATACATATTCCCTTTATCTTTCTCTGAGTCTCCCTGATCTCTACCCACATCCCCTCTCTTCCTGCCTGTGCCCTCAGCATCTCCCATTTGTCCCCTTGGATTTCAGCTATGACCCTACAGCCCTCCTGTGCCATCTCGGCCCCTCCTACTCCCCCTGTGACAGTGGGTCACCAGGAATGCTTGAAAAAAAATCATAAAGACATGGTTGAGGGAAGCAGCTGGGTAGAGTTCTGGGACTAACTTGAAGTGTGATTGGTGTAAGAGTGTTCCTTTGCATTATCTAGAAAATTGTCTCTATGTTTCACTCAATGGTATGTGTGCTGTGTGGACGCAGGACCAGCCCCAAACTTCCCACCATAGGCTGTGGAATTCTAGTCCATACCCCTGCCTTTATGTCCTGGCTTCTGGCTACAGAGCATAAATTAGCAAGATAATGACCACCTAACTGGGGACTCCCTGGAGCATGTCCTTCCCAGTGGGCTCTCTGGAGTGGGGGTGGGGGTATGCCCAGAAGAAGAGTCCTGTAAAAAGCCATCAGTGGCCCCATCCCAGCTGCTCCTTCATGCTCCTCTCTTCCCTGGGGCAGTGAGGCCACCATCAATGGCCCAAGTGCCCTGACCTGAAGCGTAGGGAGCCTCCTGTCCTTTTGGCAGGGAGGGTCGCTGGGCCTTGTTGGATTCCCTCCTATCCCTAAAGAATGGCTAATCAGATGCTTATTCTCCATCCCCATCACCTGGTTCCTGTCTGTCCTCAACCTCTGTGCTTCTCTGAGTGTCCTGGTGCTTGGAAGAGACATGTGTGTAAGCTTGAGAGCAAAGGGACTTGGCTGGCTGAGTGAATAGAATGAAATGAAGGCAACTCAGAGAAAGGAGGCTGTGGCCACTGGCACCTGTCCCCGGTTCATTTACTCAACCCAACCAAACCCAGGTGGAAGGCTGGAGCCTGGGATTAACTGATTGGCAGAACTGGGATCCCTGCCGCACAGTCCCCCTGCTGCCTCGGAGATAACACAGAGCTGGGGCTGGTTCCTACAGCTAAGCTTCTTCCATCCCCTGCCCAGGCTCCAGCCCAAGCCTCTCCTGACTGCCTGCCTCCACAGCTGCATTCCTTCTGGCCCCTGGGAGACAGAGCAACACTCAGCACCCAGGCCTCGGAGCTGCCTCTGAGTCCTCAGGGTCCCAGCCCCCCACCCCCTGCCCCGAGGCTTACGAAGGGTCCCAGTTCTGGGTAGCTCTGGGAGGGGCATGTCCTTCTTTTTAAATGGATCCTCCTGAGTTGTTCCCTCAGGTCAGATACTGGGCAGGTTCTCTGGGGATGGGGAGATCTTGGACAGAGATGCAGGGAGAAGCGGGGAATATCACTAAGGTCAGGACCAAGAGGAAGCCAAGGTGGGTAGGGGTGAGGGCTTGCTAGGGAGGAGGGATCCTGGAGAAATGTCAAAATCTGACAGCAGGTTTGGGGTGCAAGCCATAGGATTTCCTTCCCTCAAGGCAGCCAGCCAGCCTGCTGGATGAACACAAAGACCCTCAACTCAGCAACCCCACAGCTTCTGCAGACCCGCTCCATGTGGTCAGGGATGGGGGAGAGTAGAGGAGCAGCCTGACATGTGTCAGTCTTTCTGAGCCTTTTCTACCCCACTCACATGCAACCTGGTGAACCTGGAGGCCAGGGATCCATCTGAGTGTGTGTGTGTGTGTGTGTGTGTGCGTGCATGCACAAACACACTGTTCTTCCTGCTGGAGGCTTGGAGAGAGTTCCCCCAAGGCTCTACTCAGGAGTCTGACACTTCCAAGCAGCAGAGACAGTTGATCGCTAAGTGTGACATGCCCTTACAATGTGCCAGGCACAGTTCTAAGCATATCACATGTATTACCTCATTTAATCCTCACAACAGCCCTGCAGGGCAGATACTATTATTATCCCCATTTTATAGATAGGAAATAGAGGCACAGAAAATTAGGTAAATTGTCCAGGGATGCTCAGCTGGTAAGAGGCACAGCTGATTTGAAGACAGGCTGTCTGGCTGCAGAGTTCATGCTTTCCCGAGTCGTGGGTGGATGTTGGTAGTTCTGTGTGTGTGTGTGTGTGTGTGTGTGTGTGCAGTAGTATGGGCATGTACCTGTACTGGTGTGCTTGTGTGTGTACAGGCACAGCACCAGGGACAGGTATTCATTCATGCCCAGTTCCCCTCAATGAAACCTAAAGGAATTTCCTCCTTTTCTTTCCCCCAAGGAGCCTGTAACTCTCCCCTGCCCAGGCTGCCTTTGCCTCTAATCAGTTCATGAAGCTGGTGCTCAGCCTGTCTGCCCTGTTGCCAGAAGGAAGAACAGCAACAAAGCAAGGCACATCTGGACACAGAGGTGCTTGGGTGTGGGGTAGGCTTGAGTCCTAGCACCTGCTGCAGCCAGCATTCTAACCAGCCCCAGCCCCATTCTGGGCCAAACACCAAGTACTTCCTCCAACATTTGGTGGTTGCTGGAAAATCTTGTCTCCCTGGAGCAAGGCAGGACAGAGGCTGTATCATTAGGGATCTGCCGTCCCTCAAGGTTGGGGTTAGAAATGTCCTGACTAAGGCCCATGTCTGGCATCACAGGGAGGGAGGAACCCAGTGCCCACTCCCCTCTGGACCTGGGGCAGGGAGGCAGCATCTCTTCCCATTGCCTCTGTCTCCATCTCCCCCTGGCTCCTCCTCCTGAGTGTCCGGGACACGTGCTCATCTCCACTCCAAGCCTGGCTGTCTGGCGCCTTGCCTGTCTTGCAGGCAGAGAAGCTCCATACCTGTGTGCCAGAGAGGCACAGGTGTGCCTGTGCCACTCACACAGTGTACCACCTACTGGAATCTTGGCGGAGGGCAGACTTGGGATGGGATCCACAGGAGAGACAGTCTGTGGCATAATTAAGAGTGAGCAAAACACAGAACAAAACAATGTGTTTTTTCCTCTCTCTTTTCTGCCACTTGCCCTAATTATTTTCCCACTTTAAAATTCTACATCAACTTTAATTAAGCTGGCCTCGGGCAGGGAAGTCTGGCAAACTTGGAGAAGTTCACTTGTTTATTTTCTTATCACTGAGTGATTGGATTTTCAAGGATCACTCTGTCTCTCTCTCTCTGCCTCTCTAAGGAGGGATGATGGCAGCCTCCTGCCCATGAGGGGACAGGTGCAGCCGAGAACTGGCTCACCGCAGCCTCTGAGGGAGACACTTCTCTACAAAAATCTATTGTTGGCTAATTCATGCTCTAGTTTTGTCTCCCCTCCCCCCACCGATTCCTGCAAGGTCAGGGATCCAGGGCAGCAATTGTTAAGCAGTGGAGAGAGTACTGGACTGGGAGTTCAGTCACTTGGGTCAGAAGCTGTTTGCCACTTACTTTTTGGGCAGGAGTCATTCATCTAGTCATTCATTCATCCACTTTTTAATTCATTTGCTCATTCTTTCATGTTACCTCATTTATTCATTCTCACATTCATTCATGTATTTGTTCTCTCCCCATCATCTGAACAACAATACGGGCCTACTTCTGCCCTCCCCAGTAATATTTGACTCCTCTGAGCCCATTTCTTCCCTCCTGCATCCCTGGGTTGTTCCAAAGACAACAAGAGATGATGTAAGTGGAAGCCAGGATGGCTCTTGGCTCAGTGAGGTGGCACTGTGGGACACCTCGGATGTTATGCCCATCACCAGACGTGGACTCTGGGTCTTTCTGGGCCTTGGTCCCTGCTCGTAGGACAAATGCCCAGACCCTCTCCAGGGTCAGGGATGTTGGCAGAATCTTGAAGTTTGCTGAATTTCATCATAAAGTGGAGGATATGAGAGTGGGGCTCTGAAGAAGCCAGGACACCTGGTGGCTGGCGGGAGCAGCAGTGTCTGAGGCTCAGACCCCAAAGTGACTGAGGACAGGAGGAGCAGGCAGATGTCTTTGCTGGGTGTGGTGAGGAGGCAGTGCATGAGGGACAGAGTGATTGAGCAAGTGAATGGATGAGTGTGTGAGTAAATGAGTGAGTGGGTGACCAAGCAGAGGACTGAAAGTAAATGAATGAATGAACAACTGGGTGATTGAAGAAAGAATAGATGGCTAAGTCAATGAATGAATGGATGAGTGAATAATAAGTAAGCAGATGAATGTAAGTAAGAAAATGCGTGAGGGGGCAAGTGAGCAAATAAGCAAAATTAATGGAAGAATAAGTGAATGAGTGGGTCATTGAGGGATTAGAAGAAGTAATCAGAGAATCACTGAATGGTGAGTAGATGAATGGGTAAGGGACTGAGTAAATGAACAAGTGAGTGATTGAGTGGATGAAAATAAATGGATGATCCTATAAACAGATGAATGAGTGAATGGATGTGATGGAATGAATGAGTACATGAATAAATTAATTAGGGAATGGATGAATGAGCGAGTGAGTGAGCAAGCAACTTTGGTCCCCACCCATGGTGCTGAAGAAAGGGAGCCTATTGCCAGAACCTGGGAGGCCAGGAGGTGCTGGTTCGTTCCCTGTGCATAATTCTCCCCACAGTGCTCCTCACACGGCAGCAGAACCCACTCTGCTTCCAGCCCATCAGCTTCTGTTCCATTATGTATAGATACAAATGGGGTTGCTGTGTATCCCTTTCTTCCTCCACCAGAACCGCACCCGAACTATTGAAACACAGATGTCAGTAAAATAACATATCTCCGGTGGCTTGTCTACCTGTATCCCTCACTGCTGAGAAATAACTCACAGCAGTGGGTTAAGCTGACAATAAACACAGGAATTGACTTCAGTGGGAAGGAGCTTGCCTGACTGTTGACAAAAATCTAAGGTGACGCAACCTTCGCTGGGCTTATTGCTTGCTCAGGTGGCAGCCTGGCTGTGCTGTTCCCTTGGGACTGGGATGAGGGACAAAAGCCCCAGGGTGATGAAAGGGTCCCTGTCTCTGAGCCAAAAGGCAGGTCACGGTGTCCTGCAAAGGGCTGGGGCACGGCTTTTGTGGTGAGCACGCACTTTGCCATTGAGAGAACACTGTACAATAGAGTAGGCTACAGGGAAGGCCTCTTCTCTTCCCTCCCTGCTCAGGCAGTTGGCAAAGATCAGGCAAGGGCTGGCGGTTGCCTTCCTCTCATCATGGCCCCATGCTGGGGTGAGATGGGGCAAGGGAGCCCCTCCCCCATTCTCAGCAAGGCACCCCAGGTGCAGGCTTGTAGAGCAGCCTGGCCCCATGGTAGGACATTTAAGGGAGTGGCTGAAGCCCCAGGGCTTCAGCGTCCAGCCACGACCAGCAGCCTGCCTACTGGGTAGCAGGAAGGGAGCTGAAGGTAGGCAGGCCTCGGCAGAGGGCACTCAAGTCCTAGGAATCTGCACTCAGCCACTGCACACGTCTACTCCGTGGTTTCCCAGGGAAGCAGAGAACATGAATCTCGGTAACTCGAGCCCAGGGCATCATCACTCACTGCGATTGTGGGGGGGGTTGAGAGCCAGAGTGGATCAGTCTAAACAAAACACGTGCACAGGGGGCTCCTCCAAAGAGCATGATCGGCCACCACTGGGTGCCCCGTCCCTCACCCAAAGTAGCTGGGGAGGGGTGGGGGGACGAGGCCAGGGAGGGGGCTGGGAGTCTTGGGTTTCTTCCTGGAAATCCTACCCTCACCACCCACCTGTGAGCCAGTGGGAGACATGAATCTCGCTGGCAGGAACTCGGGCCAGCTCAGCCGTTTTCAGGGATGTTAATGAAATGCGGGAGCACTTGTCCTTTCAGACAGCGGCCCCTTTTATTTGGGAATGAAAAGCTGCATTAGTCTGAATGAGGTTTGGAGGCCTCATAAATCCGGCGCTGGCTGCCTCGTGGGGGAGCAGGGAGCCTAGGCCTGGCTGGTGGGTAGACTTGTTTACCAACAATGCGAAAAGCCAGGATTGGCGGCTCCCAATGCCCGGAGGAGATGCGGCTGGAGATAGTGCCAGCCCTGGTGCCTGCTGGTGGCGGGGCAGCCTGGAGAGGCATGTCATGCCACCGGCAGAGAGGGCTGTAGGTCTCTCTTCATGAGTTAGGGATGACTGGGCTCCCCGATCTGCCCTGATAAAGTGTCTGAGTATTCTGCTCTTAGCCTTCCACCGCAGGCAGCAGCCCCAGTGGGGCTCCACAAGAGTGATGAGAATTGGCCCCTGCAGCTTGTCCCCTACTCAGCCCAGATGGTAGAGGACAGGGTTAATTCTATGAGCTCAGGAGTCGGCTGAGCCTATATGTGAACCTTGACATCTCACCCACAGTGCCTGGCAAATGGTGATGCCCAATATGTTTTAGAAGAAAGTAGGAAGGAAGGGAGGGAAGGAGGGAGGGGAGGGGAGGAAGGGGGGAAGGGAGGGAGGGAAGGAGGAAGGGAGGGAAGGAGGGAAGGAAGGAGGGAGAGAGGGAGGGAAGGGGAATGGAGGGAAGAAAGAAAGGTCACATACCAGCGATGTGACTTTGGACCTCTTACTTAACCCCGCTGAGGCTCAGTCTTCATCTGTAAAATGGATTTGTTATTTTAGACAAAGATCCTATCGCAGTGGGTGTGGAGAGCAAGAGGTGAAGTGATGCGTGTAAGGTAGTGAATATATTGTCTGGAACATAAAAACATGTAATAAATACTAGGGGTCATTATGGGGATCGTTGCTGCTGTTTCTGTTCTTGCAATGCATCCCACCCTCCCCTAGACCGGGAGGGAACACGCTGCTGTTAGTTTTGGGGAAACCTCTGTGTCACAAAATGGCTCGCAGCCAGGTCAAGAAAAAGGCCCAGTCCCAGGCTGGCGATGGCAGCTTCCCTCTGGCCCCAACTTGGAAGGCAGGGTTCCAGCTGCCTTCCAAGTCCAGTGACTGGGCCCCACAGCCTCTGCAGCTGGGAGGCTCTTTCCCACCGCAGCCCTACGTGGCAGCAGAAAAAAGCCTCGATCCGCAGCGTGCTGGGTAACTCCCGCCCACTCTGGGATGCAGGAGGAGCAGGCCCAGCCTGTGCTGCTTCCCTGGGGCGCCGAGGGGGCTCGCAGGTGGCAGAGCCACACTCTCACCCTCTGGGGGCCTCAGCATCCCCCTCTGCCTTCCTCCCTTCGCGTTTCTAGCACCACTTTCATGCTAGCTTTTTTGGAGGCTGCTGCTTCTCCTCCTGCTCCCCTCCCCTTATCCCTCCCTTCCACAGGCCTTGGATCTGCTCCCTCCTGGGAGCCACACCTCTACCTTTCTGCTGCTTCTGTTTCTCTGCCAAGCCACTTGCAGGCTGACTGCAGGACAACCCAGGCAGAATTAGCATCCAGGCACTCCCCTTGCCTGTCCCCAGACCAGCCTTGGGCAATGCCGTTTTAGCCCTGTGTCCTTTGCCTCAAGTTCAGGTCCCTTTCCGTTTGTCTATCAGCGCACCGAAATTTTCTTCCTTAGAGAACAGCTAGGCCTTTTGGTTCCTTGGGGCAACCAAACCTGTTGCGGAAGCTGATAGGCAGGCGATGGGGAGGGGTGTGCGTCCCCAAGGAAGGGGCTCCCCCAGCTATATCCGGGAGGCCGCGCCCTCTGCTGCCCTCTCCTGCACTTCCTCCTTACTGGCGCCCACTGGAGCCCTTACTTTTTATCAAGAGGTGGCAGCTGCTGCTTCCCTAGCTTTGGTCTGCGTGTCCTTCCCTCCGATCCCTCGGGCAACATTTTCCAGTGGCTGCTTGGGAAACCAGCCGCTCCTGCTCCAGGGCGAGGGAGGCCCAACTTTGGCAGAGACAGACACTCAATAACCTCAGTTTGTTTGCTGGATTTTTGAGGATGTCCTCAGGACGGGCGCACCCCTCTGTGTTCTTTTGTGAGGAGCCCAGGGAGTCTCTCCTCCTCCCACAGCCACAGTGGCCTCCACCTCAGGTGGGAGGGCGTCCCTTCCTAATTGGCAGGATTGGCCACACTGAGATATTCACATCCCCACACAATGCCACGGGCCTCTGCACCCAGACAGGGAGGGGAAAAAAGAGGGAAATTAACAGGCGGGTGAGAGCTCGGCTCATAGAATATTTGTAAGAAAATTAAAGATTTGCTCTTCAGATGTTGGGGGCCATGCTCTTACCAGACAGCTGGCAAATGGGAAAGATTGGAAATGATAGAATAGATCAAATTATTTAAATGAGAAAAATAAATTCACACACAGCCTAGCCGCTGCCCGGTGACAGATCCGTTTATTTATCTACTGTATCGGCACCGCTTTGTCTCTGTCAAAAAGGTCATTAAACTCGCCTAACTGAGTAATTCGCAGCCTCCTGCTCCAGCCTCGCTCCACAGCCTTTCCCTTCCCTCACACCCAGCGCCACTTGAAAAAAAATTATTATTGCTAATAAACAACGTTGTTTTTCTTTTTAACCCCTTTAGCTTGCTCCCCCACGGATCCTACTCCATCCCACGACAAATTACAGTTTCTCTTTATTCTTTCTCAGGAGAATGAGGGAGGGGGCACCAGCCCTTCCTGCACAGTTACGGGAGAGGGCTGAGAGGGAGCGGGCCCGGCGCCCACGCCCCCCTACATCTAAGGCGTGAGCGGTCTTCCTCCTCCGCAGCCCCAGGACCTGTGCGCGGTCAAGTCCAGCTTCCCACAGCAGGGGGTCTGACTTGGGCTCTCCCACCTCTACCAACTCCCTCAGCTCCCCTGGCCCAGCGTAGACAATTCGCTTTGAATTCTGCCTCTCCGAACCCCCAGCCCCAACTCTGCTGCCAGGAGGAATGGGGTTGGGGAGGGAAGCCGGTTCCCGGGTCAGTCTCCCGCTGCCACCGCCGTCCAGCCAGCGCCCGCCGCGTGGGAGCCGCGAGGCCAGGCTCCGCAGACGGCGGGCTCCCGGTCTCGCTGCTCCCGGCGGGCGCGTCTCCTCCAGCTGGTCCGGCCGCTGGGCTGCCGCCGTCTCCCAGCTCGCGGTGCCAGCTCTCGCGCTCCACGCCTGGCTCCCGGGCTCCGTGCCCTCGCAGTAGAAGGGACTGGGGCCGGCGGGGCGGGTGGGGACGTCTGGGAAGCGAGGAGAGTCCTCGTTCTCCGGGCGTCCCCCTACAATGGGGCCAGGGTCCCCTTCCCCGCCCCCCGCGCAGGTGTGAGCGCGCGAGTGTGCGCCTCGGCAAGTGTGAGTGTGAAGTGTGTGTGCGCGGGGGAGTGCGCGGAGGGAGCGCGGGCGGCGGGCGGCGCGGGAGGCGGGAGGCAGGGCGCAGGGGAGGGGGCTGGGAGGGAGAGTGTGCGCGCGTGCAACTCCACTCCGGGGCTTTGTGCGAGCCCGGGCGATAGCATCGGCGGCGGCTGGAGGAGGAGCGGCCGGAGACGCGTGCAGCCCGCCCGCCAGAGCCCGGCAGCCGGGGCAGGTGGGAGCCCGCGCGGGAGCCGAGCCGACGCGAGTCGGAGCCGGAGCCGAGTCCGAGCGGAGTCCGGGCGGAGCCCAGGAGCCTCGCTCGCGGGCAGCCCGTGGGCGGCAGCCAGGCGGGGCGGGCGCCGGCGGGGCGGCCCCCCAGTAAGATGTGCGCGGCGCCGCGGGGCGCCCCCCACTTGCAGCGGCGCTCGGGAGCCGGGCGGCTGGGCCAGGCGGCGCCTTCGGGGCTGCTGCGCGCCCGCGCCTAGAGCTGCCGCCCCAGGGAGCCCGCCACGGCCGCGCCCCGGGCACGCTCGGCGGCGCCCAACGATGACCGCTCCCTGGCGGCGCCTCCGGAGTCTGGTTTGGGAATACTGGGCCGGGCTCCTCGTGTGCGCCTTCTGGATCCCGGACTCGCGCGGGATGCCCCACGTCATCCGGATCGGTAAGCGCTCCCTGGAGCCGGGGGTCTCCGTGCGCCCGGGAGGGGGCGGGAATGAGGGGGCCTCCCAACGCGTTCCGGAGAGATTTTCCTAACCTCTCTCCGAGCTGCTGAGCCGATCGGTGACCACCAGGAGCTCCTCCCTGTGAGGACAAAGTTCCAGAGTCGGGGTCACGGGCCTTACTTATTGGGGAGGAGGCCGCCGGGCCGCAGTGGGCGAGGGGCCCTTGGCGCGCTCCTGGGAGGTCAGACCTGGCACAGTGTGGCGAAGGTTTCCAGTGCGATCCCGAGTCGAGGGCGCATTTCGCGGTGACTGCCAGCATGAACCGCAGCCGACCGAGTTCTGCGATCGGGCTTCTCCGCAGAGTGGGGACCCTGGGGAAGGCGCCAACTTCTCTCCTCTGCCCACCTCACTCCCCGCGGGCCCTTCGTCCCCACCTCTGGCATAGCTCGAGCAGCCGCAGCGAGGTCGCAGGGCACAGATTCGCATGACGAGGGCAGCCGGTCTTCTCTCCTGGTGGTCGCCCTTGGCCTCGGTGGTACCGGTTCAGCCCCGTGCCATGGGGCGGGGGTTGGGGGAGCAGGACCCCGCTGCCCGCTGCAGCTGGTCCCTCGGGGCCAAGGCCTCTCTCCCGCCTGGGGCAGTGCAGGTAGAGGGAAGGGACGATGGAGGCCGCCCAGTGCGGCCCGGGCAGGCGGCCCAGGGACGCCAGCGGTTTTTAAAGTTAGCCCGAATTCCTCCGCAGCTGGCGGCGGCTGGCGGGGCTGCGCGCGGCTTTCCGGGGCTCCGGCTTCTCCGCGTCTCTTCTCGCCGGAGACTCTTACTCCGGTCTTTAACTTTGTTGTGGCCGCCCAAGGCACCCTGCAGGCCTGAGCGCCGCGCATGTCCCGGGCCGACGACCGGCAGGGCTGGGCCTGGCCGGGCTAAGACGGAGCCTCCATCACCGCAGGCCCTGCGCCCGCCACCAGGCCGGACACCTGGGCCGCCTGGGTTCACTCGGCGCCAGCACCAGCGCCTGGCACCAGGCGAGCCGGACTCCGCCGAGCCAGGGCCACCTTCCTCCTCTACAGCTCTTCTTCAGGGCGGACCTTGGGCTGCCAGCGGCGTGAAAGAGGTGCCGGAACCGGTGTCGGGCTTGGTTTCCGTACTTGAGATTTTCCTAGGAGGCGGTCAGAAACCCAGCGGGTGGGTCTCCTCCTGGGCGGCCGCCCGGGAGCCGGACCCTCTTGAACACCATCTGGATGGGGCAGAGCACAGTCCTCAGCTCTGCCCACGCTGAGATCTTTCGGTCCATGCCCAGGACCCTGGCAGGCAAACACCAGCACCGGAGGCAGAGGAGGCCAGGCACGGGAGGGGACACTGGGGACAACCCTTATGGTCAGGCTTAACCCTTTGCAGCCCAGCCTGGTTGCTCCTGACAACCGAAATGTCTTCTATCTCTGTGCCTTTGCCTGCCCCAAGCCCAGCCTGGCACCATTCCAGGGGCAGGAAGCCTCCCCTTCCCCCCCCAGTAATGGACCAGCACTTCCTTTATTCCCTGTCTCCTTCCCTCTGCTTTTTTGGGGGCCTGCGTCGTAGGGTGTCCTTGGGGAAAAAGGTGGGGGGACTGAGAGGGTGCTATTTGCCCATCGCACGGATTGCAGTTCCCTTTTCCTTGATCCTTCTTCCACAGGGGTGGGATGGGTGTGCTCCCAGCCCAGCCTCAGGGATGGAAGTCTTTGGAGGCCCAGAAGGACAGGCTACCGTAAGGGCAGCCTCAGAGGGATAAGCTGGGAAGGCGCAGGATGATGTATCCTTACTGTGAAATTGAATGGGTTAGGGAGTTCCTCCCAGCCCTTAGGAAGAGCATCCCCAAGCCTGCCCGCCCTTTCTTGGGTTCAGCGTGTAATAATGAAATTAAAGGATGGCAGAGCCCTCCTCTCTTCTAATCTTCTTCGTATTAAGCCCCAGGATTAATTAGCGTGTCAGCCCAGGTCATTTATATCCAAGAGCCCTGCCCCATTTGATTCTCAGCCCATGGACTGGGGTGTTGTGCCTGCGCCAAACGTGACTGCCAGAGCTGTGCCAGTTTGGGCGGAGGATGGGAGGACTCTGAGGCCTCTGGAGACTCCTGGGGAGCTGAGTTTCTGTCCTTCTGAGCCCCTGCTTGAACCCCAGCTGGAGCCAGGGAGCTACAGTGGACATGGACAGAAAGAGCGAGCGAGCGAGAGAGAGAGAATCTCATGCTAAAATCCAAACACACCACCTTGGCTGGGCCCAGTGCCCTCTCCCTTTTCCCATCCCCCCCATCCCTGGGATCTCAGGGTTCTGGCTGGGGCTTTAAGAATTTAGGCCCTCTGGAGTGTGCTAGGTGCTTCTGATTCTCAAGACTGGCACCTGAGCCGGCTGAGCTTGGAGCTGAATGCTTCTCCAGCAGCCAGGCATCGCCGAGCACCAGCCCGGAGAGGGCTTTCTTGCAGGTGCCAGAGGGGCTCTCTGGGCTGAGGAGCATCGTACCCACCCCCTCTCTTTGTGCCTCTTTTGGGGGCTGAAATTTCCTCTTAGACAAGGAGATGGATAGCTCAGCAGTGTGACAGAGTGTTCAAACAATCCGTCTTGAATAGATGAATTGCATTGCTCTGTCTTTTTGTAATTGTGTCTATCAGAAGGAGAGGTCAAGGCATTGATTGCTTGGATGGTTTGCAAGTAACAAAAGAGAGTGAGGGAGAGAGCAAGGGAGAGAGAATGATTGGATTGTAGTCTGCGAGAAAAAATGATCATTGATTATTTTATGTGAATATGTGGAAGATGTATTCTATGTATGATTATCAAATGTTGTGCATTGAAGGTTTTCAAGCCATATTGTTTGGCATTTTATTATTATTATCGTCGTTATTATTGTTTGGGTGAATCCCAGTCTTAACTTACGGAAGGCAGTTTAATGCATAGATTCTCTCAGCCAAACGGGCTTCAGTGACCTCCCGTGGGGACCTGAATTTCCAGGTTACCTGACCCCAAATCTGTAGTGGAGGGGCTGCTGGACTTGGAGCCAGGAGGTCTGGGTTTTCTGCTGCATCTGCCACCAGTTTGTTGGGCCATTTCCATCAAATCACACCTCTCCCTGGCACCCCAGGCCTCAGTTTCTCCATCTGTAAACTATTTGGTTGGCCTTAATGGTTGGTATGTTCTGTGGTTTCAAAGTTCCCTTTAGTGCAGGCTGGCGGGCACTGTTATGCCATTGTAGGTTTCATGGTTAGTTCTCTCCTCATGTTATGGGCATATGTAGGATTGAGGGCCAGCCTGGAATTTGAAAAGGGAACTAGACAGTGGTGGCAGCAGCTGGGGAAGCCTGGCCAGCTCTTCTGTGTGTTGAGGAGCTCAAGTGGATGGTGGCGATCTCCAGCCAGCCAGTGGGGAGGTTTGAAGCCAAATGACTGCAGAGACATAAAGCAGGTGTTGGGGGGGGGGAGGGGGTGGGGGGTGGGGAAAAGGAAGGGTTGGCCCAGCTCTGGACTCTGAGCATCTACAGATAGAGCAGAACTGAGCTGCAAGGTCCTGAGTTTCCTGAATATACAGGGGCCCAGCAGGCAACAGCAGCCGATCCCTGGGGAGAGACACCCCCTCCCTCAGAGTTCCCAAACCGGCCTCATCTGTAACTCCTATGACTGGTTCACCCAAATTATCCTAAACATTCATCTCTTGAGTTTGGGAGCCGCTGTGTATAAAACAATGAGAAATTTCTCACAGTGACTGGTGATGCGCTGAAACATCGCTGCCTTGTAGGAGCAGACAGCAGCTGAATGAAGATCAATAGGGTTTTCCCCCCTGGAAGTAAATAGCTTCAGACAAGACCTGGGAGTGGCCCGCGGGGCCTTAGAGAGCATTAACTTGAGGAATTTCTACCTCCACTTTTCAGCCCAGCTGCTGCTGTTAGCCCCAGCTTTCCTCCTTCTCAACTGGAGTTTAATTTTCTTCCTGATGCCTGCCTCGCACTTCGCTAAACAGTCTTTTGATGTCAGAATGACCTAGGGTCTTTAGAGGTGGTTTATGCAAGGTGAGCCAGGCACCCTGGCCTCACTAGGCTCTTCCAAGGTCACCTGCATCCTCCTGTAGCCGGCAGGATGGCTGACCTCAGAAGTCCAGCTCATGTGCTGTTTTCAAAGGGCTTTGCAGGATGGCTCTTTATCCCCGACCCCTCCAGAAATGCAAGCTGCCTCCAACCACTCCAGAAATGCAAGCTGCCTAGTGGCTTTTAGGATCCTTTGTGGGGCTGTAAGCCTTCCTGAATCCCCACGTTCCCACAGGCACTCTGTGCCTGTCCCAGGAAACAGTCCCCTCCATGGGGGAGGAAGCACAGATGCCCCCGTGGGCTGTGGAACTACCCCTCCTCTTGAGAGAAGTATAAGGCCATATGTAGGACAGACTGCAGGCCTGCTTGGTGAAGGGGGTTCTTTTAGCAGGAGACCTGTTTGATCTCAGTGACTGGGACTGTTTCTGGTCTGCTGAGGTGGCGCCTCCTCTACTTGCCACAGCAGCTGCCCCTGTCTCTTCCTTGCAGCTGCAGCCTGGCTTGCCTTGCTTGCTCAGGACCTTCCAGAGGGAACTGAAACAGCGGGTGCTTCACTCCACTGGGCAGCACGGAGAGGAACTGGGGGACTTTGCACACCCCGCCTGGCAACAGAGAGGACCAATGTTGCAGGAGCAGGGCCCTCGTTGAGGCTAGCACCCAGCAGGCACTCGCTTGTCCTCCAGAGGCCAGTGTGGTAGGGCTGCAGCTCTGGGAAGACAGATGCACTAAGGGCCTGCCTGGTATGGAAACGGAGCTGATGCGGATGGGGCTGGCGCCTTGGCCTTGGGCTTGATTCCTGGAATCGCTCTTCTCCCAGGTGCTGATTCTTCAGCAGCAGCACCAGAGGGCAGTGTGCCTGTGCTGAGACGGCCACCGCAGTGTCTTCTGCCTGGGGCCCCACCTGGGTCTGGAGCAAAATCAAAATAATGAAACAACAATGACAACAGCCATATGATGGCTCCAATTTATTGTGCAATTATTAGCCACTAAGCACTGTGCCAAATGCTTTTCAAACAATGACTCATAGTGTGGGTAAATAGTAAGTGCTCAATAAATGGAGCCATAGGGCTCTTCTCTTCATCTTAGGTAGCCTTCACAACCTACAGACATTATCCCATTTTACAGGTGAGGGAACTAAGCTTGGTGGCGTCACTTGCCCAAGATCGCACAGCCAGTGAGCGGTAGAAGTGGGATAAGAAGTATGGTGTGCCTGCCTCTGGATCCCATGCATTTAGCTGGCTGTGCCATCTGGAGATGGCAAGAAACAGTTTTTAAGGGGCTGAATGCGGTGCCCCTACCCCCACTCCCCATTCTGGTTGCTGAGTGAGGTCTCACTGGCTGGGCTATGTTGGTCCTCCTCTGGGAGGATGGCCATCTGGGCTCTACCACTCTGAATTCCACTAGCACTAGTTTTCAGTGTCAGACTGGCCTTGCTGATGAGCTGTGTGGCATATTTGCCTCCTCCAGGGCCCAGGTGTGGATGGTCTTTCCCAGCCTTCCTACCAATACACATCCTTCCATGTACTACATCCCACATTGTCCTGGCTTCTGGACTCTGCTTGAGGCTTTAATCTAAGCCCTAAATAAAGGACGGACTCACCCTTGGGTGAGGCCAGTTCACCTACAGGGATCCCACTGTTCTGGGGTCTGTAGTCTACATGTCCCCACTGGAACCACCAGGCTGTCCTCAAAGACATTGTCAAAGCCTTGAGGAAACCCAAGGGCCTCGTGTCTGTGTCTCCTTCACCTCCATCCTCCTCACCCAGGGACCTGGAAAGAGAAGGTGGTTGGAGAATTAGCTGTCTTTGTTATTCCTTCCTTCCCTCACTTCCCGTTTTCCTTCCTTAGTCCTGTTCCTTCTTGCCAACATCCCTTCAAGGCTAATAGGTTTTTATGGTCGTTTTATTTTTAAGCAAGAGTCACATCCTGACCTTCTAAATTGGGCCTGCTGCCTCTGGGTCCTGGAACATGTGTTGCTGTGTCACAGACACCGTGGGTTGGGCATGGGGACCTGGATGCAAGAGTCTTCCTAATCCACCATTCCGTCTACAAGAGCAAAGGCAAACCCAGACTTACCCTTCTCTGTCTGCAGTATTCCTTCTCCCATGGGGCCAGGGGAGCCTGGGATAATGGTGGCTGCCAGGGACTGAGCTGTCTGGAAGTGAGGGGAAGCTGCACTGCCCAAAGTCACTACAAAGGTGACAGATTTGAGACAGGCATGGTCAGAAGGGTTATGTTACTTTGCAGGGCCTCCATTTCCCCATCTGTAAAATGGGGATGATACTGCCCATTGGGTTAAATACGTGTGACGTCTTTTCAAAAGAGCTTACATGCTGTCCACACTTGAGCGTTTCTTTTTGCCCTTGGAGGAGTCTGTGCACAGGGCTGGGTGTAGGGTGATGCTAGGGAGACCTCCAGGGAGCTGACTCTAAGGAGGCCCTCAAATGAGGACCCTTTGCTTGCATGACTGACCATGAGAGGGGGTGCCTCCTTAAATCCTGGCCCTGACCCAGCATCTGAATTTGCTTCTGGAGTATGCTTTTCCTCCCACTTATCTTTGTGCTCCAGAGACAAATCCTAATTGAGCATGATTTGGAGAGATCAGACCAAATTGAGGGCCAGGGGACTGGGTTTGAGGACAACAGGTTGTTCAGATTTTCTTTTGTTTCTCATAGCCACATTTCATAGCAGCCATGCCCCTAGAGCCGTCTGCCCTTCCTTCCTTTGTTTTATTTCCTTTGGAAATCGCCTCCAGGGTCCACACTGCCTCTCCCTAGTCACAGCTCAGCTGCCCAGGTCCTTCTCCTTGCTTCCTTTGACCTTTATGCCTTGTTTACTAACAGTATTGACCTTGGCCATGGTTTTCTGGGGGTGAGTCGGTATCTAGGCTTTCTCTAATGCATGTGCATTGTGCCTCCCCCACTAGACAAGGAGCTACCCAAGGGTGTCTCAGGCCATCTCTCCCCCATCACTTCCAAGAAACAGAATGATTTTTTTTGGAGTCAATAATATATTTCATTGATTCTAAGATGGGATTTTTTTTTCACATTTTCATATCTCTGACATCAGCTCGTGTCTCACATGTCATGTCTAAGTTTACTTGCAGAATTTTTTCTTTCTTGGCACTCCAAGAAAGAATGGCATGTCTTGGGTCTGATGAAATGTGGTGGATCTATTTTTGAACGTGAGTCCAATGTGTACTTGCTGTGTGACCTTGGGGAAGTCACCGCACCTCTGAGCTTCCATTTCCTCATCTATAAAATAGAAGTATTAACGTTAGGTTGAACCACGTGCAGCTATTGTTGACCTACAAAAATCTTGTGGTTGACCCTTACAGTATTGTCTGCATAGCGTTATTGTGAGGATTAAAGGAGATAAAGTACGTAAAGCTCTTTGCATAGTGCCCGATGCTTAATAAATTTTAGGAGAAAAAAGAGAGTTCCCCAAGGGTGGGGCCACATCTCCACCGACTCTGAGCTCTGAGGCTGTCTGCATCTCATGTGCCCTTGGCTTTGTGCTAACCCCTAGTGCCCCATACTCCATGCAGCCTTGTATGTGGCATATGCCCATCGCTCACATACCCATGGGCCCTGCACTGGAGTTGGTGGGCCTAGCAGTCTGTACCAATTATTCACTGTGATAGGGAGCAACAGAGGTACCCTTTCTTGGATGCTCATAATGTCAGCTCCCAGACACCGCCTGGCCCATTATTTATGGGGTGCTTGTTCTTCCCTGATTTTGCAGCATTTTGATTAAAATGCATTTTGCATATGTTCAGAGCTGGGAAGACCCTGGTTATGGGATGTTCTTAAGGGGCTGGTCCAGAGAGTCTTGATCAGCCCTTCTCAGATGGGGAGTACAATCTCACCTCCTGGGCAGGCCACTGGAGACTGGAGAGGGTCTGAGGCTAGAGGCCCTAGGGGATAGACACTTTAGCTCTCCTAGAAGACAGCAGGTAATGAGGACAGAGGCAAAAGGCAGGGAGGAGAGAGTCCCCATGGTGATCATACAGATCGGAGATGATGAAATGGAGTGAGATCCTGGGGGAGTGGTGGTTTCAACTCCAAATTCTTTGGTGCCATGCTGAATGGTAGTTAAGGATAGCAGAGCAGGGAAAAGCAGCAAGAAGGAACTAAGATTCTGGTTTGTATTAAAAGGGTTCCAATTCATAGGAGACAATTAAGTCTTGTGCTATTAAAGGGACTGATGCAGACAGGCTGCCGATGGAAGGGGGTTTATAGAGTTCTCAGAACAACTGCAGGGATGAGCTCTTTAAATATGGGAATGAGGGAGACTTCTGCAAAGCCTTTCTGCATCTGCTTTGCAGAACTGAAATATGCTATTCCAAAAAGCTGCCCAATTGGGCGGAAAAGCAGGAGCGGGGAGCCAAGGACTTTCCAGGGCTCCAGGCATCACATTTCCTGTCTATGGTGAAGAATCAAATAATCTAGGCTGAAAAGACCCCGGGGGTCATTCTAGGCCTCTGGTTCTCAAATATTAGCATGTGCCAGAATCACCCAAAGCACTCATTAAGATGCAGATTGCTGGGCCCCATCCGCAGAGCTTCTGATTCCGTGGGTGTGGGGTGAGGCCTGAGTGCTTGCCTTTTTAACAGTTTCCCAGATCATGATGATGCCGCTCATCTGGGAGCCACACTTTAAGAACTGCTGTTCTAGGTCAATGGAGGACCCCACTACATACAGGTGGATAGCCAGTCTCTGATTGAATGCCACCTGTAATGGGAAGCTCACCAATTGTAGGCCCCATCCATGCTTTACTGCAGATGTTTTGCCCATGCTAATCTTTGTTGCAAATTTTCCTCTAAAAAGCTAACATGTGTCTCCCTGCAGTTCTAGGAGGGCAATATAACTGGGGTCTGAGTGTGGGTTTGAAATTCCTCTGTCTGAGTTTCAACTCTTGATCCCTTCCCTCCTGGCTGTGTGACTTTGGGTAAGTCACTTACTTTCTCTAAGTCTAGATTTCCTTACCTGTAAAATGAGAATAATAGCAGATTTCACCTCATGAAATTATTGTGAGAATTAACATGCCTGGCAAAAACGAAGCTCTCAATGCATTTAGCTCTCAATCTAATCTTGAGGATAAGCTCATGGATTCTAAGATCTAACAGCCTGAGATTGAAGGCTGCCTCCCTCACTTCCCACCTGTGTAATCTTGAGCAAACTCTTTTTTTTTTTTTTTTTTTTTGAGATGGAGTCTTGCTCTGTTGCCCAGGCTGGAGTGCAGTGGCACAATCTCACCTCACTGCAACCTCCACTTCCTGGGTTCAAGCAATTCTCCTGCCTCAGCCTCCTGAGGAGCTGGCACTACAGGCACCTGCCACCATGCCTGGCTAATTTTTCTATTTTTAGTAGAGATGGGGTTTCACCATATTGGCCAGGCTGGTCGAACTCCTGACCTTGTGATCTGCCCGCTTCAGCCTCCCAAGAGCAAAGTATTTAATATCTCAAAATAATAATAATAATAATAATAATAATAATAATAGTTGTACCTGCCTCACAGGGTTTTTGTGAGGATTGAATGAGTTAATGCATATGAAGTGCTTAGAACACAGCCGTGGTAAGCACTCAATACATGTTGTCTATTATTCCTACTATTATGATCACCATGCCCACTGACTCTGGCTTGAGTTTGTTCCCTGTCCTACACTAGAGCTCTGCAGAAACACAAAGGCATTTATTTCTTCAGACTAAAGAGGCTTAATTCCTCCAGCATGGCATCAAAAGATGACCACAGTGCTACTTATTTATTGAAACCAGTAAGATCATCACCTCCTCAGATCTCAGCTTTGGTGTCTAGTTATACAACCCCAGATTGTTTCAGGCTTTTTAGCAGCCATTCAGTCTGTTGATTTATCCTAAGCTGTTGTTCTCATGAGATACATGAGATCTTTTCCACAAGTATTGCTGCTGATCTATAACTTTTCTTATCCTCCCTTTAGTAGTTGATATTTTGAGCCTAAAGGCAGAACCTATCATTTATCTCCCAGTAAGTTCTATCATTGAACCTTCAGGCAGTTATTCTTACTCATTGTTTCTGGACCACCAGAGCCTATTACCATGTCTCCATGCTTGGAAAGCAGGTATGGATTACACCCTCTTCTAACCACTGCCTCCCTCCTGGGGTCTGTGTTAGAGAGGTTAAGTGGTTATTAGCCTATAGTATGGTTGGGGTTGGGAATCACTGTTCTGAATAGTGAAGCTTTTGGGGATTCCCATTCTGATGTCTCGCATGCTTCCTGCCATCTGAGCCTGGGATAAACATATCCTCCCTCCCTTCAGCCAGGTCTGCCATAAACACATTAAAAAGAAAATGAGCAATGTCAGAGTCTGATGGCTTTATTCAAATGGTCTTGGATCCACTATCCTACACTTTAACGAGCTTCAGAATTCCACTGGCTTCCTTATGCCCTCAGGCCCTTTATGATCTGCCATGGTTGGCATCTCTGGACTCATAGACTGTCCCTCCTTGCTTCACCCTCTCTGATCCACTGCATTGAACATCTAAGTCCCCAGAAGGCACTGTGCTTTCCCCCACACTCTGGGACTCTGCACTGGATTTCCTTTTTTCTTTCCTTTTTCTTTCTTTCTTTTTTTTTTTTTTGAGATAGAGTCTCACTCTGTTGCTTAGGCTGGAGTGCAGTGGCGTGATCTCAGCTCACCACAACCTCTGCCTCCTGGGTTCAAGTGATTCTCCTGCCTCAGCCTCCCAAGTAGCTGGGACTACAGGTGCATGCCACCATGCCTGGCTCATTTGTGTATTTTTAGTAGAGATGGGGTTTCACCATGTTGGCCAGGCTGGTCTCGAACTCCTGACCTCGTGATCTGCCCACCATGGCCTCCCAAAGTGCTCAGATTACAGACGTGAGCCACTGCACCCGGCCGGCACTCTATTTCTTTCTGGCCAACTTCTACTCATACTAAGGTTTCAATGAACATGTCTTTTCCTCCAGGAAGCATTTCTCAACCTCCATCCCCTTCTGAGTCCCACAGCACCCTCTACTTTTCCTGTTGTAGCACTTGCTGTATTATAATTCTTAGTTACTTTAGAGATAAGTGCTGTACCAGTATGGGCCATAGCCAGGTTGTTCACCACCTTATCCAGTGCTTCTAGCACAGTGCAGGACTCCTAGTAGATAATTAATAAATATTTGTTGAATAAATGAATGCAATGGTGAATATGGTCATTTGAATGTAAGTCCACCTAACTGCCCCGGCATGCAGCTCAACACTTTTTCCATTTTGTCAATGAGGATTTTATGAAGGATGTTGTTAGATTCTTCCACGAAGTCAAGATGCTCATGCTGTCTATGGTGGTCTTCTGACACACCAGTTCTGCAACTTTTTCTGTGCCAGGACCTTTTAGATTTAGTCTTTTGGGCAGAGCTGGAATATTTGTGGGAGTGAGCCCTTCTTTCTCAAGCCTAGGATTGGACTTTACATTCATTGTCTTGTTCCTATCATGATGAATTTCTTGAGAGAGACAAACTGTCTTCTTAAAGAAGAGACTGGAGGAGAGATCACAGTCCTCCTGCCTTTTCTGACCTCACCCCTCTCTCCTTCCCACTTGTCCGTCAGCATCTCGGCTGCTCTTTCTGGGAGCTGAACCAAGGAAGAGAACCTCTGCTGTGCTGTCGTTAATAGGCTGAGCACTCAGGACAGCTGTGAGGCAGAAATGTGGCTGGGCCATTGCTCTGCTGCCCATCATAGGTCAGGTCTCTGTCTTTACCACATCACTGGCTCCTGCAAGGGTATGTAGACAACTGGTCAACATGACAGCTTGGTGTAAAGCAGAGGTGTTGACAGTTAACCTGGAGATTCAGGCTGTATAGACAGTCAACGGAGGCCATTTAGCCCTGGGAATATATGCATCCTCCACACCAGGTTCTGAGGAAAGTGAGTGTGTGCACATGTTTTTGTGTCCTTGCAGGAGATGACCATATGGAAGTTTGCTTCTCTAGCACAGACTTCTCAAACTGGGGCTCAACAGTCTTTCTTTATCCCAAGCCTGATGAGTGAGTAGTGACTTTCCTTTGTATCAGTGGGGAAACTGAGGACTTAAAGGCTGGTCCCAGTTCCTGACTGACTGGGCTGATCTGTCTACTGTACCAATGTGACTGAGAGTGAGGATGGGGCAGGTTTGCAATGGAGCCCTGAGCTTCCCCTCCTGAACACAACAGAACTGAGCTCTCCCCTGAGGCCAGGCCCCTCCTTTTCTTGCTTCCCTCCCTGGGGAAACATGACACATCATGAGCAGAAAGAGCCTGTTGCCTACATGACCATTTTTCCTGCCCAGTTTAATAGAGGTGACAGCCGTCTATTTTACTTGTCTCGTAACATTGAATCAGTAAATAAAATATGGGTGAACTCTCAGGTTTAGCTGAATTATGGCTGGTCTATGGGGACTGTGGGCTGGGGGAGAGTTGAGCAAAGAAATTGAATCCCTGTCTTCTTGCAAGAGAAGCAGAGCCTTGCGTCTTCCTTCTGGATCCAGGAAATCTTTCAGCACTTGAGGAAGCCAGGCCAGCAAGGTAATCTTGTTTGGTGGTCTCCGAGCCCATGGAAGAACCAGAACACAAATGGAGGCACCCCAAATGCTGGGGCTACAGGAGCACTACCTGTCCCCATTTTTTTTTCTTTCACGGGTTGGGATGCTGAAGACAGAAAAGAGAAAATGACTTGTGTCATGTCCCTTGGTGAGCCATGGGAAAAAAACAGACAACTGTATGGGTCCTCTGACCCTCATCCTATTAAGAAAACCTGATCTACGCTCCTATTCTCTCTCTCTCTCTCTCTCTCTCTCACAGACACACACACACACACACACACACACACACACTTGCAAATTTGAAGTTTTACATTTGCAGTCTTAAGAGAACAAAAGAGCCTAGACTTTTCCAATGTGGAAAAACCAACCTGTGAAACACTCTTCCACACTGCGAGAGAAATACAAATTGTATTCATATGTGTTTAGAAGAAGTCATAAATAACAGATGCACCGTGTGGTTCAGCAAGAGCCAGGGAGATTGAGAGACACCCCAACCTCTGTGTTCAGCACCACGGAGAGCAGCCAGGGCCGGGGGTAGCCGGTGGCGCCATCTGCATGCTGGCTTTTCTAGTATGGGTGGTGGGGTTATTGTAAGGTCTTGCTAAACAGGCATTCTTTTTTTTCAAATGCTATTCCTTTAGAACTCTGGTAGGCTAGTAAGAACTGTTATTTGTTGTTGTTCAAATAGAATAACGCATGGTAAAAGAAAATCAAGGTAATAGATGGAATTTTCTCCTTTTTTTTTTCCTTTCCACATAAATTGTTCATTAACCTTTGGTGCCTTGTACGGCTTGTCTGCTAGGGAGCAGCAGCAGATGACAAAACGAGTGAGCATTCCATTGTCAAATGTCACACCTGATACCAAGCATCTTGGTTCGGCTTGTCAGCCTCATCTTTCACATCGCATTTTGTAAGTAGGATTGTGTTCTGTATTTTTATCCTGCCAAATGTGATTTCTTAAAAGTATTTTGTGTGTTATTATTTCCTGAGTTGTGGAGACCTGCATACCTATAATAGAGCCATATTTTCTGCTAGTAAATAAAATTATTCCTCATTCAGGTGATGGGAATTAAATGTGTCACAGCTTGGTGGCATTCCCTAAACAACCCCAGCGGTTCCAGGTGCTCTACCACCTGGATGTGTCTGGGAAGGCTTGTGGTGGGGGTGGGCATTGACAAAGCCTCTCCCAGACAGAAAAGTCGTGCCAGGAGTGACCTCAGTGTTTCTCAGAAAAATGGTGCACTTTTATCCATCACTGGGGTATGGAGAGTTGGCTGGGAACACCTGGACTAGAGCTCAAAGGACCAGAGAAGGTGAAGAGTGTTAGAATGATAGAGTCAGAGGAATTGTTTCACTTGCCTCTGAGGAATTTGCCTCTGAACAAGAAATGAGGTTTAGGCAAATGGACCCCAAGGATTTAAGAGGTAAGATGGCATCTTGGACGTCACACAGCAAATAGAAAAATCCAGATGGTCAGGGAGGAAGTGAGCTATGGTAGCTACAAAGTGAGGGCTACTTCAGGGGCTCTGGCTGAAGATTTCTCAGTATGAGGGGATTTGGGGCTTTTTGATGCTCCTGCTGGGATTCGCAGAATCAGAAAAATCTGCTTTGGAAATTGTGGTTATTTTTATGCTGTTTGTAATTTTGTGTTTATTTCCTGTCTTTTTCACATGGGTTCTGGGCTGACTCATTGATTCACCAAACATTTATGGAGCACCCACTCTGTGTACTGCAGAGTACATAGGGTCAGGGGATTTGCGGGGGCTCCAGGATGCGGGGGCAATGAAACAGCACTCCTGGGCTTGGTGGTATTTGAATGTCCTCATGGTAGGTCCAATTAGGTGACCTTTAGAAATAGCTGTGGTTCCTTGAACATTTCAGTATGTACAGTTTAGACCAGAGTCTTGCACTTGGATCTTCCTCATTCCCTGGAGTCCTGGGGAGGAGTAATGAGGCTCAGAGAGATGAAGAGACGAACTGAAAGTCGCACAGTCGAGTTGGCAGGGAGGCTGCATCTCCATTTCACCCTTCACTCCTGCCCTCCTTCCTGCCCTTGCCCCTTCTAAATCAGTTTATCACTTACGTTGTTCTGAGAGTGTTCTTTCACCCCTGAGCTGTCACATTTATCCCCCTCCAGGGTTCACTTTGGCCAGTTCCCTGTCTTTTAGCAGAACTGAACCTTAACTTTTCTAGATGGATGGATGCATGTGTAAGTAGGGGGTGAAAGCTAAAGGAAGGGGTTAGTACCCAATTTGTAAGTCTCCAAGGGACATAGTCTGTCTCCTCTGGTGAGGAAATTCTTCTTTCTGACTAACCCAGATCATTCCTGATGCAGTGTAAATCCATCTCGTCCGTGGATTTTCCTGGACATGGCTGTTCTTGGAGGGTGGGAGGGAAAATCTAGCTTGGAAGTCAGTCGCTTCGGGGGCTTTTATTTCTGGGGTTGCAGCAAAGAGGCTCTCAGGCAATTAAATTGAAATGGCTGTACTTTTGCTCCTGGGGGCCTGGGTAGATTTATAATATTTTCTTTTTTAAAAAAATTGGAGTTTTTTTTTCATGGAGACAATGATTTATGGAATAATCAATTTCTTTATCTACCTAATACATTGGAGTGATCCATCAATGCAGGCATCAATCTCCCCCTGGGGCTGTGTGAGGGCAGACAGCCTTTGAGCCTGACTCATCTGGCAAAAGGTGGCTTTTTCTACAAGTGACTTTGCTCCCTGATCCTGGATCTGAGGCCTGCAGTTAAGGAGGGTCAGGGGCTCTTCAGCAAAAATATTAATGCTTTCTCCTTATTAGTCTCTGCTCTGCCAGAGAGAAATAAGGTGCAGTAAGCTCTGTCCCCATTGTGCAGTTTATAGAGACAAAGGACCAGAAAGAGTGCTCAGAGACCAGAATTTGGAGGCATGCAGGTGGGAGTGGCCATCTGTAAATCTCTAAGGGTTGCGGTGTATGAGAAGGAGCAGATCTGGTGTTAAAGGTCCCAGTAGAATCGGGGCCAGTGAGTGATGGTCCGAGAAGGCAGATTTTGATTCAATACCAGCTATCCATATTCAGTGCTTTTTAAAGATTCAGTAAGATGCCTTGGGACCTAGTGGGCTTCCTATTATGGGCCAGATTCTGGTGTTACCGAACCAGGCCTGTTTTGCCCACCGTGCAGTATGCCAATCACTGAGACGATGAGTTTTGCAGCAGAGAAAGGGTTTATTCATGTGGCAGCCAAGCGAGGAGACAGGAAAACAGGTTTCAAATCCACCTTCCCAAAGATGAGGTTTAGGGTTGTTTATGGGATAGAGAAGCAGAGTGGTCTGAAGCATGGGGAAAGGTGATTGGGGGTAAGGAGAAGTGAGGCAATCAGTTTCTGCACAAGCGTAGTCAAGCTTCATGGCCCTTCATAGGACAAAGTCTGAAAAAAATGGCAGCATCAGCATGACCTGAGGGTGGAGCTCTTGGCCCTGTGACGTCAAAAGAGGACTCATTACCCATCCATCATTTGTGGAGGTCCAGTTGAAGGGTCAGTGGTCTCACTCAGTTTGAACTGGACAGGAGCAGACTCTAAATTCCTGAAAAACAACTTAGACAACCGTTAGCATTGTGATCCATACGTCAGAGGTGTTATCTCTAGTGAGGTTGGAGAGAGTCTTTTTAAAAAAACAGCTAAAAGCAAGCAAAGCTGGCTAAGGTTTGACAAGCCTATTCAGGTTTGCCCTCGGCTTCTCAAGCACAGATTGGCCAGGGGTATTATCAAGGGGCCCTGGATTCCTTTCACTGTGAAATTCTAGGCACGCCCAACTGTGCGGCAAGAGATGCCATAAAAATCCAGGTTTTCCGAGCTCCCTGAAAAGGCCAGTGCCTGCTCCTGGCTATGCAAACTCCAGGAAGGTCAAGCCTGGTAGTGGTTGTGAAGAATACTCTTAAGCTTCTTTTTTATGGTTTTTAGAAATCTTTTTAAAGAAAACAGCTCAACACCTTTTTTTCTTCTTCTTTTTTTTTTTTTTTTTTTTTTTTTTAAGAGACAGGGTCTCACTATGTTGCCCAGGCTGGTCTCAAACTCCTGGGCTCAAGTTATCCTCCTGCCTCGGCCTCCCAGAGTGCTGGAATTACAGGTGTGAGCCACCACACCCAGCCTAGCTCAACACCTTTCTTTTTTTCGTTTTTTTTTTTTGAGACAAAGTCTCACTCTGTGTCCCAGGCTGGACTGCAGTGGTGCAATCTCGGCTCACTGCAACCCCCACCTCTAGGTTCAAGCGATCCTCCCCCCTCAGCTGTCCCAAGTAGCTGGGACTACAGGTGTGTGCCATCATACCCAGCTAATTTTTGTACTTTTATTAGAGACAGAGTTTCACCATGTTGGCTAGGTTGGTCTTAAACTCCTGACCTCAGGTGATCCACCTGCCTTGGTCTCCCAAAGTGCTGGGATTACAGGTTTGAGCCACCGCGCCTGGCCCTCAACATCTTTTGATGTCTCACTCTTCTGAAGACTAACCTCTTTGCTTGGAATTCAAGAAATTCTCTTTCTAAACTCTATTTCTGGGTTATGACCCCTTCCACACCCTCATCATTTTAATTTTAATTGGTTTTTTAAGTTGAATCAGCCAACATTCAAAAATTGGGACGTTTCATATGAAATTTTGGGTTTCCAGCTTCTCTTCCCACATTCACATATGCCTCAGTCCCCACCCCTCCTTATAGTCATTTCCTGTTCCAGGGCCAGTCACTGTCCTGCTGCTGCTGTTTTTCTTTCAGTAAAGTTAAGAAGGAAAAGTAAAATGTTTTTATTTTCAGGAGTAAACAAAAGACAGACTAGGAGGGCCAATTTTTTCAAATTTGTTTCTCTCACCAGCCCTGTTTCACTCTAGGTTTCTGCTGGCCCTGCAGGCATTGAGCCACTGACCTACCACATGGGCAAAGAGCAACTCAGAGGGAGGGATCTTGTCCCATTCCTGTTTATTGTGATGATAACAGCAATTGTTTATTGAGCCCTTTTCTGAGCTCATTTAACCCTAAGGTGAGTCTAATCATTCCCACTTTCCAGATAAGGAATCTGAGCCTTAATGAGGTGAAGGTACCCAGTGGAGTGAGTAAGTGATGGGTGTCACTAAGACTTGAACTCCTGTCTGCCTGACTCCATTGTAATCCCCTGTGTATTCCTAGCAGCTGCCCCTAGCAATGCCCACAATTGGCAATTAATAAGTGCCAGACAAGTCAACTTGAATTCCAGAGTCACAGATGGGATGGGGCCAGGTGGGAAACTTCTAACCTTAAAGTGAACAGTGGCACATTTAGGATACTCCTGATTCTTCCTTCCTTCCTTTGGTGCCTGCCTGGGCACAAGTGGCTGCTGTGTGTCTCTTGGGTGGCATTACCCAGAGTTCAGTTAACATGTGCTGGGCAGGAAATCTGCTGTGGCTCCGTTTTGCATTACCATGTCTTTGAGGTGTGTGGACATGGTGCAGGCACCAGATCTTGGCAGGAGCATTTTAACAACCTCTGTCCTTGTTCGCTCCCTGTAGTCCTCGCAGTGGCCGCAGGCCCATCTCTCCAACACAGACCCAGCAACTAATTGGGCCTGGATAACAAACCACACAGACACAAGCCCCTTCGCATTCCCCTCCTGGACTGCAACGTGGGAGGCTTTCCAAAGCTGCCACCTTCTGCTGGAGCCGGAGTTGGGGGAAATGGGGAGAGGCTGACCTGCCCACCCTAGACAGGAACAGGGTGCTTGGCACCCTCTCCCTGGCTAGGCTATGGACCTGGGGGCCCCTGTGGCAAGAGTGTGGGCTCTTTGGTGTCAAGAGTCCCCTGTGGACATTGTCAGGAGGTGGCTGCAGAAGGGAGATTTAGTAATGAACAAAGCACTGGCTCCCCAGCCCAGAACAGTGTCTGTAAATCCCACCTTGCTCAAATCCTGAGATTTTATTATTCTGCCAGCCCTTTGGAGCCAGGTGGCAGTGGGAAGCTTCAGATTAATTTGGGAGATGTTTTCTTTGCGGAACCTCCGGCTTTCTAGGCAAGTGGATTAAGTTCTGGATAAAATAAGGGCTCTTACTTTCTTGACATTTGGGGCTGGCTTTGCTTTCCCACCTGCTGGGGTTTACTTTGGGTGTGTGAGTTATCCCCACAGGCTCCCTTTGCTGTCTGCCCCTTGGGGTCTCTGCTTTAGCACATCATCTCCAGGGAGATGTGGCTTTTCCTTTCTCTCCTACCCAAGGTGGACAGAAATATCTTTCCCCATTGCACCAACCAGATAGAATCTGGGCAGAAGTTTCCTAGGCTTCAGAATCTCTTGATGCAGAGATGGGACCAGGATATTCTGACCCTGCTATTTTAACCCCTGAATGAACCAATGTAGGGAATTCTTATTGAGAGATGAAGAATGAGTCAGAAAGTGAGAGCCAGTGATTGAGACAGAGATACAGAGAGAGAGAGAGAGAGAGAGAGAGAGACAAAAACAGAGAGAGAGAGAGAGAAACAGAGATAGAGAGAGAGAAGAGAATAGATGAGAAAAGAAAAGAAAAGAAAAGAAAAGAAAAGATAAGAAAAGAGGCTAAATGGCTAAATGGGTTCTGTTACTGGGATGACCAAGTCCTCAAATGCCCAGTGGAGTCAAAGCATCCTCACGGTCAAAATGGCAGGTGTGAATGTCCTAGGAGCCCAATTGGGATAACTGTTCTCTAACCCCAACCTGTGTTTCTGGCCTCTGCTTATCTCTAGCTTCCCAGCAAAGGCCACTGGGTGTGGTTTATCTTCTATTGGATAAGTACCATAAAATGCTTAAGATTGTGCCTGCCTGGCACAGAGTGGGGCTCAACAGGTTACCTGGTGGAGTTTTCCTGGAGAAACCAGATGGGGCACACATGATAAGACCTCATTACTCCATTCAGGTATGAAAAGATGTCCAAGAATCTGCCAGAAAAGGAACTCTATAGATGGAATACATCTGTCTTTGCTGGCTCTCAGAAGCTGGTCTGCGGTTCAGCTTGCCTGGCTTCTTTCCCCCTCCCTATCCCTCCCTTCCTCCTTTCTTTCCTCCTCTCTTCTTTCTTTCCTTCAATAAATGTTGGTTGAGCACCTACTATGTGCCAGGCACATTCCTAGGTGCTGAATATAGATTGATGATCAAAGAGGTGAGATTTCCATTTTCATGGGACCTCATCTACTCTACTTAGGGCAACAAACAATTAACAAATAATGCATAGTTCTTAATTACAGCAGATGTTATGCATGGAAACAATTGGAAGGCCATGCTATGGTTTGGGAGTAGGAAGGGCCTCTCTGGAGAGGTGGCTAAGGCCTGAATAATGAGAGAAGCCTGCCTTGTGAAGAATGCAGGAGCACTCCAGGCAGAGGGAACAGAGCGTATGAGGCCTTGAGGTGGGAAGAGCTTGGCAAGGTCAAAGAACAGAAAGAAGGCCCATGTGGCTAGGGCTTGGGGTGCAAGGGGCTGGGGCAAGGCATTCGATGAGGGTGGGCATGTGATGAGGTGGATTTCCAAAGCCCTGCTCCAACTTTGTCTTGGGGCTTTCCCCAGCTGGCCCAGGTTCTGGTCTGAGGCACAGGCCAGCCTCACACTGTAGACCCTTGATATATTTGGCCCTTTCAGGCTTCAGGGCTCAGCCTCATTCTCCCTCCTCTGCATTCTTCCCTGGAGCTGCTCTTGGTGAGTGACACCCCTTCCAGCTAGGGACCTCACCAAAGCCTGGTCCAAACATGTGCTTGATACAGCAATGGAGGATCCAGCATTGCACGGCTAAGAAGCAGAGCTCTCGGCAGCGGAGGGGCCTTCTCTCCCAGGGTCTTTTGGCCAGTCCTCAATCCAGGTGAGGGAACTGTAGAGCCCTAAGGGAGCCTACTTATTCTGAAGACAAGTGGGAAGTTTAGTGGCAAAAGTTCTGGTTGGCTCCTTCCATGAAGTGCATGCCAGAGGAGTAGCCCAGGCATCTGAAGGAAGGGCATACACACACTCATCCAAGCACCCAGATGTTTGGAGGACAAGATGCCGGGCTGTCTGGCTCAATCCACTGCTGAATTATTTAACACATATTTGTGTCTGGGGCTGATATGGTTTGGCTGTGTCCCCACCCAGATCTCATCTTGTAGCTCCCATAATTCCTACATGTTGTGGGAGGGAACCAATGGGAGATAATTGAATCATGAGAGCAGTTTCCCCCATACTGTTCTCTTGGTAGTAAATACGTCTCACGAGATCTGATGGTTTTATAAGGGGTTTCCCCTTTTGCTTGGCTCTCATTCTCTCTTGCCTGTCACCATGTAAGACGTGCCTTTTACCTTCTGCCATGATTGTGAGGCCTCCCCAGCCATGTGGAACTGTGTGTCCATTAAACCTTTTTCTTTATAAATTACCCAGTCTCGGGTATGTGTTTATCAGCAGTGTGAAAACAGACTAATACAGGGGCCAGGCTAGGTGCTTTGGGGTATCCCAGGAAGAGAAACCACCGTCTGCAGTAGTGGAATTCTCTTTGACTTGCCAAGTGTGTTCATATGAGTGTCTTGTTTGATCCTCCCAACAGTGAGCAGGGTAGGCAGAGCAGGACTGAGGAGCCCCAGTTTGCACATGAAGAAACTGAGGCTCAGCAAGGTCACATCGCTTATTCCAGGTCAAACTAGTAAAAGCTGCGTTAGGAAAGTCTTGAAGTCACATCTGGAGGTGAATCATTCCTTTAGCGTTTAGTTGCTCTGTCACCTTGGGAACACAGTACCCACCTCGTTTTTCTCATCTGAAAACACAGAGAAATGTGGTGTCAAAATGCTTAGCTCAGGGCCTGGTAAACAGTAGGTGCTTAGTAAATGTAAAACTCCCTTCCACTCTGGCCTTCTGACTCTGGGCCAGCACGTTTCTTAACATGTAACCCTCTTCCTGGCCTCGTGGTTTGCAATTGTGACCTTGCACAGGAAACGTCTTGATATTTGCTGCCAGGTAGACAAAACATCTGGAAGATTGGCCCATCTTTTTTCCTCTTCAGCCAAATGTTTTGGTGTCATGAAGATAAAGCCACAGAGACTTAGCTGCCAGGGCCCAGTTCCCAGAAGGCCATAAAATACAGTGATCCTGCCTGGCCCTGCTTGTCGCAATCCAGCAAAGTGCTTCTCGCATCCAACACATGGTTATTTTTTACAAAATCGCTGAACTAGCCATGTTAGCTGTATTGATCAATAAATTACTTTGATGAAAACTCAATAGGCAATGGCCCCCTGGCACTCGTTCCCACACAAAGGAAGGACTTTTACACTTTTTCCATTTCAAAAACCTTGGTGCCATTTCCTGTCCCATTTTTCTCCTCTGTGTATCACTCCCAGGTGTTGCTGCCTCGGCCAGCACCTGCCCAGACAGGACTTGGAGATCTCTGGGGCCATAGACAGAGATTATTCTGGCCCAAGGCATGGGGGAGGTGGTGCATGGGAGGTGGAGTTAATCCATCTGCCCACGTCCCCCCAAAAAGGTTTGCTTTCCAGGGCACTCTGGAAGCCCTGGCATCACTGTTGCTTGGCATCCTCCTTGTGCCTGCAAGACCCATCATTCGTAGCCTTGCTGGGAGAAATGCGTCTCTGCATGGAAGAGCTAGGAGTCATAACAGGCCCATGGTCTTCCCTGAAATTCACTCATTTGTTCACTCATGTACATTTTTTGAGCCCTTCTACTGTGCTGGGAGTTTACCATGTGTATGTAATCTTAATGGATCCTTACCAAAGGGCAAATGTTTGAAGTTAACTTTTACCCCCTTAGACTTCACACCAGCCTCCACTGCATGCTAATAAAAGGCAGGTGTTGGGCTGAGCATACTTGCTTCGGATGAAGCCACTGCCTATCTTTGAATCCTGACTCCTGACTTCAGGCGAGTTCTTAACCTCTCTGTGCTTGAGTTTCTCCACCTGTAAAATGACTAGAAAAGCATTTACCCCATAGGGTTGTGGAAGAGATGAACTGAGTGACTATGGGAAGCACTGTGTGCTGGCTCATGTTAGCTGCCTTTCGCTGCTGAGGGCAAAATTAACTAATAGTGTGAAGTGTTCAGAGCAGTGTCTGCTACATAGAGCTCAGGGCTTGTAAGCTAGTATCATCATCATCTCATTTCACTGTCACAACAATGTTACAAGACAAGAACCGTTAGTCTCCCCATTTTACAGATGGGAAAACTGAGACTTCTTTAGGTCTAGCATCTTACCCAGGATTTCAGAGCAGAGATTTAAACGTGGCCACCCTGACTCCAGCTCGGAGCATTTTTCCATAGTGCTGGACTTCCTGGTGCAATCATAGTGCTCTGGAGTTGGAAAGCACATGGAAGACACTTGGACTGGCGGGACAAAAGTGGTACAGGTAGGCCGGGCGTGGTGGCTCACGCCTGTAATCCCAGCACTTTGGGAGGCGGAGGCGGGTGGATCATGAGGTCAGGAGATCGAGATCATCCTGGCTAACAAGGTGAAACCCCGTCTCTACTAAAAATACAAAAAATTAGCCGGGCGCGGTGGTGGGCGCCTGTAGTCCCAGCTACTCGGGAGGCTGAGGCAGGAGAATGGCGTGAACCCGGGAAGCGGAGCTTGCAGTGAGCCGAGATTGCGCCACTGCAGTCCGCAGTCCGGCCTGGGTGACAGAGCGAGACTCCATCTCAAAAAAAAAAAAAAAAAAAAAAAAAGTGGTACAGGTGAGAAAACTGACACCTGCGATGGCGCAGTGACTCGCTGGAGCGCACACAGACGGGAAGGTTGGGCAACTCCTGGGTGCTTTCTACAAGCATTACAGCCGGACACTGCACACTGGAGACTGCTGGGGTAATCCTGGCTCTGTCTGTTGCCTTGTGTAATTATGAATAGCACCCCCTTCACTCCAGGAGCATCATTGTAGCACAGCTGTTACCAGAGTAGGTTCACGAATCAAAATCACTGGATTTGAATCCCGGCTCCACCACTTCCTGACTGTGCCTTGGTTTCCCCAGGATTGTAGAAAGGATCTTGTGGGATAAGAGGCCTGGTGAACAGAAAGCACTCAGTAGACATTACCTCTTATTTATTTTTCTCAAGAATAAATGTAAAAAGTAAAAAGAATAAGTATCCATTTCTATGGCTCTTAACATATTTACAACTCATTCTGAGCCTCAGGCAACTCTGGGAGATTGAAGCCTTGAGTTTGTCTTTCTTAATTTGCAGCTGAGCAAGGAGTGGCCCGGCTTGGGTGACGTGTCCAAGGTCACACAGCTGGCTAGAAGAGAAGCACAACTCAAATTCACATCTGTGGATCTTTTTCTCCTGC
The DNA here is from genome assembly GCF_000001405.40 of Homo sapiens. Taxonomy (NCBI): domain Eukaryota; kingdom Metazoa; phylum Chordata; class Mammalia; order Primates; family Hominidae; genus Homo; species Homo sapiens. Next base: position 37,010,113 of record NC_000001.11, on the reverse strand, counting down.
ACTACAGTTGCCCTCCTGTTCCAAGTGCCCCGTGCTTGGAAACCCAGCCACCCCCAAAGATGTCGGTAAATACAGCAGAGCTGGCCTCTCTGAAGACTCTGCTCCCCCCTCTTTCTAGGTGTCTGTGTTGGTGCCGAGGCCTCCCCTGCTCAGCTGGCCCAGTACTTGCCTCCTCTTCTCCCATTAACAGGGCATAGGCCACCCCCTCCAAGCTCCCCCCAACAGTCCCCACCCCTGCTTCCTCCCACAGCATCCTCAGGACTGTCGCTGTCAGCCAGGGGCCATTTTTCCTCATTACCACGATTGCCCAAGTCCCTACTTCAGTCCAGCCCAGCCCAGCCCCATTTGCATACCATTAGCTATGATGCGATGCATTATGGATTCATATTTAATTTTAGTACTTTTTGGAGGCAACTCTAGCCTAATTAAAATCTCCTTCTCCAAGAGTCTGACATTTCCCTGAACTCTGGTAACATGGGCTCCCCACGAATGGACCACACACACACATACACACACACCCCTCCAGCCATACACACTGCCGTTTCAGCCCCAGTGCTGTGGATTCTTTTTTTAAATGAAAAGGGAGAAAATGAAGAAGTATTTTTCCTCTAAGGCGATTTATATGCAGACTTCGCTTCGGCGAGCTCCCTGGGAGTTGAGCCTGGAGAGGCTGCCAGAGCCTAGCTCCACAGAGAATCTGGGGCTGGGGGTGTGAGGGGGCCCAGGCTCTGGCCTGGCCTTGACCTGCCCCTTCTCTTTGAGTCACTGAGCTTGCCCAGGCCTCAGTTTCCTCTTCCTCTTGAGATCATCAGAAGAGAAAAATCACAAGTCCTACATCATACCATAATCCTCACCTTGTTCCCACTCATTCTGAAATTAAGTCCTTGGAAATTTTCTTCCTTAATCAAGCCAAATAAAGTAGCTTAACATTTCCTGAGTGCTCACCATCTGTCAGGCATTTCACATGCACTAACTAGTTAATTCTCACAACAACAGTTCGAGGTTGATATTATTATTATTATTATTATTATTATTATTACATCTCCATTTTACAGATGAGGAAATTGAGGCTCAGAGGGGTAAGTAGCTTTCTCAAGGTCACACAGCAAGTAAATGGTGGAGATTGGATTTGACTGCGGACAGTCTGGCTTCAGAGTCCGTGGTCTTAACGATATCACAGCTGCCTCTTCCTTTTTAGCAAGAAAAGAATCAGGGAGATGGGCTGGAATTATTCCATTGTTGTAATTCTATGATAATGACTTAATTCTCTCCTGACTCAGGGCAAGATATTGGCTACCATTCATCTCCCTGGCATTTCTCAGAAATCAGTATGTCAGAATTTTCTGACCTCGCTGTCCTGGAGGCAGTGGAGCTCAGACCACATCAGGCAAGCGGGGCCATCCCTGTCTGGGAGCAGGGGTGGTGAGTGCATGGAGCTCTCCAGGGAGACAGGACACTGGCCTGGCACTGCCCAGGCCCTCCCTGTGACCTGCCCACCCTCCTGTGTCCCCGTCTCTTCATGTGGAACAGCCAGGAAGATGTGGCAAAGTAGATTGCTTTGTCTGGGCCAATGTCAGGGAGGGAAAATGTGGTATTTATTTTTTCTCCATCATTTAATTATGAAAGATTTTGAACACACAGTAAAGTTGAAAGACTTTTACAGTGAATGCCCCTGTGCCCACATGGCGTTTGTTCGCTCTCCATCTGCAGCTTGTGAAGGCACTGTCCTGGGCGATTTCTTTATGCAATCATTTCAGTCCTCACACAAACCCAATGGAAGGAGGCTTCTTGCTCCCATTTTATAGATGAGGATGCTGAGGCTCAGCAGATGAAGAAACTTGCCCAGGGGAACCCCGCTCGGTAAGGGTAGAGCCAGCCTTTGCACCTAGAGCCCTCTGAGCCCCAAGTCTGGCTCTTCCTTTCTACCCCAGCCTCTGCTTTTCCTGCGAGACCCCGTAAGTCCACTTGGCAGTGGCAGGCAAAGCCTCTCAACCAGGCCCCTCCGCGTGCTGGGAGGGGACATATGTGGTGGTCAGAGAAGAAGAGGTGGAGGTGAGACACAAGGTGTTTCTCTTGGAGGTTTGTGCTGGGCACGTTCACCTTTGCAGCAATGACTCTACTCCTGGGGCTTCTGGGAATGCAGGATCCAGGGCACTGAAGAGCACTCGAGCCCTCAGCACAGGCGGTGGCTTCTGGGCTCATGATGCTCCCTGCATTAGGGCCCCCACTTCCACCTCCCACTGCTGCTGCTCGGTTTTCCACAGTGAAGCCTGTGTCCCATCACTGCCCTCCTCATAACCCTTCTATGGCTTCTACTGTGCTCAACCATCCTCAGACAAGTCACTTCACTGCTTTTGCGGGATCACCATTCTTCAGCCATGAAGTAAAGAAGTCATTGTTGAACCAATTGTAAGTGGCTGATAGTGCTGGGAAAACGCCTCAAAAGTGCCTAGCCCAAGGCCTGACGCATAGTAGGCACATAGTGCGGGAGCGTTTGTGCGTCCTCATCTGGAATTTCCCAAGGAGCTTGATACCCCATCCCCAGCCAGGCCCGGTGGCTCCCGAATGCCACCATGCATCAGTTCTCCTGAGCCTTGTTCATTTCGTCCTCTTTCTCTGGAGGGCCCTTCCCAACACCCATCAAGATCGGATCCCACCTCCTCTAGCAGGTTTTCTAAGACACTCCCAGAAGGAATGGACTCTTCCCTCTTCTTCCACTCTCCAGCACCTGAACTCAGTGTTAGAAGCAAAGAGTCAGGTGCCAGCCTGACTCCCAGCTCTGTTTGACTCCCAGCTCTGTTACTTACTGGCTACCTGACCTTGGGTAAGTTACTTTTCTTCTCTGTGCCTCAGTTTCCTCACCTGCAAAATGGGCGTAATAACAGCACCCACCTCATTGGGAGACCTAAATGAGTTAGGATGTGGGGAGCATCTGCTCAGTGCCTGCATGTAGTGGTGCCCTATGCCGTGTTCCCTTTCTTTTGTCTAGGCTACAGCCTCTGCTAGCTGTGCCCCCTAGGAGTGGCCTCAGGAAGGCAGGGATGTGGGCCTGTCCTCTGACTCCCTGCCTCCATTCCCATCTAAGAGCCTTGCACAGCAGAGGGAAGACGGCTGCTGGACTCGGGCCATGGAGCAGCATCTGGGTCATAGGAAGCGAGTCTGGTGATAGGCAGACCTGAGTTCCAGTCCTGGTTGCACCACTAGCTTGCTCCCTGGCCTTTGGAAAGTTCCTTAACGCCTCCCAGGCCTCAATTTTCTCACCTGTGAAGTGAAGACAATAATTGTACCCCCCTCCTAAGGTGCTGAGCACAGCCAAGCTCCAGCCCCTCCAGGATCCATCGCATAGCTGCCAACAGTTCATTGCAGGCTGGTCTTGATTGCCCCACCTCCCTCACTCTGCGGCGCCCGCAGGTAACTCAGAACAGAGCTCCTGCTCTGATGTCTAGCCCACGTGCCTGGTTTGCATGGAGACTGCCCTTTGTCCAGAGGGATTTACATTTTTAAAGAGTAAGTTCACCTGAGTCCTGTGGGGCATTGACTCAAACCTCCCATTAGCTGCCTCCTCCTCTCATGCTGAGGCTTTTGCAGAAAATCATTTAATGTTTTCTCTGTGTTTAAAGAAAGCTCCAAGGGCCCATCAGGCTCAGCCTGGCTGGCATGATTTTGAAACAAAGTGCAGTCCCCAGTGGAACGTGGCAACCTCTGTTCTTTAGTAAAATCAGGGGAGCATTTCTGCACGTGGCCTGCTGGCTATATTTAGGCCTTGCCAGGCCTTTGAATTCCTCCCTCGTTGCGTTATCGAGGTCACTGTGGGTGCCAGAGGGCTAAGGCCTGGAGGGCAGGAGGAGAAGCTCTGCCCCAGTCAACACCGCTGGAGTCTGCCCTCCAAGGTCTAGGATTCATACATGGCTCTGAAAATTGTGCATTTAGCAGGAGACCCCAGGGAGCCACAGTCCCCAAGGATGCAGACAGCCTTCAAAAGGAGGAGGCTTCCCAGCACCAGGCCTCCTTGAGTCAGTATCATCTCACTCCCACAGATTCAAATGCACCGCCTTCTCCCGGTGGCTACAGCATCCTCCTTAACTCCGGGCCTTATCCCCTTTCAGGCTAGCGATTCTGACAGTCTCCAGTATGTCTCTGCAGGTCACCTCACCCTCCCTGAGAAACCCTCAAGGGCTCCCCACTGCCTATAAGATGAAGTCCAGCCTTCTCAGCATTCAAGGCCTTCCACAATCTGGCCCCCATCTACCTCTGTGTCCCCAGAAGCAGCCCTAAATCCCCTTGAGAGTTAACTCCACGGGGACAGAGGATTTTGTCAGCTTTATTTATTCCAGGTTGCCCAGTGCCTTGAAGAGTAACTAGAACATTGTAGGTGCTCAATTAATATTTGCTGAACAAATGAATGACTGACAAGTGAACAAACGATGCCATGATCTGCAGTTTCCCCACTGTCACGTCTTTGCTCTGACAGCCACTTGCAGCCAGGCCAGCCCTCCCGTCTTTATTGTGCACCATCGTTCTGTGCTTTAAGGCTTGGCCCACTTCCCCCTGGCTGGCCCAGCCCCTGGCGATCCCTCCTGCTAACTCCAGCACTGTTGTTAGGGACCCAGTGCCTTTGTTGTTCTCTGACTTTCTGGGGATTGTGTCTGCTTTTGGACTTGGCTACACACCCCTTGAGATCTAGGACATAAGCATGCCTTAACCTCCTTGGCCTCCCAGCAGCGCCCAGCATTCCTCTGTGGCTTTCAGTGGATGTGATGGGAAACATGGGACTGGAGCTGCCCAGGAGGCCAGAGTCAGCCCTAGTGGGCTGCAAGGTGGGGACAGAGATGCAGCCACAGGTAAGGTATGGGGCCTGGTCCTTTCAGACAGATTATGATGTCCAAAGAGGCTGGCATCTGGCATCAGGTGGGGACCCAGGCAAGCAGGGCCATCAGGGAGGCAAAGCATGGGGCATACAATGGCCAGAAAGTAACAGAGCCCAGAGTGGGAGTCGCAGGAGTAGGTTAAGTTCAGCAGGTGAAAATAGAATTGAGGGTTCTCTCATTAGAGAAACTGTCTTTAGAGGGAAGAGGCTGTTAGATAGGTGTCTGAGACAGGCACTTAAGCCCAGGAAACAAGGCAGGAACCCTGCATCACACCCAGGGGCCTAGTTAGGGCTCCAGCTGGCCAACTGGGGCCGTTGATGGTGCTGACTTCCTGCAGTGCTGGGCCGGGCTGGTCAAGTCCCTTTTTTCTTGGCTGGGCCTGCAGGTGGGAACACAGCGGTCTCAAGAGTGGGAAGAGGGATGAGGAAGTCAAGTTACACATAACAGGTGTATTTTCAGTGTGGGCTGCAGGCACTGCAGTTAATCGCTGTCCCCATTGTTGTCACCCTGCCTAAGTCACACATGTGCCATCTCTTCCATTGGACAGCTTTTGAGGACACACATACGCAAACACAGAGTTCAGCTATGACCATAGCATGCCAGGCATGAAGCTTGGGGAGGGACCTGATGTCCCTCCCTGCCATGGTCCCCGTAAGACCTGCTGTGAAGACTTAAAGCCTGTTGATTCAAGAGCACAAATGAAAACCAAGTGAGTGGTGATTCCGTTTGGGCAAGGGGCAGGAAAGTGGGGGCTGGGAGTCTGCTGATCAGACCCCAGACCCCCACTGCCCTCCACAACCCGAAGCTCAATTTCTCCCTGGTTCTTCTGGGGTCACTTAGCTCTCAGAGGGAACAATTGCAGTAACAATTCCCTACCTCTTTGTGTGATTCTTTATCCTTTTCAAAGCCCTTTTATGCAGTTTTCCATTTGATACACCCTCCTGTGAGATAGGCTGGTATTATTATCTCTGCTTTATAGATAAGGACATTGAGACTCAGAGAAGGTGCTGTGGCTTGTCCGAGCCCCCTCGGAGGGTGGGCTCTGGAGCAGGGATTAGATCGAAACAGAAGCATGTGACTTCCTGCCCTGTTGCATTTTCTTCTGCCCTCTGATGTGTGGGGTTTTTTTTAGAAGGTGGCTTCCTTTGTCTACAAGGCCCTGATGTTTTCTGGGGTCCGTGTGTCTAAGAGGGGTGCCAAGGCAGAGATTGGGCCGAGTGCTGCCTCGAGTATTTCATCTTCCTCCCCACTACCTCAAGTTCGTTTTGGGGCTCCTAACAGGTGGCAGGAACCATTCCCAGCCCCCTCCCTCCTCTCCCTTCTTTCTGCAGTGGGGCAGCATCCAGCAGAAGAGTGTGGGAGCTGGGGAGCCTGTGGGGTGACGAGGGGGGCACAGGAGGTGGGAGATGGCCCCTTCAGCCCAGCAGGGTGGCAGGTTATGGAGCTGGACTCAGACTTTGTAAATATGGAGACAGCAGAGAGGAAGGACAGCCTGGCTCTCTAGTACCCACCCAAGGGGCTGTCTTGGGGACCAAAGGAAAAGTTGCAAGACAAGTTAAGGAGAGGTCAAGATGAGTTTGGGGAGAGACATGGGTTTGTAGCCAGTGCTCAGAAAAGCCAGAAGCTGACTTAAGGGTACAGATGAAAACAAAGTGAGTGGCAGTGCCATTTGGGCCAGGGGCAGGAAGGAGAGGCTGGGAGCTACTTGGCCAGACAGACCCCCACCACCTCCGGATCCAGAAGCTCAGACATCTTCACTTTTTGAGGCTGATACCATGGAGGCTGAAGAAAGATATGCATGTCCAAGGCCAACTGAGCTGAAATATGGGATTGACCTGGGAGGGCATTGATAATGTTTCATAGTAGTGTCTGAAAGTATAATTTGGGCCATTGGCTGGGCTTAATTTTTAATGAATGAAATAGTAACTATTCCATTTCATTTCACAAAAATGATTTAAAGTTGTTTACATGAATTACATTTAATATGATAGCTCACTTTTCATTCAAATAATTTAATACTAGGAAAAATATAAACTAGAAAGTTTATATTTCTTAGCAGCAAAACTAAAATGCTATAGTTAAGTCATGATGTCCAATAGTTGCTATAATCGGGCCAAACATTTGACTCTACGCTCCCTGGTGGCCAAAGGGAAAAGGGAAACTGTATCTTTCCTATGGGGAAAAAGTCACCCTAGTACCTCTGGGACAAAAAAAAAAAAAAAAACAACAGCTTTTATTAACCCTTTATTTTAAAATATGTTTTCTTATCTGGAGCTTTATGTGAAAGGCTGTAAGAAATGCAACATTGGCCGTGCAGTGGCTCACACCTGTAATCCTAGCACTTTAGGAGGCCAAGGCGGGTGGATCACTTGAGGCCAGGAGTTTGAGACCAGCCTGGGCAACATGGCAAAATCTCATCTCTACTAAAAATACCAACATTAGCTGGGCATGGTGGCACACACTTACTTGAACCCGGGAGGCAGAGGTTGCAGTGAGCCAAGATTGTGTCCCTGCACTCCAGCCTGGGTGACAGAGTAAGTCTCTGGCTCAAAATCTCAAAAAAAAAAAAAAAAAAGAAAGAAAGAAAATAAATGCAACATCTTTCTAACCAGTGGCTAGCAGATTTCATAAACCATGTCTGGTACTGTCTGTTTCTCCATGTCACCTGAAGACATGATGATGAAACACAGTTTAGGGAGTGAAACTACGCAAGGAGCCGAGGATGCAGTTCAAGTGCACAGCTTGATCCAAGGATAAATCCTAGACTATCTAGAGAAAGTGGTGGCTGGCCTGCTTCTCAACCCACTCTCCGAAATGCTGTTTTTCTCTCCATCGCACCTTTACTTCATATTGGGCAGTAGGTGGTTAAGGCAGCCATCCCCAGCAAGGTCTGACTCAGCTGGTTGTTGGGTTGGAGGAAACTCTCATTTAATTTAGAGCAGCCATCATCAGGCTTCTTTGACTATATGCCCAACCAGTAACAAGGTTTAGTATGCCCCCAGTAAATCTAATTTTTTCTTTGTTATATGCAACTAGCTTAATCTACTATGTATTTTGTAAATCATACCCCAAAATAAGTAATTGAAAGGGATGAGATTCAAATCAACATTGGCAGAAGCTAGTACTTTCTTTCTCTTCTGCAGGGGATTGTCTTTTGCAGTCCTGAGGCTGGGTACACTCCCCTTTGGATGCTTGTTGCTCTCTGAGAGCATTTTTCTGGCTTCAGGAACATCCTGCTGGAAGGGGCAGAGTTGGTGCCTCATCCAATGACAGATGGACTTAGTGTATCACAACCCCAGCTTCCTCTCTCCCTAGTTGTGAGGCCTCTGAGGCAGTTCCACATTGTCTCCTAGAGGTCCCCAGTGGTAAGACTGAGCTCCGGTCACCCACAGTGGTAATTTGCTTGACAACACACCTGTTATGCACAGCCGTCCTTCACCTTTCTCATTTCCTTCTCCCCTACCTGTGTATCCTGAGATCACCTCCCAAATAAACTACCTCCACTTCAATCTTTATCTCAGGTTTTGCCTCTGGGAAAATCCAAACTAAGAGTTTTCTTTTGAGGAAATTGAGGAACCTCTCAAGGATCTGGTTTTCTCACTTTGGCAAGGAGGAGGATCCACGTTTTTTTTTTCTTTAAGACAGTAACTCAGTCTATTCCCACAAATGAGCAAATGGCCAGGCCTCTGCTTGGTGTGATGATTCTAGCCTGGAAGATTTCCTTACCAGACATTCCAGGTCCCCACCATGAGCAGGGAGAAATTCCATCGTGCACCTGGGGAAGGCCAGGACTGGTACAGTGTAGTTTCCTGCCAGGGGAATTGGCTGCAGAACATCCTGGAAGTAACTAAGTTAAGTTCCCTAATGTATGGAGTTATTGAATATAAACTTGTTAAATTTGAGAGGACAACTGCCAAATACAATTGATTTTTGCTTTAGAACAATTGATCTCAGACTATTCTTTCTGACAATAGGCAGATGAAGGACCACTTGTCTATCACAGCCATTCCTGCTTTGTGACAATGAAAAGAAGCCATTGGCTCATGGGAGCTCGTCTTTCTGAGTGCTATGGACAGTGAGGATGGGGACATGGAGCACACATTTGCAGCATCTAAAGGCATTTGATTCTTTAAGTTCTGAATGAAAATTGCTGGTTGATAATCCCAGGAATCTCTCTGGACAGTTATTGACGGGAACTGAAGCAGGGACTGCTTAAATCTTATACCTTTTACATCCTAACCTCTGTAGCCAGGTACCACTGACCACCTTCCTGGCAGAGGATTAAGTGGAATCAGGTGCCCAGTGCAATGCTTCGGTATTTGCCAGTGGATATTTGTTGAATGTGGATCTTGGAGATGAAAGACTCCCTTGGGCTTTCTGACCTGAGAAAGGAATTTGGATCTGCGCTGCTGTTTTCAAAGCTCACCTTTTCTCCCACTGTGATTTCCAGTCCCTCTGAATGCCCTTTCTGATGGGATGCTTACTGCCTAAGGGAAAGGAGACTGAATTTGGATTCAGACAGCCATGGAGTTGAATATTGGTTCTGCACCCTGCCAGCTGTGTGACTTTTAACAAGTCACTGCAACTCCCTGGACCTCAGTTTCCTTTTCTGTAAAATAGAGTTTATTGCCTTGTAAAATAGTTGTAGGCATTGAATGATATAATTGTCCACATAAAGTACTCAGCCTGGTGCCTGGCAAGTGGCTGTGTGACCTTGGGCAAGTTATTTTACCTCTCTGAACTTCATTTTCCTCTCTCAACTTCATTTTCCTCTCTCAACTTCATTTTCCTCTCTGAACTTCATTTTCCCCCTCTGTCAAATTGGGTTAATAGCACTTACCCCATATAATTGTTGTAAAGACTGAATTAATTAGAGGTTATACATGAAACATTTTTCACAGGACATGGCACATAGTAAATGCTCAATAAAAGTAGCCATTATTACTGTAATTATTATTCACTCATGTATGTGATGAAGGTAATAAAAATAACACCTGTCTTGTCAACCTTAACCGTAGGAGGGCTGAAATGAGACAGTGGACTTCTGAAGGTCATCCATTCAACAACTATTTCTTGAGTGCTTCCTGTGAACCAGTACTTTCCAGGCATTAGGGAGGGAACAGAAAGCAAAAGAGCAAAACTCCTGGGCCTCAGAGAGCCTGCATCCTATGGGGACATTCACCAGAAGCATGATAATTAAAGTAAAATGTGGAGTGTGCTCAGTAATATTAAGTTCTCTTTTTTTTTCTGAGACGGAGTCTCGCTCTGTCACCCAGGCTGGAGTGCAATGGTGTGATCTCGGCTCACTACAACCTCTGCCTCCCAGGTTCAAGCGATTCTCCTGCCTCAGCCTCCCAAGTAGCTGGGATTACAGGTGCCCACCACCATGCCCAGCCAATTTAGTAATGGTAAGTTCTAAGGGGACAAAGTAAGCAGGGATAAGAAATAGAAGATGGGGTCAGGATTGCCAGGGCCTCATTGAGAAGACTGTTTAAGCAAAGACCTGAAACAGCTGGGATATGTCACCCCCACAAGGGGCACTGTGATTGGTGCCTGCCCTGCAGGTGCTTTCTGTAGGAGCGGGCTCAGTGTTCCCTGAGAGGCCCTGTGTTGGACCTGTGATAGATCAATGCTTCTAGGGGAGGGGGCTGAAGGATCTTGGCTGAGGTGGGGCAGATTAAAATGATCATTACCTTAAGGCCCCTTTCCAGCTGCCTCAGGCCTCTGTGGGTGGTGAGTAGGGGAGATGGAATTAGGACCTCAGGGTCCTTTCCAGAAAGGACCTTTTCAGGAGGCAAGTGGGAAGGTCAGATGCTGTGTCCTGTGCTGTCTACCTGCCCTGGTGCTCACCTGGCTCCCCAACCCGGCTCCCGACTTGCAGTTCACTTCTTTTTGAGAAAGCAGCATCTGCTCTCGGACAGGGATTCTCTGCTCCTCTACCTGCCCCTGCAGCTTCCTCTCCCACCTCGGTGCACCTGGGCACCTTTCCCAGACCATGCCCCTCAGACCCCCAACTCTGTGCTCCTGAACATCCCTCCCTGATTCCTGGGGTTCCCTCCATGTGTAACTGACTCACCCCACCCTCTACTTTATGTACTTGAGCTCCAACGTTGGGCACTTGAACCTTCCACTCTACTCCATGCCCCATCTGTTCCCCTGAGCCACCCTCCCAGGTCTGTTCATGGTTGGGGGGCCCATCCCTGCTCCTTCCCTCCCCACCCCCAACACACACACACATACACACACACACACACACACACACACACTTCCAAAGTTCTGCAGAGTAGGGTAGGGCAGAGGTTAGAGAGGCTCTTATGGGAGCTGCAAACCCTGCTAGATGGACATTCAATCACTGTGGCAGGAGCCTCAGAAGCCCCTTGGGCTTTAGCCACTTGGAGGGGCCCTTCAGTGGTTCTGGGGACCTGGAGGCTTGCTATGCTCCTCCTTACTGCCTCAAACTGAAATTCAAACTGTCACTGGAGAGGGTCTCCCTTTGACACTATGGGACCCTGGGAAGAGCAACAGAGTGAAGTAAAGGGGGCTTCTCTGAGCTTTTGTAGAAGTTCCTCTTCTATAAAATGGAGATGATAACCCCATGGCACAAACCCATCGGGAGGCTCAGGTGAGATGATGTGCTGAACACAGTGCTTGGCACATGGGGAGTCCGATCAGTGATGACCACAGTGAAGAAGACGCTGCTGTCATATGCGTGTCAATAACCCGTTCATGCATCAACCTCTCCAGCAGACATTCATTAAGCATCTTCTGTGTCTATACCCTTGGCTGATGCTAGAGATACAGAGTCAACTAGACATGGGCTGTCTCTTGTGGAGTCCACAGTCTTACTGGGAAGGCAATGCTAAGTTACAAGCCCTATGGTCAGGCCCTAACAGACATGAGACAGGGTGTTGGGGAGTCCAGCAGTAGGACACGGTCAGGGAAGATTCCTATTTTAACCTGACGGGAAGAGCCACTGATGTTGGGGTGCTAGGCCTCTTCACTAGTAGAAGGCAGCTGCATTTTAGCCAGGGCCTTCTGTCCCCAAATATGGATCAGATTAATGTCTACCTGTTTTGCTGGTGTCCCAGTGTCTTCCAGTCAGAGACTTGGACTAGAGGCCCAAATTTGGCCCCTATAAGATGAGCCTGGACAACACTGCCCCCTCCCATTCATTCATTCAGTCAGTCAGTCAGTCAGCTATGCCTGCTGCTATGTGCCAGGCATTGTTCTATGCTCTGAAGTCACAGCAGGAAATAAAGCAGACCCTGGACCCTGGATTAATAGGGCTTAAATTCTAGTTGAGGGAGAGATAGAGATGGCCAGGAAAATGGGCCTGGTCACCTCTAGCTCTCCCTAGGCCTGGTATGGCCACTTCTGGCTCCTCCTAGACTGGATTGGTCAGCTCCAAACCCTCCCAGGCTGTATCTGGTCACCCTTGGTCCTTTCCAGGATGTGGGCTAGGCTTGACCACCCTGGGCACCACTCAGCTTTAAGCCTGGTCATTCCTGGTCCCTCTTAGGACTCAGACTGGGCCTGACCACCACGGCACTCCTCAGACTGAGTGTGGTCACCCCCGGCCCCTCCCAAGGTGGGCCTGGCCACCCTCACTTTCCCCAGAAGCTGGCAACAGCTTTGGACTGAGTCCCTCTGCCTGGGGGCACCTCCACCGCTCCAGATGTGGTTGCAACCTGACCCACCTGGGTCCATCTCTCTAGAGCTCGCGTGCCCCCCTGCCCAGTGCCATGGAGTATAGGGGGGCCAGCTCCCTCTCTCTGTGTTTGTCATTGAGCTCTGGAATTATATTTCTTGATTTAACAACTGCGAGTGTTTGCTGCAGCTTTACTGCCTTAAAAATGTTTTCTAATAATCCCCAGGTGTTTCTCTTGCATACAATAGCCTGGCTTGTTACAGCCCAATTAAATCCTGATTTGAGACACGTAATTAAAACTCTGAACAGAACGCGCCATAAACCTTGCTCCTTGCCAGCCTCACGCCCAAAGTGCCTGCCCCTACCCTCTGTCTCCTGCTTCCAGGGCCTGCCGCTGACATTTGTCTACTTTTGGTTGTGACTTGGTTGGGTGGAGGCCCAATCTGTAAGTCCTTGGAGGTGGAGCTCCTAGAGATAGAGGGATGGGCTCCCTGAACCCTTGGGGTCCCAATTCCCTACATGGAATTGGCTTCTTCTGGCTGTCCCTAGAACCAGCCTTCTCAGCCTCAGCACTCTTGGCATTTGGGGCCAGGTATAATTCTTTGTTGTGGGGGCTATCTTGTGCATTGTAGAATGCTTCGCAGCATCCCTGGCCAGTAGCACCCTCCCCCACAACTGTGATAACCAAAAATGTCTTCCGTCATGGCCAAATATCCTTGGGGAGATGGAATCATCCCCGATTGAGAGCCACTGTCCTACAGGGAGGCGCCAGCCCAACATCCTTGGATATGCGGAGCTGGGGAGAGCTGGACAGCCCCTGGAAGCTCATTCTTATCCCTCCACACGTGACCAAGTTCTAGCAGAATGGGAGCTACAGACAGAGACACCGCTGTTCCCCACCAGGAATGAGGAAAGCGCCCGGTGGGGAAGCTGACAGGTAGAGGCCACAGACACACCTGTCTGTGTGAAGATCCAACTTTTTTCTCACATCTTTTTGGTCTTCACCTCTTCTCCCACCTCCTTCTCAGCTTAGGATGACATGGAGTCAAGTCTCTTTGAGTAGCCCTGTCCTCTGGTTAGGACCTGCAGGTCAGCTGCCCCGCGTGTCTTGGCTTGTCCCGGTTTTGGCACTGAGAATCCAGGTCTTGGGAATGCCATTTGTCCTGACCAGAGTGGGCCAACAGGGAAGGTCTGTCCATTGCTCAGCTCACCAAGTGGTCCCAGAGGGAGTAAGAGTCTTAGAATGAGCTGCTACCCATAAGCCTTGTGTTCAATGTGCGTCATCTCATTTCAGCCTCCAGCCTGGTGGATTAGGCGTGATTAGCTAGGTGTGATTTTATGGGTGAAGAAATCAAGGCTTAGACAGACTTGCCTGCGGCAACACAGGCCATCTCTTCCCACTTGTTGTCAGGAGCCTTTTTCCGTAAGATCCTGGAAGCAGGGCCTTGGACACTTTGGATCTGGTCCATGAAGGTGCTCTCTCTGACCTTGGCCTGACGTGGAAGAAGTGGATGGTGCTGACCACAGGCTAACACAGAGGCAGGTGGTGGAGGATCTCGGGCCACCAGACATCAGCTACGAGTATACTCAGCCCAGCACAGAGCCTCTGATCAATTCTTGACTCACCTGATCACAGCCCAGCTCCCAGCACAAAGAGAATGTGACCAAAAGAGCTACTTAGGATCTAATTCTGGCCAAGAAGGCGGCTGGTGAAGGGGCATGATGAGAACTTGGGAGGAAGTGCCTTGCCAGCTCTGTTTGTGAGGTCTGGGAAGGATGCAGCCTGAACTTTTGAAGCTCAGAGGACACGGGAGCAGGGTTCCATGGCCTGAGACGGGGATCTCAGAGAACTGGGAAAACTGCAGGCCCCTGTTTCTGGCAGTGTGGCTGCACACCAACCCAGGGGAAGATAAGGCAACAGGCTGGTTCCTGAGGAAACTGTGTGGTTTCTTAGGAAGCTCTTGGGTGAGACTGAATTTATGGCAGACACATTCCAAGGATGGAAAAGGAGTGATGGTTGATGATGAAGGCTTGTGAGAAGTGATGTGATTCCTGGAAGACATCATTCCCCAGGAGTTTCAAATGCTGAGACATTGAGCCAATGTACAGAACAGGCTTAGAGAAATAGCCAGAAGTAACCATAATGGCTGTTACCTAGTACTTTTCACATGGAGGCCATGTTTGTGGACCCTGGCCATCCCGTGGATGAGCCCCCAGGCTTAGTCAATCATTTGAAGCTGAGAGCAGGGGTCTTAAAATGCAAAACAAAGGTGCCCAAGGGCTGCTCCTTCGACAGATGTGGTGGACTGACCATGATCAATCTGTGGTGACTGAACATGATCACCATGAACAATAATGATGATGATTATTATTGATGGGGTGGCAGGTATACGTCTGCTTATTAAATTCATGTGTAGTGTCAAATTGTGGGAAATTGCAATTACATCGGATGACAGCAGCAACATTTGCAAGGATCTAGATGGCTCTGTAGGTTTCATGAAACCACTCCCTCCCTCTGGTGGGCATCTGTGAAGCTCCAGGCTTCCGCAGCTTGCTCTCAGGCCTGCCGCTCTGCAAAGGTCACCGGCAGCGTCTGTCCGTCTCATGTGTGAGCTCTCTTTGGTCTGCTGTTTGTGAAGGTCTCTCACCGGGCTGAATGAAGTTGAACAAGGAGAACTGTCACAGAGAGAAAGGTGTGATTCCCAATGCAGGTTCAGAATCTAACCTGAGTCAAAAAGGGAACACGTACCCTGGAAGTGTGTGTTAAAAAATTTAGAGTTCTTTCGTTTTTATTATTGTTATTTTTTTTGCCAGGAAGTTTAGAATGATGCCCAGGGTGGTGTGACAGCTGAAAAGAATCACTATCCAAAAATTCTGGATGGCATTATTAAAAATAAAGGCTCTACAATAGAGGAGGAGATAGTACCACATTGCTCTGCATGGGAGAGGCCACAGCCAAGAGTATTGCATTAAGTTCTTGGTACCAACTCACAAAAGGAGAGTTCTGAAGGTAACAGCTGACACTTATGGAGAATCACTGTGTGTAAGATACTGCTCTATCAGTGTTCCACAGATGAACTTGCTTATCCTCACAACAACCCTATGAGATTGATGCCATTTCATAGGTAATAAAACTGAAGAACAGAGAGGTTAAGTAACTTGCTTAAGGTTACTCAGCTTAAATAACTTGAAACTTGGACATTTGTAAATTGTTTGATAAATGGGAATAAGAAAATTTAATGGTTAAACGGTTGAAGGCAGAGCCTGTATTACCTAACAGGTAGCGTGTGAAGCTCTTTAGAAGAGTTTCCTAGTTTACCGCAATTGTGTAAGGTAGGGGTTATTATCCCCATTTGACAGATGGGGATACCAAGGCTCAGAGAGGTGAGGTAACATATTTTAGGTCACCGAACTGAGAATGGAAAAGGGGGTAACCCTGATCTATGTTGACCCCACAGCTGGACCATGCGTGGAATCCTCAGAGAGGTCATCATAGCAGCCCATTGGGCCAGCACTGTCCATGCATGGGCTGGGTCCCCTAGACAGATGGAGTCTTTTGGTCTGGATGGTGAAGTGTGGTTGTGGTGGGCTTCTGGCAGGGTATGTATTAGGACTGTGCTTGTGATCCTCCCCTGGGGAAGAAGGGAGGGAAGCAGGATTAGGCTTAGATTGAGCTGCAGTGCAGTCATAAAAAAGGCCTCTGTCAGCCCCAGTGGGGCTCTGCAGCTGTATTGCCCTGCAGAGGTGAGTTGTATTGGGGCAAGAGGGCCAGGCCTGTAGCCCCTGTGTTGGTCAGTTATTCGATATGGGCCACCCCTGGAAGGAGGCATGACCTTGGGTGAGTTTTCTTTAGCTGAGGCAATCCTAAAAGCAGGTGCTGGCTGAGGGCACTCCTGGCTCTAGGGGACTAACCCAGGAGCACATCACAGTGCCCACCACACCCCCTCTCTGCCTCACACTTGTTGTCTGCATATACCTTGCCAGCCTCACATCACTTCACCGTGAGGATGCATATTAATGTCCATCAGAGCTCCTGTTAACAAGTCTTTTGGATGTTGTGTTTTATCCTCCCAAATGCTCTATGCACTGAGTATTATTAATGTCCTGCTTTATTGAAAATGGGCACAAGTGCTCAGAGAGTTGAGAGATTGGTTCAAGGATGCACATCCAGGCGGGGTGGGGTGGCGTGTGCCTGTAGTCCCAGCAACTCAGGAGGCTGAGGCGGAGAATCACTTGAGCCCAGTTCTAAGCTGCAGTGAGCTGTTATAGCACCACTGCACTCCAGCCTGGGTGACAGAACAATACTCCATATCTAAATAGAAATAAAACAGTATGTACATCCAACAAGAGGCAAAGTGGTACTCTCAGGCCCAGCCTCCTGACTCCAGCTGGAGTGCTTCTTGCATCAGGTCCCAGCACTCTCCCACGCTACCTATTCACATGGCACCCTAGGTTTGCCATGTATGGTCACCTCTCTGGCTCTTCTTCCATGGCTGATCCATTGAACATGCCCCTCCCCTTGCCCCCTTTACCCCCACCCTAATACTTCATCTGCCATGTTCGCACTGATGTTTCTAAAACTTCCATTTTCTCCTGGTTATTGAACCCAGATGTCCAAGGGACAGCTTGGAGTCCCCATGTCCAGCACTGACTTACCATCCCATCTCAGGGCTGCAGGGCAGTAAAGTAACAAGAGTTCAGGCCCTGGGATCAGACTGTCCAGTTCCAATCCTGGTTCAGTAGCCTTTTTGTGCTTCGGCTTTCCCATCTGTAAAATGTGGGTAGTGATGGTGTACTCACCTCACAGAGTCGTGAGGATCTGCTGAGCTGATGCATGGAAGCCGCTTAGGATGCTGAGTCAGCACTCCATAAATGTGAGCTATTCTGATTCTTGCTCATGACGATGTTTATAAGTACTGCCCTCCACTGAGCCTAGGTAGGAGCACTCAACAGGTGTCCCCTCACTGTTTACATCCATCAACCATCATGTCTCCTCCTCTTCACCTCTCTACATCTTAGCCATGCATCCCTCTTTGCCTTCCCCTTTAACAGCACCTCAGCTGTGGCTGGCCCCATCTTTCACTGGACTCAGTATTTTTTAGGAAGCCCACCCCATCCAGCCTCTGTCATTCAACCACCAGAATTTGACTTTGTAACGTGAACATTTCATTATGGCCCTCTTCTGCTTCCAGTCATTCCATGCCTCCCTGTTGCCCTCAGGCTGTCTGATTTCCCAAGGTGGGCGTCTATGACCCCACCATCCCACCCACACCTCCCTCTCCAGCCTCTCCCTGCCTGCAGGCCCACAGGGTCTTGCCTCACTACACTCCTGGTTTTTTCCTTGCACATCCTGCCTCAGGACCTCTCTCATCTGGGCACTTTTGTCTTTGAGGTCAACCTCCATTGCTTTCCCAAACTTGGGAAGGGCGGAAGATGGCATCGTGTTCATCTCTATGCCCAGGGTCCAAATCCTTAGAGATATGAGTAAATTTGAGCACAAGGAGAAGCAGACAATGGAAGAGTGTCAGCTCCACTGGAGACTAGGAGTCGGGCTTTCTCCTGGGAACCACCCCCCAGGTCCTCTTTTACTGCCAGGCTTGGCCTGCCCAGATTCCCAGTCCCCTTCCCAGCCCATCTACTGCTGGGAACAGCTGAGGGCTGGCCACACCAGCTCTGCCCAGCACACTGCCCCAAGCCAAGTCTTGTCCATCAGTCACAGCCTCTTGGGACATGCCAGGATACAGGGCACTTCTGTGCAGAGGCAGCCACTGGTCCTGGTCCCTCTTCACCACCCGACTGAGAACCTTTGCTGTTACAATCACTCTTTGTTCCCTGGACCTTGGCTGAACCCTCAGCAGATGCCAGGGAAAGCAAATGACCTGAAACAGGGCTACAGCCCTCAGGGATCTTGGAGTTCAACTGGGGAATGTGAGGTTCCTGGGAAGAGCTCCCTTTGGAGTCAGTGAGACATGAGTTGGCGTTCCAGTCTCTCCCTGGCTGGTGGTGTGGCCTGTGGTAGGCACGTTGCTTTTCACACCCGAGCCTGATTTCATCTGTAAAATGAAGGTTGTAGACAGGAAGCTTATCCAGCAGCCTCCCATGGAGGTGACCCTCTGGGACAGCTGGGGTGCTAGGGAGGCTGGGCTGAGGCTTGAGCCCAGCCTCTGCTGTTGGCCTACTCTGTGGTTGAGGCTGCTCACTGCCTCACTCTGGCCCTGTGAAATGCAGAAGTTAAGGAAGATGGTGTCTGTGGCCCCTTTAGGGTCATATCTGTGATCATCTAGGACTCCTGTGAAGGGGAGTCCAGAAAAGGGAAGAAGAAAGAGCAAAGGGAACTGCATTTATGATGCACCTATGATATACCTACACCGTTCTAGATGCCTCATGCACACGAGCCTGTTGAATCCTGGATGAGCTGCGGTTTAGTGTTCCTGGTTTACAGATGAGAAGACAGGCTCAGAGAGGTGAAGTGATTTGCCTGAGGTCACACAGCAAGGAAGTGGTGATACAGACTCTGGGGCTCAAGTGCTTTCCTTAGGCACCTCAGGGTAATCAATTTATACTCTCTGCCCCCTGCCAAGGAAGGAGCAGTTGTGGGGAAGTGAGGATGGTCAGGTGGGGTGGGGCCCTGAAGCCACTCTCCAGACCCACACTGACTGTGGAGGTAAAAGTATTGCCTCTTTCCAGGAGGCTCATGGCCCCAGCAAGGTCGAGACTTGAGTCTGCAGCAAAGCCACTTGCCTTCTCATCTGACCCCAGCTGTCCTATCTCCAGGGGCCACCCTCTCCACTCCCTGGAACTCTGGCCACCAACTCCCAGGGCCCTGGGCTCAGCGATTTGCAACTGCCCAGTGGCTCTAGACCTCAGACCAGCCCCTTGTGACTGCATCTATAGTCACCCTCCCATCCCTTTATCTCAAGCTCCTATAAATGCCTTCATTTGTCATCAGAAATAGAATAAGTTTTATTTTTCTCCTTCTCAAGTTGAGTCCCAGCCCAGGCAGCTCCCTGGAATTTAAATATTATAAACAGCAAATTAATGAGAGCTAGTCTGGGGTGGAGCCCTTCAGGAGCCCAAATGCTTTTCCAGAACTTCTTGCCAGTCCTCCAGCAGCCTCAGAGACTGCCTGAAGCCAGCTCCTCCTGGGAGTTCTCCCAGACCCAGGGAACATTGCTGGCCCTGGTGCAAGGGTACTGCCCTTCCAAGTTGGGAAGAGAAGCAGGATCTTGTGATGGGAGACCCAGATGGCGGCCCAGGAGTGGTAGACATGTCTATGCAGGGACAGCCTAGCTCAGCGGATACAGCAGGATGGTGTCAGGACAGGAGGTGCCCAGTCGGGTGGATGGGGCATCGTGACTGTCAAGGCTGGCTCATATTTCAGAAACAGGATCCCAAGCCTAAGGGAGGCACTGGAAGGGCTGGGCGGGGGCTCAGGGCTCAACCAGGCAGGTCCGGGTTTCTGGAAGGCTGTGGTCAGGACGGCCTGCTTCAGGGGCATGAAGCAGGAGGTCCTTGTCCAGTGCAGTGCTGAAGGGTCCACTCAGAAGCTACACCGCCCCACTTGATCCCTGCTGCCCTCCCTTATGCAAGGTACCTTAGCCTCCCTGTGCTTCCATTCTCCCATCCGAATCAAGCGTAAGAATAATAGTATTTGCTTCATAGGATTTTAATGAGCCTCAAAAGGAATAATGTCTGGGAGGGGCTTAGCATGGTGCCTGGTATGAAGTGATTGCTCAGTAAAAGTGGGGTACGGTTATCACTGTATTGTTGGTACAGGATGGGAGAGGCTATGGGTTAGGGCTACTTCAGGCTGAGATTGTGGTTGGGACAAGCTCTGGTTCCCACAGGAGATGCAGGAAGAAGACCCCATGGACCCAGCTTTTCTGAGCCAGTCTGGGACCTGGCCTGTGTCCACTGTGCCACGGGAGAGACTGGGCAGGGAAGCAGTGGGGGCCCAGACTTGGTCCCCCAGGAGGATCCCAGAGATCCAAGCATGTGATTCAGAGGGGCCATTTTGCTGACAGCTCCCTCTGCCATGCCAGACTCCAAGCAATTAACCAGCCAGGCCCCCGGGAGGAGCGCTTGGCGGCAATCAGGGTAACCTTGACCTCCTTCGCACACTGCCGCAGCCGCCTCCTAACTCTTGTCTCCAAGGTGCTTGTGTGTTGTTGAAGGGCAACTCCTCCCCAGCACAGACAGAACTCCTCCTCCTCCTCCTCCTCTGCCAGCTGGAGCTGTGCAGGCGAGGGCTCCTGGGCCTGGCCACAAGCACTGGCACTTGGGTGTCCCACTCAAGACAACTGACCTCATTTGGCCTTTACGTGCTGGAATATTTCTCATGACCCCAGCCACCTTTCTTGGAGACGCACAACCTCTTCAGTTATGTGCATGCGTGTGTGTGTGGAGAGAGGATGCGTGTACTTGGTTGCGGGACCATGGAGCATGTGTACGGGAATGTGAAGGGGGAGTGAGGGTGTGTCTATGGGGAGGGGAGTGGGGCGTGAGCCTGTGTTTGTGCAGGGAGGGAGGTGTGTCTGAGCATCACGTGAGTGTGAGGCTGGGGAGGTGGTGGGTTGAAGGGTGTGTAGGGCTTCAGTTTTAGGATGTAGTGACAGTCCTTTCCCCGCCGCCCCCTCTCCACCAGCTCGGGCCTGTACGTTTCAAATACTTCATTGTCAGCCCTGGTAAAGCCTTTATTTATAAAGCGCGGGTGTTTCATTCAGCTTAACTGAAAAGGCCTTTAAATCACCGCAGCTGGGAAGGGCTAATTGCAGTTAGAGTTGTCAAGGACTCTCTTGTCTGCTTTTGCCATCTGTGACATAGTGAATGCAAAGATCATTTTAAACATAGGCAGTTAATGTAGAGAATAATTTGAGAGCTTTAGATATTTATGGTAAATTATTTAACTTTATAGTTGAGTTTTATTGCCTCATTATTCTATGTGTGAAGAATCTTGGCGTTTTCTGTGACTCGGCACTTTGTGGAGTTTCACTTTGCAACACTCAGGAGTAAAGTTATTCTTCACTTACAGGAACTCTGGGCACATCCCAAGTCCTCCCACGGAAAGGGCTCTCAGGTCGCTGCCCATCTGGCCGGCGGCCACGGTTGCTTCTTGCCCTGCCAGCAGGGCCTCTGGGCGGGCTTGGGTGTTCCCAACGCCTGCAGATGCTTCTTCCTGCTGCCCCAGAGATGGGAGGGCAAGTGCTGGCTGCAGCATTGCTCCTGCCCCACTGGGTCAGCAATGCCCTGGAACCGGAGCTGGGACTCTGGAAGGATGGGCCCAGGCTCAGGTTTTCTTTTCTTCTTTGAGACAGAGTCTGGCTCTGTGGCCCAGGCTGGGGTGCAGTGGTGCGACCTCGGCTCACTGCAACCTCCACCTCCTGAGTTCAAGCTATTCTCATGTCTCAGCTTCTGGAGTAGCTGAGATCCCAGGCACGTGCCACCACACCCAGCTGATTTTTGTGTTTTTGGTAGAGACAGGGTTTCACTATGTTGACCAGGCTGGTCTTGAACTCCTGACCTCAAGTGATCCACCCACCTCGGCCTCCCAAAGTGCTGGGATTACAGGCATGAGCCACCATACTCGGCCTCAGGCTCAGGTTTTCGTTTGCATGAAAGCTCTTGGCCCCTCTGACCTGGTGACTTTCGTGCCCTGCCTGAGTTCTATTAAAGCAGGCACTTGCCATCTGGATGACATTTATCTGCTTGGGTAGTCCCTGATCATTGTGCAAAGTTGGGTCTTCCTAGGTACAGTACTTAGATTTCTTTTGAGTGTCTGGAACTTAAGACTTGCCTCATCTCAGAGGACAGCCCATCTATCACTGTCGTGACCTTCCTGCTATTGTCGGTGGAGGTCCTGGCCTGGGCTGTACCCATATACCCATGCACCCACCGTTCCAGTCATGCCAGCAGGATTTTGCTGCAAGCACCCAAGAGTCCATGGAGACATTCTCCAGGCCAGGGAAGCTGGGGTGCTGAAGCCTCAGGAGCAGCCTTGGTGAATAATGGATGGGGATTGGAGGATGAATACCCCAGCTTCTTTGCTCCTCTGGCAGGATCATCCTGGGAGGTAGTCTATATGTCTCCCAGCACCTCCCCATGGGATTGAGCCCAAGTTGCCCTTGATGATTATCTGCTCAGCAACACTCCCCTTCTTGGCTCCATTCCCTTCCCTGCCTCACCTCCCCTCTCTTCACCAGTGTTTCCTAGGAGCAAGTCCCAAATAAAGCGCTTGAACTCAGATCCTTGCCTCAGGGTCTGCTGCCTGGGGAGCTCTGCTGAGCAGACATGGAATCGAACCTCAGTGCTGCCAGGGGAGCTCTGCTGAGCAGACATGGAATCGAACCTCAGTGCTGCCAGGGGAGCTCTGCTGAGCAGACATGGAATCGAACCTCAGTGCTGCCCACCTGATGGACTTGGAGCTGTGACCTTAACTCTGCCTCCCCAACCCACTGGCTTGACTTTGGACATGGTGTGTTCATTGCTTTGGGATCTGCTTCTGATACTTCAACCTTGATCAGAATTTCTGTGAGTGGGCAGAGGAGTGCTCAGCCAGCCAGGGCTGCAGCATAGTCCCCTAAATGGATGTGCTAGGATTTCTAAGGGAGGGTTGTATCCTTGGGTTGGGTGGGTGACTATTTTTTTCTGTGAGGCTGCAATTCCTAGACCGAGATCTGAAATGACTGCATTAGTTTTGAGCTCAGTGGCTGGGGAGAATTTAGTTTGACCCCAAAGTTATTAATTGTGGAGCTAAAACTGTCACAAGACACCTCTAAGGTAAGTCGGAATGTGTTCTCCCCCACAACTCTGGCTGGAAGACTGCCACTCATTCTTTAAGACTCAGCTTAAATGTCACCTCCTCTGCCAGGCCTTCCTCAGCTCCTCCAGGCTTTGGCAGATGTGCTTCAGCAGCTCCCTGCTCAGGGCTTGGTAACTGCACTTATCACACTGCCTTGTCACTTCTCTTCCTTCATATCTCTCTGATCAGGCTGGGAGCTCCTTGAGGGTAGAGATTGTTCCTATTCATCTCTTTGACCCTAGAACCCGGGGCTTGGTACAGACAGAGCTCAGGGAACATGACCTTAATTAATGGATGGATGGATGGATGGATGGATGGATGGATGGATGGATGGGCTGATGGATGGATGGATGGATGGATGGATGGATGGATGGATGGATGGACAGAGAGATGGGGACAGGATGGATGGATGGATGGATGGATGGGCGGACTGACGGATGGATGGATGGATGGATGGATGGGCGGACAGATGGATGAACAGACTGATGTATGGGTGGACTGGTGGGGTGAGTGGGTGGATGGATGCATTGGTTGGATGTTGAGGAATCATGGCATTCTGTGTTGAAGCCAGGCCTTAGAACTAAGACTGATCAGCTTTCTACAGTGGCTGTCTTCTTGGGCATCCAGCTCCTTAGGATTCCCTCTGGAAGCTCAGAGAGGAGGAGATAGAGAGTCTGGGTCCCGGGGGCAGGGAGAGGGCTCCTCTAGGCTGAAGGGTGGGGTCCCTTCTTCTTGGGCTGGGTGAGGAATAGCTGGGGGAAGCTGTGCTCCAGGGAGATTTCGTCTCTACCTTCTCCTGGAGCGGGCATGTCTCTCCACCATCCCTGCCCCTACACTCCTTACAAGGACACCACAGTGAGGAGGAGGGGGAGGGAACTCAGCCGGAAGGGGCCACACTCACCCTTCATTGCTGGGTCCTACTCTGTGGGAGATCGGACAGAGAAGGGCCCCAAGTGTGATGTGCACAGCAGGGAGACGGGGAGCCCACACACAACTCTGTGGCAGGAGTTCTGGGGAGTGGCAGGAAGCATGAGTGCCTTTGAGGTCAAATGACAGCAGCTTAGGGCATAGCCTCTGAAGAGTTGCCCTCTGCCATTCAGCAGTCACTGTTGTATAGGAGGAAGGTCCGGATCCCTGGGCCTTTCCTCTGCCCCTCAATGCCCCAGCAGGAAAGATCATCCCACTGCCACACCTGAGACCCATCCAGGGCACCTTGGGGATGGACCAGTGCCCACATCTTTTGCCCAGCAGGACAAGGACCTGAGGCAGGTATGCAGGTGGGCATAAACTTTCCACTGCCTGCTCTTGCAGCCCCCACTCCAGAGATCAAGGAAAGCTCCATGAAGATCATGCTGTGAGGCCCATGTCCCCGAATGATGGCAGCTCTGGGAGGTAATTTGACACAAGAGGGCTTGGGGCTGGTAGGGAGGGTGCTCCAGGTACAGGGAAAGACCAGGCTTTTAGCACTTTGGACAGCTTTGTTAGGGACACCCAGGACCACCCTGCTCTGCTTTGGAGCCAGAGGAGGGGGCAAGGCAGGGTCAAAGTAGCAACCCCAGCCCCATCTCAGTCTCTTCCTGGAGAGTGCTAACGAGAAAGGGCCTGCCACCACCACCTAAGAACCTGTGTTTTTTCCTCTCCCACCCCCTCTTCTTTGGCCCCTCTGGCCTGCCCCAGAACTGAGAGCCCTTGCCCGCATGCCTGGACCCCCACCGTAGGGATGATCCCGTTTTAGGGTGCTCTGAATGCCAGTGCCCAGAATCATCTTTCTGTTCCTGCCCGGGCTTCACGGAGCCCTTGACCACTGTGCTGGTCCCTGCCCAGGCTTCAAGCCACATCCCAGCCTGAGCTGGGACCTTTCTCCCTGCTGTCCAGCCTGGCCCCGCCACCCCCTCCGCTGCCCACTGTGCATGTGTCAGGCTCTGCCTGAGACACCCCTGAGGCCTGGAATGTCCTGGCTAACTTTCAACTTTGCTGTCATTCACTGCAGCCCTTCTGGCCTGGGCTCTGCACCTCACAGCCCACGTGGTCAGATGATCCCAGCGTGGGGGCACCCCTTCAGCCATGCAGACGAAGGGCCATGAAAAAGGGGATTGGGACAGTTTCCGACAGGAATTTACCACCTTCTTTCTTCTCTCCCAAGGGTTTGTAGCCACCGTGCACTCTTCCATCCATGCCCCACTCCTCCCTGCTAGACCCAGAGGCATTTAATGCCCCAAAGACACCTCGCTGTCCACACTAACTCTGTCTTCATGGTGCCCAGAGCTCATAAGTTCTGGAGTTTGGGTAAGCAGGAAGGAGCCATTTGTGGATTTGGAGGAGGATCTCTGGCTGCCTAAGATGGTCACTTTCTGGGGCCAGGTGCCCTGAGTGACAGCTTTCGTCTTTACACTAGCCCTGTCTCCCACTGGAGCTCCTGACTCAGGCCCCTGTCCTCACAAGTGTGGGATGAGGGATGTGAATGTGGTAGGAGATAGTGTGCATGTGTGAGGATGGGTAGCTTTGAGTATGGTGTGAGCATTAGATTAGAGCAAGTGTGCACGTGTGTGGGTGTGAGTGTGCCTGGGTATGATGTCATGAGAGAGAGTGAATGTGTGTGCAAACGTGTGAGTGTGTTAGAGCATAAGCATGTGTGTGGCCCATGAGTGGTGGTATGTGGTTGCCGAGGCTGAGTGGGACATTGCAGGCATGCAAGGTTTGGATCCCAAGGCTCTTCGCCTGTGTGTGCGAGTGTGGAAGAACATGCTGTTGCAGTCTAGTCTGTTTTATGAATGCCCTCACTAATTCACTCTTTGGATTCTTATTGGGTGCTGCTCTGTGTCAAAGTCACCCTGCTGGGTACTATGGGCGGCATCCCCACCCCCATGGGTGGGCAGCAGTGGGGCAGACAGAGACTAGAGCAGGCCTCAGTGCCCAGAACACTGCCAGGCACCTCGTGGATGCCCAATAAGCATTTGTAGAAAGAATGAGTGGAAATCTAAAATTTCATAAATATATTATTAACTGTGATAATTCACATCAAAGAAAATCCTAGAGGCACTCCAAGACCGTATAACAGGGGAACTTAATTTAAACTGGGGGGGTCAAGGAGGGCCTGTTTTGAAGGTTTCCCCCCATGAGCATCATGGGATAGAGTATTATAGAGTAGTGGTCAAGAGCATGGATTCAAGGCCTAGCTCTGCTGCTGCTTATTGGCTGCGTGACCTTGAGCAAATGCCTTGACCTCTCTGTGCCTCCATATCTGTGAAATGAGAATGATGATGGCCCCTACCTCCTAGGGTTGCAGTGAGGAATAAAGACGTGGAGAGCACCAAGGACAGTCCCTGGCACACAGGAAGCTCTTATGAGTGTTCCCTGGAGTTATCACCCCTCCTACACCCGGTGCCAGAAGGGGTATGCATGCATGTGGGAGTGTGCCGTTGTGCCGTGTGTACCTGCAGGTATGTGAGTAGAACATGCGTGTGGGAGTGTGTGCATGGGGCAGAATAGATGTTGCCCTACATCCCAGAGTGTGTGTGTGAATGCTTTCATACGTGTTACAATGTGAGTATCCCCGGTTTGTGGGAAGGGTGTGTTTGTGTGTGCACCATGCCCCAGAGAGGCAGAGATTCCAGTAGCACAGGCAGTCCTCGGTGTCGGTGTCGGGAAGACTCCGCATGCTGCTCGGGTGTGCACATGCGTAGCTGCACCCTGATGAGTGGTGTGAGGATTGTAGAGAATGTGCGATTGTGTGGCTGTGTGAGAGAGCCCATGTGTGTGCAATAAGAAGAGGGCTGGAGCCAGAGCCACTGCTGCAGCAGGTGGGCTGGGCTCGGCCAGGGCTCGCTCTTGAGACAGCCGGGTTTTAATTGTCCGCGGAGATGATCGGGTTCTGGGGAGCTGTCAGCGGCCCTCTGAGAGCTGCAGTCGGCTCCTTGCCCTACTTGTTGGCCAACAGCCTTCACCCAGCCTGGCAGGCGCTCCCCCTCCTTCCCCCACCACCCCCACTTCCTGCTCACTTCCCTCCCTCTCCCGGCCTCAGCTCTGTTCCTGACCCCTCCACTTTCCTGCCTGCTTAAAGACCCCGGTCGCTGGGCTGCCCCTTCCACCCTTCCTTCCTGACCAGTGAGTTGACTGGAAAGGCCAGTGACTTGACCATCCCTTAGAAGGCTTGGCCTGGCTGAGGGCGGGGACTTTCCCCTTCCCTGCAGACCCATGGGATTTTTCCCTTAAGTAAGTCACCTAAGGTGCTTCTTCTCCAGCTTGAATCCACGAATTGTTCATATGCACATCTATTCTTTTGGCCCTGGACTGTGTGTTCCTAACCAGCCTCCTAGTGGTGCAGATGCTGCAGTCCATATGCCACACATTAAGTAGCAAGGACGCGAGGCTTTCAGCTGCTGGCAGAGTGGCCTTCTCCAAGGACTCGTGTCCTCCCAGCTCCTCTGGATGGTGCGCCAAGCAGGGCCGCCTCCTCCAGAAGCTGTGGGAGCAGTAGCCTCATGTGAGACCCTGCCCCTGAGGACCACAGCCACAGCACCTTTGGCTGCCAGCCCGGGGCCCTGACCATCAGAGTCCTGTCCCAGGTACTCACCTTTCACCAGCACCACGCACTCACTCCTCCCTCCCACCCAGTTTAGCTGTAACAAACTGGCACATTCCTGAGAGTTTATTGGAGACATGCCGCGTGGGATGTCCTAACCTGTCCTGGCTGAGTGGGCTGAGCTGTGGCAGCAAGAGTGGGATTCAGGAGCCGGAGGGAGTAGGGAGGAACTGGGAGCAGCGCTGGGTGCCTGGGGAGGACTCTGTTCCACCTGCAGCACCTCCTCCACACTCCCGCTCCCCGTTTGCTTATTAGCTCATGTTCCTTTGCACACGTGCTCTGAGACGCACACATGACTCCTCTGCAGCTCAGCTGGGGCGCTGCTCCTCGGCATTGCCTTCTGCCTTTATTGGGTTATAGTGACTCCTTTGACCAAGCTCCAGGCTGTCCTATCTGCAATGCCCAGAACAGTGCCTGGTACACAGTAGGTGCTCAAAAACATTAACAGCAGGAATGCTGTAGGCAGCCTATATAGCCTCCTGGGATGGATACACAAGAGTAATAAAGAGACACATGACTCAGCCCCCTCCCCCGACCCTGGCCCTCCTGGAGGAACATCTAGGCTGGATTCTAGGTGAAGTGGAGCAGACTGCAATCAGACAGGCCTGGCTGCATTCCCTAGTTTGTCACTTACAGGCTATGTGCTGTAGACAAATTCTTCTCTCCAGGACTCAGTTTTCTCAACTGTGAAATGGGAACAAGGATCTCCATCTTACTGTGTGGCTGTAAGGAGTCTCAAAGCATCTGCTGAATAGAGCTCTCATGGTGGCAGTTTCCCTTTACCTGTCCCTCCATCATCCCTGACCTTGGCTGGCTGGCTCACTGCCCCCTCTCTCTGGTCACCAGGCAGGCAACTAAAGGGGCATGGTGATGGGTGACCCACTCACCCTCCCAGAGGCCCAGCCCAGCCCTGTGGCAATGGCGGGTGGGCACTGCAAACCCCTCTCTGTTCACCTGCCCTCCAGCCACTTGCTTCCATGGAGAAACCCCAGATAACCCGAGTTGACCAAGGCAACTCAGGGTAGCAGAGAAGACATTAGCCCTGGAACAAGACTGCCTGGGTTTAAATCCCAGTGTCTGCATGTAATGAGTGTGAGACACTTAATACTTCCCTGAGCCTCAGTTTCTCCATCTGTTTAATGTGTTGTAAGGATAAACTAAAATAACCCACGTAAAACACTTAGTGCTGGTATACATCCAGCAATCAGTATGTTTCAGCTATGGTCATCGTTTTTTGAGGATATAATCATCCACTCATTGTTTCTTGGCCAAGCTGATGGGACAGGAAGGGGGCAAAGGGATGGACAGATACTGGGAGCTTTAGTTTCCTCATCTGTAAATAAAAGGGCAAGGCAGTTCTCTCACGGTTTCCAGGCTGGGATTTTGTGATGGTTCATCTGCTGAGTGGACATATTCCATCAGGGTCCTTGGGAAGGGATTCTCTGCCACTGTGGAGCCTAAACTGACCCTTCTTATTTGTTGCTTCGGTTATGCTCTGTTCCCCATGTGTGGGACTGGGTAGGGAAGAAGATACCTACTGAGGGAAGCCAGACCTTGCGGGACCCTGGGAATGGGCAGAGCTGACTGCCCAGGCCTGCAGCATCCCAGGTGCCTGTTAGTCACACCTGTCAATCTGGGTGTGGGGTGGGGGGCGGTCCCTGAGTCCAGGTGGGAAGGGTTCAGGGGTGAGGAAATCCAGGCATCCAGAGTCCAAACCACACAAACTGGATCCCAGTAGCCAAGGAGGCAAGTGGCACCACAAAAGGAGGAGGGAGAGTGTCCCAAGCAGAGGGAGGAGCAAAGAGAAGATCTGTGTGAGAAGCAGCATGGCACCTTCATGCTGCAGGGGGCTGGGTGCCCACGTGGAACACAGTGTGCAAGGCAGGGGCAGAGCACGGGAAGTGGGGCTGGAGGGCTGAGCAGAGGCTGGATCACACGGCGCTCTGTAGACTTTGGGAGGATTTAGGTTTGATCTTAAGAGCAATGAGAAGTATTTGAAGGCATTAAGCAGGGTTATGGCCTGATCAGGTTTGCATTTTTAAAATATCCCTCTGATTACTGTGTAGAGAACAAGTTGGAGGTTCATGGTTTGCTTCTGCTGGTTCCACTACAATAAAGTCAGATTCTCAGAGGGAGCTTTACTAGGAAAAGACACAGGGAAACCCGGAGATCCAGACACTCGGGAATATGTGAGCTTGTGGTGTTGTGGTCAGGTTTGCTGAGTTGCCACTCAAGAGGGTGTCCTCTCAAGAGGCATGTGGATTGGAGCTATACCTGGAAAGCCTTCTGAAATCCAGGGGACTCTAGGGAACATTCTTTCTCTCTTCTCTTGCAAACCCCTCCTTACCCTCATCTCAGGAGCAGTATGGTTTCAACCCTGTGAAACTTGAGCCAGGCTTGTTCTCCCTCCATCCACATCCTCTGCAATCTGTGGCTTCTGTGCCCCACAGCCCATCATGCCCTCTCTGGCCTGACTCCACCTCATGGCCTTTCAACTGCAGCTCCTGCCACCACTGACCAGCAAGGCTTTTCTGTGTTTCTTAGTTGAGATTCCCAAGAGAAGAACTCTGGATCAACTCTTCTTTATGAGCCAGGTCATAGGTTGTTTTTCTTTGAGTCAAGTTCCTCTCCCTTCACCCAATCATCTGTGTCTAAGGAGCATGTGATACAAAACCTGATCTCCAGGGAAGCAAAGGCTATGAATAGGGCAGTTCCCTTGGAAAGGGTGCAGATAGGGCAGGCACAGTATGAGCTCATTCCAAATCGAGAGCATTCCTGCACCTGAGCTTCAAGCCCCGAGCCTTCTAGATCTGACTGCTCAATTGGTTGTGTCAAGAGACCAAAACCAGCCTTTGAGTTATGGATGGACCAGAACTGGACACCAATCCCCAACCACAGGTAAGACCTGGCCTGTTGGTTCATTGGCACATGCCATTGGTCCAAACAAGGAGTGTGAATGGTTCCTTGCAGGCCAATCCTGCAGGTAGAGCATGTGTTGTAGCGAGGGCTGGTGGATCTGAAGCCCTCTTCTATTGCAATGACTGGTCTATTAAATTGGAGGTGGATACCATACCTAGAGGGGCAATTCAGTTTATAGAAGTCACCATAATCAGTAGCAACCCTGATCTGCTTAGCAAGCTGTACTGCTCCAACATTGTAAGGTAGCAACTGAGCATGGTCAAGGCCAGCCTACCTTGGTCTTCCAATATGTATAATTCAGACAGTTCTCCAATAGCAGATTGATGGTAAATGTCTGCAGTTCTTCATTCCTCCATGTATCAATGATCTATACAACATGACTACCATCTGCTATCAAGAGGCGGAGTTTGTTTCCCTACCCCTCAAATCTAGCTGGCCGTGTGACTTACTTTGGCCAATAGAATGTGACAGGAGGGACATCGTGCCAGTTCTAAGCCTAGACCTCTGCAAAGGCTCCTTGCATGCTTTTACTCTCTCTCAGAATCCTGCTACTGTCATATGGACTAGCCTGGCGTGCATGTTAGATGATGAGAGATGAGTGGCCAAGTCACCCTCCTTGCCCCAGTTGATAGCCAGCCAACTGTCAGTCATGAAACGAGGCCATCCTAGACCAGCTAACCCCCGCAGACCACAGATACAGTAGTGAGCCCACCCTAGGTCTGCCTAGCTTGCCCAGATCAGTAGATTAATCTAGTTGATCCATAGACTCCTGAGCAATAGCAAATGCTTATTGCTTTAAGCCACTGAATTTTGTGAAGATTTGTTATGCAGCAGTAGCTAACTGATACACCTCCCTGCTGGGAGAACTTTAAGGATGTGTTGATGTTTGCTTTCTAGCCGAGTCCATAAACCTGTGGAGGTCTGCTCCTGGAAGGCAAGACTCAAAATATGGTTGGACTCAAGTTGCAGTGATGGCTCAGTATATTGATAGATGCTCCGTAATCTGGGTGCAGTGCGTGCCAGGCAGCTGCACTTCCTGCCACTTACAGAGAATTTGCTGTAATGCATTGTGATGCATTAGCATAATAATTGCTAAGCATTCACAAATGAATAGCTCACTGACTGATGGATTTTGTACAGAATCTGTGAAGGTTACATCGAGGGTGAAAACATTTCACTGTGTCAATGAACATACTTAATTTTTCTGGAAGTGCTATTTAAATTGCGTCGTGCTATGACATTAGCATAACAAAGACATAATGCATTCGTTTATGCTGTAGTAGGGAACACTGCCATAATCAGCGGACACAGTGTAGGGGGAGTGATGTGCAGAGAGCAGCCCCATTGGGTCCCTGTGGCTGTGCAGGGGAGGTCTTGCCCTGCAGGGCCTGCCCCCAGAGTTGGCTCCACATGGAGTTCTGGGGCCTCTGGCAGTGGGTGGACTCTGTTTATTGGCTTGTTTCCTTTTCACTGATTTTCTCTTCTCAATGCTCTGGCAACCGAGTCCTGCTAATGGGTGGGTGGGTCTTGGCTGACAGAAGAGAAACCCTCAGGAGAATTAGGAAGCATTCAAATCTGTCAGGATTCACCCACCCTCTTCAGCAAGGCAGGGCAGCCTCCCCAGAATCAACCAGCTGGTCCCAGAAAACTGTTGCCTTGGGTCCTCAGTCTCTCCAGCCCCCTCCCCTAAGACCACCTTCAGAGCTGTCACAGGAAGCATCGCAGGGGAATGGCTTTATTCTCTTAATTTTCTACATTTTTTGCATATCCAGCTCTGCAAAGGGGAAGACAGAGCCTGTTAATTGAGCATCTACTGCCTGCCAAGCTCAAGCTGCTGTTTTTACATACATCAGCTCTGCTTCTCAGCTGGCTGTGCACACAATGGTAAGAGTGCTCTCATATTAGAATTTCATGGTCCAGCTCTGGGTTTCTTTTATCCAGAACTTCTCAGAACCTTTAGTATAATAGTGCATCTTATACATCTCCAAGAGGGAGATATGAGTCTCAAATCTTTAAGACAATGGGACCTGGTTTGGGAGAGGCAGGCATGATTTCATTTGTTACCCTATAAGGATTCAATGAAGTAAGGATTACTAACCCATTTCAGAGCTAAAGAAATGGAGGATTCTCAAGGAAGTAATTTGCACTGAGCTGGCAAATGGTCCATGCGGGATTTGAATCCACATCTACCTGACTCCAACACCAGAGGGATGATGTGGACTGGCTTCCTGTGGGGAGGGGAGGGGACTGACAGCCAGCCTCTGGAGGGAGTGACCAAGCAGGACTGCCCATGATTGCTGCTGGTCACACCCGCTTGGACTCTTAGATTGTGATTGGCTGTTCTGTGCCAGATGCTGGGTCAGGACAGAGAAATGAGGGACTCTCATCTGTCCTGTGTCTAGAAGCCTTTTTGGCAGAGGGATGTGTTTCAGAAGTGTGGGTGACTGGGGAGGGGATCGATCAGCCCACCCTAACCCCTGAAGTGAGGCTCATAAGGGAGGTCAACTGAGAGCTCTGGTGCTTTGGGACTGTGCTGGTATAGAATTGAAGGGACTGTAACTCAGATGATGACTCAGAGCCCCAGGAAGGATGGAGAGATCCAAGAACCATGGGGAGGGGGTAAAGATCAGCACGGATCATCCCTTCAACCAATAGCATACCTTGAGATGCAGTCGATTTCATACCTCCTGGGTCCCAATCCTCAATCTGGGCAGTTGTGAAGCCGGATAGTGACTGAGATCACTGGGTAGACCTTGTCCACCTTGGCATTCTTGTCTGCCAAGGTCCATGGCCCATGGGGATGGGGACAATTTGAGTGGGACCCTGCCCAATTGGCTTATTCCCCAGAGCCAGGAGCATCTTACTGCTTAAGAGGTCACAAAGGTTTTTCAGACCTGATGAAAATGATAAACGCTTTTCCCCCGAAAAAAAATGCACATTCATATAATAAGTTGCATAGAATGTAAGAAGTCGTAGATGCCCTGTAGGACCTCCTGTCTTGGGGGGAATGTAGCTGAGATTTAAAACTCTGGCAAAAGGGAAGGAGTCGAGAGCCTCCCCTGTCACTGTCCTGTTGGCTTACAAGGATTCACTCAAATGCCTGAGGTTGGCATTCAAGGGCCCATCGCACATCCAGCTTCCTCTCTGACTACCCCACTACACACACCCTCCCATGTGTCCATCCCCTGCTGTAGCCAAGCAGGAGAACCCAGTGCTTCCAGAACACATCACAGGTCTTCCTACTTTGGGTTGCTCCTTGGGATGCTCTTCTGCTTCTTTTGCTTCTTTGCTGTTAAAGCAAATCCTGTTCACTTTTGGAGACTCTCCTCTTTCAGGAGGCCTTCCTGCTCATTCGAATTTCATGTCATTCAATTTAGCACTTGTTTATTAACACTTCCCACCTGCTACATGCTGGGATACAGAAAGGAATGGGGTAGACGGCTTACTGCTGTCATGTGACCTCTCATGTGACCTACAGGCCAGTGGGGAAACAGACAAGGAAATAAGAATTTGCAGCTGTAATGAGCGGCACCAAAGGAGAAAGTGGAGGGTGCCTCAGGAGCACGCAGCAGTGGGGATATCATCTCCTTCAGGGCAGGGCTTCCCAAAACCGATAGTTTAAATTCCTCCTTCACAATTTTTGCCCAGCAGCATACCGATCTCCATGATCATTTACTTCTCATTGTTTTGCTTTTTAAAAGCTTTAGGCTGGGCGCAGTGGCTCATGCCTATAATCCCGGCACTTTGGGAGGCCAAGGCGGGAGATCACGAGGTCCGGAGATCGAGACCATACTGGCTAATACAGTGAAACCCTGTCTCTACTAAAAATACAAAAAATCAGCTGGGCATGGTGGCATGCACCCATAGTCTCAGCTACTCAAGAAGCTGAGGCAGGAGAATCACTTAAGCCCAGGAGGTGGAGGTTGCAGTGAGCTGAGATCGTGCCACTGCACTAACTCGAGCCTGGGCGACAGAGCAAGACTCCCTCTCAAAAAAAAAAAAAAAAAAAACCAACTTTAGATAAGCTCATTGATTTTTTAGCCTTGTCCTGGGTGATGTTATCTGTGAAAACCTGAGTCCCAATGTGCTATTTATGTATATTTAAAGTTTTAAAAAATGTTTTATTGTGATACCTATATAGAACATAAAAATTACCATTTTAACAGTTTTTAAGTATCTGATTCCGTAACATTAAGTAGATTCACAATCTTGTACATCTATCACCACTGTCCATTTCCAGAACTGTTTTATCATCTCAAACAGAAACTCTGTACCCATGAAACAATAGTTCCCCATTACCCCTCCTCCCAGCCCCTGGTAACTTCTGTCCTACTTGCTGTCTCTATAAAGGTGCCTATTCTAGGTACCTCATATAGGTGGAATAAATACAATATTTGTCTTTTCGTGTTTTGCCTATTTCACTTAGCATGACTTAGAGGTTAATCCATATTGTAGCATGTATCAGAATGGCATTCCTTTTTTTTTGTTTTTTTTTTTTTGAGACAGAGTCTCGCTCTGTCACCCAGGCTGGAGAGCAGTGGCGCAATGTCAGCTCACTGCAAGCTCCGCCTCCTGGGTCCACACCATTCTCCTGCCTCAGCCTCCCGATTGGCTCGGACTACAGGCGCCCACCACCACGCCCGGCTAATTTTTTTTGTATTTTTAGTAGAGATGGGGTTTCACTGTGTTAGCCAGGATGGTCTCGATCTCCTGACCTCGTGATCCACCCGCCTCAGCCTCCCAAAATGCTGGGATTACAGGTGTGAGCCACCACTCCCGGCTGGCATTCCTTTTTAAGGCTGAATAATATTTCATTTGTGTTTATACCACATTGTTTACCCATTCATCAAGGATGGACATTTGGGTTGTTTCCACCTTTGGGCTATTATCTGTGCTGTTTATATTTTAATATATGCATGTGTTAAACATATATATGTTAACATATTTTAACCCATAGGTACATAACTAATAAAGGATTAAGTTGGTGCAAAAGTAACTGCGGTTTCTGTCATTGAAAGTAATGGCCAAAAATGCAATGACTTTTGCACCAACCTAATAAAAAGAGTTTTCTGTGATCACCTGCCCTGAAAGCACAGCCTAAAATAAGGACGTGAGGGCAGGTAGTTTACTTGGGAGGAAGCAGGAGTGCAGGTGTGGAGAAACTGAGGCAGGGAAGGGATAAAAGCCAATGAAATGCTGAGCTGGCTGCTGCCCAGTATTTCATGGGTTTGCTGGGGCCTCAATCCCATGAAGGCCTGAAGAACCGAGCAAAACACACCACAGAGTCATCTCACTGGAGGACAGAGAAGCTGGGCACATGTCTGCAATTTCCAACACCCATTATGTTACTTCCCCCTCACACTTCCTGCTTTCTCATGAGGGGCTGAGTGACCTTCCCAAAATTCAGGTGAGACAAGGGCAGGGTACTGTCCATGACAGCTCTTCTGAAATCAGGTGAGCTGGGAGGATGTGGCACGCAGCATCATAAACGTCTCCTACGTCATCTGAAATCATTTTTCATGCCTCATTTCATGCTTTGAGAGAGTTTTTCCCTAAAGAAGTGATGTCTAGGCCCAGCGCGGTGGCTCATGCCTGTAATCCCAGCACTTTGGGAGGCCAAGGTAGGTGGATCACCTGAGGTCACGAGTTCAAGACCAGTCTGACCAATATGGTGAAACCCCATCTCTATTAAAAATACAAAAAAAAAAAAAATTAGCCGGGCGTGGTGGCGCATGCCTGTAGTCCCAGATACTAGGGAGGCTGAGACAGGAGAATTGCTTGAACCCGGGAGGTGGAGGTTGTGGTGAGCCAAGATTGTGCCACTGCACTCCAGCCTGGGTGACAAAGCGAGATTCTGTCTCAAAAAAAAAAAAAAAAAAAAAGGAAAAAGAAGTGATGTCTAAGCTGACACTCAAAGAAGGAGTAGGTAGCCAGGCAAAGAGTGTGGGAAGGGTGTTTTTGGTGGAAGAAACAGCTCAAGGAAAGGCCTGGTGTGCAGATATAGCAAGCACTTTCCTAGGCCAGAGAAGTCCAGCGCCGCCAACGCAGGGAGGAGGGGTGGAGTGTTGCTTCTAAGGAGGCAGGCAGGGAACAGGCTTTGCAGGGCCCTGGTGGCCTCTGTATGCTATCCTAAGGGCTGGGGGTAGCTTTGGAAGTATCTGAACAAGGGAGGGTTAGGTGCATGAAGGGACTGCCTGGAGATTTGCTTTTCCTCTGTTGTCCTGGGGCAGATACCAGACTGGCATGGGTCACTGATACCTGACTTTCTTCCCAAGGGACTACAGTGGGAACCTCTCAGGTCTTTGTACTTTCAAGGCCAGTGGGCACCTAGTACAAGCTCAGAACTGATGGTGATGATGATGGAGACCCTGGGCCCCCATGTGCTTTCCCTGAGTGTCAACGAATCCTCCTCTGGACACAGATGTTCTGCCCCATCCTTTGGCCCCTAGTCTAGTAGAGAGAAAAGGGTCACATGGAACTGGGCCGACTTCTGCTCCCAGCTTGCTGAGGGACATTGGGTGAGTCACTTTTCCTCTCTGAGCCTCAGTTTTCTAGTCTGTTAAATGAGAATAATGCCTGTCTTGCATGGTTGTTGGGCAGATTCCATGAGAAAACAGCAAAGAGATTGGACCCTTGAAAGTGCTCAAGACATGGGGATTTTCTTTCCTAGCGCCCTACACTCATTTTGACTCCCTGAACGTAACCTGGCTCAGCCCACCTGAGGGAAAGGGGAATAAGAGTGGCAACGGGAAGTCCTGGAGGTTGTGGGAGCCCTTGTTAGGATAGAACCCACCTCCCGTTTCTCAAGACCCTGCTCCTACCCCTTCCACTCTCTCTGTGGTGTAATTCAGGGACAAGATCATATTACATCATTGTATTTCCTCATCCAGGAGCTGGCTGGGGTGCCGTGAGCCTGTTACTTTGCTTCCAAGATGCTGGAATCAGTACGGAAGGCCTGGTCCATTCCATCAGGATCTGTCCACTTTCAGCCCTGGCTGACTCTTTGGGCCTAGGCAGAGTGGGGTCCTTAGGGGCTCCAAGGAGGTTCCAGACCACTGAAGTTCTGCAGGAAATTCCCAGGCCTCCCAGGCCCTGTGGATTCTCCTTCAGAAATCACAGCCTCATTGGGATGCGGAGCACGTGGCGGAGCCCATGCCAAAGATGGATCAGGAGCCTCCGCGTGTGGCCTGGCTGGGATGATTACTGCCGCTAAGTAAATTGCCAGTGCCTCCTCAAGCCCCCTCCTGCCTGGCTCCGTGATTCATTTCCATTCAGAGAAGTTTAATAATTAGCAAAGGGGATTTCTAACAACAGATGGTGCCAGGCCCTGGGGAGTGGTTCTGCCGCAGAAGCACTTCACAGAGAGGTAAGCTGGAGAAGTTTCCCTGTTCCCTCCAAAAGGGTGTCTCCAGGCCTCTGTGACTATTGGTGGGCCCGTTTATATAATGTGGCTGCAAGAAGAGCAGAAGAAAAGGAAGGTGTCAGGTGGGGGAATGTGGATGCTGATGACTGTGCTGGAGAGGAGATGGCAGGCAGCAGTCTTCTTCACTCTGCTATCCACCTAGAAGTCTTTGAGCATTGAGGATCAGAGCTGCCGAAGGCCACCCAGAAGCCTCCCTGGGATTGGGGCAAGGTTCTAGGAGCTGCCAAGAACTTCTAAGAGGCTTCTGATATCCAAGTATAACCTTTCCCCACTGTCCCTCTCTGGAAGTGGAGCAATTTGCGCATCTCTCATCCTTCTTAAGGCACAGAGGGGAGGACTTAGACTCTGGATTCTCTTGATTTTAGAGGCCCAACTCTAAGTGTGTTAAGTAAAAAGGGAATTAGCAGGCCCTCAGAATTGGCAGTCTAGGGGTAGACTGGTTCAGATGTGGCTAGACCTGGGTAATCAAGCCATGCCATCCCTTGACTTTGCTTCTGTGAGGCCTAGCTGCAGCCTCATTCAATTCTACGGCAAAGGCAGCCTTCCATTTGTATGGGAAGGATGTTTCCCCTCCAAGCTCTTGAATAAAGCCCTCCCAGTTGGCCTGGACTTGGTCATGTGGCTATCCTGGAGTCAGAAGGATGATGAGGCTGCTTTGCCATTTTAGACACTTGCCCATCTCTATGTCTTGGAGAAGGTGCTCTATGACTGACAGCCCTACCAGAACCAGGAGGTGAAGGAGGTTCTCCAAGGGAAGGGCCACAGAAGAGCCAGACTAAGCATGTCCTGGAGGTCCAGAGGCAAGTGGTCAGCCAATGTCCCACAGCAGTAAAGCCAGAGAGAGGCCAATTTTGCTTTGCCTGGCTGGTGGTGTCTCACAGCTTTGCATGGCTCCCCAACAAGGGCTTGTTGTGAGCACATCATCACCTAGTCAGTTCCTACTGGACTGGCCCAATGGTCCAGGACTGTCTTGGAATAAAATATAGGGTCATTCTTCTTGTGGTAGTGAAAGGCTATTGGGGGAACAAAGTCATGAAAAACCAATTACAAAACCAAGAGGAATATAAGAGACATTGCAGGGCAATCTGTGGAATCAAAGCATAATTGATTTCCCAGTGAGCATGGCAGACCCATGACCAGCAATGAAGAGGAACAAGTAATCTATGTACAGTGGAGTGGGCTGGGGAAGAGGAACCCTAGAGAAGTGTTGGGAGCCAGTTCTCCAAGACAAGCTGGATCTGGGGAGACTTATTCCAATCAGAGAAAATGGCATAGTGGTAGGATTCACTGACCTGTCCAACCATTCATCCACCCATCCATCCTTTTATTCATTCATAAAATATTTACTGAGTACAATTTTTGTGCCAGGAATTGAGCTTCCAATGGTGGGCAAAAGAGTAAAGGATGTGAGGTGAATGGTGCATAGAATGACCCAGCTAGATTAGAGGATTGGAATGAGAGAAAGGCTAGAAATGTCATTTGAGTCAGTATATGCGGACCTCCGATATCAGACTCCGGTGTTTAAGGAATTTCCTGAGGGCAATGAGGCCTGATATGGTACGGTGGCCCCACTCATCACCTGTGGAAGACATACGGATGACCTCCTAGTTCACATTAAGGGAGTTTCAGGAGCAGAGAGACCCATTCCAGCTCGTAGCAGAGAGTGGTCTTTTCACAAATTGCAGAAACTGTGTAGTTGGTTGATAAAATTTTCCCAGTCAATTCTGCCTCTGTATGTGTTTATTAAACCTTTGGTGGCTGCTAACACAGGTCTCCAGAAAGCAGAAGCAGCTGACGTGATGAATGACTGCTCAGTTTTTGGATATCACACCTGGCATCAAGCATCCTTACCCTACCTGTCAACCTTGCCCTTCACACTGCCATTGGAGATAACACTGATGTTATATATTTTTTCCCCTGCCAAATTTTTTGAAAGTATTTCATATTGCCATTTTTCATATGGTCATAGTTTCGATTAGCTGAATTGTTCTTACATCACATAATAGAGTTCTGTCCATTCGCATCCTCATGGGGTTTCATGGAAAGCTCTGTGATTTCTGGGTGTGTTGTGCCCAGCTGGCTTTGAGAAGATGTGTGTTATGGCCTGAAGCCAGGACCCAAGACTGCATTGAACTCTGTGAGTTCCGTGTCTTCCCTTGGTGAATTTCACTTATCCTGTTGCTTATGCCAGTGTCCTCTCTACAATGAAGCCCTTTCGAATATCCTCAGAAAATAGTGACTCTTTCCTCATCATGCACACCCAGGGTACTTTATGCAGGTCTCTACTCTCTCTACTCCAGTACTTATTCCATCATTAGGATTTTCATTCTGCACCTCCAGGGCCTAGCAACAGGCTTGGCACATGGTTAGTGCCAACAAATGTTGAATGAATGGATAAATAAATCTATCTGTCAATGATTATGTGTGTGTTGGGAGGCAGTTAATTTGTCAAGATCAAACTTGCTTCCAAAAACCAAACAAAACCAAAACCCAAATCTAACTCTGCTCCCAGGTGGCAGATTTGAATATGGGCCCCGTCTCCTTATTAAACGTTCACTGTTCTCAGAATGGAGAGAGGATGACCAGACACAGCCCCTTGCTGGTTTCTGAGGGGCAGGTGTGACCTCCCTGAGTTGTTTAGGTCCATTTCTCCCCCTGGCTGTCTTGACTGGCTCCTGCCATTGGTGGGGCCCTGCTCAGCCCCTGTTGACACTCTTGGCATGGTAACCTTCAGGTTTTGACTTGGGGGATGAGCTGGAGGATGCGGGTTTGGTTTTCTGGAAGGGTTGCTTTGTCTTGGGAGCCAGTGTAATTTGGGGGAAGAGAGGGTGGCATATGGTATCAATTTCATTAATCTGGCTTCTTCATGGGAGTAGAGAGAGTAGGGATTTGGCACTTTGACAAGGCCCCCAAATTAGTTTGCCTCCCTTGGGAGAGGGTTGGAAAGGCTGCCTGCCTTGGCTTTGTCTCTGGATGAGTCATTCTGTTTGCTCAAATTGTCAATTGTCAAACAACAGTAGAGAGTGCTTCCCAGGTGGGGGTGTCAGTGCTGTCCCGACAGGCACATCTGCTCCTGAGACACCCACTGCTGGGGAAATGGGAGCCACGTTGCTACCCAGTTGCCAGCCTGAATGTCATGGCAAAGACCCCAGCAAGTCCTGGCCTTGCCCCACGTGGAGCTGTGGCAGGTGGGGCCAGCAGCTGTGGAGGCTCCAGATTGTAAAGAGGGGCAGCAACTGTGACCATGTTCCTGTGCTGTGACCAGTGGGCTGACTAGGTGCATGTGAGAGAGGTGGAGGAGCTACCAGCAAGGGGCCCTTGAAAGGGCAGGTGGAGGTATTTTCAGAGCTGCCCAAAGCTTGTTTGGAAAGAGGTTAAAACATTCCCTAATCTTGGGGGAGTATCAACACCTGTGGGTAGGATACTCAGTCAACCTCCTTAACAATGTGCTTCTGACCTGCCTTATGGGAATGAGTGTCACTCCCAATGGCCACCAGTTATCCTGCCCTGCGGGGTAGTGGTAGTGATGGTGGGGGAGAGGAAAAGACAGGAAGGGCGGAGACAAAAATAAATCTATGGAGGGAGCATGAACAGAGGGAAACAAAGAAGACACACACACACACACACACACACACACACACACACACACACACACGGAGAGAGAGAGTGAAAGAGAGAGAGAAGAGCAGGTGAAACTGTGAGGAAGTGAATAATAGTGCTCCCATCACTCATGGTAAAAGCTTCCAGGGATGTTTCTACCTGCAAGAGATGGGGGTAGCTGGGGCAGGGTTGGGGCAGGGAGTCTGCCACCATCACAGAACCCCAGTGCTCTGCCAGCTCAGTTTCTCAGTACGACAGAGGGCCTAGTGGCAAACACACCAGAGGACCTGGCACTGAATCTGGGCCTCTGTTCCCAGGTACCCGGGGCCAGGTCCTTCAGGACAGGCTTACTGGGCAAAGTATGTCATTATTATCACATTATTGCTATCATTTATTGAGTGCTTACTATTTATCGTAGATCTGTTATCTCAATTATCATAACAGGATGTGCTTTTGCTATTATTAGCCCCATGTTATAGATGGAAAAAACAGAGCCTTAGAGAGTTTAAGTAACCTGTCTATAGGTGGTAAAGTTGGGCTTCTGACTCAGTGTGTCTGGCACCCAAGTGCATTATCTTAACCCTCTGCCCTTCACCTCTTGTCATTTACCTTCTAGGAGCATTGCCGATGGGCCCCACCCTTTGTCCACATCACTCTGTGTCTGTCAAGCTGGATTTCCTACCTGGTTTTCCATCTTACTTCCTCTTTACCTCCTACCTGTCACCTACCTCCTCCTTTCCAGACCATAGGCTGTGGTTCTGCTTCCTGGTGTCA
Source organism: Homo sapiens (assembly GCF_000001405.40). NCBI lineage: Eukaryota > Metazoa > Chordata > Mammalia > Primates > Hominidae > Homo > Homo sapiens. Next base: position 36,967,501 of record NC_000001.11, on the reverse strand, counting down.
GTGTTTCCATAGAGACACAGATGACCCATGAGTCTTGCTCCCTCATTTCCCATGCTCCCTCAGGGCCATGAGCTATATGCTGTAGAGTGATCCCTGAGCAGAGGGTAGTCAGGCCCTGCTGGGCATGGAGGTTGGAGCAGAAATCCAGGACAAGGCAGAGAAAAGCTTCAGAGTGAGAAGCACTTCAGAGATTTGTGGGTCCCAATAGAAAGGGCAGAGGTGCACATACCCCCTGGTCTCAGCTTGCAGTGAAGAAGGGAGGACCAGGAGCTGGGGAAGAGAAGTGAGGACCAGAAAGGCTCTTGCACTCTATCACAGCACTGATCAAACTATATTGTCATTGTCTAGTGGTTAAAAGGGAAGGCCCTAGAGTCAGGATGTCTGACTTCAAATTTTAGCCCCTCCTTTTGCTAACTGTGTGAGATGTTGTCTCTAAAGGGGCCCAACACAAGACCTGATACTTAGTAATAATTCAACAAATATTCATGATTGTTAACATTAACTTAATTGTCCTTCTCACGTATTAAGAGGGCAAGGATTCCATACATCTTTTTTTAAACCATTGTATCCCTCAAAACAAGCACATTGTCTGGCAAATAGTGGGTCTTATTATATACTTGGTGAATAAATGAATGAGGGACTCACCATGCCCGGCTCTATTATTATTTTCTTCTCAGGATCTAAGCCTGAAGATCAGAATCCATATGAGTATGAGAATGCCAAGGGGTTGGGGGGGTGGTCTGTATCCTGGAAGAGGGTTCTGATGAGGAGGATCTTGGAAATAAGCTATGATTAAATCCATCAAGGATTCAGTGGTATTCAGAGTGATCTCTCGGTGTCCAGAGACACCCGGCTTCGTGAGGAAGAAAAGAGGGCTCTTACATGGATCCACAAAGATTAGGATCTGCCTTAGTCCAGGCTTCTCAAGCTAGAAATTTTTCTCACCTTCACTCCCCCGCTAACTTCAACTGTGGGAAGTCAAAAGACCAAGGTCATCCTCAGCCTTAGCCAAGCAGAACCTTGCTGGAGCTGTCCCTGGTGCTGACCTCCCAGCCATCTCTGTCCTGGCAAAGAGGTTCTGATCCAGACCCACCCAGTCCAAGCTTGACTGCTCTGATGAACGTCCAAGGCCCCTGTTGGCTTGGCAAACTCTTTAGCTGCAGTCCAGGCCAAACCATGACCTTTCCGTCTGACACTTGCCTGATAGCCTGTCTGGTCCCATGTCCAGCTTGAGACATCACAAATCTGCCACAAGCTGCCCCAGCTGATGCAGAACTGGGCCTGTGGAGAGGTGATTGGGGCAAACCCTCAGGATAACAGATAAGGTGCACATCAGTGCACAGATGGCTGGACCTGCACCCTTGGCTGGCACCCTTTCCTGGCTAGCATGTCCTATACCCCTGTCTCTTGGGACCATGGGGCATATTTCTCTTCTAGAGCAAAACAGGTGTCACGGGTGGGGCTAAGAAGTGCCGTCTCAGCACCATGCTTCCCTGGCTAATATAGCACTGTGCTGGCTTATCCCTCGAAGGGCAGATTAATCATTTCCGCCCCAAGTCACCATCCAGGCCAGATTTATTGTGGCGGGAGCATGGGAGCCCCCGACTTTATGGTCTTGTAAATTACAGAGCTGCTTGTGCAAGAGGCAAGCTGGGCTGTAAATCATGTGTAATTGCTTGTAAATTGGGAAACAAATAGTATTTTTGCTTAAATTACCCTCCTTGCAAATGTTTCTTAGGGAATTGAGGTTCCACAGAGAACGTTTAACCTCCCTGGGAACAAAATTCCCGTTGGGACTCAATCTAAACTATCTCAGAATCTTTCAGAGCCACATCTCAGCAAGTCTGGAGGCCTGTGGGTCAAATGGAGAAGAAATGACTGCAGTTGTCATAAATTCTTCTTTTAGGTTGGCTTAAATCACATTCCCCTGGGACCTCTCTCCCCCCATTTCTAGTTAACCCCCAGAGTCTCATCTATCCCCTGGCTATGGCAAGCCCTCTCCAAGTCTCTGGGAAAACAAGTCCATGTGAGCTCCAGAGAATCCAATTTCATTCCTTTTTTCCCCCACGCAAAGGCAGTGACTCACTGTTCGCTGGCGAGTGTGGCCTCTGTGTTAAGATGTTATTTGCTTGCTTATTCTCATCTTTTCCCATTTCAATGAAATTACATTTATAATCTTTTTTACCTGCCTTGGTCAACTTGGAAGAGTCATTAAATTTTCTGATAGGCAGCCTGGTAAACTTTAATTGAATCACGAATCACCATCTTCTGGAAAGTTCAGCCCGCGAGGACTTTGGGTACCGTATAATTCAACTCGTTCATTTGACAGGCGAGGAAATAGAAGTCTAGGATGGTTAAGTGACTTGCCCAAAGTCATACTCTGAGTGAGGACAGCTCTGGGATCAGATTTGAGCCTGCTTTTTCAGGTACCACACGCCTTCCACTCCACGGCACTGGGCCCCTTGGATTTAGCTGTTACTCAGGCAGCACTGCTATGTGATAAACCTTAAGAGGATCAACAAACATTTGTCTTATAATTGGGGGAATTAACAGCGTTTCAAAACCTTTCCTAGGAAACTGACTCAGCTAATGGGCTTGGGCTGTGATTGGTGGCAGCTGGCAACTATGGGGGTCTTCCTATGTGCTCTCTCCCCCACAGGACATTTGTCAGATGCCTTGGGGATTCCTCTTTTCAATGTGGCACTTGAGGTTTGAGTTTGATGCTATTAGTGATGGCTGTGCTGGTCATATCACGTGGGGTGTCTTGGCAGGGGTGTGGGTAGTGGAAAGGACATGAATGGTCTTGAAATCAGGCACTGTTACTCACTGTGGGCATGGTCTTGGGCAAGTCACTTCACTGAGCCTCCATTTTCTTATCTATCCAATGGGCATCAGGAGCTGACCCTTTCAGCGTAACTGAAAACTATAAAAGATGAACATGAGAAAGTATCCAAGTCAGAGCCCCACATACAGGGAGCCCTGGTCCATGCTGATTTTATCAGAAGGGCAGAGATGTGGGGGTTCGGTTTCCAGTGGCCGGACTTGTCTATGGATGCTGCATGTGTGAGGAGGGGAGAGGGGTCACTGTGTGGAGGCCACCCCTGAGTCATGGAGCCTCATGGTCTGATTTCCTCCCCTTGGGGAGTTTGCCAGCTGCAGTAGATGAAGCTGCCAGGCTGGGGCTCAGGGGCCCCCTCTACAGGGAGGTCACCTGAGTTCTGAGAAATCCTGAACCCTCAGCTGGTGCTTGTCTCCAGGCAAGACCTGGAGGAGGACTCTGTTGCTGTCCAGAGGAGTACAGCAGCCCAACACAGTTGGTCCATCTGTGCCAGACCTCGCCCAGCTGTGTAAGCAGCCTGGTGTCCCCATACTAATGAGTGACTCTCTTCTTGCCCAGGCCAGGCCCACGGCTTCTTAGCACCTCCTGCCTCTGCATGCATTTGTCCATGGGGTCTTCATGACCACGGTGGTACAGAGAATCCCCAGCTGGCCTCCCAGGCCTTTGCCTGTCCTTAGGAGAAGGCTCTGGCTTTAAACCCTGTCTCTTCATCCTCACCAGCTACTTCTTTGTCCCTGGGGATGATGGACAAATGGAAACAATCTGAGGCTCAGGTCACCAGAGACTCAGTTCCATGCATTGCCTGCTTTGGGAGGCCCTTGTCCATACAGCCATTCAATGCAGAGGTGCCTCTGAGGTCACACCAACCTGGAAAGCATTCAGGAGGCTGCTGGGGGTTGAGGGGGATATCTCACTGGGGATTGTTTCCTAAAGGAAGCTGGGCCTTCAGAGGTGGGGAACTCTCACAGAGAGGCCAGCACACTCTCACTCCTCTTTATAGATCACAAGGAATAGAAGTTAAAAGCAGGGGTTCAAATCCCAGTTCCACCACTTCCCAGCTGTGCAACTTTGGGTGAGATCTTGGACCTCTCTGAGCCTCAGATGTTCAAAGGGAGCGAGTAATGGCATGCGGCTCAGAGTGGTTGTGAGGACTCAGTGAGATAATGCATGGAAGGAGCTCAGCAAGTGCGTGCCACACAGAAGGCGTTCCTCTCCATCGTAGTTATTAATGCAACTCCCAAGCCTCCTCCCAGGCATGCAGGAAATCACTGGGAAGCATTGGTGTGACTCTCACGTTCTGCCTGGCGTCTCGAGTGTCCTGGTCTCAGGAGGCTGAGCGGGGGGTTTGTTTATTCCCAGAGCTGTTTTCTCTATTGCCTGCTACCGCCGCTTGCCTCCCCCAGACGTACTTATGGAGCCAAGTGGGCAGGAGGCAAAGGAGAGAGTCCTGCCAGCCTGATGGAGTGGAAGACCAAGGATTAGCTCCTGTGGAGAGGCAGATGGGGAGACGACACTGGGCATGCAGCCGACCCCTCCCCTGGGCTCCCTGCCTCGGTCCCTGACCTCGGGGTTGGCTAATGTCTGTCCTTCCTTCTCCTCCCCCTTCCAAGTTCCTCTCTCCTCCTGGAATGGAAGCTGTCTGACTCTGTCTTCCTTCACCCTTTCTGTCCTTTGCATTGCCCTTGGCCACCTCTACCCACCCCAGGTCATCTCTCTCCTCATCATGTCCCTCTAGATTTTTCTCTTTCCTTCCTTCCTCCTTTTTTTTTTTTTTTTTTTGAGAGGGAGTCTCGCTCTGTTGCCCAGGCTGGAGTGCAGTGGCACGATCTCGGCTCACTGCAACCTCCGCCTCCCGGGTTCAAGCTATCCTCCTGCCTCAACCTCCCTCCTTCCTTCATTTTTTATCCGTTTGTATTGGTCTTTATCCACCTGGCTTGGTCCCTCTCTTTGCCTCTCCATATCTCCTTCTCCCTCTGACTTTTTGTTCACTTCTGTTCTCTCTCTCTCTCTCTCTCTCTCTCTTCCTCTCCCTCTCTCTCACTTTCCTCCACCGCTAACCACTTCAGCCACCGTCTGCTTGCTCGCCTCAGGCCCCACTGCACACAAACCCAGGGCCCTGGCTTAGGAGTCTCCAGGTCTTCTGGGTTTCTTGGCCCTCAGTCCCTTTCCTGTCTCCTTCCCCTGAATCTAGACCCATCCCTTTAATTCTTTCTTGAAAAGCGGCGTGGGGCTGAGATTAACCCCTGGGGCATGCATGTACCTAGGGGATACCAGAGGGAGCCCCAGGGACCTGAGGCTAGGATCTTCCATCTGTGGCTTGTTTCTGGGAATGGACCGAACATGCATTCAGTGAGGATGTATTAAGCCTGTTGTGTGCCCAGGACTGTGACAGAGATAAGAGGAATGGAGAGTGCCTCTTTGCAAGGATCTTTGCATCTAGTAGAAGAGGAGAAGCTGATACATGCGAACCTGTTCAGAAGCAGGTACTGGGTGGCCAGGGGCAGAAGCCATGCCTCGTGATGTCTGGAATTGTCTGTGCAGGGCCGGTGCTCCTGCCCCGCCTGGCCAGCAACTGCCCATCACTCAGTCCTTCTGTGAGCCTCCCTTCCTTTTGAATTTTTCTGTGTCTTCCCACCAGCATGTCTGGATCAGGGGTCCTTCATCTGCATCCCCAGAGCACCCTGGACTCTGGCTCTTAGACCAGTTCTCACCACATGTGGAATCATCTGGCTGGGTTTCTCTGTCCCCTTCCACCAGGCTGTGAGCTCGAGAGCAAGGGTGGTTGGTTGTCCTGATTACTGCTGAGTCCCCCGCACCTAGGACAGTGCCATTGCAGAGCAGGGGCACTCACATTCTGGGCTCTTGATAAGGTGGGCTGGAGAACAAAGAGATGTGACTTGAATGAAAGCAGGACAACCTTCATTCACGGGTCTTTGCATCCTTCGGCAAAATGATTTCATCGAACACATCCTGGCTCTGCCATCTCGAGACATTCATGTCGGAGCCAGCAGGACCCTGGAGATCACTTTGTTGAGCCCTCCCGTCTCACAGATAGGCCCTGAAGCCCACAGCAAGCCTGGCCTGTCGGAGGGAAGGGGCTCCCCCAGGGCTGTGCCTGGGGCCCGGTGGGCATCTGTGCTTGCTCGTGGGCTGTGGCCTCCTGAGAGCCACCCCTCTCAGTGCCTGCTGCTTTCTTTGTCTCTGCCCCTGGCTGTCTCTCTTTCTACCACTGTCCTCGTCCTCTCTCTTCTGCTTTTTTTTCCTCTGATGGGATAATTATGCTAATCAGCCTGTCAGAACAAAGATAATTTGTGGTGGGCTATTTCAGACTTTGGAATTCAGGCCAAGGCCCCTTTCCTGCTTGCCTCCGTATGCCCCTTCACCCCTAGCCTGGGCCTGAGCCAGGCAGGATTGTGGAGGGAGGGATGGTGGGTGCTTGAGGGCAGGCGGCTGAGTGAGGATGTGGGTGTGTGCACAGGTGGGCACGTGTGTGCACGCAGTGTGTTGCATGGAGCCTACCTCCATGTGCAGGGGAGAAGAGGCATCACCGGATGTCTGCAGAAACCAGCGAAACAGGGACAGGATAACAAGAGAGCTGCTGTTCCTGGGATATGAGAGTTGAAGACAGGTCGTCTCCATGTATGTGGCTTTAGCAGTGGAATGACCACTGACCCACCCCAAAGCTGTTTGGTGGTGACCTATGTGTTGTGCTTCCCTGATGAATCCCAAATCAGCACTCTTTCCTCTCTGAGGGATTGCACTTTGTCTCCCACCCCATCTCCCCAGCTTGTCCTAGGCTAGAAGGGACCTTGAGATGCTTACTCCCTCGGCCTGGTTGGTCATCGCAGGGTGGGGGAAGGAGGGATGCTGATATACCAGGCAGCAGAGCTGACCAAATAGGCCCAGAGGGCAGTTCTGTGTCTAGGGGGTGAATGGAGCAGCCTCCAAGGAGCCAGGCTTAGCAGCGGAAGTCTGGGAGGTGCTGATTGGACTGGCCTTGAGGCTGGATACAGGGCTCTGCTCTGCTCCTCTATTTCTCAGAGACTCTGAAGTGGGCCAGAAGAACATGGGCCCAGCCCAGGAGTGGACCCCGTGCCTAGAGGCGGTTGCTTAGCCATCCCAGGTCCCTTCACATGCCTCACTCTGTTCCCAGTGTCCCCTGCTTTCTCCAGGGGCTTCCAGTACCCCACTGGCCTCTAACTTCCATTCACCCAGTGATGTTTATTGAGTAAGTACAGGTGCCAAGTACTGCGTTAAATACCGGAGCTGCAATTGCAGACCACACAGGCTTACAGGGCACACAAGCTCATGGGGCAAACAGGTTCACGGGTCACACAGGCTCATGGGGCACAGAGTCACGGGGTACACAGGCTCATGGGTCACAGGCTCACGGGTCACAGAGTCACAGGGCACACAGACTCATGGGTCACAGGCTCACAGGGCACACAGGCTCATGGGTCACAGAGGCTCGGGGGCACAGACTCACAGGGCACACAGGCTCACAGGGCACACAGGCTCAAGGGGCACAGGCTCACGAGGCACAGACTCACAGAGCACACAGGCTTATGGGGCACAGAGTCATGGGGCACATGGCTCACAGGGCACACAGGCTCACAGGGCACACAGACTCGCGGGGCACACAGACTTATGGGGCACACAGACTCACGGGGCACAGAGGCTCATGGGGCATAGACTCACAGGGCACACAGGCTCACAGGGCACAGAGTCATGGGGCACACAGGCTCACAGGGCACACAGGCTCATGGGGCACAGAATCATGGGGCACACGGCTCATGGGGCACACAGGCTCACAGGGCACACAGACTCACAGGGCACACAGGCTCATGGGGCACAGAGTCATGGGGTACACAGGCTCACAGGGCACACAGGCTCACAGGGCACACAGACTCAATGGGGCGCACAGACTCATGGGACACACCGACTCACAAAGCACACAGGCTCAAGGGGCACAGAGTCACAGGGCACACAGACTCACAGGGCATACAAGCTTATGGGACACATAGGCTCACAGGGCACAGAGTTACGGGGCACACAGGCTCATGGGGTACAGAGTCATGGGGCACACAGGCTCATGGAGCACACAGTCATGGGACACCCAGGCTTACAGGGCACACAGGCTCACAGGGCACACAGTCACAGGGCACACAGGCTCACAGGGCACAGAGTCAGGGGCCACACAGGCTCATGGGGCACAGAGTCACGGGGCACAGACTCACAGACTCACAGATCACAGAGGCTCATGGGGTGCAGGCTCACAGGGCACACAGACTCACAGGGCACACAGGCTCACGGGACACACAGGCTCACCGGGCACACAGAGTCATGGGGCACAGAGGCTCACAGGGCACAGGCTCACAGGCACAGGCTCACGGGGCACAGACTTACCGGACACACAGGTCATGGGACACAGAGTCATGGGGCACACAGGTTCACAGGGCACACAGGCTCACGGGACACAGAGTCATGGGACACACAGGCTCACAGGGCACACAGGCTCACAGGACACACAGGTTCATGGGGCACAGAGTCATGGGGCACAGACTCACAGACTCACAGGTCATAGACGCTCATGGGGTGCAGGCTCACAGGGCACACAGACTCACAGGGCACACAGGCTCATGGGGCACAGAGTCACGGGGCACAGACTCACAAACTCACAGGTCACAGAGGCTCATGGGGTGCAGGCTCACAGGGCACACAGGCTCACAGGGCACACAGGCTCATGGGGCACAGAGTCACAAGGCACAGACTCACAGGGCACACAGGCTCACAGGACACACAGGCTCATGGGGCACAGAGTCACAAGGCACAGACTCACAGGGCACACAGGCTCACGGGACACAGGCTCATTGGGCACACAGTCACAGGGCACACAGGCTCGCAGGGCACACAGGTTCATGGGACACACAGGCTCACGGGGCACAGAGTCATGGGGCACAGAGTCACAAGGCACAGACTCACAGGGCACACAGGCTCACGGGACACAGGCTCATTGGGCACACAGTCACAGGGCACACAGGCTCACAGGGCACACAGGTTCACAGGACACATAGGCTCACAGGGCACAGAGTCACAGGGCACAGACTCACAGGGCACACAGGCTCACGGGACACACAGGCTTATGGGGCACAGACTCATGGAGCACAGACTCACAGAGCACACAGACTTAGGGGGCACAGACTCACAGGGCACACAGACTCGGGGCACAGAGTCACGGGGCACAGACTCACGGGGCACACAGGCTCACAGGGCGCAGATTCAAAGAGCACACAGGCTCATGGAGCAAAGATTCAAAGAGCACACAGGCTCATGGGGCACAGACTCACCGGGCACACAGACTCAGGGGGCACAGAGTCATGGGGCACACAGACTCACGGGGCACAGAGTCATGGGACACACAGGCTCACGGGGCACACAGGCTCACGGGGCACAGACTCACAGGGCACACAGACTCAGGGGCACAGACTCACAGGGCACACAGACTCAGGGCACAGAGTCACGGGGCACACAGACTCATGGGACACAGACTCACGGGGCACACAGGCTCACAGGGCGCAGATTCAAAGAGCACACAGGCTCACGGAGCAAAGATTCAAAGAGCACACAGGCTCATGGGGCACAGACTCACCGGGCACACAGACTCAGGGGGCACAGAGTCATGGGGCACACAGACTCACGGGGCACAGAGTCATGGGACACACAGGCTCATGGGGCACACAGGCTCACGGGGCACAGACTCACAGGGCACACAGACTCAGGGGCACAGAGTCACGGGGCACACAGACTCACGGGGCACAGAGTCATGGGACACACAGGCTCACGGGACACATAGGTTCATTGGGCACAGAGTCACGGGGCACAGACTCATGGGACACACATGCTCACAGGACACACAGGCTTATGGGGCACAGACTCACAGAGCACACAGGCTCACGGGGCACACAGGCTCATGGGGCACAGAGTCACGGGGCACAGACTCACAGATCACAGATGCTCATGGGGCACAGGCTTACGGGGCACAGTCACAGGGCACACAGGCTCACGGGGCACAGAGACTCACAGGGCACAGACTCACAGAGCACACAGGCTCACGGGGCACAGGACACGGGGCACACAGGCTTATGGGGCACAGAGTCATGGGGCACACAGGCTCACGGGGCACAGACTCACAGAGCACATAGGCTCACAGGGCACAGACTCACAGAGCACAGAGGCTCATGGGGCACACAGGCTCACGGGGCACAGATTCACAGAGCACACAGGCTCACAGGGCACAGACTCAGGGGGCATAGGCTCACTGGGTACACAGGCTCACGGGGCACAAAGTCATGAGGCACACGGGCTCGTGGGGCACACAGACTCACAGAACAGGTAGGCTCACAGAGCACAGAGGCTCATGGAAGCTCCTCAGGATCACACTCCCACCTGCTGTGGAAAGTTCCCTGCAGTAAACACATGTCCCTCTCTCTCTATTGATAAGAGCACAGGCCCCCAATCAGCCAATCTGATGAGGGTTCAGGACTCAGCCCAGCCTTATTCTGGAGGCTGTTTGTCAGAGCCTCCGTTTCCATAGCTGTGTGGCATCTGCCGAAGCCTCCTGCTCTGTGGCCTGCTCCAGCAGAGGGGGTCTTGCTCCTGGTCTCCCTTGGGTGCTGGGCATCGCCCAGAGTGATGCGGGTGGAGACAGAGTGCTTTACTCACAGGACAGTGAATGAATGCATGGGTAAGTGAACGAACAATGAATGACTGCTCTCTGTAAAACAGAGGACACAAAGCTTTTTAAAAAATGTTTTATTTCAGAAAAATTTTCAAATTTTCAAAATATGCCAGAGTAGAGAGAATAGAACAGTAAGTACCATGTGTTCATCCCCCAGAGTCAATTGTTGGCCCGGGGCCAGTCTGGCTTCATACTTCCCCACTGCCTTTGTCTCATTTCACCTGAAATGTTTCCTGTGCACCTCGGGGGCTTTTGTTCTGTGCTCCCCTCACCTTCCCAAGGATGCTGGGCTCAGGGTCCGCCTCTCTCAGTTCTTTGGAAGCCTTGCAAGGATTCAGCTTGGCCATGGCATGTGATGGTCGAGAGTGGTGTGGGGTGGACATGGCCCTGGGCAGCTGTTTTCTTGGGAGCTGGGAAGCCTGGCTGCCCACACACCAGCGTGGAAGGAGTTAGCGGGTTTTTCCCTCTCCGGTGGGCATGCGGAATGCTGCCGTCTGGGTAAATTGTGGCAGTTTCACGATGAGGCTTTGAGTCATTTAAATGGCTGCTGGTGAGATGCTGCCCTGAGTCATTTCATCTTCCTAAGTAACTTTCTCTTCTGGGCTTCTGCCTATGCAGCACCTTGGCCCAGTCCCCAGCCAAGGTGGCCACCCCTTCCTACCAATCACGCTGCCTGCTTCCCACCCTCAGCCCTGTCTTCCAAGGGCCTCTTCCCCTCTCTTGCTTCCCTGGCTCAGCCATTTGCTGGCTTAGTCTGAGAAGGGGAGAGGATGATGTTGAAAAGGGCGGGGAGCAGAGTTCTAGGGCCTGCCGTCCCCCAGGCCGAGCACCCCACGGCTCAGGACTCCTCCCCCACTGAGCCACTGAAGCCCCCACAGGCCCCGCTCTGGCTGTTGGTGGAGCCTGGAGGCCTGCAGGAGGAGGTGTCACCAAGAACCTTGTCTTCCTCACCGTCACCTACCAGTTCTGAGAATCTGGTCTGATGCCGAGCCTTTGTTAAGAAGGCCTTGGCCACAGGCCATGGCTGGCCAGCCAAAACACCAGACCCTGGCCCTGGTGGCCAGCGGGGGATCCTTACTGACAGGGATGAGGTTGTGAGTCAGAAAGGCCACAGACACTCTGGATGTGTGCATGAGCACTTGCGTGAATGTGTGCAAGTGTGTCTGGTCCTGAACGCCTTGGTGTGCTGGTTGTGTCTTTGTCTACACAGCATGTGCCAGGGTGTTTCTGAGCCTTCTGTTGTTGTGTTCACATGTGTGAGTGCTTGAGGTAGCCTGTTCAGTATGCTTGGCTGCAGCTGTCCAGATATGCTTGTGTGTGAATGTATGTGCATGTGCCCTGTGTTTGTATGGAGCAGGGCAGCCTGTGTGTGCATGCGTGTTCTCCGGGGGCGGGGGTATGTCTGTGTGTGCTGTGTCTGTGGTTCTGGGTTTGAGTGATGTGCGGGGCCTCCCAGAGAGGGCCTGTGACTCAGTGCCTGTGTTCCACTGTGTGTTGGGTGCTGTGAGTGTGCCTGTCAGCCTCTGTGTATCCATCCACGTGTTTGTGTGCACGTGTGCGCTGCTCGGTGTGTGGACGGGGAAGCACAGTTTGGGTGGTGTTGGGTCAGGCCCAGCCCCTGTACCCCACCGCCCCACACCTGCCCCTTCCTGTCCTGCTGGCAGGGTTGATGACAGCCATGCCAGGCCCTACCCTTAGCCAGGTGGGCTGTCACTTATTTAGGGCTGCTATTTCAGGAGGGGAAGCAGCTGGCTGGCGGGCTGCTCATCTGAGCCTCAGCAAATCAGTGAGCTCAGGACCCACTCTGGGGTGGCCCCTCACTGCTGAAGTCTGCTTGGGGTTGGAGGCCCATGTGGCTGAGGCCTCTGTCTACCACCCTGACACCACTTATAGCACCACCATCCAATGTAGAGCTGGCTTGGGCTTCCTGCCTGTTCTCAAAGGAATAGGCCCTTACCCAGGGCTCCTATGGACCTGTGTGTGTGTGTTCGTGTGTGTGAACGTGCATGTGCACAGGTGGGTACACACAGGCATGTGTCCCTGGGTCCACACCTGCAGGCACTTGCCCACTATGCACTTATACTTGTGTGAGGAAGGGCACCTTTCTGTGGCCTGAACTCATGTGTCTGTAGCTGGTTTTTTTCTGTGATTTGTCTATGCATGTGTGTGTCCTTGTGCGTGCACAGGTGTGTACACATGTGCTTCTCTGCGTGTGTGTGGACCTGTGTATGCATATGTATGTGCATGCACACTCTTTCCCCAGCCTCCTTACAGTAATCAGGGGAACCTCAGGGACCTGTCCTTTGGAACACAGACATGTGCTACCTGTGCTCCTGCTGCTGGCCTCAGCCCCCGTCCCCACCCCAAGAGTCCTGGAGACCCACACATGCCACACAATGCTGCCTTGCCCAGAACCCTGGAGTGGCTCCCCACATGCTTTCTGTTGGCCTTCAGGGTCGGGGGCCTCCTCCAGGCCACTCTCACTTCTCCCGCAGATGACCTTTCTGGCTGCTCTGATTGGCATGTGGCTTCCTCTACTGAAAGGCATTCCGTGACTCTTCACTGAGCAAGTCCTCTGATGCTGAGGCTGTGTGCTGGGCTCCAGGAGAGGCAGCAGGGGTAATCATGGGCCAGCATTCCAAGACGTCTTAGGCTAGTGCAGTGGCAAGATCCTGGAGCTCAGATGTAAGGTGTGCTAGAGAGAGGTGAGCTTGGTGAGGGGTGAGAGCTTCCCAACAGGAATGCCCCCCTCTATCTCACCCTGAGAAGCATTCTTGTCTTTGAGAGTCCCTGGCACAGCCCCTCATCTGGTTCCCCAGCGGAAAGGATGCCCTTCGTCCCCCTTGACCCCTTGCACCTAGTAGATCCCTTTCCTCTTAGGACTAACGGTTTCCCATCATCAGAGCTTGGCTCAGCTGGCACGAAGGAAGGAGGCCAAGGGCAGTCTGACTGCAGGGGCAGTACCCTTGGGAGACAGGGGCTGGGGGTCCTCTGCCCTCTAATTGTCCTTTCCCGGCAGCTTCCCTCAATCAAGCCATTGATTTGAGGGCCCCCTCTGTGCTTCCCCTCCAGGGGAGCTTCTTCAGGGCCATGCTTTGATTGCTGCGGAGCGAGTGAAGCCTGTGTGAGCATCCCCTCTGAGCATCTCTCACCACCTGCCCTGCATCTCTGCTTGGACATCTCAAAGGCACTCAGCCCCAGCTGGCACCTTCGGGTGCCACTTCCGTGAGCTGGAAACCTGTGGGGTCCCTACCGACTCCTTCCTAGTCACCTTTCCTTTCCCCTGCCTGGTCCATGGCCCCATTGTGCAGATTCACCACCTAAGCATACCCAAGCCCTCTTCTGTCTGCCAGCAGCCTGCCCTAGGCCATTGTCATCACCACCTAAGCTCTTCTCCTTACGTATGCCCTAGCCCTCACCCTTCAATCTGTTCCACATGTGAGATCTACAATTTTGATCATGGCACTCTCCTGCTTAAAGCCATCAATAGCTCACCATTGCTTTTAGGATGACTCCTGCCCTTCACTTGGCACACTAACTCCTTTATCCTGCAGGTCTCGGCTCAACAGCATATCTGCAGGGAGGCCCCCTTGGACCTCACTCCTCTTGCCCTCTACCTGTGCCAGGCCAGGTCCTCTTGCCATCTGTTCTGCTCAAGCTGGGAACGCTCCGCACTTGCCAGAGCCCAAGGGCAGCTCCTCCTGACTAAGTGCTATGAGGCAGGGGCAGGGGGAGGGGCAAGGACAGGGCTGTCCACACGTTGTCCTCAGTGCTAGCAGTGAAGTGTTGTGTCTGCACAGACATGGAGCCCAACAGACGTGTGCTGAATGAATGCATGAGTAAAGGGCACTTGAGCACAGTCTCTTCCTCCTCCTCCCGCTCCTCCTCACCCAAGTAGTCCTGGGTCAGCCTGCAGAGCCCTTCGGAGGACACAGCATGGACACCCTGATGGTGATGCTGATTCTCCCTGTCAGCTGCCTTGTACAAGTGTTGCACGTGCTGTTCCCTCTACCTGGAGCATTTCTCTCAGGCACATAGCTCGTTCCCTCTCCTCCAGATTTGGCTTCAAGTGTTCTCACCTTGAAGAACCCTTCCCTGAACACCATGTATAAATTAGACCCCCCAACACCCAGTATTCCCTATCATCTCCTTTTGGCTTTTCCTTCCTGGCACTTATCACAATGGAATAGTCATTTATTCATTCATTCATTCATTCATATGCTTTCTCATTATCTGTTTGCCCCACCAAACTCTAAGCTCCCTGGAGGCAAGTTCCTCCCCACTGTTGACCCGGCACCCATCAGAGCCTGCTGGCACACAGTGCGTGTTCATTATGTGTGTAAATGAAGGATTGCATTATGTAACTTATTTTCCAACCCTGTCAGGGATCCACTTTAGAGATGAGAAAACTGAGGACCAGAGAAGTGAAGAAACTCACTAGTGGTCACAAAACTAATGAGAGAGGTGGTCTGGAGGTTCACATCCAGATTTGACTGATCCTATTTACTCTCATTCATTCATTCATTCATTCAGCACCTGCTCTGTGCAGAGGCCCTGTGCTGGGAACAGAGGCACAGAGATGGGATCATCACAGCTGCTGCCTGGATGACAGCTCAGTCCAGAGGGGAGGGGACTGAAGACAGTGGTCAGGAGGAGGCCCTAACGGACATCGTGGGCCCTGAGGAGACACCATGGAGGAAGGGCTCTTTGAGTAGGGTTTTGAGGGATGAGTAGGCTCTCGTGGCTGAGTGGTACGTATTGTACAGCAGAAAGAACACTGGACAGGGAATCAGGAGGCCTGTGTTCCAGTCATCCCCACTCCCTGTCACTTTGGGAAAATCACATTCCCTTGCTGACCCTGTTTCTGCATCTGCAAAGCCGGGCAGGCCCTGTGCTGACAGTCTGTGGGCTGAGGTGGCTGACTGGCAGGAACATTCATTTCCCTTCGATGCTCCTCCCCACAAGACAGAACCCACCTGGCAGAGGCCCTGGCTGTTTGGCAGAGTGGGCAGAGCATGGGGCAGCTGCCCTCTACCTGCCCTGCCTCCTGTGGTCCTCCCGCCCCTCCGCCCTCCAACCTCCTTCTCTCTGCTTCTTCCCTGTTCCCCCCATTTCTGCCCTCTCCTCTCCCTCCTCCTCGTCTTCCTCAGCCCCTTTCATCCTCTTCTCCTTCTCCCTCCCCCTTTTATTCCTCCTCTTCCTCACCTTCTCTTCTTTCTCCCCCATTATTTTCCTGCTGCCCTGCCCAAGGGGGAGAGCACAAAGGGTAGTCAAAGTTAATTTAGGCTCAAGTACCTGGTCACCTAGAAACAAGGCCAGTCCCCCAATGCAGGGCCTCAGCCGTGGCCTCATTAATCTGCATGCGACCAGCATTGCCAGTTCGACATAAGTAGGACAGAAGCCATGCTGCCGAGGAGAGGGGGCCTTGGGCTCTGGCCACTTGGTCCCCCAGCAGTCACGTGGCCACCCCCCAAGTGTGCAGTGGGAAGAAGACAAAGGAGAAGGAAGGAGAAACAAAAGACCCCAGGGCATCTGCTGTCCCTTCTTCCACATGTCCTAGATTTCGGCCCAAGGACCCCTAAGTATTTGCTGTCCCTTGCTGGTATTGTCCTTGATCGTGATCACTCTTCTTCACCCTGAGTCCGGCATTCTGTTGGTCCTTCCCTTCAGAGGGTGCTGCCAGACTTGGAGTCACTAGTCTCAGTCTCTGCTCACATGTCCTGACCCTCAGAGGACTCTAATGTCCAGCCCCCTGCTGTAAGCTTCTGCAGCAGGTGACACTGAACAGCTTGGCCTCCTGGCCCAGCCAGCTCCTCTACAAAGCCAGAAAGACAAAGGTCATTTGCATGCTCCAGACCTTCTCCTTTCCTGGGCCCTGCTCTGGGAAAATTTCCCTTTGGGTCTGAGCACATTTGTTCCACCCTAACTCTGCTAACATTTAGAAAAACCTGGGGCCCCAGTCTGCAGCAGAGGCTGCATCATGCCCCACCCCAAACCCTCCTGCCCCACTCCAGACCCTCCGCTCCCCGTTGCTGTAACTTCAGAGGCTTCTATCATCCCAGGGGAGTGAGTGTAGAATTGGTAGGGTGACAGCATGTGATCACTCACGAGATCAGCTCCCGCGCAAATCATGAACCTCCAAAGCCACAGTTCTGCTCAGCTGCACAGAAAACATCAAGTTCTCAACAAGACAGTTTCTAAGAATAAACAAACAGATAAATCGCATGTAGCCTCTTGCCTTTACCAAAGCAAGTTGTGCAGCAGGATGTGGGTACCAATTGGGCCACAGTCTCTGTGCCTCTGCTGTGTCACCCCACCGTCTGCACAGCCAAAGACTGGCTTAGCCAAGCCCAGAGCATGTTGTCCAAAGGCCATTCCAGCTTCATCTTCCTGAAATCTGATTTGTCTGGGAGTGTGGAAAGATGGGCTTAAACATTGGCCACAACCTAACTGCCAATCTGTTAGGATTTGTCAAATAAATTATGGAGCATCCACATTTTATTGGAAAAATATTATTTTATAAATGGAGAAAAGCCTGGAAAGACCTCTACCAAAATACTAAAGGTGCTTTTTCTGGATGGTGCATTTATAAATGTTGTTAACTTCTTTATGTTATTCAATGGACATGCATTTTGTGAGCAGGAATGATTATATTTAAAAATCTGAGTTTGAATGCCAATTTGATCGTGTCTCAGCTGTGCTATCTTTGGCAAGCCACTTCTTTTCCAGAGTTCCAATTTCTACACTTCTAGGACTGGGGTAATAAAGTCATTTTCATAGCATTGTTCTGAGAAAGAAAATGAGATCATGTGTATGTGTATTGTGTGTGTGTTGTGTATGTGTGTACCCTGAAGCTAGATCTGGCACACTTTTAGAGCAACTCCAGTATGATGGCCACACACAGACACTCTAGAGCCAGGTGGCCTGGATTCAAATCCTGGCTCTGATATTTACCAGCTGTGAGATTTTGGGAAGGTTGCTTGACCACTCTGTGCCTCTGTTTCTTCTCTGTAAAGTGGGGTTGTGATATGAATTAAAAGAATTAGGGCCAGGCGTGGTGGCTTATGCCTGTAGTCCCAGCACTTTGGGAGGCCGAGGTGGGCAGATCACCTGAGGTCAGAAGTTCGAAACCATCCTGGCCAACATGGTGACCCCCCTGTCTCTAATAAATATACAAAAAGTATTAGCCGGACATGGTGGCACACACCTGTAATCCCAGCTACTCAGAAGGCTGAGACAGGAGAATCACCTGAACCTGGGAGGCAGAGGTTGCAGTGAGCCAAGGTTGCACTATTGCACTCCAGCCTGGGGCAACAGAGCGAGACTCAAAAAAAAAAAAAAAAAAAAAAAGAAAGAGAGAGAGAGAAAGAAAAAAAAGAAAGAAAAGAAAGACATGCAAAGTACACAATAAGAGCACAATAAAGATGTTATTATTGCTCTTATTACTTTATTATTGAGTACATGTTCTTTTGCTTTCTTTCCAGGCTGTTGGGATTGAAAGCCCTCTGTGAGCTGTGGGTCTGCCTTCTTGGGGAGAGCCCTGTCCACATTTGGCTGTTCCAGAGTTGAAAGAGACAGAGTGAGGGCCCTCTAGTAGCTTCAGTAGGGGGACTGGAGGCCACCATGAAAACTAGGGTTCAGTGTAGAGCTAGGATCAGAGATCAGAATAGAGTTTAAGGTCAAGGTTCAGTCTGGATCAAGATCAAGATGAAGTTGAGAAAGGAACCAGGTCTGTGTCTGGGGCCAGGGCCCAAGTTTGTCTCTTGCTTTCTTGTGGAGCCAGGCAGGTCCTGGGGCCTGTTCCACAGTGCAGGGCTGGGTTGTGCTCCTGGATGGCCTTTCCCTGGGTCCCACCTTCACCCTGGGGCCTGTTTCAGCCTCCCCATAGACTGCGTGCTGCCCTTCTTCCCAGGCAGTCTGAGCCACCCAGCAGTGCCCTTGACCCCTGCTCAGGGAGTCCCCAGGAGCTGCGCTTGGTGCCCTGGTCCCTGAGCGTCTTCTAGCTTGAGGAGCAGCCAGCTCAGACCTGGCAGGAGGGGGCAGCCTCCACAGCACCTGTGCCAAACCTTAGCTATATTTTTAGAATAGCTCCTGCCTGTCCACCTGGCGGGCAGTGGGCTGGAGGGCTGGAGGGCTGGAGACAAGGAGGCCAGGCGCTCCTTCCCCCAGGCATTGACAAGCTGTTGGAAGGCCCAACTGAGCTGACCTGGGTTCCTACACTGGGCCTTGCTGGTGAGGAGCCGGCATGGAGCTGTGTGCACAGATGGCCCTACATGCGCTCATAATTTGCCAGAATAAGTAGTTATTATTAATCTCCCCTGTGCTCTCCTTCTTACCCTTCCTCTCCCTTTTTCTGATTTTCCCAGGTTGATTGTGAGGTGCATGGAGGCAGGGGTTGCCTCTTTCTTTGATGCTCAGTGCCTTGTTCAGGACCTAGCACACAGTAGGTGCACTGTCAGCAGGAAGCCAGGCACATAGGTTCCCCCTCCATCTTAGAAGCTCATCCAAACAAGATCTATACACAGTAGGGCTTCAGCCAACTCAGATCAGCACACAGGAGGTGCTTTCTCAGCATGGAGCCTGGCACGTAGTAGGCCTCTCCCAGTACAGGATCTGGCACACAGTAGAAATTCCTCCAGCATTGGCACATAGTAGGGCGTCAGCCTTCCTAGAGTGTGCTTCAGAGCAGGCAAGTTTCAGAAAAATGTCCCCTGGGTCAAGTTTTCCTTCTCTCTTCACTGTGCTCAAGAAATATGTACTGAGTACCTAGTACTGCCCCAGTTTGATACCAGGTGTTGCATGGGGGAGCAGAGTAAGGGAGACACAAACCTTTTATTCTTATTTAAAGAACCGACAGCCAAGTGATGAAATACCACCCCTTTACAAATAACTTATGACTGAGGCAGGGGTAAGGAGTGAGGCTGCTTGGAGGAGGTGGTCCTGGAGATGAGTCAAGTTTCTCAAGTCAGCAAAAGTGCAAAGGCAAGTGTAGAGAGTGAGGGTGACCCACGGAGATGGCCATGAACCATCGCTGATCACTGCAGCAAAGTATCATACTGTGGAGGGGGTGGGGTGTCATTCTCTCATTCAACAAGTATCAGGAGCTGTGAGGGGCTGGCATGGCTCTAAGCTGTGATGCTACAGCTCTGGATAAAACTATCCTGCTTCATGGGGGGGCAGGAGGATAGAAAATAGCAGCATATTAGATGTCAGCTGCTGATAGTGCTTTGAAGAAAAATAAAGGAGGGGAAGGGTGAGGAGCTCACTGGAGGGGGTGAGCTCTTTCCACATCTTCTCTGATAAGATGACATGTAAGCTGAAATCTGACTCCAGGAAGGGAGAGGGCATGGTCACGGGGAGAGGAGAACCTGACAGGCAGAGGGAAGGGAGGGCAGGAAGGTGGGGGCCAATTGCCAAGAGCCTTGAATTCTAGGGTAAAGAATTTGGATTGGATTTTGTAGCAGTGGCCAGGCTCTGAAGGCTTTTGAGCAGAGGACGGATGGGATGAGAGCTGCAGGAAGGAGAAGATGGCAGAATTGTGGGCAGCTGAGACCAGCGTGGAGGGGTGGCAGTGGTCCAGGTGGGAGATGCCAGGCCTGGGTGCAGGTAGTGATGGGGGCAGGGCAAGAGGAGGGGCAGATGCCAGGGCTGTGTGAAGGTGGCATTTTCTGGTGTGAGGTTGAAGGAGGATGAAACAAAGGCATGTGAGGGTGAGTTGGGTACCATGATCGGAAATGCACACACCAGGCCCAGGAGTGGGCCAGGAGCAGATGGTCCATCCCTTCTGAAGCTGTTGTTTTCCTCCTGCTTGTCCCTCTCCTCCCCTTGAGCCTCCTCTCTCCCTTCCCCCATGTCCTCTTTTCCCTTCTCCTCCTCTAGCACCTCCTGCTACAATCTTAGAAACTCCACGGTCCAAATCCCAAGTATCTGGGCTTCTCCTCTGCTTTCATCTCACATGTGTTTCTTTCTCCTTCTCTGTCCTTTCTTACCCCTTCTGAGCCAGTGATCCGTAGAGGGTATAATACAAATCAAATTGTCCAGGTCTTCCTGGGGTACCTGACAGCCTGTTGGGGTGGAGACAGTGTCGGGGTAGTTGGATGCCCTGGTTTTTGTGTCTCACAGAATAGGGTTTGCATCTCAACCCTGCCGTGTATGAGCAGCACCATGATGGGTGAGTTATTGGATGCACCTCTGCCTCCGATCCCTCATCTGTGAAATGAGAAGGTGCATGGGCTAGCACGGGGCCTGGCACAACATAAGGGTTGTGTGGGTGGCGGCTGACGCTATGATTATTACTGTTTGTGGTATTGTTACTTATTCGCCAAATGTGAGGCTATCCACCCAGATAGATCCTTCCCATGCGAGAGCCACCTTCAGAGGGGAGTGTGTGTTCCAGGATCAGGCTAGACTACCCAAGTCCTTCCTGATAATGGGCATGCCCGAGTGTCCATAGCCCCACTCCAGAAGGGCTGTCCAGCAGCCCCTTGGAGCATCCTTCCTGCAGCCTGAAGCAGCCACTGAATGCTCCGTGTCCCTGTGGAAGGTCCAGTGGTCACTTGCAGACTCCTGCTGGAGCCAGGAACCCTGGGTTGCCCAAAGGCCAGGACCCCAGTCTGCACTGCACGACCTGTGCTCACATAGACCAAGGGCCGGTGTCCCAGGTGTCCCATCTGCTCTGTCCTGGTGCAGTCCTGCCTCCAGCCCCAGGCTCCAGGTGTCAGGGCTTGCCCAGGAGGCTCTGGATACCCATCGCTCTCCTGTCCCCTGGCCTGGGCCTCAACTTTAATGGAGGAACTTCAGGCACCTGGCTTTGCACTGATCACAGGCCTGGCCCCTATCCTGGCTGCATATCCTCGGGCTGCCTCTTGCAGTTCTGCCTTCTCTCTCACTTTCTGTCAGTCATTCTCATGGGTGTCCCCTGGCTCTTCACCTTGGACAGAGATTTCCGAGGGGGCCAGGAGTTTGACATCCTAGGGAAATCAGGATGCTCCAGAACGTAGGTCCCCCTTGGAGCACAACAGGGCTTCATCTGCAGGGATCCATGGGAATGAAAGACACTTCCCTGTCCAGCATAGGTGGTAGGAAGAGCAGAACATCCAGAGTCCCCATTCATCAGCTGTGTGACCTTGGGAAAGTCACGTAATCTCTCTGAGCTTCTGTTTCCTCAATTCTGAAGTAAGACTAGCAATTCTATCCTCTCAGGGACAGCGTGCTGATCATATGAAATTACACACACCAAAAGAACCTTTGAAGCCTCCAGGTGCTGGAGAATATTGGTTACCTTTTCCTACCTGAGTCAGGAGGCTCAGATTGTGCCTCTAAATTGAGAGACACTCTGAGCTATCTGTATTCTCTTGTACATCTCCGGTGTCTTTCCATCTGTTGGCAGGAAGGATCAGTCTAAACGATGTTGCAGGATCAGTCTAAATGACGTCGCAAGTCTCTGCCAGGTCTGAAAGCCTATGATTGACACTTGGGTTTTTCCATTCCCTGGCCGAAACCCAGAGGCCTGAGAGCCCATCCCTGACCAGGCAGAGGCCCCAGGCCTGGTCTTTGAGACTGGCTCAGGCCCCCTCTAGCTGCCCAGTCTCACTTCACTCCCCACAACCTCCACTCCACTGCTTCTTCTACCCTAAACTGGTGCTTTGTCCAGAAACTAGTTGCTGTGATTCCACTGTTTATCTGGAGACAATACAAGTCAATTGAAACTGCCTCATCAGGAGAAATATGTTCCACTTAGATCATTAAATTAGCTCGACACCGGCCTTTGATGAGGCCTGCTTGAGAAAGGCGTCCGCCCTTGTGCTCCAGTGATCATTGGCCACTGTGGGCCATTTGCTTAATGAACAGTGTGGCCGACGGCCAGGGGTGGAGCCAGCTGGGCACACCTGCTGCCCACAGGCCAGCATGGCTGGGGCAGCCTCTCTAGGTCTTGCCTTGCTACCACCAGGCTCAGCAGCTGGCCCTTCTGAGAGGGCACCAGGGTCAGCTCAGCCACTGCTAGAGACCATAATATAAAGATGGCACAAGCCACTGTTCGCTAGACTCTTCCTGTGTCCTCTGCCAGGTGTGGACTGAGAGCTCTGCAGACATTACCTCGCTGAAAATACCAGCAGCCTTGAGACGTCAAGGTGGTTGTTCTCCCATTTTAAAGATGAGGAAATTGACATAGACCCACATCTCTCTGACCCCAAAGCACAAACCCCTAACCACCACACTCAGTGGCCTTGGGAGATCACAGGGAAGGGGGTGCGGTGGAGGACTGAGGTGCAATATGAGGGGAGACTGCAAGAAATGGAAAACTCCAGCAACCCTTACCCCAAGTCTCCAAGGCCCCATTTCTCTTCCCTTCTGATCTGGCTCTGGCCTCTCTTGTGGCTTTAGTCCAGAGAACTGAGAACACTCTCTTCCCTCTCTTCCTCCCTCCTCTTTTCTTCTTCCCTCCCCTCTTCTCTGGTATCTTGCAACTCTCAATTTCCTGCTTCCTCTCAAATTCCAACACTTGGGGGACTACAGAAATGAGTGGGAAGCCTGCAGCCCCTTCGGCCTGAGGGGATTCCCTGTGCCATCTCTGATATTTATCTCCAGGGCACAACGTTCTTCAACCAAGTTCATCCCACTTTCCCAAGGCTTGCTCTGCTAGCAACAAAACACCTTCTAGCTATTTCTTTACTAGCAGAGGAAGCCCTGGGAAAGTTGTTCTCCTCTCTCCTCTCCTCCCTCCACCCCTTTTTCATTTCCCCTCCTCCTTTTGGGGAATAGGATTTATAAGACAGGTTGCAGCCTTTTGAGGAGCACTCAGTTTGAGCTGTATGTATCCCAGGTGGAAGGCTGAGTGACAGCTTCAGGTTTCCTCAGATGCCCTGTGTGAGATGCCATGTCCTGAGCTGGTCAAGAGCTTGGTAAGAAGCTACCAAGGGCCAGGGGCATCTTTCTGCCAAGCTAAAGTCCCTGTCTGGAATGAAGCTCTCACCCATATGGAGATACCTGGCAGGTACCTGCAGGACCAGGAAAAACAGTGTGAGGCCAATGCTTGCAGCAGACCAGCTCATGGTTGGGCAGCACGGGGCAGAGATGGGTCTCCCTGGCTTCCCAGGGCTTCTCCCTAGAGAGTAAGCTGGGAGAGCAAGCACATGTGCCTTGCTCATCCTAGAGCCCAGTGACTGCTGTGCCCACAGGATAAGAGTAGACCATAAATTAATGAATGAGTGATAGCTGGCTATCATTAATTCTGCTACTATTCGTTCATTTTCTTTTATTTATTTGCTCATTTATTGTCTACTTTTGTCAGGAGTTTTCTGGTTCGGATCTTAACATATAATTATCTCCAGGTCCAGGACTAGGGAGAGACTAATGAGATGCCTCAGGCACAATATTTAAGGAGACATTGCTCTCAGGGTCATGCTAGTGCCTGATTAGCTCAGCTCCTGAAAATAACCTTGCTGGTCGGTATTGTAATTTCCATTGTGTAGAGGTGGAAATGGAGTCAGAGGAAGGCTACTTTACATCTTCTAGTCACCTGGCTGGTAATATTTGTTCCCAGATCTATGTGGCTTCAATGCCTTCCTTCTCTCCTTGGTCTCAGTTTCTCTGCCTTGCTTGACCCCTCAGCCAGGGACCTGGGATGGGGGAGGGAGGAGGAGTTGCAGCCACATGCTTCTTTTCATGTTTTATGTGCTGCCCCAGCCCCCCCAACCCCCAACAACCACCCTCATCTCCTGCACCCTGTGCAGAGGCTACCAGGTGTCTAGGTCTAGTCCAGTCTCCTCTGTTTAGATGAATGTGACCATGGGCAAGTTACTTAAACTCCTCATGCCTCAGTGTCCTTAGCTCTAAAAAGGGACACCATAGTCATCCTTATGTCATGGGGTGCAGGAGGGATGCTGGTGAGTGGGAATGTGTAGTGGGTACAACACTTAGAACAGCACCTGCCACATAGCTTCATGTAGTTGTTATTGTTTTGCATAGCCTTGTAATCTGAAGGTGGGGGGAGTCTGCAATGAGCCCCAAACCCTCAGTCCACTGAGCTGCCCTATCAGGAGAGTGGTCCCCCACTTCCCCAGGGTTAGCAGTTCCCTGGGCTGCCAGCTTCACCTCAGTTCTCCTGGGATGGTTAGTGCCCAGGAGCCACTGGGAGGTGGAACCATGGGGGCGGGGTTTGGCCCCTGACTTCCTAGTTCCCCTCCAGCTACAGGCAAGGCATGGGGGTGGGTTTTGGCCCCTGACTTCCCAGTTCTCCTCCAGCTGTAGGCAAGGGTTGGGGGTGGGGTTTGGCCCTTGACTTCCCAGTTCCCCTCCAGTCAAGTGATGAGGTGGAGTTTGACCTCCACCTGCGGTCAAAGGGTGGAGGTGGGGTTTGGCCCTTGACTTCCCAGTTCCCCTCCAGCTGCAGGCAAGGGAACAGCCTCCCTAGCTCCTTCTAGCTTGAGCTCTCCTGGAATTCACGGGAGGTTTGGAGAGAGAGTATTCACACTTCACTGAAAACGTGTTTCAAGCAATTAGCAGGTCTTTACCAGAGGAGCCTTTGAAGTCCAAGCCCAGACCCATCTCTGTGAAGGGTTTCCGCAGAACTGACAAGCTGGCAGACGCTGCTATCAGCTCGGCCCTTTCCTAAGTGCCAGGGGCTCCTGGCTCTGGACTGGCACCACAGGACTCATGTGAGTCACCCCGCGGTGGCAGCGCCAGCATCATCACCAGCACAGAGACCTGCTCGACGGAGAATTCAATGTGTGCTGCTGCAACTGCAGGTAGTGCCGTGGAGTTCGGCTTCCAGTGGGGTCCTGTGTCAAGTCCATGGGATTTTCCTGCCCTCCAGGTCTCCCAACCCCAGGCTGGCAAGTGGAAGCCTGGACTGAACTTGGAGCTCCTGCATCCTCAAAGAGTGCTTGGCCCTGTAGATTATTATTCATTGAATAAACAGATGAATTTCTCTAACGATAGTGCCATGGCCTGCAGTTAGCCTCTATTCCTGCATCTGCAAGGTGGAAACAGGCAGGGTGAGGGGGGGATAGGCTACCTAGTCTCCAGGATTCTGAGCTTGAACTCGCTTTCCTTGGAAGGGCTTATATTGCAGTGGAATGAAGATTAGGTCATAATTCTGCTCCCCTTTAAAAGCTGCATGATCTTGAGCAAATCAATGGATGCATCTCAGTTTCTCCATCTGTGAAATGGGTAAAATAAGCTTGATTTTGCAGGGCAGTTGTGAAGACAAAAGGAGATAATGCCTAGAAAGCGCCCAGCACAGCAGGTGCTTGTGGTCTATTGAATACAAGCCACACCTCTTACTGTGTCTTTTCTGACTGCCTCTCACAGTGTCAAAGTAGACCATAGCCACGGTGGGAGGGGCGCCTTTATACAGCACTCCCCCCCTCCACCCCACTGAAGATGGAGAGAAAGAGAGAGCCAGCCAGCATGGGAGCCAAAGGCAGCTGTCCCCACTCTCCTGTCCCGTGAAGCCACCCCCAGCCCGGGCCTCTGGGCTTCTGTTTGATTCCCTTTCCCTGACATTCCATCAATCATCGTAATTGCTTCTCCCGAAAAATGAATTTGTAGTTGATTTCTTCAAAAGAGGGAATCAGCCAACAGATAAAAAGGTTGTTTTATTTAATTTGCATGAAGAGGCTGCCTGCTGCTGCCCAGCTGTGTGTCTGGCGCTTGGAGTGGGCATGCACAGGTAGATGCAGGCTGTGTCCTGGCTCAGGGATCATCTTGCCAGGCTGCCTGGATTTTTGGTCACAGAGACTGGGTCATGAGAGTCCATCCTGATCTGAAATCATTCTATCATGGGAGACCTGCACCTGCACCATACTTGTCATTTTTGGGATAGAGAAGGGCTTCTAGCCCAGGAGACTGAGACCCAAGAAACCACTTACGGGGGCAGAAACTCAGGAGGTCAGGGGGTCTAATAGGCCAGGAACCCAATACACATGGCAAACATCATCACATTTTCTTGGGAAGGGAGGTGGACATTTAAAATACATGTGTGTTTGGGTCTGATTGGGAACCACAGGCTCCTCCCTGAGATATATTTCCCTGAAGAATGTTGTGTGTCCTCTCCAAGTCAGCAAACAGTGGTGCTCCCTTGTGCTGGGGATGTGGCTGATTCTCTCCAGAAGCTTCTAGTGCCATGAGTGTGAGCTCTGTTTTCAGGAGAAATCCTTTGCAAGGGGCGAAGATTAACTAGCAAGGCAGAGCCACAGCTTAGGGTATCAGAAGTGGGATCAGCCAGGGAGAAGCATGTAAGGGGATACCTTCTCCTCTGCCAGGCCCCTCAGATGCTGGGCAGTGCCCCGGGAGGCAGGCCCCAAGGTTTTCTGAGGCACAATGCAGCAAGACTCGTAGTGTTATGCAATATCTCAAGAATATACCAAACACTTCATTCTGGCATCAAGATGCTCCAGAGACCCAGGTCCCCCATGAATATTTACCATCCAAATCTGGGGTAAAGTGGGTAAATGAAAGTGGGTTGTATTAGTAATTACTTCTAAGAACAGGTATCAACTAGGACTGTCCCTAAGACAGCAAGACATATGATTACTCTGATCATGTATCAGATGCAATAGAGACAAAGGCAGATAGAGTATCCTTCCAGAAGTTGCCCAAAAGAGCACTGGACCTCTCTGGATAGAGCCATAGGGCCTCTGTGGGGCTACCAGGGCCACAGGACGGAGGTGGAGACACAGTTGGGTTGTACCAGTTGGGGGTTGGGCTGCTTCTGCTCGGGCAAGTCCTGTCCCATCTCTGGGCCTCCATTTCCTCTCCATGAGATGCTGAGCGTCACAGTATCTTGTATAATTATTACATTCTGTAATTGCCTCGCTCCTTTATTTTCCTTGCTTATTGCTTGTGTTCCCACCTGTCATGGAAGTCCCTGAGGACAGAGGGACTGTGTTGTCTTATTCACAGCTGTGTACCCAGCTCCGAGAATAGTGCCTAGGACCAGTAGATCCTTGATAAATGGGATGTGGATTTGAGGGATCACCGAGGGACCTCATTTGCAGACACTTTTCAGGTATGATAGAGATGACTGTGTCAGGAGGGCCCAGGGACAACGGTAGTGGTAGTGGACCAGGCCTCCTCTGGCAGCCCTTCCTGAACAAGGGTCCCCCTCTGATTCACGTGGAATCCTTCTACCCACATTCTCTGAGAAATAGCAACATTCAGACTTGGGCACACTATCTTGGTTACAATTATTAAGGGAGGTTTGGAGTGGTGTTTGGAGGGGCTTCCACAACTTAAAACTTTATGAAGTTGACAACAGGATTATTGACAATGATTAAATACTCTTTGTAGTTTTCTACCAGTTAAATCAAAAAGCATTATCCTTGTAATACACATTTCTGCTTTTTCTTCCTTAGGGGCTGATGACAGCCCTGGCCTCACATGCTGTGTTGTGCCATC
This sequence comes from Homo sapiens, assembly GCF_000001405.40. Classification (NCBI taxonomy): domain Eukaryota; kingdom Metazoa; phylum Chordata; class Mammalia; order Primates; family Hominidae; genus Homo; species Homo sapiens. The sequence goes on along the minus strand of NC_000001.11, from coordinate 36,939,524 downwards.
TCATTTGCTCTTCTTCCTAAATGATCCCTCCTAGGAGGCTCCCGTCTGCCTTCTGCATGCAGTTCTAGTCCCACCTCTTCTAAGCGGGGATGGCTGGTGCCAGCTTGTGTCAACGTAGCTCTCCTTACTATTTGCAGAAGGGGTTTGTTCTTTGCTTGTGAGTATGCAAAGCCAAGTCCAGGGTCTTTCTCTGTTGCTTTGTTTGAGAGAGTTTCTTCCTCCAGCACCCTTGCAGCACCCTGCAGGAGAAAGGCTGCTGTTCTGATGTTGCTACTCCCCTTGGGGGCTGCACCTCTCCGCCCCGCTCCCTCTGGGGGCACATGATCAGCTTTTCATGTTTCACTTCCATGCGTTGTGTGGTGGAAGGATATTAGGCTTTGATTGCCAGTAAGAGAAGCCTCGTATCAAGTAGCTGATGTGTCAGTAGTGATATTTACTGACTCATACAGCCAAATGCGGGAAGGGCAGTGTTGGCTTAGCCTTAGGGACAGCCAGAGCCAAGGACTCAAAGAGACGAGACTCAAAACTCTCTCTCTCTCTTTCCGTCTTGTGCTGGCTCATGTGTCCTCTGCTTTTCCCGGTGAATCATCTTCAGCCTCTCAAGTTGGCTTCCCCACGAGGCCAGAATCATAGCCTCTGGGAGCTCCAGGCTTTCATTTGTTGTAGTTTTATGTCAAGAGAGAAAATGTCTTCTCCCTCCCCTCTCTTGTTTGAAAGGACTCCATTGGCTAATCTTGGGTCAGCTGTCAACCCCCCAACAGTCACTGTGGTCAGGGAGTTGGGCTCAGGTACAAGAAGAGCAGCTCCCATTCAGAACACAGGTTGAGAGTGGGAGGATGAGAGTCACTGTCCTAAAAGAGGTGGGGCTGGGGGGTGACACAAACACTGCTGCTGGGGGATGGTTTGAGCTGGGAAAAGTCACTCTGGGTTGTGACTGACATAAGTGGGGGCTTTTCATCTCCTGGCCTTTCAGCAGGGAGATCTTTTAGAGTCAGTCCAGGCTGAAAACACATTTCTCCAATGAACAACAGAGATGCAACATCACGGCATTTCTGACTGACACTACTGGTTCCCTCCCCGGCAGTAGCAGGTCAAGGTTTTACTGTTTAATCATTGCAAACCCCTGCTATGTGGTCATTCAACTTTGGGTTTCAGAGGTGCTGGATTCTGCTGAAAGCACCCTCATGCTTTTTATGGGAATGTACCTCCATTGCCTGACCTGGAACGGGTCCTACCTCCTCCATCCTCTCTCTCTGCCTGGTCTGGGTTGGAGTCACCTGCAGTGGACCCAGGGTATGGTGCCATCATTTCCTACTTTAGGGAGGCCATCCACCACTTCCTGCCCCTGCCCTTCAGCCTCAGCACTTGCCCTTGATCTCCATGCTGCCTTTTCTGCAGGTGCAGATTGCACTGAAATTGCATGTGTCTTTCTCTCTTACCAGTCCATGAGTGCCTGAAGGGCATGGACTAGGTCTTATGCATGGGTTTGTTCCTAACACAGGACACAGGGCTGGACACCTAGTATATCTTTAAGGGAATGCTTATTGATTAACCAAAAGAATGTATAAAGGCTTGGCATGTACACTAGCAGATTAGGTTAGCAGAAGGCTGAGCTGTCCAGCAGAGACCACTCCATGCAGTTTGGCCATTAGTTATGTGAGAGCCCTCCAGGTTGACTACATAAGGGTAGTTTCCTCCAACTGGCTTAATTCATGGATGTAGTGGTCCCTGTACTATTACGAATTGATGGGACACTTGATTGTTCATTATAAACCTGAAGCAATCGCAATTGGAATGGCTGTTTCCAAAGAGTTCGTTTATTTTCTTTTTTTTTCTTTTGAGTCTTACTTATTTCCTCAACTAGATTGTCAATTCCACAAGGGCAGGAACTAAACCTTAGTCACCTCTGCTCCACCGCTGCTCCCTGCCCGTAATCATTTAGGCATGTGAGGCACGGGACTTTATCTCTGGGGTTGTTTCTCTCCACCGAAATTTCTGTTTCACTGAATCACAATAAACTCAGGCTGAAAATCTGTGATGTCTTAGATAGTCATCCTGTAATGAGAAATAGCTCACAGGCTGATTATAGCTTCCATCATCAAATTTTAGACTGCAGAACTGAGTCCAGTTCCATCCTTGCATGCAGAGTACAACAAGAGATTGCCTTCTCCCTTCTCAACTTTCCCACTTCCATGAACGTGGTGGCTGTCCTTAGCCATCTAGGAAGCTGATTCACACCGGGCTTGTTGTTCACTCGAGGGCGTGGCACCATGCTGTGTCTCCCCATCCCACTCTGTGCTCCAAGGATAGGACTTCAGTTTACTCCAGGGACAGCTCATCTTTTCAGAGTTAGCCCATTGTTCCTGCTCGCTGAGGGTCTTCCATCCTGCTCCACAGTGCCATCCTTCTGGCTGTGTCACACACTACAATTTGAAGGGCCCTGTCTTCTGAATCTTCAGCTAAGCCAACATGAAAACTGGTGGAGAGGACAGCCCGATATCCTCCACTGCGTGTCCATTGACCACCCGGCTGTGATCATTCACTCTGTGGGTGGCGGGGATCCTACCCCCCGCACCTGTTGTTGTATCCAGCTCCCAATTCTTCATCTTTTCTACAATAACATCATGAGATAGTTAAATTCTCTTATAAAATCCCAGATCTACTGAATTTACCTCACCTTCTCATCCCAATGTTCCATCAGAAAAAAAAAAATGAGGTTAAAGTCTGACATTCCATTTGTTCGCACATTCACTTAACAGCCCCTAGCATGCCAGACTCACTTGGCAGAGGATGGAATAGACAAAGTCCCTGACCTCATGAAGCTTACATCCCCGTGGGAGGAGAAGAAAATAAACAAGTACGTGTGTGAGTGCTGGATGGTGTTAACTGCTTTAATAAAGCCGGGGAGTAAATAAAGCTGGAGAATGGGAATGGGGTGGGTCAGGGGCAGGACAGACAGTGCTATTTTATGTAGCAAGATCAGGAAAGCATTCATCAGCCGAGGTGCCCTTTCAGCAAATATCTGGCTTCTGGCAAACTCATACTGGCTCTAACTCATCACTCCCTGCTTTCCTAAGATCTTGCAAACTATAACCTTTCAAGAATTGAACCTGAGAATTTTCTTTGGTTATCATCAAATGCTTTGGGATTTCTAGACTCCATCTTTGGAAAACCGTGCCATCTTGTTTTCCATCTCTTCCTAGTGACTCTTCCACCTCATGAAACCCATTAGTGAGCCCCCTTGCCATCCCCTGATTTGCCCTGGGTTGGGATTCCTCCAGGATGGGGGGATGATTCTAGCTTGGACCAGCAAAGCATATTTTTGTATTTTCTTCACCCATCTCAGGCTTCAGTTTCCTCCCATCAAGGCTCACTTTACTCTTCAGTCTGAGGATGATGCTCTTTGACAAAGAAGGGGTGGGAAGTTCCTCTTTGCGTTATTTATCTCCCCCTGTGGCCAAAATAGCCCCATTCCCTGTTTCTGGGATTTGTTTGTAGTTTTCTGTTTTCCCTGAGACTTGAGTATCTAGGACAGCATGTTTAAGAAGGGAAGACAAGAAAAGTGCATGGCAACAGCATCTTCTTTTCAAAATTTCAGAAAGCAATCTGAGGGAGTCGGGGCGGCAAGTCTTCAAGCGCACCATCAATTTGCGATTAATTGGTTTAGAATCCATTAACCACATTTTCCTGCCTGCCTCTGCCTGTCTCTGGAATGGTGCTTGAGTTTTCCGATTCTTTGAGTTGCCAAACTAATAATTCACCTACTTTATTTCCTGACTCGCAGTTAGTTTGTTTTAGTCTAAATAATGCATATTCAGCTTCATTAGCATATATTTGGATCATTTCCGACTTGAATGTATTCAATCCCATCAATTTACCATTAGTGAGATCATTCAGGAGGGAAGTTTCCATATCTCTAATGCTTGTGTCAGTCATTCTCATCTTTGCTGGGTGCGGGGGCAGGGTGGGGAGAAGAGATGGGGGAGGGGAGGAGAAGGGAAGGCTGCTTTCCCCAGATACAGAGCGGTCATAGGACCCCAGTTATCCCAGATTCAGAGGACTCCCGGCCTGAATAGGACAATGGTAATCCAAATGTGGTGGAGAATTCTGGATGCTAATGCATGTATTTGGATATTAAGAAGGTCAGGCAATGTGTTCACAGTCTATGGTGACCTTCTACCTGGGTATATGGGTACCCAGGATTGCATATCCAGGGACCCAGATGTTTAAATTGAAATTAAAAAATGAGTTGCCTTAGAGAACCATGATATGCATTTATTCCGCCAATATTTATTGAACCCCTACTATGTGTCAGGCACCGTGCTGGGTGCTGGGTGTACAGTGGTGAATAAAACATTCATGAGGTCATGTGAGTGTCATGAAACTTACAAATGGTAGGGGCAACAGTTGCTGAACAAGTATACCTAAGTGCATGTAACAGAATAGAGTTATTAACTACTCTCCTACTCCTTTTACATCCTTTGATTGGCTGGTGGGCAATGGGGAGGAAGGGATTGGAAGAACTAAGAAAGAGCTAAATTACTCCAAATACAACAGGGAAGTGGAAATCAAGGCCTGGAAGGAAAGGTGCCAGATATGGAGAAGAAAAGTAGACATAGGTGCCAGAGAGGGGAGCCAGGAGGGAGGCTAAAGAGATGAAAGAGAAGAGAAGAGAACTGGCAGTTGCCTTGGGATTGGAACTTTGGGGAAAGAGATGTCAAAGAGATATTTAGCATGATCTTGCTGGGTGATGTATGCTGAACTCCCCTGCTCCATCTTCCCACATTAAATGTGTTTCCATTGTGTCTGGCAGGTGTGTGCACCTTAGTACAGGGATAAGCGAGGCCCCAGCAACGTGGCACTGGGAGAGATCTCTCTGCTTTGCAGTTTTCACATCTAATTACTATTTGTAATAAGAGTCATGAAGGAAAATACTGAGGACTGGGAGGTCGGGAAAGGCTTATCTGAAGATGTGACATTTGAGTTGAGACCTGAGAGATAAGAGTTGGCTGAGAAGAGTGGATGAGACAGCATCCCACCAGAGGGGACAGCCTTGTGGACCCCTGAGCTGGTGAAGAGTTCTTTGTTTAAGGAAATGAAACAAGATCACCATGACTAGGGCAGAAGGAACTGCGGGTTTAGCATAAGGAATATGAGATTCAGAAAAGTGCTTGGTGACCAGGAAGAGAGAGCAATGTCATGGGAGTCTGCACACAGGAGAGTAGGCAGGCAGAAAGGTCTGGGCATCTGTCTGGGCTGCATGCCAGCCAGAGGGAGGGAGGCCCAGGAGATCGGGTCAGCTGTACAGACTGGATACAGACTCTCACCCAGAAAATCCAGAGTGGAAGAGCCTTGTGTCCTTACCACCCTGTGCCATCCAATGCTACCAGGACCTCAGGGAAGACTTGTCCCACCTACTCACTCACCCTCAGACAGAAGAGACATTGGAAGAGAGAGTAGAGGGCAGCCCCTTGTGACCTTACTGCTCAGGCCCTGGTCTCTAAGACACAGTATCCCTGCCCACTGTAAGTGTGGTCCAGTGGTCTCTGACCATGCAAATTCACAATTCCTTATCCCACAGTGGGGCATAAAGATGAGGTGGTGGGGGGCGAGATGCTCAAGTGGAAGTTCTCCTTCCTCTGGGGAAAAGCAGAAGGTCGAAGAGAGGGCAGTGAGGTTCCTGCCACACACCCAGGACTTACCTGGTCTACCCAGCTGAAGAAATAGAGAAGGGACATGACCTCCGTCACACAGCAGCATCTGACTTTCAGCCTTGTGTGCCTTCTATCATACCTTGCTGCTGTCCTTGAACTTGGAAGTAATGTTGGAAAAAAGTGTGTAAGACACATGAATGTCTTCCGCTGCCTCAAGCCAACCAAAGCAACTAGAGATAGTGTACCTTTGATTATGACCTAGTCACTCAGTTGTCGGTGAGTGGATTAACAGGCTGGCAGGTAAACCACAGGAAAACAAATAATTCTAAGGAAAATAATAGGAAAAGCAGATGTGATGGTGGAGGGGGAAATCAAATTGATTACCAATCAGAGATAACATCTTTATTTAAAAAGATGCCAACTGTTTGAAACTACATAGTTACCATTAGGTTTACTTCATGTCTCTGGCTGCATGAAAACATCCCTCCCCATCAGCAGTCGGTTCAGGCAGCACATGGAGTGGTGAGCACCTTGATGAAAACACCTTCACGAGTGACTTTGCTGTAATGCGTGTGAACTGAGGTTTGACACCTTGAGCAAAGTGAAGTCACTTGGCAGAGAGGTGGGGAATGGCAGGGGTGGGGGGCACAGAATCAAGGCTCTGAAGCTGCTGGGCGTAGTCACCTGGCCCGTGTAGCCTGCCAGACTGTTTAGAAAGCAGAGAGTTCAGCTTGCTCAGTGACAAGCCGCTTTAGTGTAGGCTTTGTTCTCTATTCACAAAAAAAAGATAGCTCAGATAGAAACAGACAATGTAACAGACTGCAGAATGAATGGTAAACGTGGTTCTACATATTGGGCAATTGTAACAGAATCAGTTCACATTAAATCTGTTATTCGGCATGTTTTGGTTATTAGCGTTAGCAGTGATTTGGGGTTCTCCATGACCTCTTCCTCCCTCCATTATTCCAGTACGTGCATTTGAAATAGATTTATGTGCCAGGCCCTGGGCTGGAGATACTACAGCAAGCAAATAGATGCAGTACCTAGCCTCAGGGTGTTTCCAGGGGTGAACTGACTGTAGATACACTTGTGACAGCAACCAGGTGTAACTGCCTCTCTATCCTCTTCAAAAATGTAGAGAATGAAAGAAGAAGAAAATCAAGTTAATTTAGGAGGTAGAGTGGACAGATTCCAAGTGGCAGTTTGGAAAGTAATAGCAATCTTATTTTAGCCAAGAAGCTTCTTAATAGAAGATGTGCCACTGGCTGTAAAAGTGGTCATCTTGGCTGCGGACCCTTCATTGGAAATGGAAGGCCCTGGGAGTGTTGCCTCTGTGGTCTTTCACTTCTGAACCCGGAAGGGGAAGGATGCAGAACTTCCAGTGTCCCTGGTAGCAATGAACAAAGAAACGAAGGATGACCTTGGAAGTGCTCGGTGTTTCCTACACCTCCTACTCTGGTACAAGAGGGGACTGTGGCACATCCAAGTCCCACGGGGCCAGAGTGGACTGTGGCTGTCGCATGCTTGGGAGTGGCATTCACCAGGTTTCTACGATTGGGCACTAACCAAAACCAAGGGCCAGCTTTCTACACCTGGAAGCTCTACAGCATGATAAGAATTAAAACAAGCATCGAATGAAGTCATATGATGACTAAGATCAGTCAAATTGGAGTTACGGTCAATCAGCAGGAAATTGTCAACATCGGAATTCACAGCCTTGCCCTAGAGAAGGAAGGAGAAACAAGCGGAGAGGCCAGCAGATCTGTGGGATGTTGCCCCTCAAGGAAGCCACAACAATAGAACAAGTTTATCCAGGAAGGGGAGAGGGTAATGAATCCAGGCCGTCACAGTGAGCTTCAGGTCAGATAGGGGGCAGGACAGGATGAGGAGGACGGAATGGCTTGGCTAAAGAGTTGATGCAGAGCTGGGTCCTCTGGAAGATCCAGCCAGGATCAGCAAGGAGAAAAATGTGATGGACAATTTCCTCTGGAGAAACAGAGGCTGACAAGAGAGGGGTCACAAAGTCAGCCCCAACCAGGCAGCTGGGGAGCAGACAGAACTCCTCGCCAGATGCCAGAGACACAGCATTGAGACCCAGACAGAAGGGGCTGCACACGCCGCTCTGTGGGAGTGGGTTGGAGAAGCTCTCATCTAGTCCTGATGCCAAATTAGGAAGATGGACTCTCCTCCAGATGTCTCCACTCTCAGGCATATGGCAAAGAAAAACACTCTTCTACTGAGGCGAGAACAATCATTTATTGAATGCCAGCATTGTGCTGGGCGCTCAATACAGACTGGGGAAATAAAACAGTCATTGTCCATATCCTCATGAAACTTGCAGTCTTTTAGGGGATATAGACAACAAACAAGTAAATAAATACATGTATAATTACAAAATGTGTTAAGGATGAGGAGGGAAACAAACAGGATTCACAATGAAGAATAAATAACAGAGTGATGAAACCTCAGAAAAAGTGATCAGAGAAGGCTCTTTGAGGAGGCAGGGTTTAGGCTGAGACCTGGAGTGATGAGGACCCATTTGTGCCTCTCTCCAGGGGAGGCTGGGCCGAGAGGGAGCTGATGTCAGTAGGAAGGGCAGGCAGATGTTTCTACTTCTATTCAGTCATGTTCCTTATTGAATTTCCCTGTTTATCCTGCTTTTATTAAGAGTCATCTCAGGTCTCCCATAGTAGTTTGACAAATTTACTTTACAGAGAAAGAACTTGCTGGTATGAAGACTTGTGATAAATACTTTCTAGTTCCAACCGACTGAGTGAAGGGGAGACTCTGCTGAGCTTGACTCCATCAGCTGCTGCAATGGTGACCAGAAAGGCAGGCCCCGCACCTAGAAGAACATGGTCCCTGAGACTATGCTGTGCACCTCCAAGCTATGCCAGAGATATAGGGTCAGCAGGTATCTCAGGAGCATACACTCAGCTTTCCTACCTAAAAGCGTAGCTAGTTCCACTGCCTGTTTCGTTGGCTGAGCTCATGCTGGCAGATAAGGGTAGCTCTCAAGATACAGGTTTTGAGGGAGACAACTCCTCGTTCCTATTGTTCCCTTGGATAGTGGTGACAAAGTCACTCAGGGAAATGGTACTATTCCAAATGGGGCTATAAGGAGCCCATTCCGTAATATTTCCCCCATACCCCACTCCAAAGGCACCACTCACACCATCCCTGGCCTGGTGTCCACCTACCTTGGCCCATTGTGGTCAGGCCTGTGGACAGTTCAAGGCTTTGGGTAGGGATGTAATGCCCCATGTGGAATTTCAGGCTAGTAGACTTACATTCATGTCTCATCAGGCATGTGTGATGGACCAGAGCACAAGAACTAAGGCATGGTGATGCTGGACAATTCCTTTGCCTGTATTGGCCTCCATTTTCTCATCTATAAAATTAGAGTTTGGGCTGGGTGGTTTCCAGCTCTGACACTTAGGATTTATGATTCCACAAGGTCAAGGGATTGAAGAGGTCAAGAGAGGCAGCTGATGAGAACAGAGTATAAAGACCAAATCACCACTGGGGAAATATGGTGGCTGAGGTCATTCAACATGAAGTTTGTGTGCACCTGCAGGTCTGAAGAGGGTGCACACACCTATCACCAAGTTCCAGAAGCTGAAACCAGAAGGCCAATCTCAAAAGCCAGCCTCCAAGAAGGCCCACATTGATCCTTCCCCCTGGTATTCGTGTCCTTATAATTCCTCTTCCACATTGTATTAGGGTCATCCTGTGTGACCAATAAAATATAATGGGACTGACAGGCTGTGACGCCTAATGCCAGGTCATAAAAGACATTGCCACCTCCACCTTGCTCTCCTAGATCACTCATTCTTGGGAAGCATGTCATGAAGACACTTAAACAACTCTATGGACTGTCAGGAATGGAGGCCTCCTGCCAGCAGCGAGCGCCACTGTGCCAGCCACATGAGTTAGCCATCCTGGAAGTGGTTGCTCCAGCTCCAGCCAAGCTTTCAAAAGCCTGCAGCCTAGGCTGACATCTTGACTGCAGCTCCTGCAAGACCTTAAGCCAGAACCATCCAACGAAGTTGCTTCTGAATTTCTAATTGTATGAAGAAACTTTGTGAGATAATGTTTATTGTTGTTTTAGGTCACCAAGTTTTGGAACAATTTGTTACACAACAATAAATAGCTAATACACCATCCCTGAAATTCCAAAGGCAGGGACTCGAATATGGTGCTTCCCAGACTTTATTTGCTGGGTCTCTGGCCCCAGGAGATATTCACTGAGGAAAAAAACTAGAAAATCCCTGAAATAAAGAAAGCTATTTAGTTTTGTTTAACCCAGGGTTTCTCAAACCCACATGATGATGGACACCCTTTGTGCCTGAGATTTCCAGAAATTCATGTCCTATGGAATGTGGTTTGGGAATTACTGTTCTGGGATAAATAGCACATTTGATTTTTACCAATGTACTATAATCTTATGTGCTTGTTAACCCCAGGATCTATTGGGGTTGAAAATATATCTAAAATATATCTAAATTTATTCATGCATCCATCAGTACCTTCACCCATTTATTCTACAATGTTCACAGATGCCTCTCTGCTGGAGTATAGATTCACTCCTATACTCCTGGTGCTCACAATGAGCACCTTCGAAGATGGAGATACAGTCTCCATCTTCAAAGGCTCAAAGCTGAATGGGGTTTAGCAGAGTGGTTAGAGTGTGGTCTTGGATGTTGTAATGCCTGACTCTGAAGCCCAGCTTCATCCCTTACAAGCTAGGTGACCTTGGGCAGGTTTCTTCACCCCTCTATGACTCAGTTTCCTCATCTGTAAATCGAAACTAAGAATAACTGTACCTATCCCATAGGAAAGATTTTATGATTCCACAAGGTCAAGGGATTCAAGTAACATAATAAATGTTCAATAAACATGAGTCATTCTCATTATGTATATTACCCATTCTTTAGGGTTCAGCACAGGTGCTATCTCCTCCAGGACATGTTCCTTGACACCTGTACCCCAAGGCTGACTAAGATGCCCCTAGTTCTCCTTCCTTGAGAACATCCTGATCTTACCTCCATCTGAGCATTTTCCTACTGCATAATTGGGGACAAAGAGGGGCCTAATATGACCAAAGCAGAGAATACAAAAGAATGAGGCTGAAGAAGTTTGGGGGGATTTTTTTTTCTTTTGCCACGCTGAAGTCTAGGCTGGATTCTTGGATTGTGGGAAACCAGGGAGGGTTGCAAGGCAAGGTGTGGCCATTTGGCCCTTTATTGCCAGGCCTGGCTCAGCCTACTGTTGGAATGACATACCATTAAGCTGAACCTACATGCATGCAAGCAGAATGCTGTTCTAAACACTGCGTTGTCAGACAGTGGTTTTGCATGGCAGGGAATAACTCCAAAGCTAAGGACATCATAATTTCCACCCCCACCCCAAACACTTGCCATTGCCACTTTGATTCAGACAATCTGGTATACCAGGTCACACCATCCTTTGTTCACCTGGGCAGCCACGATGAAAGGTGAAAGTGGTAATATGGCATCCTCAGGCCTGGAAATCTGGGGTGGAGGTAGCTGTGGGCTAAAGCACAGCTATAGGAGTTCCTTTTCTTGCTACAGCTACCTCGCACACTCAGAGAGATTTTGCAGAATAGAGCTGGTAAATTTAATTCAGTGTCTACCTCTCCAGTCCCTGCCTCCACTCACCTCTTCCCTTCCTCACCCCATTTCCAAGTTAGTGGCTACCTCAAAGGAGCCTCAGAGATGACCCAAGGGCCTTCCCAGCTCTCCAGAGGCAGTTCACAGCCAACAGGCCTGGCTCAGAGGCTTCCTAACCTCCCTCCCAGCCCACTCTCTTTGAGCAGGACAAGTGGTCACGTGACGGCAGCTCCAGGGAGGGCCAGTCAAGGCCTGGTACCCCCCACCTCTGCTCTCCTTCCCTCTCATACACAATTCCGGAGGCGGAATTCTAGACAATCTTTTTTTCTTCTTAAATCCGTGAAATCAGGAACCACAGGGCAAGCCGGGGCTCCGGGTCTCCAATTATCTCTCCCCCTGCCTCTCGGGGAGCCTCACACTCTCCCACTCAGCTCCAAGCAGTCAACAGCCTCTCGGAACCTGTTGAAATCTATTACCGACCTTTGGTCTCCTCCACCACAAAGGAGCTTTCTGCAGCGCGGAGATGGATTAAACAGAAATGAATTGGCCGACAGAGGCTTTTTGACCCTCTTCGTTCTTGCCTCCCTTTTCCCTCTTTTTTCCCTCTATCTTACTTTTATATTTTTTTCTAGAAAGCCAGCTGGGCAGAGCCAAGATAAGGCGACATGGAGTGTGGCCTGAATGAACGGAGGTCACAAACACCTGAACGAAATTCACTTTGTTCATTTTGCAAACTAGGACACTGGCAGTTCCTTGACACGGGGCCTGTTAGTGCTAAATTCATCACATCCGGCAAAAAAGAAAATAAAACAAAATGAAAAGCCCATAAAGTCGAACAGTTAAATATTTAGGGCTCGTGGTGAACAGCATGTCATAATATTTGTTGAATTGCATTTGCTATTCAATGCATCTTTTCCACTTAAGGCCCCAGCTTCTGGAGGTAGATGGAGAAAACGAGAAGAATTAGGTTGCATCAAAAATGAAACGTGGGCTTTATTTTAACCTCAGAAGACAAATCTTACTGTCTGCACACCCTGGGCTGCATGACTGTTAGAGCTCTTGAACGAGGGTCTCTGTCTCCCCTGGAGCCTCCCTCTTAGTGTTCACACTTAGCTCCATGTGTAATTAAGCAGATGCTCTTTGACGCTCAATTTAAATTATCAAATGTCAGGACATGACACTTTATTTGTGTATGTTTTCCTTGCTTAGCAATTCAGGCAGTACCTGGGGAAGGGAAATGTGTCTGTTCAACTTTAGAAAAGAGCTTCACCGTGTAGCTCTATGACGTCTGAAATTCTAGTATTAGAGGGTCACTTCTTTGGCATGTTACTTCTTTTCATGCAAATTCCCCAGGAGAACTCTACAGACTCACTTACTTACCTGATCAGAGGTTGAGCTAATAATATCTTTTCTTGAGATCAAAAAGTGGGAGTGGTTATAAGAACGTGGGTTGCCTAAGAGGTAGGATGGTTCTGGTCCTGGTGCTGGAGACAATAGCAGATTCCTTTTCAACAGTCCTGGGAGATCCTGCTTAAAAAGTGGGGAGTAGGGCCGGGCACGGTGGCTCACACCTGTAATCCCAGCACTTTGGGAGGCCAAGGCGGACAGATCACGAGGTCAGGAGTTCAAGACCAGCCTGGCCAATACGGTGAAAGCCCATCTCTACTAAAAATACAAAAATTAGCCAGGCATAGTGGTGTGTGCCTGTAGTCCCAGCTACTTAGGAGGCTGAGGCAGAAGAATCGCTTGAACCCGGGAGGCAGAGGTGGCAGTGAGCCGAGATCATACTGTTGCACTCCAGCCTGGGTGACAGGGTGAGACTCCATCTCAAAAAAAAAAAAAGTGGGGCGTAGAGGGGATGAAGGGAGAGGAAAGGAGGGAGGAACCTCAAGTACATGCATTGTTCATGAACTGTGAAGCTCACCTGAAGCCTTGGACTTCACCTCCCCAATTGCCTTTCCCCTGTCTGCCCTCCCACCTGCTTTGTGGTGCTAACCACTGCTCAGGGAGTGCCTAACTTTTTGTCAGGACCACAAACAGTTAGGGCAGGGGGCAAAGGGTAGGGCCGAGCCTTCCTAAAGTAGAAGCAGGGCCCTAAGAATTCTTGGGACTGGACTGAGGAATCACTGTGATCTCAGGGATCATAAGAAAATGGTCCTGATGACCACTGGCCAATGACTACCAAAATCATCATGCAGTGACCTTGGGAGTTAGTGAACAATGACCTTGAAAATTAGTGAGGCGTTGATCTAGAGCATCAACCTTGGAAATCAGTGAGTAGAAATCTGGTGAATTAGTGAGTGATGACTTTCAGGGAAGAGCACTCAGGCTTGGGGCCTACAGGTCAGGCCCAGGTCCCCAAGTGGACCAGGCCAGTGGGGACCAAGATAATTGGTAATGTTCAAGGTTCCTTAGCCACGCTCCCACTACACCAGCACTGAGCACCCTTGCCTCCCCAAGGATGCAGGGACCCAGACATTCCAAATGGCCTTTTGCTGCTCAGAGCTCTGGAGAAATCTGGACCTCAGAGCTGAGCTTTCTTTTTCTGTTGCCAGGCTCTTGTGCCATGCTCGGCCTGTGGCAGTGGCCACACTGGCTGCACTACCAGCAGAGCCCCAGGCCCTGGGAGGGCCACACTGCAAGGCCAGGCCAGAGACAAGTTCTTGGTTTCAGCAGGCTTGTCTGTTTCTACACAACATCTGGGGCTTACCGCCACCATCTGGACTTGCTCCTGATCAAAGCTCACTCTCTCCTGGTGGCTGCCAATGCTGTTATCAACATCAACCAGGCGGCCTGACCAGAAGCTGGGCAGCTTTCAGGGGAAAGGCTCCGAGGGCACGAACTGGCTCACTGGGGCATTGTATCTAGGCCCCTGGGGGCTGGGACAGAGTACTTCTGCCAGGAGGGATGTGCACGGAGTATGCTGTTGTGGGTTTGGTTGTGCAATGTGTGTGTGCCGTGTGTGTCTGCACATGTGTGTATTCCGGTATGTTTCTGTGAATATTCACATGTGTGAGTTCAAGTTTGCCTCTGTGTGCTAGCATGTCCATGTTTGTGAGTGTGTATCTAAGTGTACTGCCTTTGGGTGGGTGAATGTATGTCAGGGTAGTGAATGGTAAGAGCTCTAGCTGTGGAATCTTCCTGCTGGAGCTTCATTTGTTATCCTCTGAATAATGGGTGCATGATACTGTCTACCATTTTGGGTTGTCAGGAGCATTAGATTTAATAATGCATATTCACCATTTGTAAATACTGCCTTTCACATAGTAGATGCCTGATACATATCACATGATTCCATTATCCTGAGAGTGTGGGTTTTCGTGTGCATGTCTGTGTGTGTCTGGGTCTCTGTGGGTGTTGAGAGTAAGTCTGTGCAGATGTTTGTATCCATGTGTTGGCATGCTGTGTCCCCTGCGAGAAGGTGTGTGCACGTGTGCTCAAGAGCCAGGCGTTTGCTAAATATTTGCTTTGCTGGGCCCTGGGGAGCACAGTTGGCAGAGCTGCCAGCACTGCCGTGCAGTGTTTCTGACAGCTTGAGCACGGCCTCTGGAAGTGTGAACTTTCCCAGGGTAAACAGCTAATGATACTGCAAGGCCAGCGCTGACCCCTTCGTGGCCCTCCTCACAGGCTGGGAGGCATTAGGAGGCTCTGGCTGTGCCTCCCTCCTACTCCCCCAACCGGGTACCCAGCAGCAACAGCGACTGTGTGTGTGATAGGGGCTCAGCACCCAACCCACTCCCCCTCCCCTCTCCACAGCCAGCCTGTAAGCAGCGGAGAAAAACAACTTCTCTTAGCTAATCTCTCCCTACCCTCAGCCATCAGCACCTTGGAGAGCTCCCAACGCATCACTAGGGAGGCGGGGCGGAGGATGCCAAAATTGCACAGCACCAGGCCCTGCTTTCGTCCAGTTGCACCCGATGAAGCCATGACTGGGGTTGTGGGACTCCAGCCACTCCAGGGCTCTGCATCAAGGGAAACCCTAGTGGAAATGCGATTACCTGGTTAATTTATGCAAAACTTCAGTCTTGCTCGAATTGGGTCATAGCCTCTGGGAGTTCCTGAAACCCTGGCACAAAACCGATTTTGTGGATTAAAAAACTGGCCCTTGATCCTCTGCCCTGGCAGTGCCCTCCCTGCCCCTTAGCCCCACCGCTGTCTCTGAAATGTGTCTGACATCCTCCTGCCCTTGCACAACAGGACTTCACTTTCTATGCAGCTGTGTGTACACATGTGTGCACTCATGTGTAGAGCTCTGGGATGTATGTGTCTTGGTGCAAGCTTGCTTGTATGTGTGGGCCCTTGAATGCAGGTGTGTGCATGTGTGGGTCAGCCAGTGCATGTGTGTGTACATGCATGTGTTTACAGCCAACCAGATAGACACATAGGAGAGTGCCTTTGGGACTTGAGTTAGAACAGGTGTTTCCCAAAAGCCATGCAATGGAGGTGATCTCTGGATACACCCCCGATGGGGTTCAGCTTCTCACTAGGTTATGGGATGAGAATAAGGACAGGGTAAACACTAGGATTTATCCTAGAAGCCTATGATGTGAGACAAGGAGTTGGGAGAGAGCACGGAAGAGTGTTTCATTCACCTCTCCAATTTACTAGTGAGGAAACTGAGGCCCTGCCAGGAAGTCAGCTTGCATAAAGTCTGCAAGGATAGAGCTAGGGCCAGCATTCCATGATCCTCATTCCCATGCAGTGGTGTCCACCTCACCCACCCACCCCATTTGTGGCCTGCTGCTTCTGCCTTAAGCCCCCACTGCAAAATTTGGCTCCAGCAAATTAGGGGTCAAAATGTCAGATTTCTAGGGTCTCCAGTCAGACCTGGGGATGCCCCCTTGGGTGTCTCTTCCCTGCCCTTTCCCTGTTCCAATCAGTAGAGGTCCCTTTAACAGATGGATTAGGCCTCCCACCCCTCTACCCCCTGCTGCTGCCTCTGAAGAGAGCGAACCTTTCCAGAGAGCCTCTGTGTTTCATTACAAAGACACAGCCATATTCCATTAATTCCTCATTTGCTGTGGGCAAAGCGCTGATACGTACATTTTTACCTAGGGTGGTTTTAATCAGTTAATTTAACCAGAAACATTAATAATGTATTTCTTTGCCACTCGACTGCCCATCTGTTGAACAACTTACCTGTTGGAGAGCAATGTCACCTCCTGTGACTCAGAGCCCTCGGCTTCCCAGGAACAAGATGAGATTCTGCATATTTAATGGCTTTGCAGACCAAGGGTGAGCACTGGGGGTGCCGCTGGCCAGCCTGGTGTGGGCTCCCAGGCTGCAACCCTGCAATACAGCCTCCCTTTACCCCAGGCTCCAGACAAGGGCCATCTCCTGCCTTTGCCTTTGATCATTGCTTTTATTGTTGGATTCTGGGTTGCAGGAGAGGCTGGATCCCTGCTCAGGGGTTTAGGGAGTGGAGGGAGCTGTGAGAGAAGGGAGTCGCAGCAGACAGATCTGAGCCCTGAGCAAGCAGCCGCACCTCCCGGAACCTGTTTCCTCATCCTCCTCTTGGATATTTTGAGGATTCAGGGAGAAAGTCTACGTGAAGTCCAAGCACAGGCATAGAGTGGATACTCAACATAGGAAGGTTTTCTTCCTTGATAAATAAGCGCATGGCCCCCTGTCTTGGGGACCAATCCCAGTGATTCCTGGTAAACATCTGGATCACCTTGGGGGAGTGAAGGGTGATATTCTGCATATGTAACCACGAGTCCTGAGGGGAAGGGTGGCAGCCAGTAAAGCCCCCTGTATGGCCAGGCATTAACCATTTAGATGCTGGCTCATGGGGAGTTCAGGGAGGGGGTTCCCCAGGGAGGGAGTTGAAGCAGCTGAGGCAGCAGCAGAACTTCCAGGAGCTTGGGGATGCTGCTTAAGGGGGCGGGTGGTACCTGCCACAGGGCAGAACCCACCGCCTGACCTCCCCTACATTGTGGCTTTCCTGGGGTTCTCATTGTTCTCCTCCTTCCTCAGGAACCACGAGGCACCCAGAGTTCAGGGTGGCCTCTCTCACTGCTGAGCCTGAACCTCTGGGACTGATGTCCACCCACTCAGCTCTGTGTCCCATTTTCCCGTAGCTCTGGAGGTCACTGGTGCAAAGCCACTGTGCACCCTCTTAGTGGCACGACAGGAACTGGATCCCAGTGTGCACTCTGCCCAACACCCACCTCTCAGCCTGGTGCTGTGGTCATAGGGGCCTACCCCTCTGTGGGGCCCTGATGAGCAGCATAAAAGCAAAACAAATGCCTCTCTAAGGGCTCCCAGCATTCCTGTCTGGGAGAACATTGAGAGCTCACTCCTGGGGAAAGGAGAGAGGTGGGAGGGAAGGAGCCACTGGACCCCAGGTGACCCGAGGGATTTGTCCTACAATAGGAGCAGGGCAGGTGAGACACCCTCAGGACAAAGCAGGGCCAGGTCCTCAGTGGAAACTCCTTCTCCTGCCTTGGTCTGCTTTGATTTCATAAAATCTAAGACACATCGACAGTAATATACATAATTTTATGTACTTCCCTAAGAAAGAAAAAAAATGCCACCCATTATACTATGACACAGTGCTTTCTTATCATCTACTGCAAGACCCATCTCAATTTCAGGGATGTTAAAATGTGAAAAAAAAAAGTGTGATTTGAAATCAATGAAATATGGTAATAAAAATAGCACTAGCTGCCATTTATCAAGAGCTCTTTACGTACCCCGCTATCTCTGAGGGCTGTGTGTGCAGCATCTCACCCGATCCTCATGGAACCCTGTGAATCGAGATATCGTTCAGAGGTTAAGCAGTGTTAAAGGTCACGCAGACCATCATAATCATCCTTCAGTAGTATTTGAGAATGATCATGTGCTAACAAGATCATCCCCCAGATCTGTAGTAAGGACATGGAGTAAGGCACATGGAGCTTGTGTGTCTGAGGTCAAATGCAGCTGGTAGGTGGCAGAGGAGCTGGGATCTGAACCTCTGCGGAGCCTACTTGGTTGGCCTCTCCACCATCCTGTCATCAGCTAGCAGGGCCAGAGCTGTGCTTCAAACCCTGTTTCATCTAACTCCAAGCCATGCTCCTAACCACTAGGCTTTATTGCCTCTTTTCAAAAGCAAAGGATGGCAGAGGAGGAGATTTCGGCATCCGTGTCCACCCACAGGACTTGCCCTCTCTCTGGCCCTCCCAGCCCTCTGGAGGCTGCCCCGCCATGCCCACTCTCCACCTCCAGATGGGCACTTGCTTTCCATGCTGGCTTCCCAGCAGAGGGTGATTCCCACCTCTTCGGCCTCCTCCAGAATCCTAACAGCCAGTATGCATGGAGGGGGCGGGAGGCAGCAGGCATGCAGGGATGAGGCAGAAACTGAGAGTGAGAGCTGCTGCTGAAAACTCACAAATTGGTCCCAGAGAGAAATGGAGCCTCTTTTTGCCCATCAGCTCACTCCCCCAACCATTATCAGGAAAGCAGTGTGAGGGCCTTGGCTGGAGTGAAACTCAGGTGTGGGTGTGGGGAATGGCACTGGGGCCTCCACAGCTCCCTTCTGGAGGGGCACGGAGGCCTTGGAGGCCAGCCTGGGCTCATCCTCCTCAGAGAACAGGGCTGGAGCACAGGAGCTGGTGCATGGGGGAGGTGGCCAACAGTAACTGTAGGGGTCTTCAGGTGGACACAAGAGGCCAGAGCCAATGAGATATGGGGCATGGGAAGCAGGTGCTGAACAGACAGACCCAGGGCTTGGTGGGAGGTGCAAAATCCAACCCCAAACAGCAGACGGTGGCTTCTGGGGGTCCCGGGATGGTAAATTCTGGATCAGGCTTTACCCTGGGCCTCAGGCAGAGAGCAGCAGGGAGGGGGGATCTGGAGCAGGTAAGGCACACCCAGGCCCTGGGCCAAAGGATTCTTGTGCATCAGCCTCTAACCTGTCCAGCAGCCCTGGGAGGCAAAATTCCCATTTCACAGATGGAAAAACTGACAGGCAGAGGGGTTGAGTAACAGCTAGTTAGTTTCTGAGCTGGCACAAGAACTGCACCACAATAGTCTGGTTCCAGGTCACTAGACTCTGGTCCCTCTAGAGAAGAGGCATTAGATAAGTGAGCCAGACAGGGCAAGATGAGCTCACAGAACCAAGGCCGACCAGCTTCAGGACAGACCAGTTTCAGGGGTCAGTCTGCTACAGCTCCTTAATTCCATGCCATTTCTTCTCAGCCGTGGTCCTTGGCCCTTGGCAGAGCTGAGCCTGGGGTGGGACACACACTTTGCTTTTGGCAACCGGGAGCCATACTGCATCCAGTGAGCATCCGCAGCTGCAGCTTGCATGCATCTGCTGATGGCAGGGATGGAGCTGGCTCTCCAGGCAGGAGGAGCATCTTCCTCTTCCCCCACACCATGCACCTCTCTCCTGAAGATGAGGATATGCACCCGCCACGGGTAGGGCCCAGGGGCCATGGGCACTGAGTTCTCCTACAAAACTCTCCAGTCCTCCACTGCAGGGCTCACTGGCAGAGCCAGCACTGTGGGAGACACAGTGGAGGTGCCATCACCATGTGTCCACTGACAGCCGGGCACAGCAGTGCTGGAGATGGGAGCAGCAGTTCCTTGAGGCAGCATTTCTGTTCTGAGACAGAGAGTGAGAAAAACTGATACCTGGAAGGAGATGGCTGGCAGGGTGTGACTTAGCCAGGCATGACCATGCCTGACTCCTGCCTGTTCGCCAAAACCAGCAGGCTCGTTCCTGCTGCTCCAGCTGCTCCCTCTGCATGTCAGGTGCTTTTACTCTTCCTCTGCTCACTCTTTAAAGCAGCGCACCAGCATGGCACATGTATACATATGTAACTAACCTGCACATTGTGCACATGTACCCTAAAACTTAAAGTATAATAATAATAAATAAAATAAAATAAAATAAAATAAAATAAAATAAAATTTTAAAAAAGCCCAGCCCAAATATCACTTCCTCTGAGAGGCCTTCTGGGATTCTTCCAGGCCATTTTCTTCCCCTTGAACACTGAGTTTATCACAGTAGAGCACTCATCACCCTGATTGTTGGTTATTTCTCCATTTGACACTTTCCTTCTTCAGTTTGTGAACAAACCAAGGCAAGGACTGGCCCTTACCCATTTTTCTACCCCAGCACTGAGAAGGCACCAGTGGACATTGGCTGCATTGAACCTCCCTTGGGAAAGCCATAAAAACAGTCCCCTCTATGGGCTCCTCATCATCTCACCCTTCATAGGTCTCTTCATAGCTTTTATCAAAGCAAGGTTGGTGCCCTAAAGGCAGGGAGCATGTTTGCTTAGTTCAGCGCTGTATCTCCAGTGCCTGGAACAGTCCTTGGCCTGTCATTGGTGTTCGATGAATAGTAATTGAATGAATGAATGAGTGAATGAATGAATGAGAGAAGGGCTGCTCAGAGAGGTCAGAGGGCTGCTCACACAGGGCCAAGAATGTGGGGTTTATTCCCACTGGCTCAGTTTCCAGGCACTGTGCAAGACTAGGCAGCACATCTCTTGAAGGTCACACAATCTAGGTGGGAGACAGACGTGGAAATGGTGACAGGGCAAATGCTGAATGAAAGATGAAACCAACTGGCATTGTCTGGGGGAGGACACAGCTGGACACACCTGGCTGCAAGGTATGAACCATAGGGAGGTTACGACTCTGTCTGAACCTCAGTTTCTTCATCTGTCATACAGTGGGA
The DNA here is from genome assembly GCF_000001405.40 of Homo sapiens. Classification (NCBI taxonomy): domain Eukaryota; kingdom Metazoa; phylum Chordata; class Mammalia; order Primates; family Hominidae; genus Homo; species Homo sapiens. The sequence continues at coordinate 36,918,564 of NC_000001.11, read as the reverse complement.
ATCTAATATTAATATTTAGGGGTGTGTCAGAGATTAAACCAGATGATGTTCATAAAGCATTTGGCACACTACCTGATGCACGAGAAGGGATCAGATACTTTGTCGCCATTAATAATAAATGTAATGTCATGAGCAAAGACATGGGCAAAGATGTGGCAGTTTATGGGCTTGCTGAGGGGCTGTCTGATACAGCAAAAATGCACACTGCATAAGAAGGTTAAAGGGACATAGGGCAGAAAGGTAGGTGGGGTCCTGATATATGAAAAAGGAGAATGATATCAGAATCTACCTGCTAGGGTTGCTGTGAGGATTAAATGAGATAATGAAGGGAAAGGCTTGGAACATAGGTTCTATAGGTGTTAGTGATACTTCTTGTTTTTATGACTTCAGAGCTGCTTTGGGTTCCCCTGCTAACTAACACCAGAAGGTTACACAGAAAGTCCTGTCTTTGCATTGTTCAAAGTGCAGGGTTTAGAGGAGTACAGTGTCTTTAAACCTATATTTTTAAAATTCAAGCTACTTCTCTTCTCCATGGCTGCTGACAGCCCATGCAAATTTTGAGATTGCAACTTTGCTCCAGTTCTGCAAATGCAGCTGCTGGCCTCCCCTTATAAACCTCCTTGGAGTTTCTGAGTGGCTGTGACTGGGGGTGGGGGTATGAGTCCTTCTGGCTTTTGACAAGAGCAGCTTAGCTTTCTGCTCTGGATGCTCCTATAAGGAATCTCTCCCCACTGCTTAAAAGGCCTGAATGACATTTTCCTGTGGTGTCCTCTTCAACCTCCCTGTATTAGTCCGTTTTCAAGCTGCTGATAAAAACATACCTGAGACTGGGCAATTTGCAAAAGAAAGAGGTTTAATGGACTTACAGTTCCATGTGGCTGGAAGGCTTTACAATCATGGCAGAAGTTGAAAGGCACATCTCACGTGGTGGCAGACAAGAGAAGAGAGCTTGTGCAGGGAAACTCCTCCTTATTAAATCTCGTGAGACTTATTCACTATCATGAGAACAGCACAAGAAATACCTGCCCCCATGATTCAATTACCTCTCAGTGGGTCCCTCCCACAACACGTGGGAATTCAAGATGAGATTTGGATGGGGACACAGCCAAACCATATCATGCCACCCCTGGCCCCTCCCAAATCTCATGTCCTCACATTTCAAAACCGATGCCTTCCCAACAGTCCCCCAAAGTTTTAACTGATTTCAGCATTAGCTCAAAAGTCCACAGTTCAAAGTCTCATCTGAGACAAGGCAAGTCCCTTCCACCTATGAGCCAGTAAAATCAAGAACAAGTTAGTTACTTCCTCGATAAAATGGCATTACAGGCATTCGATAAATACAGCCATTTCAAATGGGAGAAATTGGCTTAAAAAAAGGAGGCTACAGGCCCCATGCAAGTCTGAAATCCAGCAGGGCACTCAAATCTTAAAGCTCCAAAATGATCTCCTTTGACTCCATGCCTCACTGGACAGATCACACTGATGCAAGAGGTAAGTTCCCATGGTCGTTGGCAGCTCCACCCCTGAGGCTTTACAGGGAATAGTCCCTATCTTGGCTGCTTTCATGGGTCAGCATTGAGTGTCTGTGGTTTTTCCAGATGCACAGTGCAGGCTGTCAGTGGATCTACCATTCTGGGGTCTGGAGAATGGTGGCCCTCTTCTCATAGCTCCACTAGGTGGTGCCCCAATAGAGACTCTGCATGGGGGCTCCAACCCCACATTTCCCTTCTGCGCTACCCTAGCAGAGGTTCTCCATGAGGGCCCCACCCCTGCAGCAAACTTTTGTCTGGGCATCCAGGTGTTTCCATACATCCTCTGAAATCTAGGCAGAGGCTCCCAAACCTCAATTCTTGACTTTTGGGCACCTGCAGGCTCAACACCACATGGAAGCTGCTGAGGCTTGGGGCTTCCACCCGTTGAAGCAACAGCCCGAGGTGTAACTTGTCCCCTTTTAGTCACTGCTGGAGTGGCTGGGACACAGGGCACCAAGTCCCTAGACTGCATGCAGCACTGGAACCCTGAGCCCGGCCCACAAAACCATTTTTCTCCTAGGTCTCCATGCCTGTGATGTGAGGGGCTGCCATGAAGACCTCTGATATTCCCTGGAGACATTTTCCCCATTGTCTTGGGGATTAACATTAGGCTCCTCATTACTTATGCAAGTTTCTGCAGTTGGCTTGAATTTCTCCTCAGAAAATGGGTTTTTCTTTTCCATCATGTTGTCAGGCTGCAAATTTTCCAAACTTTTATACTCTGTTTCCTTTTTAAAAATCAGTGCCTTTAACAGCACCCAAGTCACCTTTTGAATGCTTTGCAGCTTAGAAACTTTTTCCACCAGATACACTAAATCATCTCTCTCAAGCTCAAAGTTCCACAAGTCTGTAGGGCAGGGGCAAAATGCTGCCAGTCTCTTTGCTAAAACATAGCAAGTCAGCTTTGCTCCAGTTTCCAACAAGTTCCTCATCTCCATCTGAGATCACATCAGCCTGAATTTCATTGACGATATCATTATCAGCATTTTGGTTGAAGCCATTCAACAAGTCTCTAGGCAATTCCAAACTTCCCACATTTTCCTGTCTTCTTCTGAGCCCTCCAAATTTTTCCAACCTCTGCCCGTTACCCAGTTCCAAAGTCGCTTCCACATTTTCAGGTATCTTTTCAGCAACGTACCACTCCCAGTACCAATTTACTGAATTAGCCCATTTTCATGTTGCCAATAAAGACATACCCAAGACTGGGCAATTTACAGAAGAAAGACGTTTAATGCACTTACAGTTCCATGTGGCTGGGAGCCCTCACAATCATGATGGAAGGTGAAAGGCATGTCTTACATGGTGGCAAACAAGAGAAGAGAGCTTGTTCAGGGAAACTCCCCTTTATTAAAACCATCAGATCTCGTGAGACTTATTCACAACCATGAAAACAGCACGGGAAAGACCTGCCCCCATGATTCAATTACCTCCCACCAGGTCCCTCCCACATCACATGGGGATTCAAGATGAGATTTGGGTGGGGACACATCCAAACCATATCCCTCCCCTAGGCAGCAGCTTTGGTTAAAAACCACTTTCCACTTGTTCCCACCCCGGAGTTTTGCTGTTTAGCCATTTCATGCTTGTTTATACTTGTATGTTTGTGCATATTTATTTATATTTGAGAAATGTTTATTGAATGCCAATTATGTGCCAGGTCTTGTTCTAGGCACTGGAGAGAAAGAGATGAACAAGCTGATAAGATCTGCAGGCCCAAGGAACTTCTAAGTGCTGAGGGTGGGGAGAAGAGGTGGACTGTACACTAGACAGCAAATAGATATTTAAGACAGCAAATAGATATTAAGCTGCATGAAGAACTTTGAGAAAGCAAGCAAGGTGTCACAGTGGCAGAGGTCTCCCCTACTGTTTATCTGCTGTATGCCCAGTACTTGACACATGGTGGGTGCTCCCTGAGTGTTTGTTGAGTGAAGGAAGGGCTGAATGGAGGAACATCTTTTTCTGGGGTGTTGATAAAGGACAAGGTCGCTCAGAATTCCTTTGCACGAACTTATGAAGATCCAAGCAGCCTCATGTGCTAATGATAATAATTAAGTCAGAATCCCTTATTTGAAACAACTACCTCAGGGAGAGGCACAAAGCACCAGGCTGATGAATTGGTTCCCCAGCCTTCCCTCCTGTTGTGCCCTGCCCAGGTGAGATGTGTGCTCACACCTGCCCAGGTGCATACACATGCATAAATGAGAGTCTAGTGGAGTAATCACACCTCCAAGGCTGTGTTAAAACAACCGGTCACTGATGCCTCAGAATCAATCTTTAAAAAGCAAAATCCATCATTTGGTGGGGCCCGTTGGGCTGAGTAGATCAAATAGTTTCACCGTTGTACTTTCTTATTCTTCTTGTGTGTCTCTAGTGCACAGGGCTGGGGAGCCCAGTGTGTGGGGCTGACTGAGATGTGGAGGATCTAGCCCTGGACCTCAAATAGCTCACACCTCAGAGGCAGGATAAATAACTTTTGCCCAAGTCACTGTAACACAGCGATTTCCAGAAGCGTGTTTCCAGTAAGATGCTCTGCCAGAAAAGGTTTCCCCGGTTGTCAAGTAAGTTTGGGAAATGTTGCTACCCACCTCTCAGAGGCTCTGCATGTGAGCAGAGCAAATGCCCAGAGAAGTCCTGCAGAAAAGAAACCTGCTCAACCTTGTTCAACTTCTAGTTTTCTCAACTTAAAGAAGACTTTAGCTTCTCTGCACATTGACTGCAGTTTCCTGGGGCCACTGAAATAGCAATGACACAATTTTCCCTCCAGCCAAGCCAGAGGTGTCCATTCTCCATTCTACCCCAGGCAGCATAGTAAGTGGAGTCAAAAGCTGAGCTGAGGTGAGAAGAGGAAGCAAGAGGACACATCTTCCCAAGCGGGAGGGAGAAAGGATACAGCCCCATTCTACTGTTGCTAGATGAGAAAGCTGAGGCTCCCACACCTGCCCCGGCACCGTGGGGCTGCAGTGTGGGACCTCCCTGGTAAACAAGGAGCTAGAGACAGGGACCAGAGCTGTGCCAAGAACAAAGCTGTGCTGTGCCTTTAATTCCAGGTGGCCGGTGACAAGTCAGGAGCTGAGACCCCAGAGGAGGTCAGAATATGTGAGCAGGAGTAGCTTTGGCAGCATTTGTGTTGGTTTTGGGAGAGTTGTGGGGATTTGGGAGAGGAAGGTAGAACCTGCAGGATGGGTGGGCTGAAGGCAGGTGACTTCAGTGGATTCTGGCCGATGGTGGACGGCAGTGATATTTTCAGCATCTTAGAGTCATGCCTCTGGGAGAGGTTTGCCTGGGAGAGCTCCTCCCAGAAAGCCAAAGGCCCTGCTGTGATTGGGGGTGGGGCTGTGGGGCGTGGTGTTGCCACCTGATGAGAATGATGTGTGCTTTGTGTGTCTGCTCCACCAGGCCCCTTTCTGTCACTCCAGCAGTATTGTTAGAGAAGAAACAAAACAAAACAAAATTGAGAGTGGAAGTTGATTCTATAATTAGTGCAATTTCTTCACTGTTCATTCAGGATCTCCAGAGATCAATTAGCTTGCTTTTAAGCTAAAAGGCATCTGGATAAGTATTTAACCTGCATAGCAATTGATATTTACAACAGACGAGGATGGAAGTAATAAACGCAGAACAGGGGGCTTCTGTTCTCCTCCACTAATTTTCCCGGTCTTGCTCCCCTGACCCTCGCCTCTGCCCACTCTCATTTCTGGAGTGACCTTAGATTGGGCCTTCTGGCTTTCTCAGGGCAGGTCTGTGGGTGGGCAGGCTGGCACAGAGGGGCTGCTGGTGGCAGGGTTCTCTCCCTGATCCTGGCATTGCTATGGAGCAGGTGCCCGGGTTTGGAGATGAGCCCAGTTGGGATGGTGGTGGGACACGCCCCCATCCAGGGAGAGCCAGGCCCTCTCTGTGCAGCTGCCTACTCATGCCAGGCACATGGCCCCTATCCACTCTTGTAAGGGACAGGGTGTCTACTGAAGGTCCCTCAGCCTCAGTCTCCCTATCTACTAATAGCGGATCCCTGCTGGAGCTGGGGTAGCGGAGGGCTTGAGAACAGCAGGAGCTAGTGTCCTCCTGGCTGTGCATAATCATTACAGATGGTCTGAGAGATATTTGTGTGTTCTTTGATTTGTCACGTAAATATCAAAGTCCTGAACTCAAATTAGCTTCTTAAAACAAGCAGCATATGTGTTTTAGGCACACATACATATACATATATTTAACAAACATGTTGACATCCTATCTGTGCTAGATAGTGTGTCAGGCACTGGGGGAGGGAAGGAGATGCCAGGATGACAAAGGCGTGTCCTCACCCTCTAGATGACCTCAGCCTAATGGAGAAGGGGGAGAGTGGGGCCCAGGACTCAGCACAGCACAACGCAGCCCCCCACCATGTGTGAGGATACGGAGGAGGACGCATAGGGAGCTCAGGAAAGCTCTTAGTCAAGGACCCCCAAATGCAAGCCCTGTGAGGAGGGCTAGGGTGTAAATAGTTTATCTGGGAGGCGGCTCCAGGAATCAGGACCATGAGGGAGCAGGGAAGAGAGACCGGTAAGCAGGGGAGCCAAGCAAGGGTGTGCAGGCAGGTGGGTTACACTGTGGGCAGCAGAGGGGGGAGGAGGGGGGTTCTGTTCTGCTGGGGCCTATTGAGAAACTGCATAGAATCTGCATCCCAACGGTGCCTGCAAGGGGCGAGGAAGCTGGACGTTTATCCACCAGCTCCCAGGCCTCCCTAGCCTGTCCCATGTGCTGGCCAAATCCGCGCCTTTGCCAGAGAGTATCAGAGATCGTGGAAGCTGAGGGCATGCAGAGGAAGTGTCTGCAGTGGCCTCTGGGGTTGGGATCAGGGGACGAGGATCATGTCTGTTGCACAAGGCTCAGAAGAGAAAAGCGTGACCCAGGACGAAACCCAGAGAAAGAAGGAAAAGCGAGACGCAGAGGAAGGTGTGCGTGAAGGGAGTGGTGAGAAACAGCATGGGGTGAGGACACCCTGCCTGGAAGAGTGGACGCTGAAGAGAGGCTGGGCTGGATGGGGAAGGGCCCCAAACACCAGGCTAAGGGAGTTGTCCTTTCTGCTGCCAGTGGGTGTGCGTGAAGAGGGGGCTGTGGAATTGCTCTGCTGACTGACCGCGGAGGTGGGACAGCCCCGCCAGTGTCTGGGGGAGGCCCGCATGGTGGCTCTAGATCTCCATTCCTTTGTCCCCTCCAGCAAGGACAGGCACTGCTCACAGGGCCCCTCCACAGCTCCCCGCTCAGTCCTCTGCCCACATTGTACTCCTGCTCCTCCTGCCTGATGACAGCCCATCCCTCATCAGGGTCTCTGGGCAGCACAAGAGCCTCCAGCCATCCTCCCAACACGGTCGATTCTGCAATATTTGACTTGCATGTCCCTGAGTTGTACAGACAAAGCTCCTCATAGCACTAGATCAATTAAAACAACTGCCACCAGGCCCCGGAACTCAATCAGGAGTCCCCCTGGGACCCCAGGGAAGTGCACATCCTCTGCTCAGATCTGCCCCTTCTCTGGATGCCTGCCTACAGCTCCGTTGAAGGCCCTCCAGCCTTCCTATCACCTCATAATAATTTCTTATTCTTATCAAAGGCATACAATGTGCTTTAGGTGATTTATGCCATTTAAGCCTCAAAATACCCCTATGTTGTAAACACTATTAATATCTCTGTTTCAGATGATGAAACAGAGACACAGAGCAGTAAAGGGACTTGCCCAAGGTGACATAGCTGGGAAGTGGTGCCTTCTGGCTGCAGAGCCCACATGCTTAGCTGAACCTCATCCTCATTCAAACACTGGGGTCATGTTGGATGCACCCTCTCCCAGACCCCCACCTCCCTCCCTCAGTTTATTATTGACCAATCCTAGAAAAGCCAACCACGCAGCTCCCCTCCGGCCACCCCCTCCCTCCCTCTCTCCCCAGTGGGTCTGTACAGGTCCTCCTCACTGTGATAATCTATCCAAGGCCAGTGCCCCTGCTGGTTGCTGTGTTCCTTCCACAGCTCAGCTCCGAGCAGGTCAGGTGCTGCCTCCCCCATGAAGACGTCCGCAAGATGCCCTCTCCTCTGAGTCTCCCCAGTGTTTAGTCCGTGGTTATCACATGGAGCGTTCTCACCTTGACAGCGTTTTGAGTTATGCCCCCCCACTCACCTCCTGTTCTGAGCTAGGAGTTCCTGAAGAACGGGGCTGAAACTAATCTCTCACTGACTCACCTAGTGCCCAGCATAGTGCCTTGTTCCAGATTGTAGCCAATTACCTGCTTATGGAATGAATGAGTTAATGAGTATATGAATGAATGAAGAACTGAATGAACAAGAAGGGGGACACACATCCCTCGTCTCCCTTTCCTCTCCCAGGACATTAGAAAGCCCATCCCTGGACCGTTTCACTGGGTGCTGCTCCACCTCTGTAAACCACATGCTGTGTCCAGCAGGGGAAGCAACTGACTTGTCCCTGTCCCCGCCCCCCCACCACTGCTGCTGAGAGAGGGCACAGAGGTGCCTGAGAAGCAGGTTCAGAGACACCACCAGTTCCCCCAGGGGTCTGGCTAAGGCGCAGCAGAGAGCAGAGCCTGGATCTTCCAGCCCACAGCTGCACTGAGCTGCGGGGGCCCTGGCAGGAAGCAAAGAGAACCCTGATCAGAACAGACAGGGAGGCGGGCCCTGAGAAGAGGCTGTTAGCAACAATCTCGCTGATCCACGTCTCAATTAATCTCCACAACACCTTGGAAACTTCAGAAAAAGTACAAAGCAGTCTAGAAAAGAAAGAGTGGGCTCAGGCCCCTGAGGACAAATGGAGCCTGGGCCTGGTGCTGGGAGCGTGAATGTCTTCTGGGACTCTTCATAATGGCAGCAGGCCTTAAGTCCTGCCTGAGTCTCCCAGGCTCACTGCACTCTGGGCCAGGCCAGCTGGGCTGCTTGGCTAAATTTAAGAGCACAGAGTTATTGAAGAGAAAGGAAAAAACCTCAACGGGTTCCAGAGGACACCTAAACAGTCATGAGGTCAGAGGGCCAAGCTTAAGCAAGGAGCTTCCCCCTGGTTTTGGAGGTCACATTCAGCTTGACACAGGCCATCATAGCATCCTCACCTGGGAGGCAGAGGAATTCCACCATTGGGCATGTTTCTAGAGGTAAAAAAAGCAATTTAAAAAATATAGGCACTAATGCTTAGGGTATTCAGTATGTTTCCCGAAACATATAACAACATATCATAGTAGAAAGATGAAGAAAGAAGTTGGTTGCAGTTGACACAGCCAGTTCTACCCCTCCTCCCCAACTCTGGCTCTCAGTTAGGGGTTAGATTTGAGCAGTGGTTTTCTTGCCACACTCAGAGCCCAGGAAGCTACAGAGCCTTCTCAGAAGCTGTGACATCAAGTCTTTCAGAGCCCAGTGATGCAAATGGGTTTGGGCAGGGGCATGCCGATAAAAAAGAAAAAAAGGCCGGGCGCAGTGGCTCACACCTGTCATCCTAGCACTTTGGGAGGCCGAGGCAGGCAGATCACTTGAGGTCAAGAGTTCGAAATCAGCCTGGTCAACGTGGTGAAACCCCGTCTCTACCAAAAATACGAAAAAATTAGCCAGGCATGGTGGCGTGCACCTGTAGTCCCAGCTATTCAGGAGGCTGAGGCAGGAGAATTGCTTGAACCCAGGAGGTGGAGGTTGCAGTGAACCGAGATTGTGCCACTGCACTCCAGCCTGGGTGACACAGCAAGACTCCATCTCAGGAAGGAAAAAAAAAAAAAAAGCCCTGATTTGTAGTATCTGCTTATTTCTGTGGTGTAAATACTCTCACTATGGCCGATTTCAGGCTGCCAATGGTTTAATAACTGGTTTTCAGAATTCCTGAAAATTTAACAATTGGCTCCTGAAAGCTGGTACTAGCCGGCTGCAGCACGTCACTGGCTTTGGTTGCAAAGAGAATTTTGCCACTTTGTAGTTTTAACAACATCCTTGACTTCCCTGGACTTCCATTTTCTCCTGTGTAAATTGAGGCAATGTTACTTCCTCTCTAATGGGGTTGTAGAGGTTCTCATGAGTGTTAAATGTAGTGAGTGGAAGGCATGCAGCATCATCCCTGGAACACAGTCAGTTGTTATTACTGCTGTGGTTGTTGTTATTTGTTTTACCCGTTGGGCTTCCACACAAGGTTTTGTTTGAAGAAAATATTCCAGCTGCACCCTGTTCCACCCCTGCTCACGTCTTCTGGGACTCATCTTACACACCCCTCCCTACACACACACACACACACACACACACACACCCTATCCCATTTCTTAGCCGCCTCAGTGTCTCTGCTCCATTTTATTAAAGCAGAAAGCAGTGACAATTATTTTCATAATGAACTGGCTCTTCAAATTAATGCCAATTACACTATGCAATCATGATTAAGATTATGCGTTAATCAATGGTGCCAACCTACTTATTAGCCTCTTTAAATAACGATCATGAGGAATGTATGGGAAGGCAGAGAATGGAGAGGAGCCAGTGGAAAGGGGGGCAGCCTCCAGCGGGGCAGGGAACTCTCTCCAGAAGCTGAGACCCAAAGCAGCCCTTCTTGCATGGGTGGAGCTTGGATCAGAACCCAGGACAATCAGATGCCTGAGCTCCCAAAGCTACAGGCTCTCTAGAAGGGAGAGGGAGCAGGAGGACCCAGGAGGGAGAGGGTAGTGGAGAACCTTGGCCATTTAGCAGTTAATGAGGTCCAGCGTCCCCTTCCCCATCTCCAGCAACACTAAAGTAGTGCAGTTGACACTGCCCCCCAGTAATGTCACCCCTGTCTTAGGTCAGGTCCCCTGGAAGCAGAGCCTGAGGCAGGGATTCGGATGCATGGGGTTTATAGAGGGGAAGAGTGCTCTTCAGGAAAACCCTGTAGGGGAATGAATAAGGCAGGGTTGGGAAGAGGACGGAGTTGGGCAGAGATGTGCCTCTGCCAAGATCTAGCCTTTGCCTGATGCAAGGTGGGGAGTGTGGGGAGGGGCTCCAAAGAATATGTCATACTGCAGATTGTCCCCACCCTGAAGCAAGGGACCGCCCAGTCTTTTGAGCCCCATTATTAGTTGGTTATTGATGGCAGGCTGCTTCCAGGGGCCCAGGTGAGTGACCCCTCCTCCTGGGCAAGGGGGCCTCTCTCACTGGGAACAATTCCCTAGAGAAAGGGGTAGCCTGTGAGTGGAACCAAAATTCAAATCGAGGTCTGCCTGTGCCTAGAACCCACTCTCTGAACCTCTGTGGTGCCCCTCAATATTTGCTGCTTGGATGTCCCATGATATTCAGCCTTTGCAGCCACCTAGCCCTTACACACTCATTAGAACACCTCCCACCCTTGTACTGAGTTTGGGGGTGGAGGGGCAGCCTCTCACCCACCATGTCTCTGAGGATGCTCTAGGGCTTCCTGTTTCTCCTGATGACCTCATGCTCCAGTGTCTTCTGCTGAGTCTTCTGTCTCCTCTCATCTCGCCTCTTGTCCTTTCTCTGCCCTGACTCACTCTGTTTTGGACCATGCCCATCTTCTGTCGCCTTCCTCCAAACAGCAGGAGCTGGTGTCAGTATTCTGTAGCTGACTTTTCTAACGATGGGCCTCCTGGAAGGAAGGGAGGCTCAACTTAAAACCCAGCATCGGACATCACTGTATGAAAAATGCATGGCCCCCTCCTGCTGTGGTGAATTTCTTACTTGACTCGCCCACCTTTGGGCCTGGGTTCTGTCCTTTGGGGTCCACTTCATCTCTGTTCCCTTTCTCTTAGGCCTTCCTCCTTGTCTCACATCTTCTCCACTCAAAACTCCAGCATCCTGTCTTTGTTTCTTTTGCATCATGATTTTGTTCCGTCATAGTCTTAATTCTTTACCCAGGCCCTGAGGTGCTTTTCCTAAGGAAACACTCACTCACCTCTGAAATAAACGCTGCCCACCCCCAGAACAAGTAGAGACTACAGCCCAATAGCCAAATCCAGCCACTCACCACCTGTTTTTTGAATTAATTTTATGTTTTTATTGATACATAATAGATGTACAGAGTTTTGGGGTACATATGATAAAGTAATACATTCATATAATTTGTAAAGATCAAGTCAGCATACTTAGGATATTCATCATCTTACATAGTTATCTTTTCTTTGTGCTGAAAACCTTCAAATTATTCTCCTCTAGCTATTTTGAAATAAACAATAAGTTATTGTAAACTTACATTAATAGTCACCCCACTGATCTGTCAAACACTAGGTCTTATTTCTTCTACCAAGCTATATATTTGTACCCATGAAACATCTCTTCATTCTGTATTTTTGCAAATAAAGTTTTATTGAAACACAACTGTGCCTACTGTGACACATTGTCTGCGGCTGCCAGCGTGCTACAGTGGCAGAAGTGAGTCCTTGCAACAACAACCATCTGGTCCACAAAGCCAAAAATACTTATCATCTAAAACATTTACCCTCCGATCCTTTGCAGACAAAGTTTGTCAACCCTGCCCTAGAAAATGTGGAAGCTCACACTTCACTTTGTTTTTCTAAATTGCATGGTAGCTTTTATTTGCTGTTTTCTAAATAGTATAGTAGCACTCATTGTTTCACTCTTTCTTTGATAGCTACTGTGTATTAAGTCCTTGCCATGTGCCATGCAGTAGCTCCATTGTTTTATGTCTTCCTCACAATAATCAGCCCTCTGAGATGTGTACCCCATCTTGCAGGTGGAGAAACTGAGTCTCGGAGAAACTGAGTCTCAGAGAGTCTGAGTAACTTCCTCCAGTGGATAGAGCTAGGTTTGGGACTGAAGCATGGCTGTCACTGAAACCTGAATTGGGAACCTCCCTGGTATTGCACCTGAGTGGAGCACCACACATGTGCTAGTTGTCTGTTCTTCTCGGCTGCCCTGCGGGGTTCAGCATTCCTTGAAAGCAGGAGCCTGGTGCTGACTTCTTTTGGTATCCCAGGGCCCAGTGACAGGGTGGCACAGGGCAGAGATTAGTGGGTATTAATGGAGCTGTTTTATATAGGATAAGACTGAGGCTCCATCCCTTGGACTTAGGTCTTAATGGCTGAGACATGTCACCATCCTTGTTGAGATGATGGCCCCTCTCTTTCCCCTCCTCCCCACCTGCCAAGGTCTGAGAGGCCAGGAAGAGGATGTGAAGCCCTATGGAGATGGCTTTGTCCCCTGACTTTTTATCCCCATTTGGGATGGGTAGAGGTATCTTTCTTCAGATCTGTAATAACCAGACCTCTTTCCAGGCTTTTTTTGTTTTTTGTGTGTTTGTTTTCACATTTTGAAGTAATAATACATACTTGTTGTAAATAATTTTGGAAAAATCAAGAAAACACAAAGAACAAGATAAAAATTATCCATAAACTTCTATCCAGAGATATTCACTGGTAACATTTTGGTACAAATCCTTCCAGTCTTTCTTCTGTAAATATGCTTTTTGTTTGATAAATAATTATCATACTGTAATATTATTTTGTAGCATTGGGGAGCAGGGAGAGGATGAAAATTTTCTATGCCATTAAGTATTCTTTAAGAACATTTCGCTAAAGCTTTGTTTTTTTTTTCTTATTACCAAAGCTCTATCTCAATGCAGAGGGCTTGGAAAACAAAAAAAAAAGCACCAAGCAAGAGCAATCCATTATCTTTTTACTTTCTAGAAAGAACTTCTGTTAACATTTTAGTGTGTGTCCTTCTGGTGTGTCCTTTTTGATTTTAATTGGAATTGCATTAAATTTATAAATTAATCTGAGGAGAAATGACATCTTTACAATATTGAGCCATCCCTTCCAAGGAGTAAGTTATGTCTCTCCATTTATTCAAGACTTCTTTTATGTCCTCTAGTAAAGTTTTGTAGTTTTCTTGATATAGGAATTGCACATTTATGGTAAGGTATTTTCTTTTTTTGTTGTTGTTTTTGTGAGTAGGGTCTCTTTTTTTCCCCTATAATTCCTTGCTGTTTATTGCTGCTATGTGGGGAGGCTATATGTTTTTCTATATTTGTATGCTGGCCTCTTGATGAGCTCTCTGTTTACTTTCTGCTAGGTTTTCACCTGATTCCCTTGTGTTTTTAAGAGAACCATAATAAGCATCTGCAAGTAGTATTAATTGTGTCTCTTTTCTGATTGCAACAACATGATTTGTTATTTTTGTCTTATTCATATCATGATTTTAAGGAATATTTTATTATGGAGAATGTCTGCCATACACACACAGAGAGAGTAGCGTAATGAATCCTCATGTGCCCTTCATCTGGCCCCAGCAAAACCCATGGCCTCTTCTGCCCCATCTGTACCCACTTTGCATCATGTGAGTAAAATTCTTCCCACATTTTGAATCCAATTTCATTCACTGTACCGTATCATCCTATGCTTTGATTGATAATGCCTACAAGTTGTTCTGCCATATGGGTGGGTTTTAATATATTGAGTAATCTCTTGCTTTTGGACATTAAGCTGTTTCTATTTTTTTCAATATTATGTAAAAAACCTTATCCATAAATGTGTTTATATATCTCCAACTTTCTCTAAATTTATATTCCTAGAAATGGAATTACTGGGTCATATGGTATTTTGATCATTTATTTCCCTTTAAACACATACACACAATCACGATGGCTTTTCTGATGAGAAATGTAACACATGTTCACTGCAGAACTTTTTAAAAATACAGAAAAACACAAAGAAGGAAATTAAATTTACCCATGAGCCTACCACTCAGAGAAAACCACCCTTAACTTTTGGTACGAATTCTTCTTGTCTTGTTTTATGCACGTGCTCGGCATGTCGATGCACACCTGTGTGGATGCACACGCGTACACACTTAAGTGTTACAAACTGTAAGCATGCTGGAGTACTCTGGAAGGGACACAGTTGTGTGTTCACGTGTTAAAATATTACCCTTTTTTCTTTTTAATAGATTTTATTTTTTGGAGCAGTTTTAAGTTCACAGCAAAAACTGAGTGGAAGGCACGGAGATTTCCCATATACCCCCTGCCCACACACATGCATAGCCTCCTCCATTATCAACATCTGCCACCAGAGAGGTACATTTGTTACAATGAATGGACTTATACTGATACATCATCATCATCCAAAGTCCATAGTTTACATTAAGGTTCATTCTTGGTGGTGTACATTCTGTGGGCTTTGACTAATGTATAATGACATGTATTCACTATAATAGTATCATACAGAATCATTTGACTGCCCTAAAAATCCTCTGTGTTTTTACCAATGCATCTCTCCCTCCTCCACCCGCTGGAAGCCACTGCTTTTTTTTACTATCTCCATAGTTATGCCTTTTCCAGAATGTCAGTAGTTGAAATCATATAGTCTGTAGCCTTTTCACATTGGCTTCATTCGCTTAGTGATAGGCACTTAAGTTTTATCCTTATCTTTTCATGGCTTGATAGCTCATTTCTTTTACGTGCTGAATAATATTCCATTGTCTGGATGTAGCCAGTTTGTGTATCCACTCATCTACTGAAGGATATCTTGATTTCTCCCATGTTTGGGCAACCATGAATAAAGCTGCTATACACATCCATGTGCAGGCTTTTGTGTGGACATATTTTCAACTCCTTTGTGTAAATACGAAGGAGTGCCATTGCACTTGCGTGTAAGAGTATGTTTAATTTCATAAGCAATTGAAAAACTTTTCTTTCAAAGTGGCTGTACTATTTTGCATTCTCACCAGCAGTGAATGAGGGCTCCTGTTGCCCCGCATCCTTGCCAGACTTTGGTGTTGCTAGTGTTCTGAATTTTGGCCATTCTAACAGATGTGTAGTGGTATCTTGTTGTTGTTTTAATTTACATTTCCTCAATGACATATAATATGGAGTATCTTCATATGCTTATTTTCCATCTGTATATATTCTGTTAAGGTCTTTGGCCCACTTTTTAATAAGGTTGTTTGTTTTCTTATTGTTGAATTTTAAAAGTGGTTTGCATATGTTGGATAATAGTCCATCATCAGGCCGGGCGTGGTGGCTCACGGTAATCCCAGCACTTTGGGAGGCCGAGGCAGACAGATCACTCGAGGTCAGGAGTTCAAGACCAGCCTGGCCAAGATGGGGAAACCCTGTCTCTACTAAAAATACAAAAATTAGCCGGATGTGGTGGTGGACGCCTCTTATCCCAGCTACTCAGGAGGCTGAGACAGGAGAATCACTCGAACCCAGGAGGCAGGGGTTGCAGTGAGCCAAGGTTGTACCACTGCACACCAGCCTGGGCAACAGAGCAAGACCCTGTTTCAAAAAAAAAAGTAGTCCATCATAAGATATGTCCCAGTCAGTGGCTTCATTTTTCATTCTCTTTACTGTGTCTTTTGCAGAGCAGAAAATTTTAATTTTAATGTAGTCCAGCTTATCAATTATTTCTTTCATGGGTCGTGCCTTTGGTATTATATCTAAAAAGCCATTGCCAAACCCAAGTTTGGCAATTTATAGTTTTGCATTGTACATTGAGGTCTCTGATACACTTTGAGTTCATTTTTGTGAAGGGTGTAAGGTCTGTGTCTAGATTCTTTTTTGCATGTGGATGTCCAGTTGTTCTAGCCCTTTTGTTGAAAAGTCTTTCTTTTCTCCACCGTATTGCCTTTGCTCCCTTGTCAAAGATCGGTCGACTTTATTTATGTGGGTCTGCATCTGAATTCTCCATTCTGTTCCAATGATCTATTTGTCTGTCTATATGCCAACATCATGCTGTCTTGATTACTATAGCTTTATAGCAAGTCTTGAAGTTGAGCCGTGTTGATCTCCCAATGTTGTTCTTCTCCTTCAATATTGTGTTGATTATTCTGGTCTTTTGCCTCTCTATGTACACTTTAGAATCAATTTGTCAATAGCCACAAAATAACTTGCTGAGATTTTGATTGGGATTGCACTGTATCTATAAATCAATTTGGGAAAAACTCACATCTTGAAAATAATTGACTTTTCTTATCCATGAACATTGAAGGTCTCTCCATTTATTTAGTTATTCTTTGATTTCTTTCATTAGAGTTGTGAGTTTTACCTCAAATATATCTTGTACATATTTTGTTAGATTTATAACCCAAGTGTTTCTTTTCTTTGCATGTTAATGTAAGTGATCTTGTTTCTATTTCAAATTCCATTTGTTCATTGCTGGTATATAGAAAAGCAATTGACTTTTGCATATTAACCGTATATTCTGCCACCTTTCTATAATTGCTTATTAATGCCAAGAGGTAGTTTTCTCTTTTGTTCCTGATTCACGTGGATTTTCTACATAGGGGATCATGTCACCTGTAAACAAAGACAGTTTTATTTCTTCCTCCCCAATCTGAATTTCTTTCGTTTCCTTTTCTTGCCTTATTGCATTTGCTAGGACTTCCAGTGTGATCTTGAAAAGCAGTGGGAGAGGGGACATCCTTCCCTTGTACCTGATTTTAGTGGGAAAGCTTCAAGTTTCTCACTATTATGTATGATGTCAACTGTGGGTTTTTGTAGATGTGCTTGAGAAGAATGTGTATTCTGCTATTAATATTCTTATGAAGTTGAGGACATTCCCCTTTATTCTTACTTTACTGAGAGTTTTTATCATTAATGGGGTGTTGGATTTTGTCAAATGCATTTTCTGCATCTGTTGATATGATCATGTGATTTTTCTTCTTTGGCCTGTTGATACTGATATAATGGATTACATTAATTGATTTTTAAATCTTGAAACAGCCTTGCATACCTGGGGTAAATCCCACTTGGTTGTGTTATGTAGTTCTTTTTATACATGATTGGATTCAATTTGCTAACTTTTTGTTGAGGATTTCTGTATCTGTATTAATGAGAGATATTGATCTGTAGTTTTATTTCTTGTGATGTCTTTGTCTGATTTTGGTATTAGAGTAGTGCTGGCCTTGTAAAATGAGTTAAGAAATAGTCCTCTGCTTCTGTTTTCCAATAGAGTGTAGAGAATTTGTATTATTTCTTTCTTAAATGTTTAGTAGAATTTACCAGTGAACCCATCTGGGCCTGGTGATTTCTGCTTTGTAAGGTTTATTATTAATTCAATTTCTTTAATAGAGAGAGTCCTGTTCAAATGTTCTCTTTCTTCTTGCATGAATTTTGACAAATTGTGTTTCATTCATTTCATCTAGGTTAGCAAATTAGTGGACATAGAGTTATTAATATTCCTCGATAATCTTTTTAATGTCCACGAGATCTGTAGAGATGTCCCCTCTTTCACTTCTGATACTAACAATTTGTATCCTCTCTTTTTTATTCTTAATTGGCCAAATTAGAGGCCTATCAATTTTATCTGTCTTTTCACATGACCAGCTTTTGGTTTCATTGATATTTTTATATTGATTTCTTGTTTTCAGTTTCATTGATTTCAGATCTAATTTTTATTATTTCTTTTCCTCTGCTTACTTTGGATTTAATTTGCTCTTCTTTTTCTAGTTTCCTGAGGTAGAAACTTGGATTATTAATTTTAGATCTTTCTTCTTTTCTATTTTATGCATTCAGTGCTATAAATTTCTCTCTATGCACTGCTTTCACTACATCCCACAAATTTTGATAAGTTATGCTTTCATTTTTATTTAGTTCAAAATATTTTTAAATTTCTTTTGTGACCCATGTGTTATTTGGAAGTACATTGTTTAAGCTGGGCACAGTGGTATGTGGCTGTAGTCCCAGCTACTCTGGAAGCTGAGGTGGGAGGATCACTTGAGCAGAGGAGTTTGAGTCCACATAGCAAAACAAGGAGGAGGAGGAGAAGGAGGAAGAGGAGGAGGAGGAGCAGGAGGGGGAGGAGGAGCATTGCCTAATCTTCAAGTATTTGGGGATTTCCCTGATCTCATTCTGTTATTGATTTCTAGTTTAATTCCACGGTGGTCTAAGAGTAGACATTATATGATTTCTAGTCTTTTAAATTTGTTAAGATGTGCTTTATGGACAGAATGTGGTCTATATTGCTGAATGTTCCATGTGAGCTTGAGAAGAATGTGTATTCTGTTGCTGTTGACTGAAGTAGTCTATAGATGTACATTACGTCTGATTCACTGAGGCTGTTGTTGAGTTTAACTATAACCTTACTGATTTTCTGTCAACTGGATCAGTCCATTTCTGATAAAAGGGTGTTGAAGTCTCCTAGTAGAATAGTAAATTCATCCATTTTTCCTTGCCTCATGTATTCTGATGCTCTCTTTTGAGCACATACACATTAAAGATTGTTACGTCTTTTTGGATAATTGACCCCTTCATCATTATGTAATGCTTCTCTTTGTCTCTGATAAAGTTCCTTGACCCAAAGTCTTCTCCATCTGAATACAGCTACTTTCACTTTCTTTTGATTGATATTAGGATGGCATGTCTTCATTCATTTACTTTTTTATTGTGGTAAAATACAAATAACATAAAATTTGCCATCTTAACCATTTTTAAGTGTACTGTTCAGTGGTACTAAATACATTCATAATGTTGTGCAACCATCAGCACCACTCATCTCCATAACTCTTTTCATCTTGTAAAACTGAAACTCTATAACTCTATATCCATAAAGAATAACTTCACTTTCCCCCCTTCCTCTAGGCCCTGGAAACCTCCTTTCTATTTTTTGATTCTCTGATTTTGGCTACTCTAAGTACCTCATATAAGTGGAATCATACAGTATTTGTCTTTTTGTGACTGGCTTATTTCACTTAGCCTACTGTCCTCAATGTTTATTCACGATGTAACATATGTCCGAATTTCCTTCTTTTCTGGATATTGTTCTGGATATTAATTGTTCTGGAATATGTTCTGGATATTAATTCCTTATCAGGTGTATGATTTGCAAATATCTTCTCGCATTCTATAGGTTGCATTTTACTCTGTTAATAGTGTCTTTTGATATACAGTTTTTTGGTAATTTTTTATTAAGCTCAATTTGTCTTTCTTTTCTTGTCTGTGCCTTTGGTGTCATATCCAAGAGATTGTTGCCAAATTCAATCTCATGAAGCCTTTGTTCTATGTTTTCTTCTAAGAGTTGTATAGTTTTAGGTCTTACATTTAAGTCTTTGATCCATTTTGAGTTAGTTTTTGTATATGGTGTTAAGTAAGGATCCAAATTCATTCTTTTACATGTGGACATTCAGTTATTCCAGCATTATTTGTTGAAAAGACTATCCTTTCCCCATTCAGTAGTCTTAGCACCTTTGTCAAAAATCATTTAACCATACATGTGAGGTTTTATTTCTGGACTCTATATATAGTTTGTCTTTATGCCAGTATCACACTGTTTTGATTACTCTAGCTTTGTAGTAAGTTTTGAAATCAGGAAATGTCTTTCAACTTTGTTCTTCTTTTTCAAGACTGTTTTTGGCTATTTGGATTCCTTTGCAATTCCATATGAATTTTAGGATTGGTTTTTCTATTTCTGCAAAAAAATGTCATTGGGATTTTCATTGACATTGAAATGTCATAAGGATTTCATTGAATCTACAGATCACTTTGGGCAGTATTGACACCTTAACAATATTAAGTCTTCCAGTCCATGAACATGGGATGTATTTACATTTATTGATGTCTTATTTAATTACCTTCAACAATGTTTTGAAGAGCTTTTTACATTTTAAATTTTATTTTTTGTGGGTACATAATAGATGTATATATTTATGAGGTTCATGAGATGTTTACCTGTATTATTTTCCTTCTCTCTAAAGAACATCTTTTAATATTTCTTGTAAGGCATACAGGCATGCAATATGTAATAATCACATCATGGGAAATGAGGTAGCCATCCCCTCAAGTATTTATCCTTGTGTTACAAACAATCCAATTACACTATTTTAGTTTTTAAATGTACAATTAAATTATTATTGATTATAGTCACCCTGTTGTGCTATCAAATACTAGGTCTTATTAATTCTTTCTAGTTATCTATTTTGTACCTATTAAGCACCCCCACCTCCCCCCACCCAGCCTACCACTACCCTTCCCAGCCTCTGGTTACCATCCTTCTACTCTCTATCTCCATGATTTCAATTGTTTTGGTTTGAGAGTGTGTGATGTTTATCTTTCTGTGCCTGGCTTATTTCACTTAGTATAATGACCTCATTTCCATCTATGTTGTTGAAAATGAGATGATCTCATTCTTTTTATGGCTGAATAGTACTCCATTGTGTATAAGCACCACATTTTCTTTATCCATTCATCTGTTGATGGACATGTAGGTTGCTCCCAAATTTTGGTTATTGTGAACAGTGCTGCAACAAACATAGGTGTGCAGATATCTATTCAATATACTGATTTCCTTTCTTTGGAGCATATATCTAGCAGTGAGATTGCTGGATCATATGGTAGCTCTATTTTTAGTTTTTTGAGGAACCTCCAAACTGTTCTCCAAGGTGGTTGTCCTAATTCACATTCCCACCAACATGGTATGAGGGTTCCCTTTTCTCCACATCCTCAGTAGCATTTATTATTGCCTGTCTTTTGGATATAAGCCATTTTAACTGAGGTCAGATGATGCCTCACTAGTTTGGATTTGCATTTTTCTGATGATCAATGATGTGAGCATCTTTTCATATGCCTGCTTGCCATTTGTATGTCTTCTTTTGAAAAATGCCTATTTAAATAATTTCCCCATTTTATTTTGTAGTTTTCATTGAGCAGGTACAAGTCTTTCATCTCCTTGGTTAAGTCCTAGGTAGTTTGTCCTTTGTGAGATTATTAGAAATGGAATTATTTTGTGATATCCTTTTCAGATTGTTAATTGTTAGGTATAGAAATGCAACTGATTTTGTGTATTGACTTTGTATTCTGTTACTTTGCCAAATTTTATTAGCTCTAACTGATTTTTTGTGAAATATTTGGGGTTTTCTACATATAAGACCATATTATCTGCAGACAGACACTTTTACTTCTTCCTTTCTGACTTGGATGCCTTCTTTTTCATTTTCTTGCCTAACTGCTCTGGATAGAACTTCCAGTAGAATGTTTAATAGAAGTGGTGAAAGTGAACATCCTAGCCTTGTCACTGATCTTAGAGGAAAAGCTTTCAGTCTCTTACCATTGAGTATGACATTTGCTGTGGGCTATTCATAAATGGCTTTTATTATGTTGAGATAGTTCCCTTCTGTTCCTAGTTGTTGAGTGTCTTTTATCATGAATAGTTGTTGAATTTTGTCAAATGCTGCTTCTGCATTGATTCAGATGATCGCATTTTTTTCCTTTATTCTGTTACTATGATGTATTATATTGATCAGTTGTTTTGAACCATCCTTGCATTCCAGGAATAAATTTTTCATTTGTTCATTTACTTTTATTTTATGTGCACCTGTATAGTTAAAATAGGTTTATTGTAGACAACATATAGTTGGATCTTGTTTTTTGATCCACTTTGACAATCTCTTTTAGTTGATGCATTTAGACCTTTGATGTTTAAAATGAGAATTGATATAACTGGATTAATATCTACCTTATTTGTCACTGTTTTCTATTTGTTGCCCTTGTTCTTTGTTTCTATTTTTGCCTTCCAGCCCTTTTCTGCCTTTCATGATTTTAATTGAGCATATTTTATCATTTCATTTCCTCTCCTCACTTATCATGTCAATTGTACTATTTTTTTAGTAGTTGCCCTAGAGTTTGCAATATACATATGCAACTAATCCAAGTTCATTCTCAAATAATGTTATACTGCTTCACAAGTAGTGTGAGTATTTTACAGTAACAAAATAATCCTAATTCCTCCCTCCCATCCTTATATCATTGCTGTCATTCATTTTGCTCATATATAAGCATACATAAGTGGATATTTATGAATACATTGTTGCTATTATTATTTTGAACAAACTATTGTCTGTTAAATCAATTAAGAGTAAGAAAAATACATTTTTTAAATTTTACCTTCGCTTATTCTTTCTTCAGTGTTCTTCTTGTATGTAGATTGAAGTTTTTGACCTATATTATTTTCCTTCTCTCTAAAGAACATCTTTTAATATTTCTTGTAAGGCAGATCTACTGGCAACAAATTTCATTGATTTTTGTTTGTCAGAGAAAGTCTTTATTTCTCTCCACTTTTGAAGGATAATTTCTCAGGATACAGAATTATAGGTTGGTTTTTATTTTCTCTCAATACTTTATATATTTCACTTCACCCTCTTCTTGCTTGCATGGTTTCTGAAGAGAAGTCAGATGTAATTCTTATCTTTTTTCCTCCATAGATAAGATGCATTTTTCTTCGGGCTTGTTGGGATTTTTTTCTTGATCTTTGATTTTCTATTGTTTGAAAATGATATGCCTCAGTGTCATTTTGGGGACATATTTCCTGCTTTGTGCTTGGTGTGCTCTAAGGATCCTAGATCAGTGGTTTGGTGTCTGACATTAATTTGAGGAAAGTCATTACTGTTTCAAATATTTCTCCTGATCATTTCTCTCTTCCTTCTCCTTCTTGCATTTCCATTAGGCATTTTTACAGCCACAGTTTTTGGATATTCTGTTTTCTTCTTCCAGTCTTTCTGCTCTTTGCTTTTCAGTTTTGGAAGTTTCTATTGAGATATCCTCAAGCTCAGAGACCCACTTCTCAGCTGTGTTCAGTCTACTTACAAGCCCATCAAAGGCACTCTTCATTTCTGTTACAGTATTTCGTTTTGTTTTGCTTTTTATCTCTAACATTTCTTTTTTTTTTCTTAGAATTCCCATCTCTTTGCCTATCTGTTCTTGCATGCTGTCCTCTTTATCCATTAGAGCCCTTAGCATATTAATCATAGTTGTTTTGAATTTCTGGTCTGATAATTCCAAAATCCATGCCATATCTGAATCTGGTTCTGATGCTTGCTCTGTCTCTTCAAACTATGGTTTTTATGCCTTTTAGTATGCCCTGTAATTTTTTCTTGATAGCTGGACATGATGCACTGGGTAAAAGTAACTGCTGAAAATAAGGCCTTTAGTGATTTAGTGGTAAGGGGTGAGGAGAGGGGGAAGCATTCTATAGTGCTATGATTACATCTCAGTCTTTTGGTGAGCCTGTGCCCCTGGGCGGTAAACTTCACAGGTGCTTCTCCCCCACCTCCCCCGCAACACACACGTGTAGAAGGGATAGGATGGCTAGGGTGGGCTGGAGTTGAGTATTTCCCTTCCACCAGGTCAGTTAGTCTCTCATGAAACCCCAGCAGGTTAGGCTCTGGCTAACTAGTTTCCCCTGAGGACAAACCTTGTTAAAAACAGAATGCTCTGGCATATTTTGAAATGATTCCTTTTCCCCTTCCACTGCCAGAAGCACATGGGGATTTTTCTCCAATATTCACTTAAGAACCTGGTAGAATTCCAGGAGTAAAACTCACAAAAGCGTGGGGGCCCAGTGAAGGCCTCCCCTGAGGTTTTTGTCTCTCAGACTTATCCACACTGAGCCTCCAGCAACTAGTCAATTACACTTTCGGTTTTCCTACCTGCACACCGATTCCCATGGAGGTTTCTGCTCCATTAATTTGTAATTCTCTCTATTTACCTATCTCTCCAATTCTGGGGGCAGTGGTTTGCCCTGTGACCTCACTTCTCTTACAGATCTAAGAAGAGTTGTTGATTTTTCAGTTTGTTCAGCCTTAACTGGTTGTTAGGACAGAATGGCAACTTTCAAGCTTGTCATATGCCAGACCAGAGACTGGAAACCACTACTTTTTAGAATTTTCAAAACAATTAAAACAATCCAAATACCCATCAGCTGGTGGATAGAAAAATAAAATGTGGTACGTCTATACAAAGTAATATTATTTAGCAATAAAGAGGAATAAAGTACTGATACATGACACTAATATGGATGAACCGCAAAAGCACACGAAATACAAAAAGCCAGATGAAAAGACCACCTATTGCATGATTCCATTTATATGAAATGTTCAGAAAAGACAAAAAGTAAATTAGTGGCTGCCTGGGAGTGGGAATGAAAACTATAATTGACTGTAAATGGGCACGGGGATTCTTACTGGGTGATGGGAAGGTTCTAAAACAGGATTGTGCTTATGGTCATAGAACTCAGTAAATTTACTAAAAATCATTGTACACTTTAAAACAGGTGAATCTTGTAGAATGTAATAATACCTCAACAAAATCAATTATCAAAAATAATAAAGGTTTAATTGGAAAAAATATAGAAAGGCATTAAGAATGAAACAAGAAATGTCTTCTATTCTTATGTTAAAGACATAAGTTCCTCTTCTTCTTCCTCTTCTAAAGGGAATTGTACTGCACCTCTGCCAGAAACCCTCACTGTTCACTTAAAAATATATCATGGGTATTTCCTGTGTCATTAAATTTTTGTGATTATATGTAAATACATAGACAATAGTTTACTATTTCTCTGGTTGAACGTCCCTAGATCTCCTTCCCCATACATGATCCATATGCCTACTGTTGTTGTTAGAGTCCATTTCTAGATATCAAATTCCCGAGTCACAGGCGTGGACATTTTTAGGGCTTTTGGTAAATTTCTAATGTCCATCTCAACAGGCTGGGTATACATTTCCCCCTCCACCCACAGTTAAGCAGGTATCTCTTTCTAAACAACTATTCCCGCACCAAAGCTGGAGCCATGGTTTATTTTGTATCTTTACCAACTGGATAGGCAAAAAATGGTATCTCATTGTTGGTTTAAATTGAGTTTATTTTAATTATTAGGGAAGTTGCACACTTCTTCATACATTAATAGCCCCTTTGTATTATTTTCTTTTCTTTTGTTAAAGGTTCATACTCGTCCTTTGCACATTTTTCTATGGGAGTATTCGTCCTTTTTGTAGAATTTAAGAGCTTTTTATAAAATAAGAGCTTCCATCTTTATGCTCCCACATATGTTACAAATATTTATTTCAAGTTTGTGTTTGTAATTTAATTTTGTTTATGGTTTTTAATGGGTAGAAGTTTTATGTTATTTTTGTGGAGCTATCAAACTTTCTTTTATGGTTTCTGATGTTTTTGAAAGGCTTAGAAAGACCTCCTCTACCCAATATTGTAAAATATTCACCTATATTTTCTTTTTTGGTACTTTTATAGTATTTTTTCTGCTCCTCCCCTTACCCATTTGCCATTAATCTTTAATTTATCTGGAATTTATTTTAGATTAAGATTGAATTCTAACTTAAATTTCTTCCAAATAATTGAATAATTGTCACAGCACAGTTAATGAATAATTCATTTACTTACTGATTGGAACTAGCCATCTTTCTCATGTTTTAAATACTTATCTCTACTTGAGTCTCTTTATGGGAGCTTTTATCCTGTTCCTTTGATCTATCTGTGTTTTCATATGCTATTAGAACATGAATTTAATTATTTGGCTTAATGATATATTTTAAAATCTGGCAGTACGAATTACCTCTCATTCTTTTTAAAACATGTTTTGGTCATTAGTTCATGTTTAGTCTTCCAGATACATTTTAGAGTCATTTTATCAGGAAAAGAAAAATCCTTTCATGATTCTGATTGGAATTAAACTGAAAAATTAATTTGGAAAAACTGACACCTCTACACGTGAACTTTACCATTCAGAAACACACCATGTCTCTTCATTTAAGGCTATGTTTATATCTCTCATTAAAGGTGTTTTTTTTTTTTGTGCTGGTCATTTTTAATTTTTTTCTTTTCTTTTTATTTTTGTAAAGACAAAGTGTCACTATGTTGCTCAAGTTGGTCTTGAACTCTTGGCTTCAATCGTCATCTTCCTGCCTCGGCCTCTGGAAGTGTTGGGATTACAGGCATAAGCTACTGCTCTCAGCCTGTTTTTGTCATGTTTTAAAACTGGAATTGTAGTCCGGCACAGTGGCTCACACCTGTAATCCCAGCACTTTGGGAGGCAGGCCAAGGCAGGTGGCTCACCTGAGGTCAAGAGTTCCAGACCAGCCTGGCCAACATGGTGAAATCCCATCTCTACTAAAAATACAAAAATTATCCGGGCGTAGCAGCATGTGCCTGTAGTCCCAGCAACTTGAGAGACTGAGGTTGGAGAACCGCTTGAACCCGGGAAGCGGAGGCTGCCGTGAGCAGAGATTGTGCCACTGCACTCCAGCCTGAGCGACAAGAGTGAAACTCCATCTCAAATGAATAAATAAATAAATAAATAAAACTGGAACTGCACACTTCTCATTTGGTTTATTATTAGTTATTTAATGTTTTTGCTGATATTGTAAAAGGAATTCATTTGCTATTAAGTTTTTTTACTGATTGTCACTGATATGAAGAAACACTATTAATTTGTGCTAACTGGTCATTTAACTTAACTCTACTAGCTCCTACTTGTTTTCATGTTTAGGGATTATTTTAAGGGTTTTTATATCATTTGCAAATAAGAATTTCTTTCTTTACAAATGTTGTGGCTCTAAATTATTTTTCTTTCTTATTTCATTGGTTAATGGCGTGATGCAAATCCTCCCCCATGCCTCTTATTTTTCTTTAATGAGAATGCCTCTAGTTTTTCACCATTAGTATGATATTAAAGGCTGATTTAAGCTAAAAAAGTTTCAAGGAAGTATTTCTTCTGGTGCTATTTTATTATGCATTCTTAACAGCAATAGATATTGGATTTTATTAAATGCCATCTTGCATTTTGTGAGTTGATTATATTTTTTTTCTTATTTGAACTATTGATGTGATGGAATGATATTCATAGATTTCTTTATATTGAACCAGTCTTAGATTCCTAGAATAAAACTCTGCGTGGTCATGGTATGTTATCCTGGTAGATTCTGCTTGCTATAATTCTATTGAGAATTTTCACAGCAATATTAATAAGTTGGTAATCTTATTTTGGCCCTGTCGGGCTCTGTTATCAGGAATTTGCTGGTTGAGTGAAATGAATGAGGAGGATTTTCCTATTTCTTGTGCTCCTGCACACTTTCTAGGTATGGCAGTTACCTAGGATATTATTGAACATTTCAGGGAGCAGGCAACTTGTCTATAAAATCTTTTGAGCCAAGCATCCTTGCTAGAGCCCCATCCCTCCTCCCAACCACACACAATTTTACTCATCTTTCACAGGAGGAATCTTCGAGTATGCGGACGGCCCCAACGCCCAGGTCATGAATGCCGAGGAGCATGCCTTTCGATTTTCTGCCAACATCATCAACAGGAACAGGACTCTGCTGCCCAACACAACCTTGACCTATGACATACAGAGGATTCACTTCCATGACAGCTTCGAGGCGACCAAAAAGGGTGAGTGTGCAGCTCCTGCCTCTGTTCTCTTCCCAGCCTGGGGAGGGGAAGCGCTGCATTTGCTGTCCAAGATCCTGGGAATGGGCCAGAGCTCCAAGTAGGTTCAGAGCCTTTTCTACCTGGTTTGGGCTTGGAGCCAGACTGCCTGGACTTGCATCCTAGCAACTCTGATATTAGTTGTGTGACCTTGGACAAAATACCCTGTGCCTCAATTTTCTCATCTGCACAATGGATGCATTTCTGTAAAGTGCTTAGAATAGTAAGCGCTGGCACGTAGGAAGTACCATATAGGACTTTACTCTTATTGCACTTGGCTTCTTTGCCCTCCACATACTGAGCCACCAGGTCAGAGACCCAATTTCTGTGTCCCACCCACCTGCTTCTCCTTGCCTTGTATTCTGGCAGTCAGAGTCCCTGATATCGAGAGCAGTTACTGCTGACATTTTTTTTTTTTTTTAGACAGAGTCTCACTCTGTTGCCCAGGCTGGAGTACAGTGGTGCGATCTCTGCTCACTGCACCCTCCGCCTCCCAGGTTCAAGCAATTCTCCTCTCTCCGCCTCCTGAGTAGCTGGGACTACAGGTGCATGCCACCACACCCAGCTAATTTTTTGCATTTTTAGTAGAGATAGGGTTTCACCATGTTGTCCAGGCTGGTCTTGAACTCCTGACCTTAAGTGATCTACCCACCTCAGCCTCCCAGAGTACTGGGATTACAGGCCACTGTGCCTGGCCATTCTGACATTTTTGAGGCCACTCTGCTGAATCTCAGAGCTGATCTGCAGACAGACAAGAGGTGCCCCACCCTGGTTTAGCCTGGATCATCCGAAGAGTGATCCTTCACCCGTGACCCCTCTCTCTGCTGTTGTGTCTGCTCCCTGCCACTCTTTTCCCAGCATGCCCTGCAGCCTACCCTGTGCAGTGAAGTGTCCATCTCCCTGCTGAGAGTCTATGCTAACACCCTCTGCCCGGCCTTGTCCAGCTAGAAAATGACTCAACTCAACCAAAACTGCTCAATAAAAAGGTCAGGACACAGAACAAAAGCCTGGAATCAGAGTGCAGAGGCCCTCGTGGGTACAACCACCCACAAAAAGCTAGACTGGGTTTTCTGTCTATGTTTGCTAAAAATTACTAAAATAATACAATGACTCCCTAGTGGTACACCTGTGATTCAGCACAGGGACCTTCCCCAGCCAGGCAGGGAACCCCAGGGCAGAGTTTCCGAGCCCTCCCGGAGTTACTTCCTCCAGGAAATTATAGTCCTGCCCTATGTGAAACTGCCAAGTTGTTGGTGAGCAGGCCCAAGACAGAAACCTAGCTCCTGAAAATCTAGCCCTGGGCTTCCAAGTGACCAAAGCCACAACCCCTCCACTCCCCGCCTCCCCCCAACCAGATGACATGACTTGCTTTCTTAAATTCTTGGATGGAACATCTCATGGTCTTTCCCCAAATCGTCATTAGAGCCCATGAGGGCCTTTCCAGTCTAGCCCCAGCTTGGCCTTCCAGCCACATCCATACCATCTGCTCCCTTAGGCCCTGGGTTCTAGCCAAACCTGCCCTCCTCAGGGTGCCATGCTTCCTCCCACCTCTGGGCTTCCGCACATGCTGCCCTCTCTGCTTGTAATTCCCTTTCTCCAGCCCACCCTCTCCTGCCCTTTGCCTGGCCAACTCATCCTTCTCTTCTCAAACTTCCAGTCCTCAGGGAGACCCTCCCCTAACCCCTAGACAAGGTCAGGTCTCCTTGCTTTCATCTTATAACACTCAACTTTTCTTTCACAAGCCTGACCTGTGTGTGTGAGAGAGAGGTCATGTGATTATTGTACATTTCTTCCACTTGTCTGCAAGCCCCCGTGTCTTTTTACTGCTCCACTATAGAACCTGGCATGGGCCTGGCACGCAGGAGGCACAAAATCAGTCCTGGTAGTTTGATCGGATGCACAAATGAAAGTGTGTCAAACCCACTTAACGAACATTGTTCCTTACGATCCCTGCAGGAAAAAAGGCCCTGCCCTTTATAGGTCATGCCCAAGGAAGCTAGGTCATAGGACCAATAACTATAACAACCAGAAAATGAGAGAGAGCTACAGAAGTGTTGTGGTACAAGCAGGAAGGCTTCCTGGAGGAGGAGAGGTTTGAGTTGAGTTTTGAAGGATGGTGGGAAAGAGTGAGGAGTGGGATAAGGCAGAAGGTGGAGTGGAAAATGCAAGTTGTTTGAAGGAGCCAGTTTATGCACTTGAGAAGTCTGTTGAGCGCCCACTGTGTGCCAGGTGCTGGGGATCCCAAAGTGTTTAAGACAGAGGTGGCTGGTTCCTGTGACCATGGAGCTTATAATCTAGTGGATGAAGCAACAGGTGCCATACTGGGAGTTGCAGGAGAGAGTGCAGGAAAGGGAGGATGGAACATTAGCTTGGTCAAGGAGCATGAGTTTATAAGAAACAGACACCTACTCAAGCTAGATCAAGAAAAAAGGAACTGCCACCCAAATCAAGATATAGACCATGTGAGCCCTCCAGAAGCCCCCATGGCCCTCCCAGTCATTCCTCTCCCAAGGTCACCACCGTTCTGACTGCTGGTGCCCCACACTGGGTTTTGCTGTTTTTGAACTTTACATAAATGAAATCATTCAGTGTCTACTCTTTTAAGCCTTGCTCTTTGCTTTGTCTCGTATCCGTGAGATTGTCTACGTGGTTGAATATACTGGTCTTCATTGATGTACAGTGTTCTGTTACATGAATATGCCCCATTTTAAACAAATCCATTTCACTTTTGTTACACTTATGTGTTGGTTTCTGCTTGGGGCTATTACCTGCATTCCTGCTGTGGACGTTCATGTAGATGTCTTGTGATGCACATGTATACTCATTTTTGTTGGGTATATACTTAGGAGTGGAAGTATGCGGGTCACAGTATGTACATATGTTCAGCTAAACAGTTATCCAAAGCTGCTGCACAGTCTGAACTCCCCACAGCTATGTTTGAGAGTGGCACTTGCCCTACATCTTCACTAGCACTTGGTAAAGTCAGTTTTATTTTTAAATTTTGGCCATTCTGGTGGTTTCTGTAGTGAGTCTCATTATATATATATAGTGAATCTCTGTCTCTCTCTCTCTCTCACTCTCTCTCTCTCTCACTATATATATATATATATATTTTTTTTTTTTTTTTGAGATGGAATTTCACTCTTGTTGCCCAGGCTGGAGTGCAGTGGTGCCACCTCAGCTCATTGCAACCTCCGCCTCTTGGGTTCAAGCAATTCTCCTGCCTCAGCCTCCCAAGTAGCTGGGATTACAGGCATCCACCACCACACCCAAATGATTCTTTGTATTTTTAGTACAGGTAGGGTTTCATCATGTTGGCCAGACTGGTCTCGAACTCCTGACCTCGTGATCCACCCACCTCAGCCTCCTAAAGTGCTGGGATTACAAGTATGAGCCACCACGCCCCGCCTATATTCTTGATTTATATATTATTGCATCCTTTGTTGGAGAGATATCTCTATTGCATATATGCATTACATGTGGGCTTCCCTTTACATTCTCTTAACAGTTTCTTTTGAGGAGTAAAGTTCTTAATTTAAAGAAGTCCAATTTATCAATATTTTCCATTATGGTTAATGTATTTTGTGTTGTTTGAGAAGTCTTTGTCTAACCTAAGGTTATGAAGATATTTTCTCATTTTTTTCCTAGAAATGCTGTTGTTTTATCTTTCATAGTTAGCTCTGTGATCTATCTCACATTGATTTTCTGTGTATGGTGGGAGGCAGGGGTTTGGGCTTATTTTTTCTATACAATGCTGATGGGAGTAAAACCTTCCATTTCTTAGGAGAACTATTTGGCAGTATCTACTAAAGCTTGTGCCTATAACGATGTTTCTAGCCACTTTAATGGTAATAATCAAAAGTTAGAAGTAAATTAAAGGTCCATCAGTAGGAGAATGGATAGATTCGGATATAATTATACAATGGAATTTTAATCAGCAATTAAAAAAAGAATAAACTTTCTCCACTCAACATCATAGGTGAACCTCACAGATATAGTATTGAGTGAAAGAAAAGAGATTTCCTCTGGGAGAGGGAGTAGTGTGCAGTGAGTGGATATTGACTGGGAAGGAGCAAGAGAGACCCTTCTTAGGTGTTGGAAACGCTCTGTAGCTTGACTGAGATAGTGTAGCATACATGAGTGCATGACGTATGAATGAAATTATATGTGAAAATTCATAACAGTCATGTGCTTAACATTAATGCACTTTACTATATTTTATATCTCAATAAAAAAATTAAGTGCCATCTTTCTGCAACCCTCAATGTCCCTGTGATGACATGCCTAAGACAGATACCATCCCTCTGCTATGACTGGCAACACCACTGTCACACCTTGGCACATTCCTGCTGTTGGATCACACTCCCCTTTGGGTACCCTCTATCCCTCAGGGAGAGCCCCATGTTCCATGATCTTTATTTTTTCTTCTCATCTTTGGTTTTTTAAACAGCATTCTCCTGAGGCATCTTTAGGACTCTTCCAAGGAACCTGGGGCTTGGGGCAAATTCTAATTAATCCAGAAATAATTCATTTTCCCTAGACAGAAGTCCTCGTCATTGCTTTCTTCCCCTCCAGCTGGATCCAGCCACCTCGGGCCCTGTGGGGGGAGGGGACACAGAGGCATAAAGCCTGGCACCACCTGCCCTGCCAGCTCTGCTTGAATTAGTCCTTCCCTCCACATGAGGCCGGGGGCCTTTCCCTGTTAAAATGGACTTTCTCTTATTGTCTTTATCTTTTCATGTTTTGTGGAAATTAAAAGATGAGTGACTTCCAGGCAGCGCCAGAGGCAGCAGCAGCGCAGAGAGTGTCTGTGTTTTCTTCCAAGGCTGACCGGAGTGGGCCTGGAATTGACCCAGGGCTCCCCAGGCTCCTCCGCCTTCACTTATTCTCTGGGCTGCTCAATTCCTTTTAAGACACAAATTGATTGGGATAATTTTTGCCATAACTACAATTGCCATGGAAAGGGAGTGGGGGGACAGCATTCAGGCTGTGGACTCCTGCAATGACTGTGAACCATTGAGTTACTGTAAAATGACCAGAAAATGGATTTAAAATTGAAGCCACAAATAATGTAATTACTGCAGTGTGATCAGGGCTGCCAGAACAAGAGTTGGCTGCTGCCCTGGAAACATCTGGAAGAAAAGCTGCTGCTGCTGCTGTAAGCCCTGCCCTGGTCCCTGTGGGGGCAGCAGTGTTCTTCCCAGCTGGGAAGTCCTCAGAGGGTGGAAGGAACATGGAGGAGACAGGAAAGGGGAGGTGGAGAGAGGCCAGGGAAAAGCAATAGGTGAAGGCCAGGACTGATGCTTCCTGCTATGCAAGAGTAAAGTCTAATCACTGCATCTCTTGCAGAATGAAACCCAGTGTGGTCATCATCATCATCACCACCATTGACTCTACTATCAACACCAGTACACCAGCACCACAATTACTGTTTTCACCAGCAACAATGGTATCATCTCCACTCTTAATATCAGCACCACCAACACTACCCCCACTGTCATCACCTCCATCACTGCCATGACAGCAACATCTTCATCATCACCAGTCTCATCAGCACCAACATCTCTGCCACCATCCCACTGATACTGTCAGTACCATCAACGTTGTGATCACCTCCTCTCTCATCAATGCTGACATCCCGTCATCCCCTGTCATTATCACCACTACAGTGAAGGCACCAACACATTTATCATTGTCAGTCTCATCAACACCAACATCAACATCACCATCCCGCCATTACTATCACAACATCAACATGATTAATTTCACCCTCAGCAATGCCGTCACCATTATCATCATTGGCAGCCTCACAATATGGTCTTTAGTATCACAACGATTTCAGTTGCCTTTGTCATAATCCTCACAGTCTGTGTCAAAATAAAAGTCACTTCTTTGAAGAACACTCTTACAATCCTCTGCATCATCAGACTTTGTGTTGGTCCACTCTCCCTTGCCTTGGTCCAACAACATGCCCAGACCTTGGACATGACCTAAGAGGCCAGGCCGTGTAATGGTAGCAGTGGCAGGGAAGCCTGGACCTGACTGCTTCAAGGCATCAATCAATGAAGGAAATCTAAGAGGCAGATGCGTAGAGGTGGTGGTGGGAGGGAATGAGACATTCAAATCATTCAACCAAGTCTTCAAACTGAAGGTGTTCCAGGAAAAAGAATAGACAGATAATATAGTGGGACAGAAACCAGAGGCATCAGGGGACAGCTAGAAGGGTCAAAACAAAGGTAGGAGAGAGTATGAGGGAAACCTACAGGGTTTACAGGGTGCCCACGGCCTCAGGCTTGGGCAAGCCCTGGACTGCTGTCACTCACTGTTACCATCTCTTCCATGTTGGTACCCAGCTCCCATGGTTGCAGAGTGACTCACACATGGCCTCCTTCCTCAGGAAGTGCCTAATCTGAAGGGGACAAGGTTGTCGGGGAAGATATGCAACACCCCCAGACGGCAGAAGAATAGCACGAATGGGCAGTGAGGGTGCAGGTCCGAGCATGGCCTCCTTGGGGAGAGGGAACTGAAAAAAGAACTAGTCCTAAATTTGACAATTCACCAGCAAACCCAGAGTTCCTGTTTTTAAAGCATTTATTATCACTGTGGTTTGTCTCACACACCTGCTCACACCAAGGGCTACCCAAGGCATGTTGACTCAAAGGTGACAAGAGCAGGAACAAGATGGTGCTTCCCCGACTTGGCTCCCAGTCCCAGAACTACAGAAGCACCAGGAGGATGCCATGCCCCCGTTGTATGTGCTCTCCTGCACCTGGCCTTGGCCACAATGAATCCTGGGTTGCCCAGGAGATACCCTCTGTACTGGCACTGCTGCTGTTCTGCCCCGTGTTACAGGGGGCTCCAGCAGACCCCTAACAAAAACTAGCCAGCTCATCACATTGCTATATCTTTCACCTTGCCCTTAAGTGGCAATCTCTGGTGTTCCTGGTAGAAGTACAGATTTCAGGAAAAATAACTTCTTTATATAAAATCTCCCATTTCCAGGAGGCAGTGGGAGTGGTGGATGTGAGTCAACAGGAAACACAACCCAAGACCACATATTCTGATGGATTCAAAACTACCCTGTACCTCTGGATCAATCTGGATCAATCTGGACCATCCTTAAGCCCAGGCGAGAGGGACCCTTTCCCAGGGCCTGTGCTTTGATGTCTTGCCCTCTGCCTCCTCTGGTTGGCCTCTCCTCCCGGGACAAGGAGTCAGTGGGACCAGGGGACATACCCACCAGGAGCCTGTGCCCTGCCCTTCCAGACTTTCCTCTAAGGATCTAGAACCCTGAATTTCCTGCCCACTTGCCCCTGAGCCCACTTCTAGGACATGCGTGGGCCTCTTCCTTGGGTCTGTCTTCCAGAGGGAAAGCCATACTTGCAGGAGGTGCACTTTTAGGCCCTAAGGGTGACCAAGGGGCAGCTGTTTGCAGTGGGTGTAGACAGTGTTTGGACATAAGGGCTGGGGTTTCCACAGAGAATGCAAGGCCCCTTATGGTTCAGGATGGAGCCAGTGGTAAAAGAGAAAGGGGGAGAATGGGGTCCTGGTGCTACCTCTCCCCATGTCACTGTGTAGGAGAAGTCTCCATTCTCACCTGACTTTCCAGATTGTGATGAAGGTACATTTGTCAAGGTAAGAGAAAAGGACGTGTTTCGTTTAACAGTTTTTTAGCTTGACTAACAGCATGTAACTATTTAGCCGTATGGTATGTAGGCTTCCACTTATACTCTGGCCCTGGGCCCTGCAAATCTTAGGGGTAGGCCTGTGCCCAGTGGGTCATTCCCAGAGGCCCTTGAGACAGCCAGGCCTCAATACACTGAATCCAGTGTATTCATTCCTGCTTCGGTGCTCTGTCCTGCCTCCTCCTGTGTGCATCAGATGTCATATGTGTGCACATAGTGTCATTCCCCTGTCCACAGGTAGGTGAGCTTGCTCATGCTCTGTTGGTGGATCTCCGATGGTTGCAACTGGCGGAAAACTAAAACCTAAATGGCGTAAGTCTTGGTTCATGCAAATTCTAAGTCCAGGGTTTTGCCTGGTGGGCGACTCCTGTGTTTTCTCTCTCTTGGCTCTGCTCAACCCACACTGACTATGTTCACAGACAGGCGCCCCTCTTTATGAGCACAAGATGGCTACTGCAGCTCCAGCTGTTACTTCCTTGAAGGTTCACTTAAAGAGGGAGGTGCCCCTTTCTCAGTCCAGTGGATCTCATGGCATCCCACTGGCTCTGACTGGCCCACAAATGTCCTCTAAACTCATGGCTGTGAACTAGGAAGGTCAGTGAGTGGTTTTCTGGGTGCGAGCCGCATTCTCTGCACCAATGGGTTGACAGTGGAAAAGAGGGGTGAAGCCCCAAGGAAAATTAGAGACAGTTGAGAAAAGAAGAGAGAATGGCTTCTGGGGAGCTCTCCCACCTACCCCAGAATGACTCTAAGAGGTCCCCTTTCTATGGATCTTTTAGGCAGAATCCCCCATTTTGAGCCCCAGCTGCCCTGGGTCTGCTCATTTGATGCTCTGTTGTGCCCACTGATGTTCTACCATCCCAGGCCGGTGGAAAGCATCTGCTGCCTCACCTGCCTGAGTTTTTGGACCTCTGCAAGAACCTGAACTGTTTGAAGGCAGGGATTCGGCATTCATTCAACATTCAGATGATGATTCGGCACTGTCGATACAGCAGTAAACCACATAGATCAAGGCCCTGCCTCTTTGGAACTTACATTCTACTGGGAGGAGAAAGTCAACCAATGGACAAGACTTCCAGTGATCATTTAATAAAGAAGGAAATAAACAGGGCATGGGGGGACAGGGATTGTGATTATAAATTGTGCGGTGAAGGCCTCCCTAGTAAGACACAGACACAGAGGCCTCAAGGAGGAGGGGGAGGGAGTCTTGAGGCTCTATGAGGGAAGAGCATTCCAGCCAGAGAGGACAGCACGTGCAAATAGGCAGGAATGCACTTAGCATGTTCAAGGAGCATCATGGAAGCCAGAGGAGCTTGAATGCTTTGAGGGAGGGAAAGAAGGATGGGAGACGAAGTCAGAAAAGTGGCGGTAGGGACAGGGAAGGGAGGAGCTACAACAAGCAGGATCTCTGGCCACTGCTATGACTTTGGCTTTTGCACTGAGGAGCCCTTGAAGCAAAGGAGTGACGTAATCTACCTTATACTGTGGAAGTCTCACCCTGGCTGCTGAGTGCAGAATAGACAGGAGGGAGGATGACTGAGGAAGCTTCTGCAATAATCCAAGCCAAAGATGATGGCGGCTTGGACCAGGATGGGAGTCGGGGCTGGGAGTGGCGGGAAGTGGTCAGGTTGTGATGTATTTTGCAGGTGAAGCCACAGGAGTTGTTGATGAATTGGGGTGTGGGATATGAGTGAATGAGAAGAATCAAGACAGAACCATGGTTTTTGGCATATGGGTCCAGGGACAATGGAGCTGCTGTTTATGGAGGTGAAGGAGGTTGGGACAAGAGGGGATCCTGTGCTGGACATGTCAGATCTGATATGCATGTCAGATATCCAACTGGTGATGTTGAGTAAGAGGTGAGATGCACAGGTCCGGGGTAGGGAACAGGCCGGGCTAGAGGTTGAAGTTGAAGCACCATCAGCCAGTTTGATTCTATTTGTTTCTCAAGTCCCCCAAGAACAGAACCTGGCACAGAGATGGTGATGCTAATCCCAGGATGGTAACATTGAATGTGGTGATCACTTTTGTCATGGGCACTTCCTAAGGAAAAGGGACGTACCCTGGCACTGTGCTCCAGTCTCCCACAACCATGTCTTTCCACCTTCATGTGGTCTTGCAAGGCAGGGACTGTTAGAACCCCTGTTTTCAGATGAGGAAACTGAGGTTCAGAGAGCTCATCCATTGTGCACCCACCGAGGGTTCCAGTTGCTGTTTTTCCCACATGTTTACAGGATCATCAGCATCACTGTCCCCATACCCACAGCCCCAGTGCTGACCCCTGTGCTGCCCTACCCTCTGTTGCAGCCTGTGACCAGCTGGCACTGGGCGTGGTGGCGATCTTCGGCCCATCACAGGGCTCCTGCACCAATGCCGTCCAGTCCATCTGCAATGCCCTGGAGGTGCCCCACATCCAGCTGCGTTGGAAGCACCACCCGCTGGACAACAAGGACACCTTCTACGTGAACCTCTACCCCGACTACGCCTCGCTCAGCCATGCCATCCTCGACCTGGTCCAGTACCTCAAGTGGCGGTCAGCCACCGTGGTCTATGACGACAGTACAGGTGGGTGGCCAGGCCTGGCTAGGCTGGGGGCAACGGTTGAGGGGGGCAGAGGCCCAGGATCAAGCTCTTGTCTGTTTGTTCAGCACAGCTGCCCTGGGGGAAGAGGCTGTGTTCCATACCCCAGTTCCACTCGGTTATGCTGATGTTCACCCCTGCACCCACTCACACCCTGTGCACCCCAGCGGCACTCATATCTCACTCAGCCCCAGCGCACCTCACCCCTGCCTCACACTCAGCTCCTCCTCTAGCAGCACAAGTGTTCAAATCTGCACTGAACACCCACCCTAGCAGCAGCACACACATCTGCAAGCCACACCGACACCTGCCCATGCCCTTACGCTCACACATTTCCATCTGCTGCAAACACATCCACCCTCACACTTGCACACTCACACACATAGCTTATGGCGTGGCCTAGTGTTAAGTGTGTACACACTGGAGCCAAACCACCTGGGTGTAAATCCCATCTCTATCACCTGCTGGCTGAGTAGCCTCTTTGTGCCTCAGTTTCCTATAAAATGTAAATCTGTAAAATGTGGGATTACAAGATGACAGTGACAAGCACTGACATGCAGTGAGCGCTGAAGGTTGGTTCTTCTCATCCTCCTCACACCTTCACCCGCCACACACACACTCTTCTCTACCCACACTCACACACAGACACCTGCACGTGCCCAGCTCTGCTCGCACACACACCAGCCCCTGCCATACCCACTTGACCGCTGACCCCAGCCAGTGCCAAGCTTGCAGACGTCAGCACCAGGCTGTTGTCTCATCCTGCCAGGACAGAAAGAGGAGATGGGCTCTGGGGCCCGTGGCTATGAGCTGCGGGCCCAAAGCTGGGCTCCCTGATGTGGCTGCACCTGTCCCACATGCTCTGCCAGCTAGAGCTAATGCTGCCCACATTTTTCTGGGTAGGACCCACCTGACCCACTCCTGCCCTGCCTTCCAAGTCCAGCCTGGGCTCTGCCTTCCAGAAAACCCTTGCTCCAATGTGATACCCCCTGCCTCTCAAGTCCCAGGCCCTTAGAGAGGGCCCAGAGCACACACCTAGCAGATAACCACCAACAAACCCAGCAAACGCACTCTGGCTTTTCCTTTGGATCTCATTCATTGCTAGGAGCTGGAGATACTTAGATAAACAAAACCCACTCTTTCTGTCACCCAGGCTAGAGTGCAGTGGTGCCACCACAGCTCACTATCACCTCGACCTCTGGGATCAAGAGATCCTCCCACCTCAGTCTCCCAAATAGCTGGAACTATAGGCATGCAGCACCACACCTGGCTAATTTTGTATTTTTTTGTAGAGCCAAGTTCTGGCTACGTTGCCCAGGCTGGTCTCCAACTCCTGGATTCAAGCAATCCTCCCACCTCAGCCTCCCAAAGTGCTGGGATTACAGGTGTGAGTCACCACACCACACCAAAACTCAGTTCTTGGTCTTGGCAAGCACTACATTGTAGGGAAACACAAACGGGACAACATAGCCATCTGCATGAACAGAGCCATCTCCATGTAGCTCTATGTACAGAGAGCTAATGGTCTGCCATAAGTCACAAAAAGAGCAAGCAGGAAAGGGAAAAGGGAGAGAAGAGC
This sequence comes from Homo sapiens, assembly GCF_000001405.40. Classification (NCBI taxonomy): domain Eukaryota; kingdom Metazoa; phylum Chordata; class Mammalia; order Primates; family Hominidae; genus Homo; species Homo sapiens. Next base: position 36,879,039 of record NC_000001.11, on the reverse strand, counting down.
CACTGAGGGCACTGACCGCTGCCTGGTCCCTGCCTTCATCCTTAAGTCATCCTTGTGAGGATGTGTGGGGCAGGGACAGACCTGGAGAGTCCCCTAGAGATGGAATTCATACATGCTTCTGGATTCATCTGCTAAAGAAGGCTACTGTTTACCTGCTGCGAACCAAGTGGTGCAAGTGTGATCTTATTTCATTTCATGTAAATCTCATAGTAACTCCCTGGAGCGATGAATTAGAAATGAGGAAACTGAGTCCCAAAGAGGTGACATGCCCTGTGCACTGTCACCCAGCTAGTGAGTGCCAGAGCCAGCATGCACCTACAGGCCTGTTTGAGCCTAAAGTCTGTGCTGCTAGCCAGCATGGAGCTGTTTCTTCTCCTCTTTCTTTCCAAAGGCTTGAGTCCCAAGACATTTCTTAGCCTGGCCTCTTAAGAGAGAGTGACCTTGGCAAGTCACTTAACCCATCTGGCCTTGCTCTGCCCACATGTCAAGAGCTGCTGCATCCAGCCTTGAAAGAGCCCTCCAGCTCTCAGCTGCCTGTGATTCAATGTCAGCTTTTGATTACCTCCTAATGGGGACTGGAAATAGTAGGGAGAGACTCCCTCAGAAAAGACAATTGGAAAGCTGTTTATTTAACTCAGGCTTCTACAAGCATCTATTGAGTTCCTGCTATTTCCAAAGCACCCGACAGAAGATCCTTGAGAGCAGGGATCCCCAGCCTGGCTTATTCACCCCAGCATGAAGACCTTGCCATTGAGGGGCACTCCTGCCCACCTCCCAGCCACTCCAGTGTTTCTGCTGCATTGTGGAGTTGTTTCTTAATGTACCACTGTGAATCATTATCTGTCTGTGAGTCTGTGTCTGCTTCCAGGCCAGGAGCTTTCAGTGTCTCCAGGATTTAACACAGGGTCTGGTACAGTGTAGATGTTTTTCATTGTTTGTTGGCACTGAGTTGGATTGGACTGGATTGGATTAGTTTGGATTGAATTGGAAATCAAGTTGAATTAAACCCTAATTAAATATTGAAGGAAAGAGTATACGGGTGAAGAAACAAAGATGTTGTTATCCTGTCTTCTTTTGAAAAGTTAATCTTAGCATAGAAGAATGGGTGCCTGCCCAGAGGTCACACATAATTCTAGGCCATCAGAGCTAAGAATGAAATGGCATATACATTTAGTCAGAGCCAGACCACTTGGGGAATGGAAGCTCTATGGCCTTGGCTGGTCTGAGCTGACTTACCAGAGGAGGAGAGATTGGAGCAGGATAGGTGAATGAGGAGAGGATAGATGAATGAGGAGAGGAATCATGAGGGAATTACAGGTGGAGGGAACAGCATGAGCAAAAACTAGGTTGGACTGTACCTAGCAGCTTAACCAAGAGGACAGCCTGGCTAGGGGAGAGGATTCAGGTATGGAAGGTGGGAAGAAAAAGTCAGATTAACAGAGTGTAGCTGGCTATGCAAGGTCTCTGATGTCCAGCCTCAGAGTTCAGGTTTTATCTTTAAAGCAGCCAAGGATCATTGAGTATTGCTGAGCAAAGGCGTAGAATAATCAAAGCAGAGTTTTAGAAGGTGGTTCTAAGAGCAATGCACAGGGAGGGTTGGAAGGAGAGCCTAGAGCAAGGAGACTAGAGCACAGCCGACTGCACTGGTCCAGACAGGAGCAAAGGAGGCCAGAATTCAAGGGGTGCTTGGAAGAGAACATGGGGCCAGAATGGAAGAGAAGAAAGGGATGTGAACAGGGTAATGTTGAAGACATGTAACTGGAATGTCATGGGTACAGAGTGTCAGAGCAGACACTGACATAGTCTAGGTGGAGGGTGGAGGAAGTGGCTTTGCAGAGGAAAAGGTGCTTTATCATGATGATGGATACCATGCTAGCAAAACTGGCCAGAGCTGATGCTCAGGTCTGCAGCTCTTACCCACAAGTGCCTTTAGCTCTGACTATAAGTACACGTCACTTCATTCTCAGCTCTGATGGCCTGGAATTACCTGTGATCACTGGGCAGGTACCCACTCCTCTGGAATACAATTAACTTCTCAAAAGGAGATAGGATAGCAACATCTTCATTTTTTTATCCTTATACTCTTTCCTTCAATATTTAATTAGAGTTTAATTCAACTTCATTTTCCATTTGATTCAGTTAAATTCAACTCAATTCAGTTCAACAAATATTTAAAACATAGGGGAGTCAATGGGTCAGTGAGTTTGATCAAGAAGACAATGAGCACTAGGGGCTCAGGTTTGGCTTCAGCCAAATAATATAACTTTGATGATGTATAGTGGGTAGAAAGAAGTGTGCTCCCAGAATCCAGATATGTCAAAGGGCAGGACAATGTATGGGTCATCAAACCCATGGAGTGGGAAATACTCCACAGTGGGCTTTGGCTGTGTTTGCTTTGGAGATTGTGTCCATCAGGATGTTTTGGCTGCAAGTAACAGACAGCCCAACTCACATTGACTCAAGCAATAAACCGTTATCTCACTGACAAGAATTCTGGAGATGGGCCTTTCCTGGGATGATTTAGCAGCTTGACAAAGTCAGGGTGCTGGGTCAGTATTGCCACAGCTCTCTTGGCCTTCAGCTCATAGTCACAATAGGGCTGCTGAAGCTCGGAGCATGCAGTAGGTGGCATACAGAAGGTAGAGGCCAATGGGATTTTCTTCTTCATTATTTTTTTATTTTAGAGACAGGGTCTCACTCTGTCACCCAGGCTGGAATGCAGTGGCACAATCATGGCTCCTGGCAACCTTGAACTCCAGGGCTCAAACGGTCCTCCCACCTCAGCCTCCCAAGTAGCTGGAACCCAGGAACATACCACCATGCCCTGCTAAGTTTTAAATTTTTTTATAGAGTCAGAGTCTTGCTGTATTGCCAAGGCTGGTCTCAAACTCCTGCTTTAGCCTCTCAAAGCACTGAGATTATAGGTATGAGCCACCACAACCAGCCCAATGAGATTTTTCTTAATGTGACTCATGCCTCTTATCAAAGAGGAAGATCTGTCTCAGAACCTTCTAGAAGACAATCCTGTATAGCTCACTGGGTCCATACCTATTATTCTAGACATTGTCAGATGGGAATGGGATTGCCACTGATTGGCTCCTGCCAATCACGAGTCATCTCATGGGACTGGTGCATTTTCACCCAAACACAATCACAGTTCTTTTAGAATGCTGGAAGGGAGTGCAGTTGTTATCTCTTTCTATAATAATGCTGTGTAACAAACCACCTCAAAAACTCAGTGGCTTAAAATAATAAGCATTTGTTTAACTCACAAGTCCACAGGGTCAGTGATTTCTTGAACTTGGCTAGGTCGTTTTTCTGGGTTCACCTGGATCACTCACCTGCTTGGTGGTCAGCTGGCTGTTGGTTGATCTAGGCTGGCCTTGACTGAAATGCAGGTATATTCAGCTCTCCACCTGTCTCTCATCCTCCAGCAGGATAGCCGAGGCACATTGTCATGACAATTGCAGAGGGGCGAGAGAGCAAACCCAATGTACAATTCCATTTCAACTGTTTGCCTGCATGGTACCTGCCAACATCCCACTGGCCAAAACAATTCACATGGGTGAGCCCAATTGGAGGGCCCTGCAAAGTTACATGGCAAAGGGTGTGGTTATAAGGAGAGGTGAAGAATTGGGGTCATGGCTGCAATCTCCCCCAAGGAGAATGGCTATTGAGAAGGCAGCCAGTGTTTGCCCCACGAGCTTTGTGCCTTATCTATTCTATGCATAAAGACAAACTCATCTTGAGGGTGAAAGGATGGTATTAAACAAACAAACAAACAAAAACCTGGGATGAAGGAAAGGGCTACAGCCTAGGAGTCAAAATGTTATTGGGTCTCTAATTATGATTCCATAATCACTTAACCTCTGTGGTGTTACTTAACCTCTGTGGTCCTTGGGATTTTTCTCTGTAACATTGGAATGAAAATCCTTGTTCTATATGCCTTCTAGGATTGGGAGATGGTTAAATAGGGTAATGAATGCAGAAGCGCTTTGTGAGTGAAAAGCATGATTCCAACAACCATGATTCACTGCAGATATTTTAAGAGAGATTGATTAGGGGAGCAGCCAGAAAGGAAAGCTCATCTCAGGCAAACAAAGAGAGCCTAGTCCTCTGCTGGAGTGGGCTGAGAGGAGCCTCTGGTCTCCTTTGGGAATACACTGATGGGAAGGAGGGCTGACATTTGCTGCTGGAGAATGTGGGTCACCATGCATTACATGGGGCGATGTGCTTGGCTGACAAGAAGGCCCTGGTGGCCTCTGCTCCAGCATCCAGCCTGTCCCAGTCCTCATAGCCTGGGTCCCCAAAGCCCACATGCCTGCTGATGCTGCACATAAGTCTCAAAACCAAACAGGGAGGAGCAAACTGTGCACCCTGGACCTCACGGGGTAACAGATATGAAAGGGAAGCATCATTCAACCTAATCAAGAATTTCTGGGATACATTGGGAGGGGGATAGCCTGTGTGTGTGTCTTGTGATAGCTTGTGGCCTCTCCCTTCTATGTGAAGGTCAACTGATAGCCTCTTCCTCCTCCCCATCAAGTCTGGTATTAGGAAGCACAGGGCACCTGTTTGATCCAGACCACTCTGGGACTACATAGCCGTCTCCCAACTCCAGCACATGGGTTTGAGTCTTCAGTGGGCTGGGGGTTCCTGATGCCCAGTCATGGCAAAGCTTGTGTGGAAGCTCTTTAGGAGGCTTAGGCTACGAGCATACATGTCTGTCCCCGAAGCAAAGTGAGATGATGGACACCAATCAGATTGCTTTCCTGATGTCCAGCCCTCAGGAATGAGAATAATTGCTAAACAGACTCAGGGGTGTGTACCAGAGATTGTTTTGGAAACTGGGATTCTCTGCCGGAAGGCTTTTGGAGAGGGCTATCTGAGTGAGGTCAGGGGGACTCTTTCCAGATAGAGTAACAGTTGATTGAAAACTTTAATCCAGTGCAAACTGGCTTAAGCAAAAAAAGTTTGGGGGCAGCAATTTGGTTTCCTTTACTGGAAAGTTTGGAGCTAATTTTAGCTTCAGGCACCATTTGATCCAGAGGCTGAAGTGAAGATCATTAGGACTTCTTTGCTACTTGTTCTCTCTGACATCTGTCCTGGTGGAATCCTTCTCGAGGTCTACGTGGGGACCCTGGACTTACAACCTCCATATTTGAAGTTGAGTGAAAAAGGGAGTGTTTCTCACCCTCTTTTTGTGCCAGTTGTTCTAACACAGTTTCTGAGAGTCAATGGTATTGTACCTATCTCTGAGTCAATACCTATTCCCAGGCTGGGGCCATGTGCTTTGCCCCTAGAGCTGACGATGGACCCCTCCTGAGTCACAGAAACTAAGAGTGGGGGAGAAGTTTTTCCCCAAAGGAAAATTGAAGTGCCATTAGTGGTGGGGGGGCAGGGGTGGGACATGCTGTGTGAACTGTGTCACCAGGACCAGACACTGAGTCCTGGGGATGACTAGGGACCAAGCAAGCAGGAGGGGATGGCCCTCTTGGGACCTGGCCGTGTGCTGGCTCAGCTTCTTCTTTGGAGGGGAGGAAGGGGCGGGAAGTATATACAGAGTAACAAGCAGGCTTGCTCCCAGGCTATGCAGAAAGAAGTCAGCAAAAATGGACCTTGAAATAGGGACAGAAACGAACTTAATTAGACCTAAGTAAGCCATTTGTCTCCAGAAAGTGACATTCAGTTTTCCCTGGAAGTCCTCAGATTAAGTGGTTTTACAAAAACGCCAACCAAGGTAGAGGATAGATTTTTCAGTGTGGGAGGAAAAACAAAAAACAAAAAACAGTAAGTCAGTCCAATTATGGAAACTTTTGTTGAGTACCACCTGAGTGCCAGGCCCTGTGCTGGGGGTGGTGGGAACCCAGCCCCAGATATCAACGTGCTGGTGGCAGGATGAGGGGAATGAGGTGGGGCCAGAGGAGGCCATTGCTGAGGGAGGAGGCCACTGAGTTGGAGGAGAGGGTGATCTTTTCTGGACAGAGCAAAAGAGGAAGGCTTCATGGAGGAGGTGGTTGCACTAAACCTGAAAAAGTGGGTAAGGTTTACCAAGGCAGACTGCCCTTAGTGAGGACGAGGGCGGAGACACAAATACCTCCTGGCCTTACCCAGCCCAGTGGTTGGTACAGGTTAGTACCACTGAGGCTGGAGCTGCCTTTTGTGCCCATATCCTGGAAGCAGCTCGCTGGAGATGTTGAGGGAAATCATGTCCCATGTCTCACAATGTTGGGGGTGGGTACAGAAGAAGAGGGGTGAACTCTGATTTAGGCCCTGAAGGCTTTACACCCATTCTGGGTTAGAGAGAAGCAGATGGGTGTGGTCAGTGGGAATTTGCTATCTGTGCCTACTTTTGAATCTACATATGTGTGTACTGCACCACTGTGTGCACAGGCCTTAATCTACATATACACACGTGTTGATAAGCCCAAGTGTATTCCTGCCCATATTGACATGCACGTGCGTGTAGCCATGTGTTTGTATGTGCACACACACCTGCTCTCCAGTGTTGTCCATGCACGTGCACAAGTCTCTGTGGGCCACGTTTCTGCCCGTGTATGTCTGCAGACCTGTGGCCATGGGCATGTGTGTGCACACAAGTCCAAGTGGATGCCTGGAGCTGTGGATACATGTGGTACACGTGTGTCTTTTGTGCTCCATGGCCCCTCAGGGCTCATCCGACTGCAGGAGCTCATCATGGCCCCATCAAGATACAACATCCGCCTGAAGATCCGTCAGCTCCCCATCGACTCTGACGACTCGCGCCCCTTGCTCAAGGAGATGAAGCGAGGCCGGGAATTCCGCATTATCTTCGACTGCAGCCACACTATGGCGGCCCAGATCCTCAAGCAGGTGCGTGAGTGCTGGCCACCGGGACAGATGACTGGGGTCTGCTGGCCACTTCTCCCACGTCCCCTTCCCAAATGTGGGTGTGATGCTGCCAGATCTAAGTTTGACTCCTAGCTCTGCCACTTTCCTGCTGTGTGACCTTGGGTGGTTTGCCTCTCTGAGCCTCATTTTCACCAGTAGCAAAACGGACACTGCAGTATTTACTCTGTGAGTTGGCGTAAGGATGGATGATCCGCCCAGCCCGGCCTGACACAGGGAGAGTGCTGAGTAGACACGAGTTTCCATCCCACCTCTGTGCTGGTTGGAGGCAGAGGCTGCCGGGAGGTACCCACAGCCACACAGGAGCAGAGCACTCCAGGAAGCAGAGAGGCCTCAGATTCTCAGGAACAGCCCCCAGAATGCCTCACCGCCTCTTCCAGTGACTAATTCCCCGTAGCCCACGGCACTTGGTGTTACTCTCCTATTACTGGGAGCTTTATCAAGGCTCTCGTACCATCTGCTCAGCTCTGCAGTGACAGAGGGGGAGGAGAATGGCTCTCAGTCCTGGATGGGCCTTCGTTCCCAAACACAGCTCAGCATGGCCTGCTGGGGACGAGAGCCAAGCTCCGCCAGTCACCTAAGAAAATAAACAGTGAAATCGCCTACCACCCGCTCCAAGGGTGCCACAGCGGAAACCAAAAACTGATTTGAGCTGGCGCTTTGTGTAAAAGGCAATTATGTCATCCCAGAAAGCATTTCTGGTGACTGGAGGAGGCATTCTGTGGGGCTTTGACACATGACCCCTCAGGGTCCAGGTGATTTAAGGGGTGCAGGAGGAGACACGCTGAGCCGGAGTGTTCTCGAGGCCTTGAGGGGCTCAAGTCCCATCCTCCAGTTGGGCCCCATCGGGGGTGCCAGGCCTGAATGGCAGCCTCTATCCCTGGCTCCTCACAAAGGAAGCTCCTTTACACCGCACTTAAAAGGCTCATTTGAGGGTTTGAGTTCTGCTTCTGCCCTTTCACGTTGTGTGCCCTGGAGCAAGAGGCCCAGGAGTCATTCCCCTCCTCTGTAGATGAGGTTCATAATCCCCATCTCATACCATTATGGAGGCTTCAGTGCAACAAGGAAAACATCAGGAGTTTCTTCTGACACCCAGCAGGCAGTTGACACCCAGCGTTGGGCATCTTTAAAGCTGCTGTCGAGGAAACACGCATGCCCCAGAAAGCCTATAACCCCTAGCCTCCCGATCAGCTGTGCCCAGTGCCTCTTCTCCCCCCTACCCCAACCCCCACCACCCAGACAGCATGTGTAACAGAAGAATGGTGACAATCACAGCTTTGGTTTACTCGGCAGTTGCCCTCTGCCGGGTCCATGTAGCTCCTCATTTATCACCACACTGGGAAACAGGGAGAATTCTTGTGCCCAATTTATAGGTAAGGAAACTGAGGCTCAAGGGGAAAGTAATGGACCCAAGGTCATCCAGGCAGGAAGCCAGAATGGACTCCCAGGTCTGTCTGATTTTAAAACTTCTGGAATTAGAAATGAAGATTCTGAGCTGAGCCAAAGCCAGATTTAAATGAAGTTAAGCCAATTAGCTTCTTGCAGGACTTCTCTGAGACTTTAACGTGCTGAGGTGGGCTGTGACTCTTCAAAGGCGGGAGGGAATGGGCAGCATTTGCAAAGTGTACTTGAACCGGTGACATTTTCCCCAGAGCCCTCTGTGGGCCCAGCATTCTGAGGAACTCTGTAGAAAATGCATTATAGTCATTAGTATAATAGATTATAGGCTTCTAATAAAATACATAAACTATAGATAGTGCAGACTTCATGATGGCAGACGGTAAGAATTCCACAGTGGCCATGTGGCCTGCTTTGTGGTCAGCCAGGACTAAGGGAGCAGGGATGCCTCAGCCCTTCTTGGGGAGGCTGAAGACAGACCTCCCAGCTCAGGCCTGGCTAGGCCAGGGGGTTAGCAGGGTTGGGGGGAAACGTACTGCCTCTGGATCCAGGACAGGGAGCTCAGCTGAGTGGAGTCCAGGGCACTTGAGAAGACAGCCTCAGACTGACGCCATCAGCATTTCTCTAAGTGTGGCAGGCCGGGAGACGCTTACTCAAAAGAGGCAGCTAGACCCCACGGGCCCTGCAGAATTTGGAATCTTTGAAGAATGTGACCCAAAAATCTGCATTTTAATCTGTCCCAGGTGACTTTACAGCACACTCCAGTGTGAAATCCACTGCTGTCTGCCAGGCAGTCATTGTCACTGTTCAGAGGTGGTCTCAGAGGACACCTTACTCCAAGCAGCCAGCCTTCCCCAACCCACTGCCAGTCCCATTCTCAGCCCTGGGTGGGGATGTGGGGAGGGCTGCCCAGGGGTTCCCTGCTGATCACTAACACTCTGCTTTTCTGCAGGCCATGGCCATGGGCATGATGACTGAGTACTACCACTTCATCTTCACCACTCTGGTAATGTACCTCTGGGTCCTGGCACGGGAAAGGGGTGGGACTCTCATGGATCAAGTTCATTGTGGCTTAGCCTGGGCCAGCCCACTGAAGACAATTGCTGCAGCTTCCTCAGGCTGTAGGGGTGGCCCCAGGTAAGGGCACAAATATGTCTTTGTGACCTGCCCACTTGTGAGAGGCAGCATCATGTTATAATTAAGGATGTGAACTCTGGAGCCAATGTGAACACCAGCTCCTCTGCTCACCACTGTGGTTCCTTGGCTAAGGCACTTAACCTCCCTGCCTCAGTTTCTTCCTCTGCAAAATGGGCTTCTGCCTCCTAGGATTACTGTGAGCACCAAATGAGTTAATAAGGTAACACGCAGTGCCTGGTACATGAGGAGCTCTGGAAGTATTCACTATTATGATTATCATGGCCCTCGGTTCCTAGCCCACACTTCCCCACGCATATCTCGGGCCTCACGGGAATTGTCGCTTTGGATTCTGTCCACATTCATACTGAAGTCTGCCCACTCACTGTCAGCTAGCCCAGCCCACCTACAGGCTCCAGATGGGTCCTGTCCAAACTCTGAGAACATTTAGGGCCATTTAAACCCATTAGGATAATTAGCTGTGGCCTGAGTTCAGCAGAATAAAGAGATTCCTGTGCCAAAAGGGCACCCATCCTGAGCCTCACTGCCTTGCAGATAGACACCTTCAGACCCTGCTGGGGCCCTGGGCAGACTATTCCACCCATCCCAGGTCTGAGGTGAGTGACAGCCTCACTGACCATCCTGTCGCTTTTCAAAAAGCCTCCTGCAGTATGTGTCTGCCCAGCCACTGCAGCCCTGTAGGCCTCTAACCATATTCATTCATTTATCCAGCACCCAGCTAGCTCTCCCTACCCAGCATCTATGACCCCGTAGGTTCTGAGGGTCTGGTGGAAGGCGGGAAGTTTGAGGCAGTCTTACAGAAAACCAGATACTTGAACTAGGCCTCGAAAGATCCATAGGAGTTCACCAAGGGAGAAAGAGGAAGGACATTGTATGCAGAAGGAACAGCATAAGCAAAGGCCAAGAGGCAAGTTAGCTCTTCATGGTATGCAGGAGCTGGCTTGATCCAGCGGGCGAGAGCCAATTGCATTATCTCCTCCTAAGTCCATGTCATGTTGGTAGCTTGAAATCACTGTGACGGGAACGCTTACACAATGGAAGTGAGCAAATGCTACAAATAAGAGCCGCCTCCCCCAGAGAGCTGGTTATTAAGCACTTATCCTCCCTACAGTCCCTCCCTCTGCACCCTGTGCCCACAGCAGAGCTCAGGAGCCACCCTGCGATTCTCCTGATCCAGGGCTCAGACCTGGGGACCTGCCAGGAGCCATGCTGGGAGAAAGGGATCCTGGAAGCTGGCGAATGAGATCAGGCAGAGTGAAGCCAGCTCCCCTGAATCCCTTCTGGATTTCCGCCCACCTAAGCTGGCTTCTTCCTGCCATGCTGTCTCCTGGAAAGTCAAGGGAGGCTACCAGACCCCTGAAACTCTACCTCTGTCCAGAGCTGGGAGCAGGGCAGAGGAGCAAGACTGGGAAGGTGGGGTGGGGCACATTCCAGGGGTCCACAACTTTCTCCCCACTCATGGCAGCCCTCCCCATCCCATCCTGAGATCTTAGGGTGCTGAGAGCAACTCCTGGACCCGGGGACACTAGGATCCTCTCTTTAAGACCTTCGATCTTGACCCCAGTGGCCAATGGCATTAACGTGGAAGGTACTGGGGTCACTGGGGTGGTGCCTTCCCCAGAGTCTTGTCCTGGAAGGTCAGCCAGGCTGCAGGGCTGAGGGGCCAAAGCTTCAGGCCCTGCCATTTTACCAACTCAACGACCCCCCACCCCGGCCTTGGAATGAGGCTTGAGCCAGGCAGAGATGCTTTTAATAGGATATTTACGGCTGGGACTTGGAGCAAGGCCCAGAGGGGGTTTAATCACAAGCCCTGTGCAGACAGAGTGGGTGGCGAGGGCAGTACTCAGGGTGGGTGAAGGAGATAGGAAGATTTTGTTCCTGCTCTGACCCCAATTCTACTGAAACCTCCCAATGTCCCAAGGCTTTCTGCTTGGTGGCTCTATCTTATATTCTGTGTTGGATCCATCTCTGTACACCCCTCCCACCCAAGTGCCTAGCTCAGTGCCCAGGACCTTAGAGAGCATTCTTTCTCTCTACCCATGGGCAGACCTCAGCTGATTGGCCAAGAAGTAGTCGTCGTCTGTCCCAAGGGTGGTTTCTGCAATCTTGCTGGTGACACAACCCTCACCCTGGGAGCATTTAGCTATATGGGAGCTAGTCATTTATTTGTCACCAAGACTGGAAATTAGTGAGTGGGGATCAGGGATGCTAGACATTCTATGATGGGCAAGATTCTGGAGATGAGTTGTCCAGCCCCAGATAACTATGGTGCCCCATTGAGAAACATTGACTGATGCTCAGCCAGTCCACAATTGGATCTGGGAAAGTGGGTGATAATCAGAGAAAGAGATGGTGAGAAGAGGCAGAGGAGGAATGGATGGTCAACTGGGATATGATGTACCCAGGGTAGCTGTGGTGTGCTAAAGTCTCTAGGGAACAGAGACTAGCCCCGGCCAGTGTCCATTTTTCTTCATTTTCTTAATCATCCATTGATTCATTTATCCAGCAGCCATATACAAATGCTCTCCAAGGTCCTGGGCACTGCACTAGGCACTTGGGTGGGAGGGGTGTACATAGATGGATTCAACACAAAGCTCACAAGCTGGTGGCTTCCTTCATGTATATAAGAAACAAGAACTGTGCCCAGTTAACCTCTCTGTCCCCAGCACCCACATAGAAGCTGGCACATGGTAGGTGCTCATTAATGTCTGGATGGATGGACAGATGGATGGACAGACGGCTGGATGGATGGACGGATGGATGACTGCAATGCAATGTGGAAAGTAATCCGTGAAATTGTCAACACATCATCATAGCAACAGTTAGTTAAAACCACTCTGATCCCAGTTGGCCTGAGTTAGAATTGAGACTCTTCCACTCCCTTGGGCAAGTTACTTAACCTCTCTGTGCCTCATTTTCTCATCTATACAGTGGTGACAGTAATATTACTACCTCACAGGATTGTTACGCTGAGTGCATTGACGTCATAAAATGCTTAGAACAATGCTTGGCACTTATTACAGTGTAAGTGTTAAATAAACTAAACATCCTGCTTTTGTTTTCTGTGTGCTCAACATACCCCATCCCATCCAAAATTCAGAACAACTTTCCAAGGGAGATAGACTCTCCCAGTTTTATAGAAACGTGGAAACTGAGGCTCAAAGTCACTCTGCAAGAAAGGAGCAGAGCAAGGATTTTTTCGCAGCAGGGAGCTGTCCAGCTCCAAAGCCCTCTGCTGAAACCTATCATGCTGAAAGTCCACACCAAGTGTTCCCTGGCCTCCTCTGGCTGGCTCAGATTCCACACAATGCCTGACCATGTTGGTTCAGGTGTGGTAATTGAGGTCAATGGGGAAACGGAGCCTCCTGAAATCCCAGCAGCTCCCATGCTACACCAGTTCCAAAACCCTCTGATTTTAGGGCTGGACATTGTGGCTCACACCAGTAATCCCAACTCTTTGGGAGGCCAAGGCAAGGGGATCACTTGAGGCCAGTACAAGACCAGCCTAGGCAACATAGTGAGACCCTATCTCTACAAAAATAAAAATATTAGCCAGGCATAGTCGGGCAGGCCTGTAGTCCCAGCTACTTGGAAGGCAAACTGAGGCAGAAGGATTGCCTGAGCCCAGGAGTTAGAGGCTACCGTGAGCTAAGATTGTGCCGCTGCACTCCAGCCTAGGGGACAGAGCCAGACCCTGTCACTTTAAAAAAGAAAGCAAGAAGAAAGCCCTCTGACTTTCCTCTTTACACATTTGAGGCCAGCAACAGGGCACTTTGCACTCCCCATTGACTGGTGGGGAAACCTGGCATCAGGCACTTCCTGAAGTTTCATAGCAGATCAGTGACAAGAGGCCTTGGCTCCTGACTCCTGGTCCTGTCCTTGGCTGTTCCAGCTGACTGTCCTTCCTCCCCACACAATCTGAGGGTCGGGAAGAATGGACCCTTCCAGGGAGGCATAGCCCTTGCAATACACACAGTTCTGCAGTGGAGTATGGGGCGGGGTCTCCCAGAGTATCTCCCAGCAGAACCCCATCGGTTGGAGCACCAGCTGTGCTCCTGGTCCTCTCCCTCAGTCATATCCTGCTTCCGGTCTTCAGGATCCACTTCCGGCCCTGTTGCCGAGGCCTCTACCTCGTGATCCTCCCTCTTTGTGCCCATTGGTCAGTTGTGGCTTATTTGGGAGGACAGTGGCATCTGGCATTTATCTCCTTCCCTTTAGGAAACCCACATCACCAACTCTTCGCCTCTAAAAAAAATTCTCCAAATTTGCTTCTTCCATGCAGAAGATATTTTAATTACCCCAGCTGCCATTATCTGTTCCAACCAGCTTTGAGCCATTCCCAGATAACCTCGCATTAATCAGCCCCAGCTGAGCCCCTGGTACATGTCATGTGTAGGTAAAAGCCTGGAGGTGAAAAAAGAATTATAATAAATTAATAGATAAGCAATCACAATTAATGCCACTTCCTGGCAATAACAGTGATATCATGGGGAAGATATTTTCATCTGTCATTCCTTAAGGCGATGTTTTCCAAGCTTCAGCTCCTACCCATTCAGACCCATGGGGTGCTAATGAATTAGTTTATTATGTTATGCTGAATGTTTCTAAAAGGTCCCTCGTCGATACTGAATTCAGTGTGTCAACATTTGGCATCGAGAACACAACTTTTTGCCAAGCAGCAAGGTTGCACACAGTTCACAGTGTACAGCACTTGGGGTCTTGGCCCTGGGCAGTCTGAATTAAAAAAAAAAAAAAAATGGAGCTGGACAAAAGAGCCTCTTCACCAGCTCCCCATTGTCATTGTCCTCGTATCACGGGGATGGGGGCACTCTGTGCCACAGGCCCTACAACACTTTGCAGCTAAGCCCAGGCTCAGGGGTTACAGGGAGGAAGGTCATCCCAATCACTACCACCCCAACCTGCCCCCTCCCGGGCTGTGATCAGCTGCAGCCTCTGTGTCAGTCTCAACAGACCAAATGCTGCCTCTGGAGACCAGAAGGGCTGGTTCCACCAGCACCCAAGCTCCCACCAAGGCCAGAGATGCTGCCCTTCACACTGAGTCAGGTTGGCCTCTGGTTACCTAGATGAGGGTAAATCGAGTCATGGAGGCCCTGGGCAGTCTAAAGCTTTGGCATCTTTCAAGCCTTAGATATCAGGTCAACACTGAATTGGAGAAGAGACTGAATGCCATGCAAGGAAAGGTGAGGAGGGCGCCCCCTGTAGGCAGAGCTCAGCTTCTCTTCCATGGTCGCAGCAGGTCAGCCCTGGCCCCAAACTTGCATAACACCACTGTCCAAAAGGAAATCCTTCCAGCTCCCCAGACCCTCCTGGTTGAAAGGCAGTTTGGGGAAGATCTCATCCTCCACCCCAGGCAGTTTACCAACCCTCTCCTAAACTTCCAGTCTGTAGATAACCCTGAGTTAATTAGCCCCAGCTGAGCCCCTGCTACATGTCACATGTAGATAAAAGCCTAGAGGTGAAAAAAGAACTATTATAATAAGTTAATAGATAAACAATGACAACTAATGCCACTTCCCGGCAATAACACTTATATCATGGGGAGGGTATTGGGTTGGTGCCATTAAAATAATAACAAAAACCACAATGACTTTTGCACTAACCTAGTATTTTCATCTGCCCTTCCTTGAAGCTGCCCCTGAGAGGAGGATGTGAAACACTTGTCGCTACATTCCAGGCTCTTCTCAGTGATGCTTAAGTGCCCCAGGAGCCACTCAGCTGGCTGACCCTTCTTTCCACTTTGGGTAACAGGAATATTCAGCCCATAGCTCATAGGGGAGACAGACCCAGACACAAGCAGTTGTTACCAGTGGCATGAAAGCCCAGAAGTCTCAGGATAAGAGCAGAATCGCGTCTGACGCACTCTGTTGTGCATGTGTACAGGAGCAATCAGGAGGGGCTTCCTGGAAGAGGTGATACTTGAGCTGATTCTTGGAGAATAGCTCACCCAAGAGAGGTCAAGAAGACAAGCATTCTTGCCTGGAAATAGAAGGCATACAAAGGTGCTGAACAGAGGGACGAGAAGCAGGACAAAGGGTACAGGGGCCAGCGAGACTGGGAAAATTAAGGCCTGAACTTGCATCCTGGGACAAAAAAATTGAGAGGGTAGGAAGGAAAGTGAGCCTGGAGGGGTGGAGAGCTTTGGAAAACTGTACTAAGGAATTTGTACCATATTCTGAAAAGACTACAAGGAGTCATGGAAGTATTTGAAGTGTGGAAATGACAGGCTTGGATTTATACCTTAGAAAGATCCCTCTAGTCCCTGCCCAGAGGGTGACTGCCCTGGCAGTGGGCATGAGTTGGGGGCTGGGCAGGTAGAGCCTCTCGGTAGGAGGAGATGCGTCATCATAGGGAAGAGGGAGGGCTCTGGAGCTGGGTAGCCTGGTGTTGACTCTGTCACTCCCCAGTTACAGAACCTTGAGCAAAAGGCCTAATATCTGTGTGGTTCAGTTCTTTCCTCTAAAATGGGGTGATAATAACACCATCCTAGTCGTGTGCCCATGTGAATCAATGAGTTAATACAAGTAAGGTACTTTGAACAATGCCTGCCATTCTGAGATTTGTAGGTGCTCAGTAAATGTGAGCTGACTTTGCTTGTTCTGATATTGCCAAGACGAGTAAGGTAGGAAGACACCAACCTATGTCTGCCCTGGGGGCTGTATGTACCCAGTAGCTGTCACAACCTCCTGCCAGACGAGGCAGAACATAAACATGTGTCAAACACATACATGATGTTTGATATGTCCCAGACATGTTCTAAGGGCATCTACAAACTCACTTATTTTCCTTGACAACTCTATATGGTAGGTGGCACTTTCAACCCCATTTTGCAGATGAGGCAACTGAGATGAGGAGAGAGGGTGAAACTCGAGCCCAGGTGGTCTGGCCCATGTCTGGCCACCTCAGGGAGCCGCCCTGGAGGAGCTGAGGGAGGGAGACTTCTTCTGGGATATTTATTCTCTCCCCTCTTTGCTGCCCTTCTCTGATTCGAGAGGCATCCTGATCTAAACCCAGACCCATCTGTGTGTGTTTCTCAGTCACGAGTAATCGCTTAGTGGCTTCTCAAAACACAGACTCCAGGCTCCACCACAGACTATGCATCAGCGTTATCTAGGTGTGGTTCATATTCTAGAAAAATAAAATCCCCAAAGACAGCTCTGATGCATGTCTTGTCCTGGACACCCACCGAGGACATAGAACATAGAGGGTTTGGAGTAAGACAATCAACGATGCATCAGTCAATGTTTAACAACCAGCTCTCTGAAAGGGAGAAAAAAGACAAAACACAGAAATCCTGATTTGTAATGCCTGCAAATGTCCATGGTACAAATACTCCTACCATGGCCAATACCAAGCTAGCCATGTAATGTCACTGAAGGCAGAGTTGGGAAGAAATGCTAACATTCAGCTCCCACTGGCCAGTGTGAGCCAGTGGCAGCACACCATTGAAATAGACCTGGGTACAAATTCAACTTTGACTTGTATGAGCTATGTGACCTTAGGTAAGTCACCTCACCTCTCCAACTCTCTTTTCTCATCTATAAAAATAGAATAGAGTGCTATTCAATGCCTACTTCACAGGGGGCTGTGAAGATGAAGCCATGGAGTCCTTGTGCAGGGCTGAGCACTGCCACCCCCCACTCCCTACTGACACTGGGGCCACAGAGACACCCTCTGGCCATCTCAGAGGGAAGCCCGCATCTGCTGAAGCCCCTCCCTCCTCTGTCACCCAGCCCCTTCCCCATCCCAGATCCTGACCTGGAATCAAGGCCATATTTATTTGGGCAAGCTTGGGACCAGACTTTCTTGCCTGGGCTCAAGTCTGCTCCAAACCCCTTCCCTACTCCCCAAATCATTGAAGAGGAAACCAACACAGTGCATTCCAGAAGGAGGCCACTTTGGGGATGCAGGAGGAACAGGATAAGTTTAGTGCCCATTAGAGACATCTCAGAGACCAGAGGAAGCCAGTCCAGCATGAAAGGTCTCTAGGCTTTATCACTCATCATCCTTCCATGAGTCATTGTTGATTTCACTAAAGCTGCGGCTGTGATGGGGCTGGATGTTCCCCATGACGGTGGCAGTCACAGAGAGTCAAGCACACCCCAAGTGTGTCCCCAGCCTCTCCTTCCCAGCACCAGATGGAGTGACTAAGTGGGGGGCCCAGGGGAGAAGACAGGCTGGGGGCCAGAAGGAGGGCAGCTTAGTGAGGGGAGAGTGTGGGAGAGTATAGACAGTAGACGAGGAGGAGCTCAGATAGTGACCTCAAGACTCAGTTTCCCCACTAGTGGGATAGGGCCAATCTAGACTGTGCAAGTATATATTTCAAAAAATCAAAACCATGAGTCTTATGCAAATATAGAAGGAACATGCGTCAGAGATGGATTCAACTCACTAACGAGGGAACCAGTAGGATGGAAAAGCTGACTCAAGGAGCATTTGAGGAATTGGGTATTTATAGGTATTTCAGGTAGGGTTGCGGGGAGCATAGACTAAGACTTCTAGGTTGGATAGAAAATGGATTAATGTCCTGTAAGGCAATAAAACCACAACCTTGGGGAGTATCTCCTCTATTTGACAAAATTCTGCAAATTAACCCAGAGTCTGAGCTTTTAACAAGTAGCTGACAATGAAGTCAAACCCAGGTGCATTCTCCAGAAGAATGAAGTAATACTGGAGGGCCTGGTAAACTATGTTTCATTGTCATGTTGGAAAAACGCACCGCTACCCTTCTGCCTGATTTCCAGGTTTGCGTGGTTTTCAACAGGACAGAGCTCAGCTTTGTTCCTCACTCCCACCTGCCACGTCCTCTGCCGCCATCTCTCCTAGCTTAGGGACACCTGGCTTCTCCCTCCACCTGCTTCCCCTCTCTGCCTCCTTCCTTCACCAGCCCACCCTGCCCCCAGACCCAGAGCTGCAGGGCGGGGCTACAGCCAGCCTCACCTGCGTTGAGACCCTGTTCTCCTGGACCCTTGGCAGGACCTGCCTGGCCCACGACAGACAGGCTGACCGCTGCTCAGCTGCTCCTAGGAGGCAAGGGATGAGGAGGTCCTGGCTGGGATCGGGGGAAAAGGGGGAGAGAAGAGGGCCATACTTTTTGAGTCCTAGGCAGAAAAGACTATTTTTAAATATCCTCTTCTAGGGGATAAAATGCTCCCTTCAGCCTCCCTCTGTGTAACAAGATGCCCAGAACTAGTAGGTCTCCCCTTTTGAAAGGAAGCAGCCTCATTAAGCTTCCTCTGCATGTGAGGCTGGGTATTTTATGTGAACTATTTCACTGGGTCCTAGAAAGGGGATTGAACCCCATTTGTGGATGAAGAAACAGGCTGAGATCCCCTGGTTAGCATGGAGGATCAGTTGCCCAAGTTCTGAGTCAGACTCCAGGTGCAGTGGTCCTATGGGTGCTCCTGTGACTACCCCGATATCCCGCACCCCCTCTGCAGGGCTTTGCAGGGAGCTGCGACCTCAGGCCCTGGGGCGGCCCTGATTAGGGAGTGGGTAGGAGGCGGGGCTGGAGTTCTCAGCAGTGAGCATGCCTTGGTTTACACAGACCTCTCTCTATCCAGGATCTCTACGCTTTAGACCTGGAGCCCTACCGCTACTCAGGCGTGAACCTGACAGGATTCCGGATTCTCAATGTGGACAACCCACACGTCTCGGCCATTGTGGAGAAGTGGTCCATGGAGCGGCTGCAGGCAGCTCCCCGGTCCGAGTCTGGCCTGCTGGATGGAGTGATGATGGTAAGGCGGCTGGGTGAGGTGAATTCCAGGGGCTTCCCACCTGCCTCCCTTCTTTTCTTCTCTCCTTCCTCTTGTTTCTTTCTTCCCTCCACCACTTCTCTTCTTGAGACCTTCCATGTGTCAGCCAGACCCCAGGCTAGGGATTGGGGACACAAACGTGAAACAGACAGTCCCTCCCCAAGGGACCCATCTGATGGGGATCCAGACATGTAAGCAAAAGGTCACAAAGAACAGGAATAAGGCCCAGAGATGCAGGTCACAGAGGAACTCAGGCTGTGACACACAGGTGTGAAGGCCGAGAAGGCAGAAAGAAGAAGGTGTGGTCAGGGCCTAGGTAGCAGGGGTGGGGTGGGTGGGCAGGAGAAGGTCTAAGCTGCAGAGGGGGGTGCTCAGGATGTTTGTAGAGCAGCAGAGTCAGCCAAGCCTGGCCACTCCTCAGAGGCGTAGACAGAGTCACCTCCAGGGCCTCTGGGCCTGTTCGCTCACCAGGACATCATGTACCTGTGGCAAGGGAGGAGAAGGGGGACAGGGCAGGGTGGGCTGAGGACTGGAGGGCCTTGGGAGCCGCTCTCAGGCAGGCCCTTCCCTGCAGACTGATGCAGCCTTACTGTACGACGCCGTCCATATCGTGTCCGTGTGCTACCAGCGGGCACCACAGATGACCGTGAACTCCCTGCAGTGCCATCGGCACAAGGCCTGGCGCTTTGGCGGCCGCTTCATGAACTTCATCAAGGAGGTGAGTGCCCCACAGCCCCCACCAGTGTTGTCTCCCCGGGACTGTGGGCCCTGTAGAGCAGCAGAGTGGTCTGGGAGTCAGGAAGGATTGATTCTCATCCATGTGACCTCAGGCAAGTTGCCTCATGTCTCCGAGCCTCAGTTTCCCGTGTGAAAATGGGCTCCATAGGACCAAACTTATGGCATGATTGAGGGGCATACATCTTGGGCATGTGGTAAGTGCTCAGCAGCTGGTCAGCATTGCCAGCAAGATGCAGCGTGGGCTTGAAAGTACAACAGATGAGGGTGTTTGCTTCCTCGCTGTATGACCTTGGGCGAGCTGGAGAGCCTTGCTGAGCCTCAGTCACCTCATCTGTGAAATGGGTATATGAAGCATAACCTACCTCGTGGGCATGTGAGATGAAGTTAGACATTGCGTGGAAAGTGCTTAGTGCAGGAGGAGGGTCAATACATAATAATCAGCCCCACAAACTCATCTTCACATCATGGGCCCACTGACCAACTTCCCAGCCAGCACCCCCACTGGGACCCACCTCTCCTGGTACCAGCTCTCCTGTGGAAAACCCCATCAATGGAGCTGATTCTAGAGAAACCAGAGAATATGGAAACTGTCCTGCTGCCTAGACCATGGAACACACAGTGCCTACTTTTATTTCAAAGGCTTCTCCATCTGCCACTGTCCTTGTAAGCTTTGGATGGCAGGGCTTATTGTCCCCATTTTATGGATGGGGAAAATTAAGGCCTGAACTTGCATCCTGGCTCTGTTACAACTAGCTATGTGACTTTGGGTGAGCTGATTAACTCTTTGATCTTCAGTATGATATAGTGAGTGCCTGCCTGAAGGCGGTGTTGGGAAGACAGTGAAAAACTATGTGCAAAGCACCTAACCCAGGACCTGGCCAGAGTCAAATCCCAGCAGATGATAGACAAAGAAAATTGGGGAGTATGAGATCTAGGCAGAGTCATCCTGGGCCAGAGGGAGTGACCATGTCCAAGGCAACACCAAGGGCAGTGGGGGAAGCCCTCTAGAAGGACTCGGGATAGAAAGGACAAATGAGCTCTCTGTAACAATCACAGCGGGCCGGAAATGAAGCCAGCTGCCTTCTTAGGAGCACACTCATTTATTCAATCCCACTTTGTGACTGGCAGCTGGGTTCCAGGCTCCTAGCTATGCCCTGGGGGCCCAACAGAGCTAAAACAGACTCGCCTGTGCACATGCAGATCCTAGAGAGGGAGGCATCAGGTCACAGCACTAAAGGAGAGAATCCCATATGTAAATAAAGGCAGCTCTACGAGAGCAAACAGCAGAGAAACTCCCCACCTTGGATGGGGGTTGAGGGAGGGCAGCTTCCCCTGAGGTCCCAAGTTCACCATCGCTGCTTCCAGATGAGGCCAAGTACAGCTCCTCTCACACAGTAGAACAATAAATGTGGATAAGATACAGGCTTTAGGGCACCACACATGTGCCTTTGGATCGCGTCTCTACCTCTTCCCAGCTGTGTGGCTTCAGACACGTTATGGGACATCTCTGAGTCAGTTTCCACACCCGGCAAACTCCACCTCACAGTTATTGTGAGGGATGAATTCAGTGCCTGACTGGAGTCCCTTGTAGTTCCTTCACCCCTAGAAGGGACTCCAGTCCCAGATGTTTTGGCATAGGAGGGCCTGATGATCCCTTCTCATCCAGCTTCCCATCCCTCAAAACTGCACAGGACATCCCACTGTCCAATGCCCTGAGCAGGGCCCTGGCTGGGCAATCATCCGCTTGCTCTCAGGGAACTCTGAGACCTGACTTCTGGCCCCCTGTACCCCCTTCCTCAGCAGGCCTCCAGCTGAGCAGCCACTGTGTGAGGCCACTGTGAGGGTGTCGGTGTCCCAGGCCACACCTCGATCCTATTGCTCCTCTGGCTCAATCGGGAAATTTGGGAGCCTTAGGAGCCAGACAAAAGTGACTTGGAAGCTTCACCACTTTTTAACTGGATAACCTTGGACAAGCTACTGAAGCTTTCTGTGCCTCAGTGTCCTCCTCTGTCCAGTGGAGATAAAAATAGCACCTTATCATCAGGTTGTTCTGAGGATTGGTGAGTTTTGGCACGTGTGTCGCACTAGGGACAACGCCTGGCTCGTAGCAGGTGCTGAACAGGTTGGCTGCCATCACTGTTACTTCCACTATCGCTACTGTTATCACTGTGCCTTCCTGTTTGCTAATGGGGTTCCACTACCAGGTCTCCAGGCCACATTGTTTCAGGGACACCCACCCTGTTTACACTTTGCCCCTCAACCCTTGGAAATTTTGAGGCTCAGCCGTGAGTCCCTGAGGGGAGCAGATTCACCACTGCCCACCATAGAAAGAGGAGCTCCATTCTCCTTCCCAGGCCCAACGAGTGACCCTCACTGCTCACACTCCCTCACAGAACCCTTTCAGAAACATTTATCCTATCTCCATTTTACATCCATGGACATGGCTAAGGCCCAGAATAGCCCCGTGGTACCTGTGGTCCCACAGCTGGCCACAACCGAACCTCAGATGCCTGCCCGACCCCAGCACAGTCCTCCGTCAGACCATTTCCAACTTGCCCGTCTCCCCATCTGATTGCATGACAGTAAATCATTTTAAAGACTTGGCATTTCCGAGAGGAGCTGGAAAATACCAGGCCGGAGTTCAGAGCGTGTGAAGCATCTTTCATTTAGCAAGTCCTGAGCGGTGGCTAGAGGGGGCGGGCAGCGCAGGAAATGTCACTGGGAGGAGCTGCCTGCACTCCCTGGCCTGCCCTGTCCACCCGCCCACAGACAGGCCGTGCACCTGCTGGCATTTTATACCTCTGTAGCTGACAGGCAGGAAGGCTTCCCTCACAGTGCAGGTTTGAAGGCACCTGCTGTGATTTCCCCTGGGGGCCAAGAGATAGCCTGAAGGCGTGAGGCCAACAGAGGAGAGAAGGCGGAGGGACTGGGGAGCCAGCCTGAGGGAAGCTGAGTTTCCCTGTGAAGTCATAAACAGTGGCTTTTACCTTCTCTGATGCATCTTTTAATCTCTGTTCCCGACCCCTCGGTCCCCAGCTCCCTAGGCACCATGTAAGCTTCCCCGACTCCACCTTAGGTGCCTCGACCCCAGGACTTTCAGCACTGCTACTGCAACGAATCTGTCTTGTCCCACCCAATACTTGAGACCTGCATCATTCAGTCCCTCTTTGAGCCTCAGTGTCCACATCTGCAAAATGGGGGCAATGCTGATGCCCACCTGGCAGGGTCACAGTGAGGACTGAATGCGCTCATGTGGGGAAGGATAATAGCCCTCTGTGACCAGCTTTCTACTGGAGCCTTGGGCCAGGGCCCAAGTGACTGGTCCTCCCTTCCCAGCCAAGGGCCAGCCCTAATCTAAGGGAGCTGCACAGATGGAAGCCACGAAGGAGAAATAATAACCTCTGTCACATCCTTGTGATTGTGTATGCAGGCACTGTGCTCAGCGCTCTATATGCCTTTTTATACCTGTGAAGTAGGTAATTTCTCTCTTCCTGAAGCTCAGAGTGGTTGCTTTGTTTGTGCAGAGCCCACTTTCTAACCACTTTGGTTTTATAGCCTCCCTCTCCTCCAAAGCACAGCCCCACTGCCTGAGTTTGCATATGCACATTTACCCAACTACCCATTTACCTGTAAAAGTACCTTGGAGCTGCCCATGTGCTTGGAGATGTCTAAGGGTTTTCATTTGGGATTTGTCAATGAAACTCCAGGGAACTGTGGACCCCTGACCTTGTGGGTTGAACTGTGAGTGTATGCATGGGTGCTGGGGGCATTCCGCAGGGAGAGGCTGTGGAGCCCGATTCAGAATCTGCAAGGGAGCATGGCTCGGAGTGGTTAGGAACCCAATGCGGCAAAGCAAGGACTGGGAGCCAGGCTCCCACTACTCAGACCTTCCATTGCCCCGTGCCTCTTCTCCGGATACCCTCCCTCCCCTACCCTCTCTCTGGCCCAATCTGGCTGTGTGAGCTCCCAGATTTTCTCCCCTCCTCTTGCTCCCAAGTGCACATTTGTTCCCAAGGACTCCAGGATGTGTGGGCCTTGTTCTTGCCCCTGACACAGAAAGCTCGGGTATTTAACTGTGCACCAGCTGCCGTCCTAAGTTCCTGGAGGAGGGAAACAGGTCCAGACCGAGGGGTCCTGGGATCACGGGTTCTAGTTTGGCTCTGCCTCTTGTTCACTCTGTGAGCTTGGGCGACCCATGGCCCCCTTGAGGTCTGCTTCCTCGTCTGTAAAGTGGGAACCATGATCCTTGCGTGGCCACCTCCCATGGCTGCTGTGGAGGTTGCACGGCATGAACAGTGTGAAAGGACCACGTAGACTCAGTGCTCTCAGCCCGCAGGAAAGATGTTATCTAGAATCAAGTTAGCAAGCTTTCTCTGTAAAGGGGCTCATAGAAAATAGTTTAGATTTTACAGGCCACACAGTCTCTGCTGCAACTAGTCAACTCCATAGTTGCAGCACACAAGTAATATATAAACACGGGGGGCATGGCTGTGAGCTAATAAACCATTTACAGAAGCAGCCAGGGGCCAGGTTGACCCGCTAGCCATAGGACGCCAACCCCTGATGTAGAAGATGGAGCTTTTCCCACTTTAGGTCTGCCCCAACCTCTGCCTTCCTCTCTCTGTGTTATTAATGACGCTAATGACGATACAAAAATGACAAAAAAGCTACCATTTATCCAGTGTTCATCTTGTGCCGGGACCGTTCTCAGTATTTTATATGACTTATCTCATTTCACCCTTATAGCATTTGGTAAGATGGACACAATGATTAGTTCCATTGCACAGATGAGGAAACTGGGGCAGACGGGTAAAATGAAATACCCAAGGTCGCACGGCTAATTGTGGTTGGACCCAGCATTCAGACGCCAGAGTTCTTAACCACAGCACACATGGGGCTGGAGCTGGGAGGTTGGGGGGTGATTTCGGTCTCCCCTGCCTTTCGGGGGGCTATGCCAAGCGTCTGGTTCTACAGCCAAGGCCAGCTTGGCCCTTTGGCTTTTCTGCTTCTTGGCAGGCCTCACCTGCCCTACTCTGCCCGCCTGCCTCCCTACCCATCTCCCAGGATCTGACATGGGCTCCCCCTTCCCATGACTTCAGGGCGGGGGCTCATTTGAGCGCATCCAAGATCGATGTTGTACACGAGAAGGTGCAAATGTAAAGCTGGCTAAAGAGCATAATAGAATTTATGGAAATCGCTGGCTCACACCGCAGCCCGAGCAATGATGGAGGTGATTATTAATTAATCATGGTCTTGGGGGAACAGTATCAGTGCAAGGAGTAATTAAAATGAAGCATTGTACAGTTGTACCGAATGATGATTTATAAGCCCGAGGAATTGCCGCTCTGCCCTCTCCCCTCCGCAGGCTCAATGGGAAGGATTAACTGGACGAATTGTTTTCAACAAAACTAGTGGCTTGCGGACGGATTTTGATCTGGACATCATCAGCCTGAAAGAGGATGGCCTGGAGAAGGTGCGTGGTCTCAGGAGAGGGAGGGCAGGCGGAGGAGCAGGGGCTTCTTAAATCTCCTAGGGCAGACCTCAGTCAGAGGCCCAGAGGCAAGGGGCAAGACACAGTCCAGCTGCCCCTCAGGGATTGACTTGGTCCAGTGTAGCCTGTAGCTCTTGGGGGCCCATCAGAGAACAAGAAGGCCTGGTTGGACTGGAGGGTACAGAAGCCAGTGGCCTGGCTGCAGCAGACACCCACACTGTCACTCTGTGAGTAAGGGTCATTGGGGATGCCTAACCTCGGAAGCATAACAAAGGCCCATGGGGTGGATGGACTGTCTCTGAGTCCCTGCAGGGCTGTCATGGAGCAGAAGGACAGACATGTTCTTGGGTAAAAATTTAAGAATATAAAAAACATAAAACCTTTCTAACCAGAGAGTATCTCCCCTGTGAGTAGTGAGCTCACTGTCACTGGAGACATTTAAGCAAAGATAGAGCAGTTGCTTGTCTGGGAGACTGAAGGTGATTCTTTCCCTTGGAAAGAGGTTGAAGCACATGGATTCTGAGCTCCTTCGCTCTGGGCTTCTAAGGCCTCTGCGATTCCAGAGAGTTTGGACCAGGAAAGCGGGCCTGCCTGGGGCTGGGGCCTCCCATCTGGCTAACATAGAGATGTTTTAATGAGGCCAATCCCAGTCCCTGGGAACCTTCAGCATATTCTGTCAATGTCAGGCTGCTGGGCCAAGAAGGGAGATTTAATACGAGCCCTCAATTCACAGCATCCCCTGGGACCTGGATTCTGGGGGCTCAGCCACACTCTGTCCCCAGCAAGTGGGTCCCTGGGAGCCACAAGGGCACCTCCCCAACCCTGCAAGTTGCTGTGTATGAAATGTAGTGAGCAGAAGCCAGCAGAGTGGAGGGGCCACTTCGGATGCCTCTGGGGCTCAAGACTCTGATTTCGGTCCTCTCCACCCCGGCAGTGCCCTGGTTCAAGCATTTTATGTGGATTATTTTAACATGCCGCCCTGGTTCTTGAGCCCTCCAGCCATCCAGAGTGTACACACAGATGAGGCTTCCCCAAGCACAGCTCTGCCCTGCTCTGAAACTGCCCATGGCTCCCTAGTGCCAAGTCATTAAACTTCAGCTCTCCAAGAAATGCACCAACTGGCCCTTCTGGGCCTCGTTTCCACATTTCCCTGAAACATACCCCATGGCCCCATCATGCTCCCTCCCTCCTGGACCTCCAGGCCATTGCCCACACAATTGCCCTGGTTGCAGGATGTGACCTCTGTCCCTCAGGCAAAGGCTGGCTCTGCCTAGCTCAATGCTGTCCTCCTTGTACCTGTGGCCACAGTTATTCCAGTCTCTCCCGACTTTCCCACCTACTCATGGGAGCCACTGTGCAAGGGAGGAGGTGGCTGGGGAAGCCTCCCTATTACTCTGTAATTATTTCACACCATATATAGCATCAGTCCCTTAATAACAGGGGCTGTGGCCTCCCCTCCTAAGATCACAGGGGCCAGTTTGCTCAACCCTACACAAACTCTATGAGTTCTCATCAAGCGATCTTCCAGCTTCTATTTAAGCTCCTGCAGTGATGGAGAGCACCCTTCCTCCTCTGGCAGTGCTAGAGTGAATGCAGTATTCACTCAAGTAGCTGTCCCACTTTTGCTCTCTCAGCTACCCATCTCTAGGGATAACCTAAAATTCTAGGGAGGGCAATTAGGTGGCACATATGCCACTACTTCCCACCCTGTGCCATAAAAGGCATCAATAATCCGTCATTTGAGTACTCTTTCCACCTGATCCCACCTGCAACATCCTTCTCCAAACAGCCCTCCAGGCAGCTGGTTCAAATTGGCCGTAGCTAATACTCAAGAAAAACTCTATTATCCCTGGGCAGAGGTTAGCCTGCCAGAGGCACTCACCAAGGCACCGGGTCACAGCCACCCGGACTGTGAGCACAGAGCCTCCACAGGCTGGGTCCTCCTCAGTCCTAACTGGCCTCACATCTCCATAGCACCTGGTATCTAACAGAGCATGCAGTTGGAGCTCAAGTGAGGGTCTGTGCTCTTCATGTGGCCTCTGAACAGATGTTTGCCAAGCACCTCCTGCACCCAGGTGCTCTGCTAGGCACGCTCAAAGTGAGCTTGGCTCTGAGCTCAGCCCACTTAAGAGAAGAGCCTCTTCGATGCCGTCTACCACTTTCCTCTCCTCAAGGCCCTGGGTGGTCTATGTAGGCAGGGATCCCGCCCTGAGAGGATGCTGAGCTCCCAAACACAGCTACTCTGCCTCTCATATTATCACTTGTTTGCTAAGCCGGGTCATAGCTGATCCAGCCAGCTCCAACCGGTGGCTTTGGGAGGATTAAGGCAGAATTACCCAAGCATAATTACATGTCTCTCTGCTGTCTGCTCTGCGCAGCTCTCTTAATGGGATGTTTGCATTCAGCCTCTCTGTTTAATTGATTAAGTGTCCTGAGTAGCCCCCCTAACTGGGCCAAGGACAGAGTGGGCATGCAGAAGCCTTCCTTGAGTGAGAGGAGCTGAGACCAGGCAGAGCTGGCCAGAGTTGGGTCAAAAAGGATCTTCAAGAGGCCCAGGGCTTTAGGATGATTTCTAAACTTGACCTTTCCTTCTCTACCTCTAGCCTCAGGCCCGATATCCACAAGGACGCTGTAGAGAGAGAGATTATTCTACCTTAGTCTGTGTGTCTGCCAGTTTTAAATGTAAAACCACAAAGCAAACTGCCTTTAAACCCAGCAGCATTTCCCAGTGAGGTCCATCCCCTCCTTGTGCTGCCACCCCAAAACAGCCACAAAGACTGTGTCCCAGGGCAAGACCTGGCACTGACCATAGACCCCTGATTCCCTCCAGCCCCTGATTGGCATCTGCTCAGCCCTGAGACCCCTGGGGCTGCCTTCGCATTTGCTGTCTCTCTCTGCATTTTCCCCTTCAGCTGTGATGGGCTTGCCAGCAAGGGAGGTGGCAGAATTCAGAGATTCGACACCCTGGGACCCTCGTCAGGAGAGGAGGGAGAGCTGCAGGGATGTTGTCCAGAACGGTTATAACTGGAAACACAATGGCAGTGGTGATGATGATGATGATCATGACAATGAGGCTCATGATGAATGGGAATGAGATGAAGGTCTTGTCGATATGGAGGAAGATGGGTAGACCAAGGACTCGGCACCCTGTTTTCTGTCTGTGTCCATCCAGGTTGGGGTGTGGAGTCCTGCCGACGGGCTCAACATCACTGAGGTTGCCAAAGGCCGAGGCCCTAATGTCACCGACTCTCTGACAAACAGATCACTCATTGTCACCACAGTGCTGGTAAGAGCCTGCAGCCCCTGCAGGAAGGACTGTCCGACCTGGGGGTGGGGTGGCCGTTCGGGCTGGAGAGTCCCCTCTATCCCCCCCACCCAGAAGATGGAGGCTGCAGGTAGGTGGAGACTTTTAGAGTCAGCAGGAAGTTCTCAGAGAGCAGCTGGAGCGCAGCAGCGCTGCTCGCTGCCACGGGCGGAAGCCGCTGCGTTTTTGTGTCTCACTCCCACTCACTCCCCAAGTCCTTGATGTCTGAGTAGGAACCATGCTGGATGGTGGAATTAAGGGGGTTTGACAGCCCATTGCAACCTGAGTGAGGATTCGCCTCTCCCACCCCAGTTCCCAGGCAAAAGCCTTTCCCACAAGTCACCCCAGCTGTGGTGGGTGCTGTGGCCACACCTCGAGAGCCCAGCAGGTGCTGGGAGCCTGTACACATGCCGCATTCTATAGTGGCCCTTCCGAGAGCCGTCAGCCACTGCCACACCCCCTGCCTGGAATCACACCCCATCTTCTCTCTATTCCCCAACTGAATAGCACCGCCTTCTCCTGACCTGTTTCAAACCAAGAAGCAACTCTGGGGGCCTCCCATGGGCTCTCTGCACCTTTGAGCTCATGCGGGGGCAGGAGGACAGACCCAGGCTGCTGACCCCCTTGTGCTGCCAGGGCTGTGCCCACTCCACCTGTGCCTGTCCCTCCTGGAAGGCCTCAGAGGTGTCCAGAGACTCAGGACAGATCCTCTCAGGGACACAGCCCTGCTTTTGGGGGCTCAAGCCGAGCCATCTTGGGGAGAGGCAGCCCAGTCACAGCCTGGTGAATTATGACTGAAGACCCTTTGAGGACAATGCTAGCTCTAGTCAGCTCTGACTCATAATAAAGCAAATATATTTATAAGGACCATATGCTGGGGTCATTCCTCTACACAAAAGGGAGTTCAACCCGTTTTGGATATAGTGAGGCTGCCTTGGAGCAGAACCCAGGACAGACTGGTCACCCTATACCTGGCCCCTTCCACGGTGCTCAGATGGGGCTTGTTCTCACCCATGTGCCCTCAGAGGCAGCTGAACCAGGCCCTACTGGGTGGCCCTACCTGGGATGATTCACCATATATGTGCTTGGTGGCTGGGTGGCAGATGTCATGGAACAGGAAGGGAAGTAATGGGGAAAAAACCATTCTTCCAGGTAGCCCAGTGAGTGGCAGATACCAGGCATCCTGTCGGCATCCAGAGATAAATGTTAGCCTGTGAGTCTCACCATCGGCCCTCGGGGTTAGGATGATTGAGAGGATCTGAGCTAAAGATGATGGAGATCTCACGGTGGCTCCAGACAAGCTGCCCACAGAGCCTGAAGAGGTGGTCTTAGGGGACACCTGTCCCCCTCTTTGGGGCAAGACCCCTACTATCTTCTTCCCTAAAACCTCACATCCTGCTGGCCTTTATTGATCAACTTTTTGTTAACTAAACAAATATAAAAATCAGTCTGCTAAAACCAATAAGCAAAAATATCTCAAGAGGAACAGGGTTAAAAAAAAAAAAAACCTGTGATGTAAAAATGTAAAGGATGAAAATAAACAAATAACAAGAGCAAAGGGATTAGGGTGAAGACTAATGGGCAATTAAAGGGATATTGATGTGGATAAAAATAGAAAAGATAAAGGAGGGTTAAAAAGAGAACAAAATAAAAAGGTTAAAAGGAAAATAACAAAGAGAAAATGAAGATAAGGAATGAGATAAAAAGGAAAGATAGTAAGAAAGATGAAAAATTAAATAATTTATAGCTCTGACTAGACAAGGTAAAAAATGTAACACCCAAATGTCAAAAAGCAAAAGGATAAAAGTGTGACAAAGCTAAAATATAAAAGGGTAAAAATAAAATAATAAAAAGGTGCTAAAAGATTAAAAGCAGAGCTGCATAAAATGTGAGATATAAATAAAACACTTTTCACAAGGCAAGATTAAAAAAAGGTAAAACTAGGATGATTTAAGAGATTAGGAAGAGAGATGATTAAATGAGCTAAGGTGAGTCAGTCACAAAACAATACTCTGAACAGTAAGAGGCAAGCTAAAGGTAATATACCAAAAGGATACAAAATATAAGCACCTTGAAAGATCAAGGGGTTAAATTTTATTAAAATGGTAGCAGCCTGATTTCAAGGGCATAAAACCCTTCTGCAGGGGCACAGGGGATTTTTGCTACATAAGCAGAGGCAGAATCCAGGAGACACCCCATGCTCTCGACCTGTGAGTGCTTACAGCTTCTCTGTCAATACTTGCAGCTTCTTGCAAAGATCCCCGACCTGCTGTGCTCACTGAATCCCCAGAGGTTGCATTCCCAGTATCCTGCTGGTTCCTAGGTAGCCCAGGGCTAGGAAAGCAGAGAACCCCTCTTGGCTCATAGCCTGGTCACAGCTCCATCTGTCCCACAGCCTCTCAGCTGCAAGGCATCTGGGCAGATACAACCCCAGAGCTCTTTGGGACATGCAGTGCCACCAGGACATGAGGAAAGAACAGTTTGATGATCAAAAGCACAGACCTTTGGGGTGGAGTCCTGGCTTTGATGTTGATTTGCCATATGACCCTAAGAAATTGCTTATCCGCCCTGTGCCTCAGTTTCTCCACCTGAAAAAGGGAGGTGTTAATAACTGCACCTACTTCATAGAGTTCAGAGCATGAATGATTAATTAAGTGGCACAGAGTGCGGTCTAAGTGACAGCTGCTATTGTTATTCATTATTATTGATTACAAATCCAGTCCCCAGTGAGCTCAGCTTGAATACAGCATGCTGAGTGAGAGATCTTGAGAAAATCTCCACTTCTGTCCACAGGCAGAGCCCTGAACTTCACCAAAGACCCCTGCCCATGGCCACAGAGGTGATCTCTAGCACAGGCTGTTCTGTTACAAACTTAATTTGCATTTGAGTGCCTTCCAGTTTCATGGCCATTCCCTGGCTCACCATAGTCCCCCACTCTGCCCCCGAGCCCTCCCTATTTGTTTACACTGGGCTGCTTCTTATAGTTGTGTTTCTCAGCTGGCCATTGGAGGCATTAGGGTTTGCAGCCTCATGGGTCCCTCATAGTCCTAGTCTCCTACTGAGATATAGAACTCCAGATCAACCACCACCTCACCTTCTACCTTGGCCACGGTCTCAGCTCCTGAAGCAGATATCCCACCGCCTATGGATGGGGCCACTGACCATCTTAACCCCATCATGTAGTATCAAATACTCACATGGCCTGGGGGTGACTGATGATTCAGCTGTCTCCATCCCCACTGCCCAGAGATCACCGGAGGGTGAGGTGTGCTTCCCCCTATGGGGCAGTGAGAGAAGCCTACTGTTTCCTGGAGGCAGGGGAATGGAGGGAATGACCTCTGGAGTATCCCTGATGGGGATAGAGGATGTGACACAGTCTTTACATGGGCTTCCAAGAAAGTCTGTCTAGCCAGAAGTGTCCTTGGAGTCTCCTGAGGAGAGATGCTCGCTCCCATGCAAGGACTGGCCTAGGGCCCCCTGAAACTAGAGCTGCTCCAGATGCTCCAGAGAATGTTCCCAAAAGGCTCTGCATGGTCTGCATGTCTTGGAGCCCTAGGGGATGCTCTCAGGCTTGGGCTCTTTGGGACAGCTAAAAGGTGACAGGGAGTGGCCCAGCCCCAGCCACTGTGGCTGAAAATCCAACCCCATGCTTCGCAGCCTGAATGTAGGGCCAGCACCTCCTGCTGAGAGCACAGCCCCAGCCTGTCTGGGAGGATGTTGTCAGGGCAACAGTGCTTTGAGTGACAGGCAGGTCCCAAGGTACCAGTACACAACATCAAACTGCTCTGCCTCTAGGGAACAGGGCCTGGATCCAAGACCCCTGATAAGGGGGAGTTTCTCCTCCCCTTTCTTTCCCAGGAATCTGGTGTGGCAGAAAGCAGCAGCTCTGTGTGAGCTGCCACCAAACCTACCTGCTATTCTCCCCTCTCCTAAACCCCCAGCGTTAGGTGCTAAAGATGCCTTACCCTGGACAGACAGATGGACAGAGCCCTGGCACTGCCCTTTCTGGCCCCTCAGAGCCACTGGCAGCCTTCCCCATTCCTGAGATGGAAACAGCAGCAGCAGGAGACTGGACGCCTGCCCTCCCCCGCCCTCTCACCGCCCGGCCCCAGCCTCTGTTCTGGTTCCGCTCTTCCACGAGCTCATGAAAAATTCATCTGCCCAAACCTCAGCTCACACACTGAGAAAACACACCCGGCCCACTCTTGGGGGCCCAGCTTTTGAAGGTTCAAGACTCGTTTGGCTGCCGATGTGAGCCATGGTGTCACGGTGTGGGCATGCGTGCGGGTGTGTGGGTGGGTGTAGGACCAGCTACACACGGGTATCTGGATACTCAGTGATGGGTGCATTTGTGCCGTGTGCACATCGTGACCCACATAGGCTCAATTGCCTGCCAGGCAAGCCCAACACTCAGCACCCAGCAGCAGGAGAGGGGAAAAACCTGGGGCTAGAGTGTTGGCTGGGAGAACTATCCCAGGCTGGGAACGATTCTAGGCCCCTCCTGCTGGGAGAATAGGACTCCTGATACTGTGTGCTGGTTCTAACTGGTTGAAGCCAAGGCCTCAGGTCCAAGGTCCTTGGCCTCTGTGTCTGAGAAGGGCTAGGCAGACAGGACATCTGAAAATGTGGTGCATTTGTGCCAAGGACATTGTATATACTTGTGCGTGCATGTGTGGCTATGGGCTGACGTTACCTGTCAGAAAGGAGCTTCAGAACCCAGATATCAGGTAGCTAATCCCTGGATCCTTCCCAAATTGGGGATAACCCCCAAGACTCCCTCTTCCAACTCCATGGACCCTGTCACACTGGGAGAGGCTTAGCGCTAGGCCTGGCTTGCACGCTGGGGTAAGTGATCGGAGAGAAACCGGACCAAGAGCCCTGACAACGGAAAGTCAGAAACGGTTATTTTTCTGGACCCCTGTTTTCCGTGACTTGTTGAAGAGAAATATTACCCCTGTTCCTATGGCTGTTCTCCCAGAGCAATAGAAGAGCGTGAAGTTATGAAATTGAGGGCACCTTCACTGAGCAATCGATTAGCAGCCGAGAGAGCTTGTGAATTGGCTGTCTGGACATTTCCAGTAATAAATTGTGAAATAGTCCATGAATAAGTAGTTGGCGGAGTTCAGAATTACCCCCTAGGAAATGTTGCAGGTCTAGAGACACATTACTAAGGCGAGCACCATTTTAATGCTCTGGGCTTTGGCTGTTAAATATGTATGCCATCCGCAAAGCACTTCCCGAAATTAATGGCATTTTACAGCTGCTCTGAAGGCAGCGTATTTATATGGAGATGTATAGATTCTGGGGCTGTGGTGGCTTCACAAATGAAGTGCTAATTTTAGAGGATCAGGCCAGGGAGGGGCGTGAAGACAGGGTCAGGAAGTGAGCTATCTCAGGGACCTTTCCTGAAATGGTTTTCCGCTATCAACCATGAGTTTTAACCTTTGATGCATTGGGTGTGGCCTCTAGGCTGCAAAGGTCACTGCAGTAACCCGCCAAATAGCATACAAGAAAAAGATAAGGATGATAATGATTAATAATAATAATAATATTGGCAGCTAACAGTTGCCAGGCACTATTCTGAGTGCTTTTCGTAGACTGACTCATTTTATCCTCACAACAACCTTGTAAGGCAGGTTCTATTATTTTCCCCATTTTACAGAAGGAGGTAAATTTTGCCTAGGATTCTGTGTGTGGTTGGTGGATCCTCTGGGAAAGATGGTACCTTCTCTCTGATCCTTTCCATCAGCTAAAGTCAGGGCCACCAGGTGCAGTGGTGCAACTTGTCCATTGCACAAGAGCATCAACCAAAAGACCCTGCTCGCCAGGCCCCATGCCAGGGTGCAGGAGCATTGCCCAGAGATGAATTTGCATGAAGGCAGTGCATGGACCAGCCGATGTCCTCCTTCCTCCAGCCTCAGCACTTTTCCCAGGCCCCACGTGGACTCTTCTCCAACCTTGTTGAGCTGCCTGCTTGGTTGGAAGGCGAGTGAGAGAGGCACTGAGATTAAGCATGGCGCCTAGCCGAGGGTCCAGCTTCCTACCCAGTTAGACTCAGAATCCCTGGCTAGTCGGGAATCCCTTGGGGATTCAGAGACTGCCCCACCCCCACCAGTTCTTTCCCTGAAGCATCCCAAGGGACTGTTGAAAAGCTCCAGTGGATCAAGCATGGGGCAGGATGGGATTTAGAGAAGTAGCACTGCTGGGAGAGAGGGCCAAAGGCTCAAGCTTGCCGCCACAGCGGGAGCCCAGCAGGAGGCTACTGGTGAGCATCTGCTCCTAGGACCTCTGACAAAGGTCTTCACCGGGTCTTCCACTGCCCATCCCACCCTGGGGCTCATGAGGTCAAGGGAATGGCCCCGCCAGTTGAGTGAAGGATGAGGCACCTCCATAGTTAAGCATGTGCCTTAATCTGGGCATGCAGACATGAGCTTCCTGGTTTCCTGCATTCTGTCAGCTAACCATGGTCACACAGCCACTGAAGGCTTGAGACATTCTGTCACGTTGGGGTGCTGAGGCAGGTCTGGGGACGTTTGGCTGACAGAAAGAGGCCTAGGAGCTATAGGCAGGAACAGGGCAGGGGGCGAAGGAAGGAGGCTCAGGGGAGTCAGAAGAAGACTAGAGTTGTCCAGGAACAGGCTCTGGGATGGCAGCCCTTTACCTGATTTGGGGATCTGGAAAAGCAGATTAACTCCGGAAGGTCTGACCCCAGGGAACAGACAGGAGAGCCAAGCCAGAGAGAGGTGCAGCTGACTGGGAAGGATTGGAACTGGATCCCATCACTGTAGTTCAGTTCCTGTGTGATTTTGGGCAACTTACTGACCTTCTCTGAGCCTGAATTTCCTCATCTATCACATAAGGACAGTGTTACTATCTTGCAAGCTAGTGAGGCTTAAGTCAAACAGTCTGTGACAAAGAGTTTAAATCAGTGCCTGGTGCAGAGTAGGAACTCAATTGTGTTGAATTTTCTGGGAGTTCAGCGCATCCATCATGGACACGGGATGGGGCTTTGTGAGTGAAGCCAGATAGACGGTGCCGGCAAAAGCGTGGACTTGCGTGTTGACCTGGATTCGGACTTGCTGCATCGGAGCCCACAGTTCCTCACACTGCATATCTCGACTGGATGAAGTGGATCGCCTCTCTCCACTGGCTCTTCTGCCTCTTCTCCCAGTTATTCTTTGCAGGGTTGCCAGGGGTTTGTTTCTAAATGAGAAATCAGACAAAGTCATGCTCTGTTCAAATCCGGTCCCAGGCTCCCTATCACCCAGAAAGAAAGAAGCCTGTGGCAGGTGGAGGGGGTGGATGGTGGGGGGTCTGGCATGGGACAGGCATCTCTGACCCACAAGCACCTTCCTGGGGATCGCCTGCCCCTGAGGGAGGAGCACCATGGGCCTCAGGCACAGAACTCGCACTCTGGGGTCACACTAACCTGAATTCAGATCTTCTCTCATGCCGGCTAGGGGTGCTTGCACAACTCACATATCCTCATGAACTTCACTTTCTGCATCTATAAAATGGGATTATTCATACCCACCCCAGAGGGCTGACATTAAGGTGAAATGAGGCGATACCAGCTCCTGTCTGCTGAGCTCTGCTGGACTCTGTGCTAGGCCCCCCATGGGCATAAACTCATTTGCTAATTGACCAGTGCCCGGCACAGCCACCTACCGATGAGCTGTCCCTGTTACCAGTAATCACTCCCCTGGGATCCTAACACAGGGGACTGAGGAGGTTCTTGGAAAGAGAGAACGGCATCCAGGAGCATGTAAATCTAATCTTTTAAATTGGAGTTGGAAGAGAAGTTAGAGCAGACGGCTTTCTGAAGGGCTTTTTACAGCAGCGTCCTCAGACTTGAGTGGACATCAGAATTCCCTGGAAGGCTTCTGAAAACACAGATCGCTGGGCTCTCCCCAGAGTTTCCGGTTCAGTTAGGTCTGGGGTGGGGCCTGAGAATGTGCATTTCTAACAAGTTCCCAGGTGATGCTGATGCTGCAGGTGCAGGGACCACACGCTGAGCCTCTATTACTAGTGCAGCAAAGAGACCATGGGCCTTGGGATGGGTCTCCAGTTCAAAGCCCTGCTCCACCGCTCACTAGCTCTGTAACCACTGGGCCATTAAATCAGTAAGTGCCTACTGAGCTCCCGCCCTGTACCAGGTAGCCATTCATGAGGCCCCCAGCTGGCTCTCAGGACATGTGCTTTCCCGCTCCTGACTTCACGGGCCCTTTGTCTAAGCCACTCCAAGGGGTTTATAAAAACATGAGCAGAGGTCCTAGCCCTGACTCTCCAGTGCAAGCCTGCCTCCGCCCTAGCTGCTCAGTCTTCGTCACACCCTGCCCATCTGTCTCTGCAGGAGGAGCCCTTCGTCATGTTTCGGAAATCAGACAGGACGCTATACGGGAATGACCGGTTCGAGGGCTACTGCATCGACCTGCTAAAGGAGCTGGCCCACATCCTTGGTTTCTCCTATGAGATCCGGCTGGTGGAGGACGGCAAGTACGGGGCACAGGATGACAAGGGCCAGTGGAACGGCATGGTCAAGGAGCTCATCGACCACGTAAGCATGGATGGGAGCATGGGAGGGCTCAGGACCCTGGGGAGACTTGGCCTAGAACTGTCTGCACCACAGGGCTGGGCAGCCTGGCAGAAAAAGGCCCTGGGGACAGGAGTGATGGAGATGAATGCTGCAACCTTGAGGACTGGGGGGCCTCAGCTGAAGGAAGTGCACCCCAGCTCTCATGGGCTGCCTTGCTCATACTCCCAACGCCATTCTCCTCCGTACACACACAGATGCACTGGCCTCCATCTGATTCAGAGCCGGCCCCACTGGCATCTTTGATGAACTTGCTCTGGAGGAGGCCTGTGGCTTCTTGGTATCTTCTGCTCCTTTAAAAACCACCAGAGGATGCCCCAGCTATGGGGCAAGGCACCCACATGAGACACTTCACCAAATTCTTGGACACAGAGAGAAACCCGTCACTGCATTGAGTAACTCTGGGTCTAGTGGGAGTCCAGGAAGCTGAGAGCTGGGAAGAAGGGATGAGCAGGGCCTGGCTGGAAGCACCAGGGAGTCAGCCTCTTCCTCTGCCTGGGATCAGGAGAGGACTGAGGACAGCTGGGAGCCCAAG
Organism: Homo sapiens; assembly: GCF_000001405.40. Taxonomy (NCBI): domain Eukaryota; kingdom Metazoa; phylum Chordata; class Mammalia; order Primates; family Hominidae; genus Homo; species Homo sapiens. The sequence goes on along the minus strand of NC_000001.11, from coordinate 36,841,164 downwards.
CAGGCAGGTGAGGGGGTGGGGGGTGTACCTGGGCTTCTTGAGACATTGGGAGGAAGAGGGAGAAGCCACAGGCTGGAGACACCACCACAAGGGAGGAATTAGGAGGCCCTGGGCTCGAGTCCCGGTTCTTCCTCATTAGCTTTGTGAACAAGGGCAAGTCACTCAACCTCTCTGAGCAGTTTCTCCCTCTGTAAATTGGGCATGTTGACACCCCTTCCTCACGCGATTGTTGTCATAGTGGCAGAAGACTGGGCCTAGAGTAAGTTCAGTAAGAGGGTCCCTGGTAAGATGCTGTGAGCAAACACATCATAGTTCTCAGACGCCCAGGCTGTGGCCCAGCAGGTCTGGGTTCAAGCCTCAGTTTTGTTGTGTGACCGGGTAAGTTCATCAATCTCACTAAGGCTCAATTTCTTTATTTCTAAAATAGGAGTAATTGTTGCTGTTGTTAGAGACAGAATCACCCAAGGTGGAGTGCAGTGGTGCCATCACAGCTCACTGTAGCCTCAAACTCCTGGGCTCAAGTGAGCCACCTGCCTTAGTCTCCTGAGTAGCTGGGGCTACAGGCACGAGGCACTCCACCTGGCTAATTTTTTTTTTTTTTTTTTTTTTTTTTGGTGGAGAGCAGGGTCTCACTTTGTTGTCCAGACTGTTCTCAAACTCCTGGATTCAAGTAATCCTCCTGCCTTGGCCTCCCAAAGTGCTGAGATTACAGGCATGAGCCACCATGCCCTGCCTAAAATAGGAGTCATTAGCAACTACCGTAGCTCCTGTGGTTGTTGGGGGAATTAAATAAGGCACCATTTCCACAGGCTTACCTGGCACACAATAAACATGACCTGCCTTCCAGCTCAGGGCCCTCAACTTGACTGAAGCATTTTCTATCAAGGAGCTGCTGCTGAATTCAAGGACCTGATCCATACTGGACCCCTTAGATTCCTTCTCTCATTTATCCTTATAAAAGCCCAGTGAGGTAGGTACTGTTATTAACACCCATTTTACAGATAGGGAGACTGAGGCAGAAAGAGATGAAGTGGTGGAGCCAGAATTTGGAGCCTCCCTGCCTCGTAGCCCTGTGTTCCAGCTTCTGCAAAGAACCATCCTGACCCCAGGGGCCAGGACAGAGGGAGGTTCATGCAGAGATCTTTGCAACCCACAGAGTATCAGCCAAAGGTTATGACTTCACCTCTCCAGGATGGGAGCAGACAGCATCAGGGACTTCGGTTAAGCCCCCTTGCCTCGGTCTGAGGGGAGCTGCCTACAGAGACCTTGGAGGTCGCAAGTGGGGAGGGAGGCTGGAGCTCAAGGCATGAAGGCTGGAGCCTGGCCCAGTGGAGTCACTTCCTAGTCCCCAGCAAATTGGGCTCCTGTGGAAGTCTAATAGGAGACTCAAATGGTCAAGAGCATGAACTCGAGCTCAGTTTGATTCAAACTCTTCCGCTTGCTAGCTGTGCATTCCTGGACAAGTTTCTTAACCTCTCTGTGCCTCAGTTTCTGCATCTGTAAAAGGGAAAAGATATTAATAGGACCTACTTCATAAGATTGTTAGGAGGACTAAGTCAACATAGTGTATTACATGTCATCACCATGTCAGTATTTACTATTATTATTTTTATTTTTATCCTTACAACTATTCCTTGGAGGCTGGGGAGGGGGCTTCAGGAAGTCCCCTTATCTCTCTGAGCTGCACTTTCCTAACCTGACAGTGAGAATAATAATACCTGCTCCACATTCTTCACAGCTTGTTGTGAGCCTCAGAGGAGACAACTGGTGGGGAAGCAGCTTCTAGATTATAGAATTCAATATAAACGGAAGGGAGTGGTGTTGTCACCGTTATTAGTAATAACTATAATTATTATGGAAATTAGTCAGCAGGCCCCAGAGGCATCTCCATCTTATCCATTCCCCTGCGTTTATGAGTGGGGCTTGGAGTCTGGGGCTCTGGGTAGGCTCTGAGGCTGTCATTTGCAGAGGCAAGCTGGGCAGGGGAGAAGGAAGATCACGTGGAAGGTGGAGGCTGGGTGCGGAGGTGAGCAGGGCTGGGCCACCCTCACCACTCACAACATCTCCAGTGGCCCCACAGCTTTGAAGAGCTGTTTGCAAGGGAATGTGATCAGAGAAGCCCAGCATCAGCCTGATCTCCCTAAGCTGACCCTCAGCTGGGAAAAGGAGGGAGTGTCGTCCACGGCCTCCGAGCAGCCAGGCGGTGCTTTGGGAAGCCCAGTATTCATCAGGGTTACAGGCCTGACGAGACATGCAGGGGACCTTGTTAAGCCCAATTCCCTACAATTGATGAGCCTATTAATCCTAGCTTGGTGCCATTTTTAATAACATCATAACCATATATTAGTGTCGTCAGATAATTAGTCTTCTCACTAGCCCATAGAAAGCATGCAAAGGCTTGGCAATATTATTACTTCCTTATTAGGGATCTGAATGTAGGCGTAAAGATGATGAATGCCCACCTTTGTAAGTGTCCACCCCCCGGGGCCCATTTGGAGGCCCTGGGTGGAGCCTCTGACCAACAGGACTTAAAAAGCCCTTCCCAGATACTCCCTGCTCGCCTCTGTCCCGTGCCACATGGTCTTCCAAGGGTTACAGAGGAAGATGGGGTGGCTAGAGGATGCATCGCCTTCTGCTGACACACTCGCCTGCCGCAAGTCACCTTGAACTATAGGGACAACAATAAACACGATCAGACAGAGCAGTGATTATACCCTCCATCCCCCATCTCTCATCTAAATTTCCCTCTGTCTATATTTACTGCCTACTTGTCTGTTTCCTCTTTCAAAAATCTTCTACTCACATCCGTACCTTAAATTATTCCCATGTGTTTTGATGACTCTGGAATCTAACCGAAATGGGTTCAAATTCTGAGTCTAGCACATTTCAGCTGACAGTGGGAAAGTTATTCCATTTCTCCGGCCTCCATTTCCATGTCTACAAAATGGGGATAACAAAAGAGCCTCCTGCCTGGCATTGGTAGGAAGATTTAATGAGATATGGCACCAAAATGCTTCGCCAAGTTCCCAGTGCTCAGTAAATGCTCAGTACACAGAAGCTGTCCCTCTCATCACTGTTCCTTCCAGGGACAGCCTCCCTGTCTAAAGTATGTCCATGATTAAATGTGATGGTGGTGGGAGGGTGGCCCCTCAGCCGTGGTCATCCTGCCAGGCCACAGTAGTCCAGGACCTAGACCTTACCCCCACTGGATCCAAACAGGGAGCCTCGAGGAGCTGACTCACATTGATCAGACACACAGGGAACTGAGGCACCACCAAGGTGCCACCTTCTTACTTTACTTGGGGCACTGGACTTTTCTGACACTGGGAGTCCCCATCTGCCATCCAGAGCTTCTGTGTCCTGGCACCAGGTGCCCAGGAGCCCACTTGGGGAGTGCAGAGGCAGAACCCCAAGAGTGGAGAGCCTGGAGCCAAGAGGAGAGCTGCTGCTGGAGAAGGGGGAAAGAGGTAGGCATTGAAGAGTCTCGGGTGCTGAACCGAGGAACTGGACTTTAATCCCGAGGGCTATGGAGAATCTGAACCCACTGAAGTGGAGCCAGGGGGTGACATCGACTTGGCACTTGAGGAAGGTCACTCTGCTGCTGTGCCAAACCTGAGCCAGTATGGAAGCCATCGCTGGGACCCAAACAGGGCGAGTGCTGCTCTAGGAAAGGAGGGAAGTAGATGCACAGCCAGCAGACAAGCAGGAGAACTGATGAGGCTCCCGATTGGTTGGATAGAGGAGGTAGGGGAAAGCGAGGAGTTGCGGACAGGGCATGGAATTCTACTCTGGACAGTTAAGGAGGTGATGGTGTCCTGCTCACATCAAAAGCCCCCTGGAGAAATTGAGGATTTGGGAAACATAGTGAGGTCCATTTGGGATGTGTTGGGATTGGGGTCCCTGTAGATGGTGGCCCTGTGGCTGGGCACTTGGAGGAAGGAGCAGGGCTGGAGGCTGAGCTCTAGGAGTCATCAGCACATCCTGCAGGGAGCCTGGGAGGTGGAGACGACAGCTGCTCAGGGAGAGCAGAGATGAGGACCTGGGGTGGGACCCTGAATGGCACAGATGAAAGGGTGGAAGCCACAGGATGCCTGGGCTGGCAAGGCTGGAGGGGAAGGAAGAGAATCAGGAGAGCATGGGGTGAAGGAGGCCCAAGGAAGAGAGGCTACTAGAAAGGGGGGGAGGGTCAGTGGCCTCAAGGAGGTCAAGGGAAATGAGGAATGAGCATCCACGAGTTGGCACAAGCGTGACCTCCTGGGGGTACAAGGTCAGCCCCAGCAGGGTCCTTGAGTGCTCCTATTCTCAAATTTCACCCTCGGAGACCCAGAATTCTGTCCTGGCTGCTCTCCCAGCCCCCTGCATCAGAGCAAGAGGGAGGCTAACGGGGATGCATAAAATCTCTGCAGGCCACGGGAAATGGATTCTTTTCTCTCTAAGTTGTCACATCTCACTGCAGTATGGATGGCCAGATAAGAAGTTTTCCCTGCCTCATAGATGGGGCTGGACCAAGATGAAGTATGGAACACAATGGAGACAAAGAGTCATCACTGGTAGCCTTAGCATATTGTATACTTTCCTATGGAGAAGTTGCACCACCCACACATCCGCTCTGCTTCCCAGTAACACTGAGTGCAGACCAGGGAGGGTGGCACAGCTAGAAGTGCCAATTTCCCTGTGTGACTCTTCTTACCGACGGGGAGCACTTGATGGGCTAAACTTGGCTGCTGTCCCAACACCTGGCATGGGCTGGACGCACACAGAGCAGCCTCGCTGAATGAGGGACACGTGGGTGAACACATGGACTTGCATGCTTTGCCCAGAGGCATGGTTGTTGTGGGGTCGTGACTAGCTGGCTTCCCAGCCATGGTGTGTGAGAGGAGGGCCTTATGTCAAGGCCATGACCCCAGTGCCCACCATGTCCACCATCTTCTAACCAGAAGCAGATCTGAGTTCTGGCCCGCATGCATGGGTGTCAGGAGGAGCCTCATACCCTTGTTTGTGTGGCCAGGAAATGCTCTGCCCAAGCTACCTCCTTTGGGCTGGGCCAGCACAATTGCAAGTAAAGCATGCTGGGAGCTCCCCCAGGGCAAGTCAGAATCCTGGAGGGGACAGGGCAGTTGAGGGCAGGGGAAACTGCAAAGCTGGACTCCTGTTGGAGCAGCCAGGTTGCCCAGAGCAATGACTGTGGAGCCCTGGGGGAGCTCGGGATGTCTCCAGGGTCTGTCTGGGGAGACCAGGGAAGCAGGTGAGGGGTGCAGGAGGGACTTGGGGCCCCATCGAGAGTCACTGCAGAACTGTCAGCTCCAGAATTCAGTGAGCAGAGACCAGCCTGGGGAAAGGCTTGGAAAGAGCCTGGCAGGGGTCCAGGTCCGGACAAACAGGTGTAAGAGAGCAAGAGGGCTTGAGGGATGAAGGGAGTATTGGGGGAAACCGAGGTCAGAAGGAGCAGCTGAAACATGCAAGCTCCCCTGCTGAGGATCATTCCTTCCTTCATCAATTGCACGAAAGTTTATTGAGCAATGTCTCAGCCTGGGAGCCTGCAGAGCAGAACCTGAGGCAGGGGATTATGCCATTACTCAATTAGGGGTTGTGATGCCAGGGAAAGAATGAGTGCCAAGGGCAAGGGATGTGGAGAAGGAAGGAGGAAGGCAACACAAGGATGTGTTATTGAGCTGGTTGCCATAGAGGGTGACTAATGTCTCAGTCTGTGAGTCTGCACCCTGGAAAAACTTTATAAAGTGTGTCTCAGGACCATCTCTTGGGGTAAACAGAGGAAGGGAAAACAGGTTTATCCACCAGCTCCTGACTCCCATGCATTCTGGGTTTGGCTTGGTGGCCATGGGAACCAATTGGGATCTTGCAGCAGCGTCTATGAGAAACCACAGGGCTGGAGGCCAGAGGTGGCCAGTTGGGCAGGCATTGAGATGCTGTCAGATTGGACCTGCATGAGGTTGGCCAGAGCCAGAGGATCTGAAAGGCTGCCTGAGAGGGGTCTGAGCCCAGACCCAACTGATACTGTGCCAGACCCAGAGCAGTGACTAGGGAGTGAGGGTGACCCAGGCAGACATGGTCCTTACCCTCCGGGGGCAAACAATGAATCAGACAAGTGATATTTCATTAAGATTTTGATCAGTGCTGCAACGGGAAAGATAGAGGGCTTTGGGAGTATACCCCGAGGAAAAGGCCTCAAACTTCCCTGAGGAAGTGACTATTAGGCTGCTACCTGAAGAATGAGGAAGAGATGTCCCAGACAGGTCTAAGACACATGTCTGGGTGGATGGCAGAGGCTGCTGAAGTCTCCACCTGGTCAGGGCCTGGCTGGGGCTGCAGCTGAGTGCGTGGAGTCCCGGAGCACTGGCAGGACTGTGCTAGGGCTAGCCCTGGACAGACAGCACCCTTGTGGACATGCAGGGGGTGGGGACAGGATTCTTTTGGAGATGGCGATAGAGATTGTGATGCATCCTTTGGAGTGCGCCCTGAAGCAGGGAAATTCCACTGAGCCTTCCTAAGAAATAGGCACAGGCTGGTCCCCGTGGGGACTCAGGAACCAGGCAGTTCTCCCAGGCTTGGGAGAGGCACACCCATCCTTTCTCACTGTCAGACATCCATCAGCTCAGGAGGCCTGTGTGCCAACCACAGAGACATGACCCACTGGTTGATACTTACGAATTTTCTAGCACCTGTTCCCCATCTATTTAAATATATGTGGGCTTTTCATGGTGCTGTTTTCCAAGGTTATCGATGGCCACAGTGCCAAGTGTTAAGATTGACAGCTAGCTGGCAGGTCATCCACAGATATTCTCTCTGACTTGTTATCCCCCGACCCCTGCTCCCCTTTCCCTGCCCCCACCAACTGCAGGATGGCACTCCTGAGACAGCGCTTGCTGGGGGATCTCTTTTAAACCTCCAGTGCTCCCAGTGACTGATTTATTCATTTCTGCAATAAATCTATCAAGTCAGGCCCCATGCTAGCAGCCGTGGACACAGCAGTGAACAAAACAGGCAGGATCCCTTCCCTGATCCTCAAGATCCTACATTCTAGTGGAAGAAATGGGCAATTATCTATGAACATAGGAATAGATATAAATATTCAATGAGAGCAAGTGTTCTGGGCTGGGTGGAAGAGCTTCCCTGGTTCCCAGACTGGGGCCTGGGCTGACAGGTCCTGTAGATCAGAGAGCAGTGGGGAGTCACTGTGACCCATCCCAGGAAACTTTGGGGGAAGATCTTGGAGACTCGAGAGGTCAGGGCTAGCCATGCCCTGTTGCCTTCACCAGCAGCAGTCAGGGGAAGCCAGGAAGGGCAACTGGTTATGCAGCAGAAACTGGTGATGAGGGTTGGGTGAAGGAGGACATGGATTTGGGAAGCTGTCCCCCAACCCCAGTTATGGCCATGGCACTATGAACTCTGGTTTCCCAGCCTCCAGGTGGGTTGGCAGGTGTGACGGGAAGATCTGTTATCAAAGACACACTACCATTGCCCCCGCTGTGTCTCATCTTCCTCCCAACTAGGAACTAGACCTTGGTTCTGGCCTGCATGTGTTGGCCCCAACCTCTGTCTGCAATGCCAGGGATGGTTCCGCCCAATCCCATTGCCCCAGCCTGGAGCAGGGCTCTTTGGAGCTGGACATGCTGGGAGCTCACCTGGGGGCAGGGGAAAGAGATGGGCTCCAAAGGTGGAGCCCAGCCCTCCCCCGACCAGCCAGGTTGCCCAGGGCAGTGACTGGAGAGCTCTGTGGAGCTGAGGATTCACCAGGACCTCTCTGAGGTGGGAATGAGGGCAGGTGAGGGCTATCGGTGCTAGGGTCCACTGACAGGTCAGAAGGAAGAGGGGTAGCAATGTTCAGGTGGGTTCATCCGGGGCCAGGGCACAAGCAGCAGGCTCTAAACTCTGGAGAGAGGCAGGCAGGGGACAGGATCAGGTGAACTGGCGAGAGTTAGTGCAGGAGACCCGACGCCAGAGCTCAGCCCATTAGGCTGGGGTAAGGGGTAAGCAGGACTCTTGGGGGTATTTTGATGCTCATTCTTCCAGCAAAATTTGATTGAGCCCCTACATTGTGCCAGGCTTTGCGTTAATCCCTACAGACACATCAGTGAGTGAAACAAGCTCACTCCCCACACTCCTGGGCTGTATATCCTGGCAGAGGAGCTGGGCGTCCCACAGTGACTTACAAATAAAAATTTCATAGTGATAAAGACACGGAGGAGCAGTGCGGGGGCTATGGGAGTGTGTAACCAGGACCTAGCCTTGGGGGCAGGGGGGCCCACTGCCTTCCGCTCCGTTGGGCTGTGCTAGGTCAGGCCCTGCCCTGTCTGGGCTAATACAACTGTCAGGGTATGAGGTGTGGGGAGAGAACTTGACTGAAGGGACACGGAGTCCATGGTGCCTCCAACCTGGGGACCCCTATGGGGTCTATGAAGCAGGGAAGACCTGCCCATCCTTCCCAAAGGACAGAGGCATAGGGATGGAGCTTGCTGGGCCTCAGAAATTGGGCTGTCCTCTCAGGCCCAGGAAGGGTACACACATCTTTCCTCACTGTTAGGCAGTGAGGCTGCTGTCAGCTCAGGAAGCTGGTGAATGAATCACAGGTACTAGTAGTTGACCCATCGGTTGACACTTATGAATGGGCTAGCACCTGTTTCCCCTCTGTTCAAATTTGTGGACCCTTCAGGGTGTTGGTTTGTCAGGTTCATGTCCAAGGCCCTTGAGGGACACAGTGTTTTCTTAAGCTTGGAGGCTGTGGCTCAGCAGCAGACACCGTCTGTGACTTGCTTTATCCTCTTGTAAACGGCCATGTGCTCTGTCAGCTGACCCAGAGGACACGCTCGCTGGGTGCCTCGTCTAAACCAGCAACATCCTACTCATTCATTCCCAGAGTCTCTATGAAAGGCCTACTATGTGCCAGACACTGTGCCAGCCATGGGGCACACAACAGTGAAAAGGTGACAGGCTCCGGCCTCACTCTCCTGAGCTCGTGGTCTGAGGGGGTGGAAACACCCAGAGAATCGGCCAATGCCTCTAAAATCACAACTGTGATCAGTGCTGGGAGTGACAAGTGCCTGGTGCGATGAGAGCAGTAGAGCAGTCGCCAGGGAGTTCTGATTTCCTCTGAGGCTTGTGTCTGTGGAAGTGATGATTGGGCTGAGATCTGAAGCAGAAGTCGGCATTCACTAGACAAAGAGTTTGGGGAGGAAGAGGTTCCAGGTGGAGAACAGTTCATGTGCAGCATCCGGAGGTAAGAGGAGGGGCTGGATGAACATGGATCAGAGGGGCTGCAGAAAGCCTGGGAGGAAGAGAGATGGGGAGGACAGTGTAAGAAATGTTGGAGTGCCTTTCAATGCGGCAGCCACCAGCCACACGGGGTTATTTAATTTTAAGCTTTAATTAATTAAAATTCAATTAAAGTATAAATTCAGTTCCTCAGTCTTACAAGCCACATTTCAAATGCTTGACAGCCATGTGTGGCCCGCAGTTGCCATATTGGGCAGTGCAAACAGAGAACCTTTTCATCGTTGCAGGAAGCTCTGTTGGACAGCACTGGACTAGATCACGCATGACTGTAAGCAACCCTAGTAAGAATTTTTTATCCTAAGGGTATTAGGAAGTCCTGACCTACTTTAATTAGCACCATGGATACGGATAGATTCAAAGTGGTGATTCCCACCACTTTGGGGAAAGAGCAGAAGGTGAATTCTGTGATGCCACATACCAAAGATGTGGGCAGGATGCCAGCAGAGTCCCCTGGGAATAGTCCCGTATGCATGGCAGGAGTGAGGCTGGTTTACTTAGGCAGCTGTGGAAGCAGCAGAGGGACCTGGAGGTGGCAAGGGTGTACCAGCAGCTTTCTGCAGCTGCAGGGCTCCCAAGCCAGGCAACGTGAAGTATATGCCGGGAAGCCCCATGGTCAGGGGCCAGAGTCAAGTTCACGTCTCTGGGAATGCAACACTGGGCTCAGGACAAGGCAGGGTGGGTCCAGCCATGATGCTTGCTCTTCAGAGTGAGACAGGTGCTGGGGTGGGGACAGCAGCAGGCTGTGGAAGGAGCCCCATGCATCCTGCACAGGGTCTAAGTGGCAGGAATGTTAGTTCCCTAGAGCTGCCACACCAAATGGCCATGAACTGCCAGTGCTGGAGGTCAGAAATGAGAAATGAAGGTGTCAGCAGGGCTGGTTCCTTTTGGAGGCTCTGAAGGAGAACCTGTTCCATGCTTCTCTCCAGTCTTCTGGTGTGGCCGGCAGTCCCTGGTGCTTCTGGCTTGTATCTGCTATTCCGGTCTCTGCCTCCAGCATCACATGGCCTTCTCTGTGTGTATCTGTGCATCCTCTTTTCTTTTTTTTTTTTTTTTTTTTTTTTTTGAGACAGAGTCTCGCTCTGTCACCCAGGCTGGAGTGCAGTGATGTGATCTCGGCTCACTGCAATCCCTGCCTCCTAGGTTCAAGCAATTCTGCCTGCCTCAGCCTCCCAAGTAGGTGGGATTACAGGTGCATGCCACCATGCCCAGCTAAATTTTGTATTTTTAGTAGAGACGGGGTTTCACCATGTTGGCCAGGCTGGTCTTGAACTCCTGCCTTCAGGCAATCCACCCACCTTGGCCTCCCAAAGTGCTAGGATTACAGGCATGAGCCACTGCGCCCGGTCTCCTCTTTTCCTCTTCTTATACGGACACCAGTCGTTGGATTTGGGGCCCACCCTCATTCAGTATAACTTCATTTTAACTCGATTTCATCTGCAAAAACCTTATTTCCAAATAAGATCATACTCATAGGTACCAGGGGTTAGGATTTGCACATAATTGGGGGTGGGGGGGCATAATTCAATCCACTACATGTGGCTTGCATGGTAGAGTGGTAAAATGTTGGGCTTTGAGATCACAATGAACTGGGTCCAAGTACTGGCTCAGCCACTTACCAGTTTAAACAAGCCTCCTAGCCTGATTAAGCCACTTGTCCCCATCTGGAATATGACGAGGATGTTGACCACCTGGCGGGGATACTGGGAAGATGGCATAGGCATAGGCAGCATACGCAATACACTGAGTCATGCTTGGCTTGTCTGATGGGGATCCCAACTAAGAGGTGGAGAACGGAGATGAGGAAGCTGGTGGGAACTATACTTGGGAATCCAAGCAGGCAGCTTCCAGCAGGGACACCAGACACAGGCAGCAAGCTGGGAGTCAGAGGCCAGATCTCAGACCCTTGGGAGGACCCCTGTCCTAAGAGAAGGCTGATCAGTGACAAGTTGTTAGAGCTGAGGCCACAGTCCCAACCCCATTCCTGGTAGGAAGATGTCCAGGTTTTAGTCTGGAGTACAAGGCAGGATTCAACCAGCAACCAGGGCATCTGGAGACTGAGGAACAAAAGATGGAGCTATAGCAGGTTAAATTGTTCTTACCTTCAGTTTGGGGAGCTGGGGGTGTGGTAGAATGGGTGGGGGCCAGGTGACCTCATGCAAGGATAGAGGACACTGGGAGGAGGAGAAGCCAGGAGGGTCCCAACAGATTCTTGGTAAGTGGAAAGCTGCTTATGGGGATGAAGTAATGTCCTGGGAAGACCATCCTGCCTGGTCCAGAGGTTTAGAAATAGTACAGAAAGGTCCTTGGTGAGGCAGGAGGGCTGACAAAACACTCGTTAGACCAATGAAAGTGTTGCACAAGTCAAGGGTTTGATGTCATTCAGGACATGATTGCTATAAATATTATAGCAAAGACCAAGGAGCTTCTCTCCGAGCCTCAGTTTCCTTCTGTTAAAAAAAAAAAACAAAAAACAATAAAAACCATGGGGTTGGAATAGATGTATTCCTCGAATAGACTTGAAGTTCTCTCATCCAGCTCTGACAGCCTATGATTTTATGAATCATCCTCAAAGAAAACTTGCACAAGTGGGAAGAGCCTGCCAAGATTGGGCCTTTCATTCTGAGTAATGAACCGAAACAGCAAAGGCTTGACATCTGTTCCCATCTTTCAAGGGAAGTTGGACAAAATAATGCCTTTCTCAGGGAAATCGTAACTAACGGTGAAATGTAGTATTTTCTGCCTTAACCAGAAACGCAGTGGAGAACTCCAGCCTTCCTGAAGCCCAAGGGAGAACACAGATCCAAACTCCCAGTGAAGGTCATATTGGCCAGTTGTCTTGCCACCGTAGGTATAGAATGCTGCGGATGCCTTGGTCTCCTGACCCCATTAAAACCAAAGAGCAGGAAGAATGGCAGGGAGGTTTCAAAGGCTCTGAGAGGATCTGGGGGAAGGGCTGGCCAGAAGGCCAATCACCTGTGGCCATGTGATTAGCTTTCTCACCAGCCCTTGGAATAATCATTGGCTACAAACAGCTCAGTCCCCCAGCCATAACTCTCTTATCCAACTTGCCATCAAAAGTTAAAGGAAGATTCATCACCGCCATTGACTTTGAGGTTCTTCCCAAGAATCCACTCCATTTCCAGAGACCAGTTCCAAAGGCATTTTGAGCAATGATAATGACTTTGGAGTGAGGACAGAACCTCCCAAAGCAATATAGAGTAAAGTGTCACTTAACAACAGGAATACATTCTGAGAAATGTCATTAGGCATTTTCATCGTAGTTGGAACATCATAGGCTATACTTCCACACACCTAGATGATAGTGCCTACTACACACTTCAGCTATATGGTATGGCCTATTGCTCCTAGGTACAAACCTGTGCAGCATGCTACTCTACTGAATACTGTAGGCATTTGTGTATGCAAAGTTATCTAAACATAGAAAAGGTGCACAGCAAAAATAGTATTATAATCTTATGGGACCACTATTGAATACGCAGTCCACTGTTGACCAAGAGAGTTAGGCAGCACATGACTGGACTTTGAAGGGACAGGACTTGGGGACGCCAAGTTCTGGAATCAAAGACCTTCTACATCTCTCTCACGTCAACATTACAGAGAATCCTAGAACTTGAGGACTGAAAGGAACCTTTCAGGGTATCTCACTCAGGCTCCCACCCCACCAAGGGATCCTATCTACAGCCCCAGCAGGGGCTCACTAACTGGAAGCTCCATGATACCAGGGACTCGGTCTCTTGCTCACCACTCTACACCCTCCCTGAGAGTTTTTTTTTTTTTTTCTGCTTTCTTTTGTATATACCCTGAACTGAAAGGACTCCAGGAGCTGGGGTGGCGGCAGCTTGCCCCATTCCTCCTTCTGCCTTCAGCCAGGCAAATTCCAACTCACACATTCAGACATTTACAAAAGAAAGACCATTTCTAATAGGCTCCTCCTCCCTATCTTTCCCAGGTTCTGAAGGTCATCAAATCCTTGGACTCCAAGTGTCAGTGATGGGGTGTGGGGGCTGCCTTTAGAAGGAGAAACATTGGGTAGGCAGTGTCAAAGTTGTATTTCCCAGCTGCTCCCAGCCGGGAGCACCTGCAGAGCTGTCCAGAAGCTGTGATTCCATCCATACTAGCGCTTCCCTCCTTGACATCTGATTTTGACTGGATTGCTAGTTCCTGTTCTAAGATGAGTGAAGTCAGAGCTAGTGTTAGCAGGTACCCTTTAGTAAACAGTTTGATTAATGCCCATCTCCCCTACTAGACTGTAAGCTCCATGAGGGCAGAAGTCATGTCTGTTTGGGTCAGCTCTGTATCCCTGGTGTCTGTTGGAGTTCATGACACAATGAGTGGATGAATGGAGTTGGACCAAGTTAATGGATGGACACCTGGAGGCATTGCCTTGGAAAGGGGTTTCAGAGGGAGGTCCCCCCTTGCCAGAAAGGTCTTTAACCTTTCTGTTGTTAGGCCCCAGCCTCCCTTTCTGTCCTCTCCTACTTGAGGAAGGGAAGTGATAACTTAGTTCACATTCTGAGATGTAAATATCCACAGAAGCCCCAGGGGCAGCCTCTCAGAGGGGAAGGTTATTAATTAACAAATATTCCAGAGGCTGAGATGGGGCTTGGGGATGGAGAAAAGAAGCAGAGACTCCGCCCCAGCTCCAGCCGCACTCAGAAATTCACAGGCAAATAAGCAGATCAGACACAAGGTCGCATGGAGCACAGACTGCCATTCAAGCAAAGCAGAGCTGGCTTCATGGAAGTTTAGAGATGGAGGCTGCGAGGGAGGGTTTCTGGAAGAGGCAAGATGTGCAGAGGAAGGCAGACAGTGGTGGGAATGAGACTATAAGAAGAGGACATCCTAAACAGTGTGGAATGTGCAGAACATGGGGCTGAAGGAGGGACTGTGGTAAGCAGGAAGTGGTTTCATTGGGGCCTCATGGGGGAGGATGCCAGTGGGGTCCTGGAAAGATGGGATGGGAATGAGGGAATCTAGTTTTTTAATCAGGAAAATCTCAGACCAAAAAATTGAACTTTAATTCTTCCGCTTATTAAAATTGTGATGGGCTAAAATTTATTAACACAGCATTCCTAGAATTACCCCACCCCCTTCTTTTCCACTCCGCACCACCTCCTATTAATAAAGGCCCTGGATTTGCTTCTTTTGTTTCTTTTCTTTTTTTTTTTTTTTATTTTTTGAAACAAGATCTCACTCTGTTGCCTAGGCTGGAGTGCAGTGGCACGATCACAGCTCACTGCAGCCTCTACCTCCCAGCCTCAAGAGATAGAGATCCTCCCACCTCAGCCTCCCAAGTAGCTGGGACTACAGGCACGTGCCACTGTACCCAGCTAACTTTTTAATTTTTTGTAGAGATGGAGTCTCACTATGTTATGTAGGCTATTCTCAAACCCCTGGGCTCAAACTATCCTCCTGCCTCGGCCTCCAAAGTGCTGGGATTGCAGGCATGAGCCACAACGCCCAGCCTGCCTGTCTAGTTTCTCCAAAGGAGGGTATTATCTTTGCCCAACTTGCATTTGGAGGGCTTTTAGGATATATAGAAAATCCAGAATGTGGTGAAGCAGTCAAGAAGTGGATGGGAGAGGAAAGCAGAATTAAATAAGCATTGTGGTGCATTCTGTGTCCTCTTTGTGGTTTTGAAAGACACAAATAAAAAGCACAAGCTATTTTTGAATGTTCATAGGTTACTGAACTGTATTTATTTGACAAAGCACCATTTTGAGAAGGGAGCACATGGGTTACAGCTTTAATAGAGTTCCATTCTCTGCATGTTTATTCCACCACCCTCTTCTTCAAGACCATGAGCTCTTAGAGAGCAGAGGTTAAGTTGAATTCATCATTGTCTCCCCAGCACCCTGAGCTGGCCCTGAAGGAGGGTTAGTAAATGTGGAAACAGAAGAGCGGTTAGTGACCTGGGGCTGGGACAACTGACTTCACCCTCATCTCTCCTCCAGCAATGGTGTTCTGTCTCCCGCTATTCTGAGACTTTGCTCATAGTCTGTCTTTCTCTCTCTGTCTGGTTGCAGAAGGCAGATCTGGCCGTGGCCCCCCTGACCATCACCCATGTTCGAGAGAAGGCCATCGACTTCTCCAAGCCCTTCATGACACTTGGTGTGAGCATCCTGTATCGAAAGCCCAATGGCACCAACCCCAGCGTCTTCTCCTTCCTCAATCCCCTGTCCCCAGACATCTGGATGTATGTTCTCCTCGCCTACCTGGGGGTCAGCTGTGTCCTCTTCGTCATCGCCAGGTAAGGCAATTCCTTGGCCAGACATCGGGCCCAAGGTTGAAGGTCTAGGGGTTAGGCAGGTCCTCATCTCCTCAGCCCCTGGCACAGAAAGCCCAAGGCTCAGGCCACTGCTGTACCCACTCCTCTTCCACTCCCTATGGCTCAGATTCCTTTGTATCCCTCAAGGAACATTCCATGCCTTGGCCCTCCCCACCCCCACGCTTGAATCACCTGGTCCTCACCCTCGTCTGTGTCTATAACTCTGAGATGAAGCAGTTGCACCTCAGGTCCCATTGGCAGGCTCGTAGAGGTCAAGTGGTTGCCCAAAGTGGCACCACATGAGCTAGGCACCTGGTGCAGCAGACTCAGGACATTGGGTGGCCCAGTGGGTGGCTTAGAACTTGGAAAACAGGGTGTGTCTATCCAAGCCACAACAGCAGGGGGAACAGTGCCCAGTAAACTCACAGCCATCCCCACATGCAGAAACACGGCACACATACACACATCCCTGTCTGGGCTCCCTGCTAGCAACATGCTTGCACATTTGGTTGTTCACATAAAGTAGACATAGCGCACCCTGGCTGGTGGGTGGTAGGAGGAGGTCACTATGGGACAGGTTTCGCCCAGTGTTTGGCGAACACCTAGTGCTCGCCAAGCACTGTGCTCTGCACTTTACAGCTGTTATCTTATTTAGTTCTTCCAGCCTCCCTTAAAGAGGAGACACCTGAGGCTCAGAAAGTCTCACCACTTGCCAAGGTCATACAAGCAATAGGTGACCTTACAGCATTTGACCATGGGGGTCACCAAGCCTTTTATCTATGACCCACATCTCCGTCCGGTGGTCCGCCCCTGCCCCGGGTTGGTGGCTGCTGGGGCCCGCTCCCCACCCCTTTCCAGCGGAGCCCTCTGCCTTCTCCCTCTGGGCTCCAGCCCCAGCCCCTGATCTGGTCCTTTTTTTTCTCTAAATCCTAACAAAGTGCAAAGAGAGACTTCTCTGGAGAGGCAATTTGAGATCCAATGACTTGGCGTTTTCAGCCTTTTTTTTCTCCAGAGCCTTCTTTAAAAGCCGCCCTCCCCCCACTTCACTCCCTTCCGCTCCCTCCTCCCACGCTGTGAGAGACCAAAGGGAAGGCTGTGAGTGATGAAATGTCCCTGCTCCCCAGGCCCTGTGCTGCCAGAGGCCTGAAGCTGCCATGGCCACCCTGCCTGGTGGGCGCAGCAGCCGCTGAGCCTGCCACAGAGAGGCCTTCATTTATGCCTCTTGTCTCTAATGGTCTAACAAGCCTTTGAAAGCCAGGAGCCACTCTCCAGAGCTCGCAGCATGATTTTAGCGGCTCCAGGGGTCTCTCAGCTCCCACCTTCTCGGGCTTTTCTGGCATCCGCTCTGCCCTTTTGATGTGTGTCCCATCCCCCTCTCATTCCTGGCCCTTCACTAGCAAGCCTTCTTCCCACCCTGCCTCCAGGCTCGGAAGGTGGGAGCCTCCTTCCCAAGGTTAGGCTGGGAGACTTTCTAGAAGAGATGGGTTTCCTAGAGCTGCTGTAATGATAGGAGACCCCTGAGAAGAGAGGAGAGGGACAAGAGTTTTGGCCGCCGAGCTAGGAAGAGCATCAGAGTGCACTTGTCACCTCGCCCAACACCCTCACACCACCACTCACACCTCTCTTGAGGTGGGTATAATTATCCCCAGTTTATAGAAACAGAAACTGAGGCTTGGAGAGGTTAAGTCATTGCCCAGAATCAGAAAGCTTTTCTTTGACAGAGTTGGGCTTCAAACCCAGACCAGATATAAAGTTCAAATTGGACTTCAAACCCAGACCAGTTGGGCTTCAAACCCAGACCAGATATAAAGTTCAAATCCAACTTTATATCAAGGATGACAAACGCAAGTACCTGCCAGGGCCAAAGGGAGTGAAGCAGGCATAGTGATAGGCAGCGGAGAGTTGGTAGGGACTAAGGCACCCCGGAGAGCTCACCTGGCTGAAGGGGGCAGCTGCTGCTCAGCTCCAACAGGTTGTACCAGGCAGAGATGCCGGGCCAGTGTTGCAGAGCTCATGATCCTGAGAGAGAGATTTGGATTTTTATGTGACATCTCACGGTTTTTCTGTGTGGCCACTAGTTTAATTTTTTTTTTTTTTTTTTTTTTTTTTTTTGAGACGGAGTCTCACTCTGTCACCCAGCTGGAGTGCAGTGGCATGATCTCAGCTCACTGCAAGCTCTGCCTCCCGGGTTCACGCCATTCTCCTGCCTCAGCCTCCCAAGTAGCTGGGACTACAGGTGCCCACCACCACACCCGGCTAATTTTTTTGTATTTTTAGTAGAGACGGGGTTTCACTGTGTTAGCCAGGATGGTCTCGATCTCCTGACCTCATGATCCACCCGTCTCGGCCTCCCAAAGTGCTGGGATTACAGGCGTGAGCCATCACGCCTGGCCGTTTAATTTTGTATAACACTGGCAGGGTCAAGCACAACATATCTGTAGGGTGAATGCGGCCATCTCCCCTTCACTCCTGGTGACCATGCTGGCTGCTGGAGATCTGGACACAGCTGCCCACAGTTCCAAGAAATGGGGCCTGGGAAGGGAGGACAGGTCCCCAGGTCCACTCTGGGGCAACTCCAGGTTGGCATAGGACTGTCCATCTTGCACGCTGGCCTGGCCTGACCTGTTTGGCCCACACCAGGGGACCAGGCATTGTGCAAGGCCTTTCACTGCCACCAAGATATTCTGCTTCATGCCTGGTGAGGTAGGAGGAAACAGGAAGGGAGCAGGGGGTGCTTTCTCACCACAGAGATCAGGACAGTTGGCACTCGTGACAGGGGATGATCCTAAGTGCCTGACCCAGGAGGCAGGGCTGAGGGTGAGCAGCCCATCTACTTCCTGGGGGCCACATTGCAGCCAAATCTGGGTTGAGTATCCCAAGGAAGCAAGAGCTTTGGCCATAGTGGATGCCCTGTCTCCTCCTCCACACTCCAGCTGGGGATGGAGTGTAGCCTTCTCTGTGGAGACAGAGTGTCTCCAGGTCAACTTCTAACTCCTATTTACTCTCAAGACTGGAGAAGCCCTTGCAACCGCAAGCTACAAATCCAAGATCTGCCATTAACTCCAGATGACACCTTCCCTCCTCGTCCTGCGACCATCCCACTCCTCTTCTCTCCTGTGGCCGAGGAGGGTTAGAGCCTGGACGCTCTGTCCCACTGACTGCAGGATCCTCGTGGCCTCCACATCTGTAAAATGGGCACCGTGCATGCTTTCACCTCTCGGGAGGCGATGAGGACCCCAACCTGTAACGGCATTTGATAGCCAAGAAGCCCATTCTAGAAGCGGTTATTTTTATCATGATAAGCAGTTCCACCCCTGGAACTTCATCCTGTTGAAACATCACCATTGAGCCACACTTTAGCATTCTCCCAAATCTAGAAAGGCTTTGCAGCCAAGCCCCAGAAGACAAGGCCACCCTTGGGCATCAGGGCCGACAGAGTTGTGTCCAAGGATGATTTTCCAGCAGAGTGCACCACAGCTGGAAAGAGAGGACAGCTTAAGTGCCCATCAGTCAAGGCATGGTTAGAAACACCTGCGGAGTGGTCACAGAGCATGAGGTAGATCCGGAAGAACTGACCTGAAAAGAGGTTGGTAACATTAAATGAAAAACCAAGTTTTCGGACAGTATAGTGGTATGATAGGGGATTTTTTGGGGTTAAAAATATCATATATGTTATATATTTGTGTATGTGTGCCTGGTACATGTAAAGAGCAGGACTCGGGAGATCTCACCAGAAATCAGCTTTATGTTGTCTCCCTCCCACCTTCCAGGTTGTTCAGAGGTGGGTGCTCTTCCAGTGGCCCCCTCTGGCAAGGCCTCTCTTCATGGCCCACTCCCCACACAGCCCCTGGTCCTCCAGCAGCCTGTGCCCCATGGCATCTCCCTGTTGGAATCCCATTGCCTTCTAGGATGGGAGTCAAAGTCGGCCTGGGCTGGATCTGTCTTCTGCATGGGTCCATCTGGTCCAGGGGAAGCACTGTGGACCCAGCATCCTGGGACCCGGTGGTGTCTGGGCCTGCAGGCCAATGTTGTGCAGCAGGGACTCTCCTGGTTCCACCGACAGAGCACCCATCAGCCCGACCCCTGCCCTTCACACTTCCCAGGTCCATCCGCTCAGTTACAGAGCCAGGCACTGAGCTGCCTCGCCCCCTGGGAAGCCCCTCTCCCTAGATGTGGTAGAGGAAGCGGGGGCTCTGGACACCCAGCTCTCCAAAGGCTCTCTCCAAAAACCCTTCTCACAATAGCCTCTAATCTCTGCTTTCTCCATTCTAGATCTCTTCCCTGTGGATTTTAGAGCCTCTAACCAGTTTGTGGTCATTTCCTTTGAAGATCCCTGTCTTGGTTTGAAACCTTTCTTTAGAATTTCCTATTTGAGGGATCTTCCCGCTTCATGAAAATAAAATTCTTTCCACATGACCACTGGTAATCAATGTATAATATATTACAGCTTTTAGAAGGGAGACAGAAAAGAGAGGTCACAACATCACACTTAAAGGGCATTGCACTTTAAAAAATGAAACAAAATTCCACTAGACTTGTCTCTCCTTCCAGATGTGTCCTCTCAGCATCCTAAAACCTCCCCCACAAATCTAGAGAAAATGTCCACCAGCCTGGGACTTTTTCTAGGGTCCCCCCAACCTCTCGAGCTTCTTTAAACATACATATCCTCAACTGGAACTCACGCAGTGAACAAAAACTCCCTTCAATTCAATAATCAGGACTCCTCTTCCTTAGAAGGCAGTAGGTGGCTTTAAGTAATCATTTTTTCCCTGTCATATATATATTTGTATATTCAAAGACAAAAATCTAAAAAATTATATAACGCATTGTTCTCTCCGGGGGATAGGATGCTGGAGTACATTCACTTTCAGATTGTATTCATCTATACTGTCTGAATATTTTATAAAATGTGTCTTCTGCTTTTTTTCCGTTTTAAGGTTTTTTATTATACCCAAAATTCAAAAGCATGTTCTCACTTTTAAAAATTTATGTAATGCAGATAGAGCAATAGGCTCCTGAAATTCCTTCTGCTATTTTGATGCCCCTCCCCAGAAGTAAACACTGATAGTTTTTATCTAGAGACCCTTTCAGACCCTTTAGTATGCATTTGCATATGAGTATACATAAAGCACTGAATAGTTATGTCTTTAGGAGTCTGTTTATTTAAGTGTGGTCATATTGTTCTTATTTTCTATTGCTTTTAATACATTGCTTTTAATATTTTTATTGCTTAGATCTTCAACAATATGTGTTGAAGATCTTTCCCCACCAGCACATCTCAAGTATCTCATTCTCTTTTAACAGCTGCATAATATTTCACAGTATAGTTGTGGCATCATTTATTTAATCATTCCTTTATTGAAGGATATTTTGGTGGTTTCCAGGTTTTTTTTGCAATTGCAAACAATGCTTTGATAAACACCCTTGTGTGCTTCTCTTGATGCTCCCGTAAGAGTGCTTTTTCTGGGATGGATAATGAGTTGCAGAACTGGGAGCCTGAAGGGCATGTGCACTTTTAATTTTACGAGATGCTGGTGAATTACCTTTATAACCAGAAAAGGGCACTAACAATAAAGAACAAGAAGAAATTCCCCTGCCCTGCCTCCCAGCAGAACCATGAGGATATTGACGCTGAGGCGGCTGGCACAGCTGTGTTTGCTAAACCACTGCCTGCTGGGGCGTGGATGCCCCTTGCTTCCCAGGCTGACTGTCCCTCTCCTCCTGTGGCAGGTTCAGCCCTTATGAGTGGTACGATGCTCACCCCTGCAACCCTGGCTCCGAGGTGGTGGAAAATAACTTCACTCTGCTTAACAGCTTCTGGTTTGGAATGGGATCCCTGATGCAGCAAGGTATGCACCCTCTCCCAGGGCCTCCCCTTCCAGGGTCTGCTTTCCCCAAGCGGTCTTCAGCCTCTTTGGCATCAGCAGAGCCAGCCCACACCTCTAGGGGTAGCCTCAGACCCTGATGAGCCGGCAGAAGTTTGGAGACATCGAGATACCCAGGTGTGTGCCCTTGCCCCAGACCCCTAACTTCCACCTTCACTCTGGCTGGAGCTGGCTCAGGGTCTAAAGCTAAGAAAACCACCCAGCCCAGGGCATGCGGGACGCATCCCCCACCTCCTGCTCCAGCTGAGGTGGACATAGAGCACCCTGCTGGCTGCGGCTGACCCTGCCCATGGCCTCATCACCACACAATCCAGCTGAGCAAGTTGGGCTGTGGATGGAAGGAGACCAGAGGCAGGGAGTCTGGGTGGGAGGCCACTGCAGGAATGAGGTGATGAGACCTGAACCTCGTGGTGGCCCTGGGAGTGGAAGGCAGAAATGGACTAAGAGAGCTTCAGGATACACTGTGGATGGGACTCCGTGGCCGCTTGGCTGTGAGGTGC
This sequence comes from Homo sapiens, assembly GCF_000001405.40. NCBI lineage: Eukaryota > Metazoa > Chordata > Mammalia > Primates > Hominidae > Homo > Homo sapiens. Next base: position 36,819,199 of record NC_000001.11, on the reverse strand, counting down.
CTGGGAGTAGGAAGGATCATGGCTGAGTTGGGGACTTCAGCCCGAGTGCTTCAAAGATGAGGTACACAAAAAGATGCAATTCTCTTACATCCTCTGGAGGGAGGGCCAATGTGCTTTGGAACTATCTGCAGCAGAGCACCTGCTCTAACTGCCAGGAGTCAGATGCAGAGACAGCAGGGAGCAGGAGGGCAGGCACAGGGAGAGGGGACCACCAGCCAGGAAAGGACACCGCCCCCTGGTCCTGCTGGCCACCAGCCATGTGCTCACTCCCTCTGCAGGTGGAGTCCCATGTCCAGAGTCTCTTATCTTAGGGAGTGCAGACAAGTTTTTGCTGTTAGAGTTTCACTGAGGGACCTGCTTAGGGGGCAGGCAGGGAAGGGGCTTCCAGGGACAGAGAAAATGTCCTTGTCCCTCAGTCATCTGTGTATAACCTTCACAAACCCTGGTCCTCAGTAGATATCCATCAGTAAACACCAAATGAATGAGCAAATGGCATTATCCCAATGTGTCCTGGGCACCCACTACATGCCAGGCTCTGTGCTGGGCACTTGAATGAAGGAGGAGAGGAAAAAAGCAAATCTGTCCCACATGCGAGAAACCTCTTGGCCATGGCAGAGGCCAGGGCAGGGACTTGGGCAGAGGTCTGGCAAGGCTGGCAGAACTCAGCAATCAAGTGACTCAAATAAGCTGCTCTCCCTCTAAGAGCAGCCCAAAGCCTGGTTTGGAGCAACCTGGGGAGGCTGGGAGTGGCCAGTTGGGGAGGGGACACAGAGCCCCAGTGGTCTCTAGCAGCTAGGAAGTGACAGGCAGCTTTCAAGGGAAGTGCCTCAATCTGTCCTTGCTATTAATGAGTGTCCTGGAGCCTCACCTTGTTTTTTTGTCCATCGTCTTTGTTCGGTGACAGTTGGGAAAGACCTGGAAGCCCCTCAATGCAGTAATAGCTTCTCCTCTTCCACCTCCTGCTGCTATTCAAAGCACTGGCCCTTGATGTATTCTCCATGTGGTTTTGATTAGGAGGGAGAAAAATAGTTATGTATTTGAAAAACTCTCCCTTGAGTGACTTCTTTGAGAAAAAAAAACATCATATCAAAGCAGACGGTTTTCAGATTGCAGGTCCAAATATTCTGGAAAGTTCAGGAGTCACTTGCAATTTAAATCTCTTGAAAGCCACCTAGTTAATTACTTCAGTTAGAAGGTGTCATCTCTATTGTGCTCCCCACCTAAGGTCGGGGAAGAAAAGTCATATATTTCGGCAAAGAGCTTCAAAAAGTGTTGATTTTTTTTTCCCCTCCTGCAAAGCACTGCATAGCAATCTTGTATTTGTATACCATTTGTATTTCCAATGCAATTTCTTCTCAAATTATATCGTTGCAGCACCACAGTATTTATGTGAGGCTGGGACAGAGGAAGGACAATTCTTCATGTTTTGCAGAATCCCAGAGAGGGGAAGTATCAGGCATAAGATCACACTGAGAGTTGGGAGCAGGATTCACTCGAGAACCCAAGGGTCCTGACTCCCAGGTGTTCTTAAGCTGGGACCACATAAGTGGTCCATGGTTAGGCATCTGAGGTTTTGATGAGCCTGTGAAATGTGAATGTATATGTTGTTCTAGAAGAGCGATTCTTAAATTTTAGCCTGCGTCAGAATCATCTGGAGAGCTTACTCAAAACATATTGCTGGTTCCCACCCTCAGAAATTACTGATTCAGTGAGTGCTGGGGAAGGGCCCAAGAATGTGCATTTCTAACAAGTTCCAGGTGATGATGTTGCTGCCAGTCCAGGGACCACACTTTTGAGAACCACTGGTCTTGGGAAAGGGCCTTAGCTTTCATTAGAGTATCAGAGGAATCCATGACCCAGGGGACTTGAGCAGCGCTAGTCTGGATGTTGTAAGGGACTGACTATCTCCTCTCTTCGCCCAGGGTCTGAGCTGATGCCCAAAGCCCTGTCCACACGCATCATTGGTGGCATCTGGTGGTTCTTCACGCTCATCATCATCTCTTCCTACACGGCCAACCTGGCTGCCTTTCTGACCGTGGAGCGCATGGAATCACCCATTGACTCTGCTGATGACCTGGCCAAGCAAACCAAAATCGAGTATGGGGCTGTCAAGGATGGGGCCACCATGACCTTCTTCAAGGTGAGGCCCTCTCCCTCCTATTGCAGCACCGTGAGCTGATCCTCTCCGGACCCTTTACTGAGCAGAAGAGGAAAGGGGGTCTCTGTCCTTCCCTAACCACGCATGGCCAATGGGTCAGAAGCCCTCTCAGCCCCACCGTGTTTGGACTAGTTGACTTTGGGGAGCTGTGGTGATGTGGGCCAACTGGGTTGGCCTCGACACAAATCCTAGAAGTTTCTGTGCCTGAGATGAGCAATGTGAATGTGTTATGATTCCTTAAGTCATCAGAGGGAGACAGATGAAGAGAGGGGCCTGGAGAAGTGGGAAGGAGGGGAAGAGCCACCCAGACACACAGGCCCTAGGGGCTTCCCGCCCTTGGCTTCAGACCTCAATGCCGTCCATCTCAAAGAAGCTAACCTGAGGTTGGGGAGACAGCAGCAGGGCCAAATCTTGAGAGGAAGGGAGGAGGCTTAGAACTTGAACAAGTGTTTACAGACATTACTGAGCATGTTACACTCTAGGAATGCTGGTGTCAGCAGATAAAATCCCTGTCACCTGCTCAAGTGACTGCTCTAATGGGTATCTGGCCATGATTTCATTGCTCCTCCTGCTCTGTGAAGTGTTGCTGAGTGCCCTAATGTTTTCCACTTTCTACTGGAGTAGCTGAGGGCTTAGGAGACTCTGGCTGGCCCTGAGAACCAGAAGCTGCAAAGGTTCTCCCAGAAATTAAAGTAGTAATAGCAGTAGCTACTGCCACTGAGATCTCACAGTAGGCCAAGAGCTGCGCTAAATGCTGGGCCTCATTTAATCTTCATGACAAATCCTGGGAGGCTGGTACTCGAATTATTTCTACTTTACACGTGTGGAAACTGAGTCCCAGAGCAGCTAAGTGGCTTGTCCAGGGATGCCCAGCTGGAGGAACCAGGTGCGACCCAGGCCTACCTTCCTCGAGGGCCCTGTTTTAAGCCAGTGGTTCTTAGATCTGGGTGTGCATTCAGATCATCTGGAGGACTTGTTGAAACACAGCTTGCAGGCCAGGCACGGTGGCTCATGCCTGTAATCCCAGCACTTTTGGAGGCCGAGGTGAGCTGATCACGAGGTCAGGAGTTCGAGACCAGCCTGGCCAATATGGTGACACCCCATCTCTACTAAAAATACAAATTACAGGTGACGTGCACCTGTAATCCCAGCTACTGGGGAGGCTGAGGCAGAAGAAAGGCTTGAACCTGGGAGGCAGAGGTTGCAGTGAGCCAAGATCGTGCCACTGAACTCCAGCCTGGGTGACAGAGTGAGACTCCATCTCAAAAAATAAAAAAAAGAAAGAAAGAAACACAGCTTGCAGGCCCCACCCTCAGAGTTTCTGACTCAGGAGGTCTAGATGGGGCCGAGAATGTGCATTTCTAAAAAGTTCCAAAGTGACGCTGCAGCTGCTGGTCCAGGTTCTGTGCTTGGAGAACCACTGTTCCAAAGGTTTCCCAGAAATGATTAGGATTTAGGAACTCTGTGGCTGCAGGCCCACTTATTTATATGTTTATCTATTAATCAACTGCTCTCAATCAACCTGGAATGGAAGCCTGGGGTATTTTCCTTTCCTCTGGGCTCTAATTCCCCATCTCCCAGCCGCTGCCTCCTCCTAGGCTAAGCCTCCAAATGATAGATGGAGCCTCCAGTGGGGCCTGAGTGAAGAGAGAAGGAAGGGGTTGGGTGGGAAAGCCTTCTACCTCCTGGGCACTGCAGCCCCCTGGCACTTTCTCCCCTCCCCGCTGCCCAGCCCCCACCATGTCCCTCCTTGAGGTTGGAAACAGCTTTGTAGTGAAGAGACAGTGAGTGAGGAAAGGAGCTTCCCTCTTGGATGTTGCCAAGAGGGATGTTGGTTGACTTGCCTAAGAGGTCACTGCTGTGTATTTAGAGTGAGGGGAAGACAACGGCATTATCAAAGGCATGTTGGGAACACTATGGGACTCTGTATGTGTTCCTGCCTATGAGTGAGTAGGTGAGGATGTGTATACATGCATGGCTTCACATGTGCATGTAGCAGCATATAATATGTGGGAATGTGCACGTGTGTGTATGTGCACACATGTGCCTGTGCACAACTCTGCCTGTGTGGGGACATGTGTGTATTTGTGCTTGGACACGTGTCTGCATCTATGTGTATGTGTGCTGAACATATGTGTGATGCATCTCTGTGATCTGGGCATGTGGACATGTGCCTGTGAATGTGTACAAGTGTGTACCCGAGGGTCTACCTGTATATGGGTACAGAGAAAATACATTTGTCTGTCTGCTTGGATATCCTCATGGGTATGTCTAGATAAGTGGAGGGCAGATGGACCTGTGTGTGTGTAATGGCCTGTGCAGGCATGTGTGTGTATACTCGCCTTTGTGTGTGTATGCCTGTGTAATGGCCTATGCATGCATGAATCTGAGTGTGTGTGTGTATAATGGCCTGTGCATACATATGTATCTGTGTGTGCATGTATAATGATCCATGCATGTATATATGTCTGGATGTATGTGTGTATAATGGCCCATGCATGCATATGTGTCTCTGTGTGTGGGGGGGGGGGGTCTATGTATGTGTATAATGGTCCATGCATGCATATGAATGTGTCTCTGGGTGTGTGTGTGTATAATGAACTGTACATGCATATGTGTCTGCATGTGTATGTGTGTGTATGTGCACACATGCCTGCCTGCTCCTGCCTATCCCCAGGCTGTGGCCCAGCCCTTTGTGCCAGAGCATCTCTCATGCATAACGCATGAACCCATCTCTAAGCAGGGCTCCCGATCAAAGTGAAACGGCATAAATAAGCCTGGTGCAGGCTCATTGCCGCTGATTGGATGTCCCTGCCTCCCTCCATGCTAAGATGCTCAGATTGGCTTCCAAGAAGCTAGCCCCAGCTCCCCACCGAGCTGCTGCCCTCACCATCAAGCAGCACCTCCCACAGCCTCCTCTGCCCTCACCCACCTTCCGTGCAAATGGCACAGCGAGGAGGGCAGAAGAGACATACAAATGCTGTCACCTGTCTGGGATGCTGGGGCTTCATGGGCCCATGCTCACAGGAGTCTGTGGGTCAGAAACAACAACTCCACACCCCCTGCATAACTAACTCCACTTTCTTCCTGTCCCTATGGTCAATTAATTCCTCTTTATGCCTGGCCACATTGTCTCCTGCCTTAATTCAAGTGAAGCTCTCCTTGCCCAGACTCCCTGTCATCAGCAGCAGCAATGGGACTGTTACATATTGGAGAAGAGCCTGAATGTAGATACATTAACTGCCCCCCCACCTCAGATGATGAGCTAGAAGCACCACCCCCCGCCCCGCCCCCGCTGAAGGTCCCTGGATGAACCAATTCCCTGCCTTGTCACCCCTCTGCCCTCTGTAGTTGGACTTCCTAAGTAGACCTTCCCCCCGGGCCAGGTGATAGCCTTCTGGTTAGCACAGAATGTTTGCAGGTTAGAGCTGGAAGGAGACCTGAGATTAACCCAGAGAAACAGGCCCAGCCCATTATCACACAGCAGATCAGTGGTGGAGCGGGGTACAAGGTCAGACATGCTGTCTTCATGCACAGTGCCCTCTCCCACATCCACTCTAGGGTCTTCTCCTAGAGAGGTGGTCTTCCCCTGACCATGAGAGTATATGGCAAGGCTGCACTACTGTTGAACAGGAGGCAGCTCCAGGAGGAGCCATCAGATGTCTAGGAGACATTGGCAAAGTCAACAATAACAGTAACACTTAATGAACACTTACTTTGTGCCAGGCACCATTCCAAGCATTTTACCTGTATTTGTTTATAACATCCTCAATAACAGCCCTGGAACGTAGATTGTTATTATCATCTCCATTTGAAACATGACGAAAGGAAGGCCCAGAGAGGCTAACTGACTTGCCTAACATCCCACAGCTAGTGAAATGCAGAGCTGGGATTTGAACCCAAGCAACCTGGCTCTAGTGCCTATGCTCTTGGTCACTGTGTTCATATGGCTTCTCTAAGGACCCAGCCACAGTCCTCAGGAGGCAGTTGGGGAAAAGTGAAGCCACAGTCAGTTGACCACATACCCAGCCCTGCACAGCCCTGGCACGTCGTAGTTGCTCTAATAATACGTGTTGAGTGGATACTGTTATTGAGTGAAAGGATGGGATTTAAAGATGGCGGCAGCCAAGTGGCACAAGTGCAGGAGATAATATCGAGGACTAGGAACTGAGTGGGCAGCCTGTATTGAAGGTCCAGAGTGCAGGACAGATGAACTTGATTTCTGTGGTTAGCATGTTCCTGATTAGGAAGCACACAGTCTTAAAAAAACGCCCTGACTGAGAGTAGAACTCACAAGGGAGGGAACCTGTTTCTGTCCAAAGACGACAACAGCAGGAAGCGGGATGCTGGGCTCTCGGGGGGCTCTCGATCCCTCGCCCCCACCCTGCAGACCCATCATTCCAGAGGAATTTCATTTGAAGAGTTGTCAGGGAGCAGCAGACATCACAAACAGCGTCTCCTGTGTTGTCCTCCCTCCGTCTTGGAAGATAAAAATTAATTAGGAGATGAAAAAAGAGGCCTTTGAAAGCACTGTTTGGCTATAAAAATATGTAGGCAAAATGTAAAGGAGAACGTTGGGAAAGCGTGTTCTTTGCAGGGAGGGCTGCACAGCTTTGAAGAGAGAGGACATCGGAAGACAGCTTCTCCAAGCACTTAGACCTTTTTCAGTGCTGGGGGTGGGAGAGCACATAACAGATGAGAGGGATAGCGGCTTAGGAAAGGAGTGGGAGCTGGGAGCCCGAGAATGCCAGGTTCCCTGGGCCCCTGGTCATTGTCAGGCCATCCCCCTTGCACAGCCTCGGTTCCTAGCATCTGACCTGGGCATGCTGTCAGAGAGGTCACCTGGTCCACACCCTGCCTCCCAGCTGCATGACAGACCCTTCCTTGAGCTGGAGGGCCTAGGAAGATGCTCCCCAAACTCAGCTTCCAGCTTCTCCTGACCCATCTGCTGGCCTCTCTCACATACAGTCTTAGCCCTGCCTTCAAGCAGAAGCAGGTAGGGGGACCAAAATGTAATGCCCAGGCAGAATTCAGTGTGATGCCGCCTGTCGTCATCAAGTTACATCAGTTTTAAAGTCAGACAGACCAGGATTTGAGTCTGGGATGATGTCTCTGCTGGTGACCTTAGGCAAGTCACTTCACTTATCCGGGCTTCCATTTGCTCCCCTGTACAACACAGATACTTATTTTCACCATGCAGCAATTAGCAAGAGGGTTCGGTGAGCTCCTGTATGTACAGTGGTTAGCCCAGAGCCAGGCATACAGGAGGACTTAGGTCAAAGGCTTTCTCTTCCACACAGCCCTCCAGTTGGCTGAACAGAAACCAAAGAGGCAGGCTGGACCCTTTCCTCTTGCCCCGAAATTCCCTCCTGGGGCAGATTACTTAACTGGAGCACACTGGAGATGACCAGCTAAAGGGCACCCACCTTATGGAGCCATTGAGATGATTAAATGTGATAATTCATGTATTCACCTCACAGCATTACCTGGCACAAAGTAGGCATGCAGTGAATGCTAACTTTTTATTGTTTATTGTTGCAAACTGGTGATACACAGGCCTGTGCAGCCCATAGACGTGATTTGGAGGGGCCACACATCGCTTATTTATATATGTATATTTTTTAAAACATCAATTGCAGCAATTCTCAGCAGCTGAGAGGCAATGTTTATCTCCAGTTTACAGACTCCCCCCAGCCTTCTTTAGTTACTTCAATACCCTGCCTGGACCCTGTCAGCATTTGAGTTTTTACCCCTTTAAGTGCCATAGCAACTCAGCACTATAGAGATTTTTCTCCCCAGTTTCTAGATGAGAAAACTGGGCCTTACAGAGAATTAAGGAGCCTTAAAGGGAAAGAGTGACTCCGGCCACCTATGGAGCCTTAGGGGCATGCTCTGTGTTAAACGCTTCACACACCTTGTCTTGTTGAATGTTCACGATAACCCTAAGTAGCACGTACTCTTACAACACCCGTTTTACAGATATGGAAAGTGAAGCTCAGAGAGGTGATGTCACTTGCTTGTGGTCACAAAAGGAGCTGGCATTTGAGTCCAAGCTGGTGTGACACCAGAGTGCAGTGGAGCTCACCCCTCTCACTACCTCCACCCCCAGCCTGTAGCCCCCCACAAGCAAGCCTCAGGCATGTGCTGCCGGGATGGGGGGAGGTGAACTAGGAGCTAGACTGTCCTTACCAGGGAGCCTGTAGCAGTGGGCAGAGGCCATGGACTCCAAAGAGGCCTCCTGTCCCCACAGAAATGACCCAAGAAAAATGATAAACTGCTCAAATCCATGGATCCAGTAAGGCCAAAGATTCCACACTCAGAGATAAGAAAGCCAATTAATATGGAAAAAGGTCTTCTTTCCAGTATGGAAAACAACCAAGGTCTTGTATGCAATCCCATTGCTACTGCATCTCTGCACACATTCTCTGAAATTCAGCTCCCTTTGGAATTGCTATATATATATAGACTTACATACATTCTCTTGTACAGAAATGTTAAATTCTCAAGATTAAGTATCTTCAGTCAGGGAAAATCAATTTGCTTCTTTGAGGAGGCTGGAATTGAAAGTCGTGAGCCTGAAATTTACTTTCTTGCCAATTTTGCTGATAAAAAAAGCATCTCTGTCCTGGCACACCGCCGTGTATTGGTTGTTCCAGATGATTCCATTAGTTGATTTGGGTGACTAGCCCTGAAACAATCTTTATTAAGGTTCCAACCAGGGCCGGGACAGGCAGGATGACACAGGAGCTGTAGGTATGTGAGACTTCGTTCCCTAGGGTGGTGATGATAGCTCTGGCCAGTGATGGGAACTCAGGCCTGTGATGGGAACTCTCCCAGAGATGGGAGAGAGGGACCTGAGAGTCCATGAAGGGCTCTGGATTTATCTATCCCTGCTTAGACAAGCCACAAGGAACCTTTACAGGGTTGTGCCCCAGAATCACTCAACTGCTCAAGGACAGAAGGACAGCACTTAAGGGGAAGCAGAGACCATGAGGAGATGGGGTTGAGAAGGGGGGCCCCAAGACAGAAGACAAGGACAGTGGGGACCATTCTAGGAAAGCAGATTTCAGACACATCTACCTGAAGGTGATGGAGGTAATAATTTAGTTGGTGCTGGAGCCAGGAGGCTCCAGAACCAGGAACCTCTTAAAATTAACGTCACAGCCAGCTTCATGCCTTGTTTTCACCTTGCATCTTCACTGGCCCAAGCTCTCTGGTGTCCTTTCCCATCTTCCTCATTCAGTTCCTTTACCCACTGGTGCCTTTCTTGTGTCTTTCCTCAGAGCCCATCTGCCTCAACACTCCCTTCAGCCCCCAACTGAAATTTCTGTCTCCATCTATGGTGTTGTGTTACTGGAAAGAGCATATGGTTTGGTGTCAGGCAGGCCTGTATATAGGAGGAATAAAGTGTTGGGGTGTGGGGAGGATACAAGGAGGAGTTTAGAGAAAGAGAAGAAGTGCTTATCCCATTCTGAGACAGAAGGAGTAGGTGGGGCTTCCTGAGTGATTCATTGTCAAGTTACTTTTCTCAGGACTTGAGATTTATTGGATGGATGACTGAGAGGGTGGGTGACATAGGAGAGTGGGTGGGTAAGATGGGTGAGAAGGAGAAAGGGATGGATGATTGGGGGATGGATAGGTGGGTAAGAGAACAGACGGATGGATGGATGGATAGATAGATGGTTGGATAGATGGATAAATGGATGGATAGATAAGTAATAGATAGGTGGATAGTCAGATTAGTTGAATTAACTAGTATGTACATGGTGTGTGGATGATAGCATGATCAGATACAATAGTGGATGGGTGGGTGAGTGGTTGGATGGATGGATGGATGGATGATGGGTGGATGGATGGGTGGGTGGATGGATGGATGGATGGATGGATGGGTTGATGGGTAATTGGAAGGATAGATTAGATGGGCAGATGCATTAGGAGGTCTGATTGCTTCATCTACCTTTGGTTCTCACCTCTAGTAGTAGAGGGAGAACTGGGAAAGCAGAAGAGACAAGGATGGAAAGGAACTGAAGAGCTGCAATCACTGGAGGGAGAAAAGTATTTAGGTTCCAATAACCAGGATGGTAGAGTATCAGGAACACGTGTATCTGGCAAAGCAGAGATGACTGGACTAGGATACTTTGATTAGAAGAATAGTTGGAATTGATGATTATCTGAAAAAGCAACCATACTGGGAGCAGAAGTCGCTTATGTGACTATGTGGTTGAGAGGGTGTATAAGTTATCTATTGCTGCATACCAAATTACCCGAAACTTCATGTTTTAAAACAATATTTGCTATCTCACAGCTTGTGGGTCAGGAATCTAGGCAGTTTCGCTGAGTCCTCTGGCTCAGGGTCCCTCATGGGGCTGCAGTCAAGGTGTTGGCTAATGCTACAGTCATTTCAAGGCATGTTCTCCAAACTCACTGCATGCTTGTTGGCAGGACTCAGCTCCCCCCAGGTGACTGAACTAAGGGCTTCAGTTTTTCACTGATAGCTGGCCAGAGGCTGCCCTCTGTTTCTTGCCCTGGGAACCTCTCCATAGGGCAACTCACAACATGACAGCCAGCTTCCATCAGAGTGAGACGAGCCAGAGAGAGTACCAGTCACAGTCTCTTGTAACCTAATTTTGGACATGACATCCCATCACTTTTGTGGAGAGTTAAAAGCAAGTCACTAGTTTCAGCTCACATTCAAGAAGAGGGGATTACACAAAGGTGTGAATACCAGAAATGGGGATCTGTAGGAGCCATCTAGAAGCTTTCTACAACAGGAGAATCTGGGGAGACAGCGTAGCAGAGTAAGAAAGGAACAGAGGGAGTAAAAGAGGTTGGAGGTGGGAGAATCTGCTTATCAGAAATTTTCTAGAAAATAAGAAACATTGGGGGAGGCAGAAGAGCTGAACACCAGGAAGATTTTTAAGGGCAAGAATATTGCGTGGGGCACAGCCTGGGCCACAGGAAGCACTGAGGTGGAAGAATAGCTGAGGAAGTGGGAGAGCGGAGAGCACAAAAGGTTTGGAGGCAGGGATTGCAGAGGTAAGAGAGTCATGCAGAGCTGGAGTAGCTGGAGAGTAGCAATGGCTGAAAGAAGGGCAGGCTGAGGACTAGGAGGGGCTGGGAGAGGCCAGTGAGAGCTGCAGGCATCTGGGCCCTTCCATGCCTTTGGCTTTGGGGCAGGTAAATTTGTAGGTTGGGGAGTGGCTGCTTATCTGTGAAGGTGCCCCCAGCCCTGTGCCCAAAGAAGGCATCACTGGCACTCAACTGATATGGTGCTCAGATGTAATTCTAAGGGGTCCTGCCTGTGGCTTTGGGGCCCCTTCCTGTCCCCATTGCTCTTCCTCAGGACATGTTTGGGTCTCTAGAAGCCAGTTTAGGAGGGGACAGCCCTTGCCAGATCTAGGAAGCACCTGGAGAATAGAAAGTACACTTTCCTCCCAGGCTCCTTAGCTCCCTCCCAGCAGGCATGGCTTCTTCCCCATCCCCCTGCCCATGCCCCAGTCCTGCGCCAGCCTGTTCAATTGCACCCATGACATCAGGCATACTGGAGCTGGGCCGGGTGCCAGTCAGGCAGGTTGACATCACAGACAGACACAGCTAGACTTGGAACCAGCCGGGCTCAGTGGGGCCTGCAGAACCACCTGTTCCCCTGAGATCAGCCAGGACAGGGCTGATCCCTGCTGGGAGCAGGCAGTTGGCAAAGCACTAAGTTCCCAAGAAATCTCATGAATGCCGTGCACCCTGGTCTGCACAGTCTCCCCAGGCAGCAAGGGACACTCAGCCCTTGCCCTCCTCTCTCCTGGCCCCAGTGACCTCTCTGCGTCTCCCCAGCATAGGCATTGCATCCTACCAACTGGACCTGGTCTTAGGGATTCTGATTCTGCTCAAGCAACAGTGTCCAGCCCAGGACCCTACAGCCCTGGGCTCTGGTGTAGCTGAAGGGGGTTTGCAGACCACCTACCCTGACTGCCCTTACTTTTCTCCCCCTCTGCAATTCGCACCCTGCTCCTTCCTCACAGTAATGAAGTAGAACATGTCTGAGGCAAAATCTTCCCCTGAAACAGGACATAAAAGAGGCCTCCATTGGTTGAAGTGAAAGGGGAGGCCCAGGACCCACTCAGCTTTGCCCCGATGAGCAGCTGTCTCTCCCCCTCCACCCTCACAGTGGTTTCTGTGAGGCAGGGCAGCTGAGGGGTTAGGGGTATGGACTCTGGAGCCAGATGGCCTGGGTTTGAAGCCTGGCTTTGCTACTTAGTACCTGGGTAAACTTAGGCAAGTGACTTAGCTGTGCCTCAATCTTTTTATTTGTAAAATGGGGCTTGTGATGGTGCCTGCCTCCTGTGAGCGCTGTGAAGAATCAACGAGTTAATGCAGGTAGAGCACTTAGAACAAAGCCTGAACGTGCTAACTTTTAATAAATTTTAGAGAAAGAAAATCCATGTTTAAAAAGTCAGCTTGAAGACCACTTGTGCCATGGCCAGGGTTTCCAGGAAGCAGGCCTGAGTCTACATTTCCGTTTTATCATTGGCCAGCTGTGTGTTTGGGGACCTTTGCCCCGGGGCCTCAATTTCTATATCTGAGCACCGTGTAGCACTTCCTTTCTCTGAAGATTGTAGACCGAGTTCAAGGCCCCAACCCACGTTGTGCAGGGTATGCGGTGCTTGGTCCCTGGTGCGCCTAGTAACGGTGTGTGCATCACCCCTTCCCTCACGGCCCAGAAATCCAAGATCTCCACCTTCGAGAAGATGTGGGCCTTCATGAGCAGCAAGCCATCGGCGCTGGTGAAGAACAACGAGGAGGGCATCCAGAGGGCCCTGACGGCCGACTACGCGCTGCTCATGGAGTCCACCACCATCGAGTACGTCACGCAGAGGAACTGCAACCTCACCCAGATCGGGGGCCTCATTGACTCCAAGGGCTACGGCATCGGCACGCCCATGGGTGAGCGAGGGGCTGCCTGTGGGAGGGGTGGGTGTGTGGGCAGAGGGAGGGCTCCACCCCCGCGTCCCCTCACACTCCGTCTCACAGCTCATTCCATGGGGCTGATAAAGGTGACGTTTTCTCTTTTTTTTCTGTTCTTTTCTTTTTTTTTTTTTTTTTTTTTTTTTGAGGTGGAGTTTCGCTTTTGTTGCCCAGGCTGGAGTGCAGTGGCATGATCTCGGTTCACCGCAACCTCCACCTCCCGGGTTCAAGAGATTCTCCTGCCTCAGCCTCCCGAGTAGCTGGGATTACAGGCATGTGCCACCATGCCTGGCTAGTTTTGTATTTTTAGTAGAGACGGGGTTTCTCCATGTTGGTCAGGCTGGTCTCGAACTCCCGACCTCACGTGATCTCCCCACCTCAGCCTCCCAAAGTGCTGGGATTACAGGCATGAGCCACCGCACCTGGACAAAAGTGACATTTTCTCAGCCCAGAAGCAGAGGGATGGAGCTGCATGCCTTGTGAGGGTGGCCCTGGCCTGAGCAATGAGAGCTGGGACAGACGCGAGGTTTGGGGACAGTTCCCAGAGGCCATTCCTGCCTTCCCTCTCCTGCCCCTGCCCCTGCTGATGCAGCTCAGGGGCACTGGGACTTCAGGGAGCCCACAGGGACTGATACACAATGGGCACAACCTCCCTGCTCAAACAGGACATTTCCACTCACCCAGATACCATGCGTCGATTTAAAGGGGACTCACAGGGATAGGGACCCCCTTTCATGAGCTGATCCAGAGGGCTAGTGGTGGTGACCTGACCAGGGTGTTGGCAGAGCCAAACACAGAATGGGCCACACGCCACTGATGGCTAGGGGTCCCTTCTCCCTGCTCAGGCTCCCCATACCGGGACAAGATCACCATCGCCATCCTGCAGCTTCAGGAGGAGGACAAGCTGCATATCATGAAGGAGAAGTGGTGGCGGGGCAGCGGGTGTCCTGAGGAGGAAAACAAAGAGGCCAGTGCCCTGGGGATCCAGAAGATCGGGGGCATCTTCATTGTCCTGGCCGCCGGGCTGGTCCTCTCTGTGCTGGTGGCCGTGGGCGAGTTTGTGTACAAGCTCCGCAAAACAGCAGAGAGAGAGCAGGTAAGCCTTAGAGCTTGGAGCCTGCACAGGATGGGAAATGGAGATTCGCGCTGATTTCACTCCTGTATGTGCCAGGCACACAGTGGTGTCTCATCTCAGCCTCACAACAGCTCACCCTGCATCCAGTCGGCCAGCAAGCCCTGCCACTCTACCTCTGTCCTGACCTGGCACTTTTTTCCATCGCCGTTGCCCCACCCCAGGCCAAGCCCCATCACCTCCTGCCTGGATTATGCCGCAGCCTTCAAACTGGCCCTCCAGCCTCCATGCTTCCCCAACACCATCCACAATTCACACAGCAACTGGTACCTTGTTTAAAACTTAATTCAAACCATATCATTTTCCTGCATAAAACCCTCCAGGGTAATTGTTGAAGGTGGGTGATGGTTGCATAGGGTTTCATTATACTGTTCTCTCTACCTTTGCATATATTTGGAAATTTCCATAATCAAAAGTTTAAAAAGGAAAAGTTAACAGGGTTGGCCCAAGCATATAGACAGTAGAACTAGGCTCAGGCCTTCTGATTAATTCAAGCATGGTTGGGCAGTAGTTCTGGGTCCCAGTAGCAAATTAGAATCACAGGGAGAAAGTTTTCAAGTGCTAATGCCCTGGACTCACTCCCAGAGACTCTCTGTTTTAATTGGTCTGTGGTGGAGCCAGCATTATGCTTTTACAAAACCCTACAGGGTGATTTAAATGTGTGCCCGAGATGAGGGCCGCTGGGCTGGGGGAAGCACAACTCACAGAGAAGTTCAAGGATATTGCAGTTAAATTATATATAGAAGGGCCCATTATAAACAAGCAACTTACATATCCGTAAAAAACGAAATGGAATCCTCTATAACCAGCAAGCCTTAGTCAACAAAGAGGAGGGGGAAAGATAATACTCGATGTTGGAATTTGCAAGGGTGTAACCGAAGGGACGCTGTCCAGCATTGCTGAGGGAAGTCTATGCAGGTACTTTTCTGGAAAGCAACTTCACGGTATGTTCAGAGTCTTCCACAGCATCCATACATTTTGGCCTGTCAATTTCCACTTTTAGAAATGTACACTGTGTAAGTGGTCAAAGATAGACATGGTTTTATTTACAAGGAAATTTGCTGAAGTGTAAATTATAACACGAAGAGATGGGAGGGAGGGGTAAACACCTAAATGTCTAACAACAGAGAATGGTTCTCTGTTGATACAAAATTATGATACATCAAAAAAGAACAACAATCAAATTCTCTGAGAATTCCCATTACAGTTAAAAGGAGCTCCCAGCCAGGTGCGGTGGCTCACGCCTGTAATCACAGCACTTTGGGAGGCCGAGTCGGGTGGATCACGAAGTCAAGAGATTGAGACTACCCTGGCCAACACTGTAAAACCCCGTCTCTACTAAAAATACAAAAATTAGCTGGGCGTGGTGGCTTGCACCTGTAGTCCCAGCTACTCAGGAGGCTGAAGCAGGAGAATCACTTGAACCCAGGAGGTGGAGGTTGCAGTGAGCCAAGGTCACGCCACTGCACTCCAGCATGGAGACAGAGACTTCGTCTCAAAAAATAATAATAATAAATAATAAAAAAATGAAAATAAAAAAGAGCTCCTCATTCCACCAAAAAGCCTAAAGGATCTGTCTACTCCACTTCTCTGCCCACTTCCTTCCCTCACTCTCCTCCCCTACTCTGCTCCACTCCTGTTCAGTCCTGAACACACCAAGCACATTTCTGCCTTAGGCCCTTTGCACATGCTGCTCCTAAAATGCTCCTCCCCCAGAGGGTGTGTTCTTGACATCTTCTGGTCATTCTTGTTTCAGTTCCAATGTTACCTCCTCAAGTAGCCTTCCTCACCTGCCCCCATTTCCAGCCCCTCTCTATCCCATTTCACTGCTTGATTCTCTTCCTAATGGCTGTCACTGTCTGAAATTATTTATTTGTTCACGTGTTCATTATCTATTCCATCTCATCGTTAGACCGCAAGCTCCCTGAGTGGGCTATGGCCTTATCCGTCTTCTTCACTGCTGCATGCCTAACACCTGGAACAGTGCCTGGCACATAGTAGGGTCGCATTAAGTATTTGTGGAATGAAGAAAAGGAGGCAAGGAGGGATGACATTCTGCATGTAGTAGGTGAGGAAAGGGAAGCCTGGAGGGTCACAGCTGGTAGGAGGCAGAGCAAGAATACAAAGCCTAGTCCCCAGCCCCTGCACACAAGTAGTCCTGGTGCTAGTGCCCTGGCCTCACTAGGTAAGTTGAGATATCAGCATCCCCCACTGCCTTCCATGCAAGCTGCAGGACAACCTCTGGAAGCCACCATCATCAGATACCTGCGGGAAACGCTGCGCTCTTGATGTTCCTCTTGGCTATGTGCAGGGACCCAGGCCAAAAGAAGGTCACTGCCACCCAACAGCCCTAGAGGGACCTGCCTCCCAGTTTTCCACCTTGAGAAACATGTGCTGGACTTCCCTGAGTGGGAAGACACTGATTCTTCCCCTTAGTTGGAAGCCCTTCCAGGAGAAAGTTTATCCATACATTCGTCAAATGTTTCTTCAGTCCTGACCCTGGGCCAAAGCTAGTGCTTTGGTCAGGGCTCGAAAGTTGGGCCCATGGGGATGAAACTGGCTGGTTCCTGCCCTCCGAGTCTAGTGAAGAAAAATGGCACAGGTAAACCAGAGCTCCTCAGACGTTAATGTGCATGCCATTCAGAACCTCAGTTTGCTCATGTATAAATGAGGTTAAGATGATGCCCCACCTACCTTAGTCTCCAAACAAGAATGTCAGGTTTTGTAGACTGCTGCACAAACTAATCATCCTGCAGGTGGCAGAGGGATGGGTGGGGTGAAGGTGTGAGAAAGACGGGTAACCTTAGCACAGACTCTGGGAGAAAGGGGAGGAACTGGCTGGAGTTGCAAGACCGGGCATCACTCTGTGCCCCTTTTCCGACCCCTCTCCTCCACCCTCCTGCAGCGTTCCTTCTGCAGCACCGTGGCCGATGAGATCCGTTTCTCCCTTACCTGCCAGCGTCGAGTCAAGCACAAGCCTCAGCCTCCCATGATGGTCAAGACTGACGCCGTCATCAACATGCACACATTCAATGACCGCCGGCTTCCCGGCAAGGACAGCATGGCCTGCAGCACATCCTTAGCCCCTGTGTTCCCCTAGGCACAGCTGGGGTGGGGACCTCAGGCCTGGGGGCTGGGCAGAGGAAAGCAAAGGAGATTGGAAGGAACGTCCCCTGTCCCCGCACTGGGCTTGGGGACCAGAGCTGCCACCTGCCTGTTGGGCCAGGAGCCTCCTGCCCTTACCTGCCAGGAAGCCAGCAGGCTCTCAGGCCAGCTGCTTGGGCTTCATCCTCCTCAGATCTTCTGTGGGTTTCTAAAGCTGCCAGCCGAGATAGCCAAGGCCAAAGGAAGCACATGCCTCTCTCAGGCCAAACTCACCTGCCCCTCAACTCTCCTCCAGAGTCAGAAGTTTCTGCCGCAGCCCTGCAGAGGGCACAGAAAATGGAAGACAGCTCTTATATTGCCATTTCTTCCACAAGAGCCCAGGCCTCCTACAGCTTGACCGTGAGGCCAGAGACACAAGCCTTCGGCGCCTTAAGGATGTTCTAGCATGGCTGCCAATGGGAGCTCATGGTGAGGGATACCCATCCCATATGCCTGGGCAGAAGGAAGACTTCATCCCTCTGGGGCTGTTCACGTGGTCCTAATCTTCTGAACTTGGCGCTGCCCCTGGCAGCCCCTGTTCTGGCAGAGTTGAAGACAGAGCTACACAGGGGAAAAGAGGAGTTTGGGGTATGGGAGAGAAGAGAATGCACAAACAGAGGCCGCCATTTTGGATTCTTATGGACAATGACCCAGTGGTTCCTAATCCTCTAGGAGGTCTCTAAGAATATAAGTGGGGGAGTGGCCACAGAAAATTCTTCTCCACTTTCTAGCCAGAGGAGAGAGGACCCCCTGAATTTCTCACAAAGGATGCCCAAAGATGCAGCCGGTATTTGAAGCCCAGCAGAGGAAAAGCAGATTCCATGGAAGTCCCACCGGCTCTTGTGCCAATGGATCTCACTTTCCTGGTTAGCAAGCTGTTGTCTAAACCCTGTTCACATTTGGAAACCTGGGCTCTTTGCCATCTTCTCATCAACAACTCCCCATTCCTGGCTGGTTGACCTTGGCCTCACTCTGTCTTTTTGAAAGAAGAGTTGGTTGAAGTGAAAGTCAAGTTGTCCCTCCTCAAAAAAGGAGTTAGTGTCCTACTACACAGACTAACTTTGGGCTAGGTGAGGGAAACCAGAAGAGACCAAAAGAACTTCTGGTCTCCTGGACTTACCAAACCTAGAGATGCTCCCCAGGAAAAGAAAGTTTCCAGGGACATAATATCATAGCTGGCAGAGGCCCCAAGGGTGGGGAGGAAGAAGCTGCCTCCTGGAGAATTAACCAAAGACCCCACACAGAGACATGAGGCCATCCTGGCCCCTTGTCTGTTGTCCAGAGCAGCTATGGCATTGTGGGGCTTGGGGAAGACAGCAGAGAAGTAGCAGCAGGTTGGGTACCAGCCAGGGGGTGGACCTATGAGTTCCAGCTTGCTGTGATGAATGCTCTAGAGGTCTGTGACTTTAAGAGTCTTGGAAAAGAATGAGACATGAAGGATTAGGAACAAAGTGTCCTTAAAGAGAACATGATGGGCCAGCAGGGTTACCATGGCCAAGGATGGAGGGGCAGGTTTTGAACAGGGGAGGGAGGTTCTGGGGATTCTGGATGAGAACTGGGGCATACCAGCCACTCCCCTCCCACCTCTGTCCCATGCTGCTTGGGAAGCCCGGTTAGGGAAGAGCTTCATTTGGATCTCAAGGGCTTTCTCATCTGGGTGAAGGGCAATCTCTAGCAAAGCAGGAGACCACAGTGGGCTCATGTGATAAACACTGTCCCTCCTCCAGACTGTGAGCTGCAGGACCAAACCAGCAGGTTCCCAGAATCCTAGCAGCTCTGACTGGCTATGTACATTGGACGAGGGAGAGGAGGGCTAGACATACACCAAAGCCCCATGCATGTAATGTTAGGAAAAGCCATGCTGTCATAAGCTTCAGGGTACAGAGGGCGTGTGCATGTGTGTCTGTGTCTTTGTGTTTGTATGTGTGAGCTTCGGGGGCTGGGGCACAGGACAGATCTGGACATATAACATAGTCCAGGGCATGCAATAATAGGTGAATCCTTGGGGATCTGATGTGTGCATATGCGTGCGTATGTGTATCTGAGTGAATTGGGGACGAGGGAGACAAATATGTGAAGCAGCAAGGCCCCATATATGTAAAAACAGGAGAAGCCATGTCATAATGGGGCCCTGGTGGGTATGCATATGTAAGCATGCATGCATGCATAGGTGTGTGCATGCTGGTGTGTGTGTGTGCACATGTACACTGAATGGCATAGGATGGAGATCAGGATCTTACCTGCAGCTAGCCAAATATGCGTAAAAGGAGAAGCCATGTCACCAAGGGGTCCATGTCTGAGTGCATGTGAACACATGTGTACAGGCATGTGTGCACAGTGGGGAGCGGGGGGAAGGCCAGGACCAGAGAGTCGTGTGACATGGGTCAATGCATGCTGTAGACAAGAAGCCACGTGGAGTTGAAGTTTCCGAGTGTGTGGGACACACACATATGTTCCAGGTCACAGTGGAAGCAAAGACAGACAATCAGGAAGGCCGGGCACCAGGGTCTGTTTGCACTTCTGTCATGGGAGAGATCATTTGTCACAGAGAGGTTCCAAGGTTGCATGGGCACACTTGCCAGGAGACGGGGGCACAACCCTTCAGGGGCTCATGCTGCTGATGCCTTTGCTGTGGACATCATGTCCTGTTTGAAGGGAAAACTCTTTTTTGTAATTCCCAGGTAACAGGATTCTAATGAAGGTATTTGCCAATTTGCTGTCAGCAAACACAATCATTAAGCGCCGTCTTACTTTGTCCAGTATAGTTTCAGAGCACGTGCCTCATTCTTGCTCTTGTCTCACACATGTGTTGTGTGTGTGATGCTACATGAGCATGTTCTTCAGAGGCTATGCATATATGTGGATTGTGACAGGAGGAAGAAGAAGTGGTGAGAATTTTTATAAAACGAACAAAGAATAGTGGATAAATAGAGGCAGAATTCAATTCGAGAAACCCCCCAAAATGTACCGACTGGTCTTTAGACTCCTGTGTGGAAGCAGGAGGGCATGCTGCCTCATCTCCTCTCCCAGGCAAACCTTGCGTCCTGATGTTCAGGTGTTGTCGGTGTGGCTGATATTTGGCTTCTGGCCAATATCCTGCATTTGTCCTAGAGACCAGCCTAGTGTTCAAAGTGCAGTGGGGACCACAGCTGCCCAAGCATGAGCTCTGTCTCTCCCGGGGCACTGAAAATGATGCTACATCTGTGAGGTGGGACGGAGTGGGGAGGTGTTTTCAGTGAGGCAGATCTTGTGTTTTTTTAAGTTTAGGTCTGTCCTGCCAGTGGGCATGGAGCTGAGCTGGGGCAGGTGCATGCGTGTGTGTGTATGTGTGTGTATGCATGTGTAGTGTGTGTGCACACACGCAGGCACTGAGAGGTGATGGGAAGCATGAAAGCTTGCTTGGATGGAGCAGAAGAAGGAACCTGCCTGAGCAGATGCTGGACTGTCCCTGCGTGGTGCCACATGCCAGCCCTGAACAGAAGAATGTCCCCACTGCATCCCCAAATGCAAGTGCCTCCTCTCCACCTGCTCAAGCTGGCCAAGTTGAGGGGCAGTGGTAAGAAGACACCAACCCCACCGCCCCTGCCGAGGCCCTGGGACTAAGGACAGTGAGCCCTCCCAATCACTCTCCCCTTGTCCTGCTGCTGGTTTCTCTGCTCTGGACAGAAGAAAATCCTGAAAGCGTTGTCAATGTTCAAGTGGCCCCATGCTGCAAGAGTCTCTCGCGAGGGGTGACGCCCCCTTGGCCAGTGTGCTGGACTTTGAGTGTCTGAGGGGTAAGAGGGCCACCCCCTCCTCACAGCCGAGACTCTATCTAACCTGGAAGCACACTCTGGCTCCACCCCCAACCCCTGCCATGCCCTAGGCCCTGGAAGATGGGAATCCTGGCCCAGGCCAGGGTAAAGGGCCAAACAGGTTAGAAGTTGCTCCCCTCCACCAGGCGTGCACTCACCAAGAACGATCAAAAGCTCCCTTTCTGCCTACTTTTCCAGGGGTACTGGGTGTGGGGGGTGGGTCACAGCTCCTGCTTCATCACTCAGCATGAAGTTGGTCCCTCCCTGAGCCACTCCCAGCTACATGCACAAACATCTGAAAGTAGGCTGGCCTCTCTGGCTCACATCTGGAGTGGTCCTGTGTGGATACCCATCTGCAAAGGGGCTAGAGGTTTGGACAAACAGCTGCATGGACTTATCATCTGGGATGGGCCCAGCCTCATGGACAGATACAAGAAATGAGCCCAACTCTGTGGGCAGGTCTCTGGATTAGACACATCTGAAAGTTGCAGGTCAAGTGGACACATCTGGAAGTGGCCCGGCTGCTGGCTGCCATGGAAGGGCCGTGCCCTCTGTCCCCATGGCAGTTTAAATCAGGCCTTCCCTTCAGTCCTGGATTTGCCCTGGAGTAAAAATTTCAGAGCTGAGGTCATACGTGAGTCACAAAACTTTTAGGTAGAAGGTTAATGTTCTGTACAATATATATATGAATGTAAAATATATATATATACTGTATATATATATATATATGCACAGTGTATATATGACCTGTAGCCCATGTGTATACAACCCTTTCCTGCACGTCTGCACACGGAGTGTACAGAACCCAGCCAGCACGGGTGAGGACCAGATGAGAGATGGGGGCTGCAGCAGCAAAGTCTGGGACGGAGGTCTCAGAGAGCCCCTTGGGGTGGCGAAGGCCCTCCACACATCAGAGCTCCAGACCCTGAAGAAGAGGGCAGAGCTACATGGTGCTGCCAGGTGAGTCCTGCACCGCCAGGGCCTCCTGTGGGAGGGGCAGGAATGGCCAACGGACCTCATCTCCATCCGAGCCTGTCTGAGGCAGGACAGCTGGGTGTGTCTGAGAAGCAATGTCATGCTAGTACTCAGCCCCTGTGCCAATATTACATTCTAGTTCTGGGGCAATTCATCAGGAGCAGAAGGGCTGGGAAAGAGCAGGCCACTCCCCAGGCCTGTTCTCACACCTGCCTGCAGAATCACAGGTAGGTTTCAGGCTCCATCTAGGATACCCTAGAAGGCGGGGCTATTCTAGGTAGCAAAAGCCTCTGCCTCTGATTCTCACCCACATGCAGAAGCAGTCACAACTTGCACACAACACAGCTCACAACTAGGGAAAGCACTTGTTAAAGAGAATGCCCCCAGGGCATGGCCAGCATGCCGATACAGTGTTCCCATGCCCCTGTTACTGATCCTGTCCTCCTGCCTTCTAGAACAGTGGACCTCACATCACCTCCCAGATTGTCTCCATTTTATGGATTGAAACTCTGAGGCCTCCAGACATGAAGAAGCAGCCATAGATTCAGTCAAATGCCAGCCAAGGGTTTGCCTTGCCTCAGACAACCTCCCCAGCCCCATTTGACCCAGAGACCAGCTGTCAGGGAGCGACCTCAGAGCCAGAGGGGTGAAAGATGAGAGGCAAGAAGGTAGCTCCTATCCTAGCACAGCCCAGGCTCCATCTGTCTGCCTTTCTCTCCCCTGCGGCATCCTGGCAGGGCAGTTGGCAGAGTGCCCCCTCCCCAGGAGGCTGCAGATCTCTGTCCCTGGCTCACCCAGATCGGTCTGTTCTCTGCAGTTCCATTCCTTTAGCCTCTTTCGCAGGTCTGAGCATCTCTGGAGCATGCAGGGGAGGAGATATCTGAGGTGGGCTTCCGTGCAGTCAGCAGCCTGCCCCAGCTTCAGCCTCAGGCGTCAGGCTGGTCTGCACTGAACTCTGGGTCTGCCTCTGGGGCCCTGACCAAGCACGCCTGACTCCAGCCCCATGAGGAGCATCCTGTCTTGGTTCCGTAGGGATCATGGGTCCTCTTACCACTGTGCGCCAAGCCCCCAGCCCACCTCTGCCTGGGCCGACTTCCTGGTTGGGCCTCCCATGGTAGGGGCCTCAGTTCCCAGGCTCTGGGCTGAGCCCCCAGGGAGCACCATGGGCCTCTGAGACCCTAGACCTGTCCCACCACCCAGACCAGAGTGCCTGGACGCCCCCCACTCCCACTCAACATGGTTCCCACACACTGGTCTCTGGGCCATTCAGGGGATGCCCTTTGTGGACATGCAGAATTTCTATGAATATAGTTTTTTGTAAACATTTTGTAACAATTTGGGTTTCATAGTAACTGTGTTACTTGCCAATCATTCTAGGCTGATGTAAATAAATTTCCAAACAAATCTGATTATTTTCCTTTTTAAGACACTGTGATATATCAAAGTGCACAGTTTGCTGTATGAAGTAATATGGTTTTAAATTTTAAATAAAATGTTTCTAGAAAACAGGGCTCCCTTGAGGCGTGTTTTCTGTTTCTCTTCTCTCCTTAGAATGAGAAGGTGCTGGGCGACGAACTTTTGTCATCTTCCCCCAGGGATGACTGTGTCCCAGGCAAGAGACCCTGGTGCCCAGCAGGCGGGTGGCTCCAGCCAGGCTCCTGGTTCAGACATTGAGGATGTGGGGTCTGTCCTTGAGACTGTCTGACCTCTGTCTTCCCTTCCCTTGGCAACACCCCTCCCTCATCTCCATCCACACACTCCCTTGGGAGTTGCCACATACTTACTCACGTGGCCCTGTCCCTTTGGTCACAGCTAGTGAGGTCGGGTAGACACCTTATCCCAGCTTGGCCACAGTCTGGCCTGAGCTTTTTCAAACTGGAAATGAGAAAGCTCTATGTCAACTGCCCTCTGGAGACGGAAACTGCTCATACAATCAGAGTACAGGGCGGGACATTTCCAGCAGGAAGGGATTCAGTATGGAGGTTTATAAAACCAGTGGAAGAGATGAGGGAGCCTGGCCAACTTGGTCCTCCAGGAATGGCTCCCAGAATAATACAGAACTGACCCACCAGTGCATGACCACCTCTGAGCCTTGTGCCAGAGCTGGGAGGGAAAGACACACCCTAGAGCTGCAATCCAGGGTCCAAGAAGTCTCCATCAAGACACGGGGGCCGCCACCACCCCACATCATAGTGCTCCTCGGCACCCAGGAAGTTGGAGATGAGTAGTGGACTGAAGCTGCTGAAAAACCTCATGTTCCCATGACAGAAACAGCCCAAAAGGGAGTGGGAAGGTGGCCTCTGCCTCACCTCTGCCTCCAACTCTCATTCAAACAGATTGAATTGGTAGAGACCCCTTTCCAACCAGAACCTTCCATGTTCTCCTATGACATCATCTTAAAAATAGCTCATGGTTATTGAGCACTTTCCATGTGGCAGGTGGTAGGCTAAGCTCTTAACACATATGATCTATTTTGAATGAGAGATGTCCCTCAAACCCTGACACATCTCAGACCCTGACTCTGCGTGACTTTTCAGTCCAAATGTCCACCACCCTTGACACGGGCTTAAGTGTCCCAGGCCTAATTACCAGGAAAGTGGCTATGATTGCACCAGCTTGGGTCAAGTGGCCGCTTGTGGTCCAATTAGCTGTGGCCCGAGGGAGAAAGGGGTCACGTAATACAATTATGGGACCCAGGATCCCTGCTTTAGGAGAGTTGAGAAAACTGGAGAAGTCAAAAAAAAAAAGGCAACATGAGTTGGCAGGTCTCCTAAAATATGCACCTCCCATTCCATCAGCTGACAAGTGCCAGGGAAGCCAAGCCACGGCCCCAGCAGTAATCTCTGCAGAATGGAGAGGAGGTCGGGGCCCAATAGGCCACATTGTCTGGGAGCTCTGGTCTAACCTAGAGCCACAGCCCAGGAGGAGACTTTGGTCTGAGCCAGGTAGGAGGTGAAGAAAGGCCCTGGGTTGCAGGTGTCAGCCATTGAGAAGCAAGGTCGGGACCATCCCTGGAGAGGAGCACCCTGAAGGTCAGGTTAGGCTGCAGGTCCAGCAAGGAGTGGGGGGATATGGACAAGAGACCTGGTAGAAATGAGGCCCACAGTGGGGGTGAAAGAATAGGTAGAGGACCCATTCATCCATTCATCCATCCATCCATCCACCCATTCATCCATCCACCCATCCATCCATCCACCCACCCATCCATCCACCCAACCATCCACCCATCCATCCATCCCCCCTTTTATCCATCCATCCATGCACCCACCCATCCATCCAAGCACCCACCCATCCATCCATCCACCTATCCATCCACCCATCCATCCATCCACCTATCCATCCATCCACCACCCATCCATCCACCCATTCATCCATTTATCCATCTACCCACCCATTGATCCACCCATCCATCCATCCACCCATCAATCCATCTGCTCATCCATCCATCCATTCATTCATTCACAGACTTAACTAAATATTTTATGTATGAGTCCCAGCTCTACCAGCTACTAGCTGTGTAACTTTGAAGAAGCAACTTCACATCCTTGAGCCTGTTTCCTCATCTGTAAAATGCATGAGTGTGAAAGCCGCCCCCTCATGGAGTGCTTGTGGGGATTAAACGAGAAAAAGCACACTGCATATTTAGCACAGGGCAGGCACATCATAAGCCAACATAAATGCCAGCTATTTTCATTAAGAAAAGGGAGAAAGATGGGGAGAAGAAAAATTAGGAGCTACTATGGGCTGAGTGCTCTCTGGATAGACAGGGGGACTCCTCCCTCCAGGACTAACCCTAACTCAGAAGCCTATCTGTGATATCCTCGGCTCTGGATGGGGGCCAGCCAGGCCTCTCAGATTACTGACTGCACAATGGGTGCAGGAGCAGTGATGTAGCTGTCCTGGCTCAGGCTCCTGTTTCTATAACCTCAGCCATTTCTGCCCCAGCCTCTCCTTGGCTAATGCCTTGTGCTCCTCTCGTCTCCAGGACATACATGGGCTCCTAGTTCTAGTGCACCAGTCCCCAGAAGCAAGACATTCAAGGAGGCCCCTCAGTCAGGAATTGGAGCAAGACATTCAAGGAGGCCCCTCAGTCAGGAATTGCTGTGGCAAGAAACAGACACCTACTCAAACTCACCCGGGCAAAAAGGGGGCTTCATGATAAGGGGTCTGACGGAAGACAGTCAAGTTTCTCTCCCTCTATCTTTCTCCCTCTCTCTCTTTCTATCTCTCATTCCCTTCCTCCCCCCTCCGCTTCCTTGCTCAAGGCAGGACATGGCCACCCCCATCTTGGTTCAGGTCCCCCCAGCTTCAGGGCCCATGTCAGTGAAAATGTCCCAATTCCAAACCGTCCACCCACTCCTTCAGCAGAGAGAGCTGGATGGTGGAGTTCTCAGAGAACAGGTATATCTGACGAGTCACTGTAGACCCACACTTCTGAAAATGCCCTGAGGATCTTGTTCAAATGAAGGCTGGGGTCCACTCGTCTGGGACAGACTTGGGTGTCTGCACTGGCCACAGCTCGCAGGGGCTGCTGGGCTTTTGGCCTGCTGCCAGCACAGCAAGTGGCCGGGCTGTGGTGGGATGATGGTGGGGGCGTGTGGGGAGGGGTCACTGAATGCAGCACAGGCCTCGGAACCCTCCTGCTCCATGCTCTGAAGGCACAAGCCCCGCTCACCCCATTCAACAGCATCATAGAAATGAATCCTCCCTTGAGTCCTTAGTTCCCCATCAGAAATGTTGATTAACTGAGCATCCCACTTCACTTCCATATTTTTCTGTCTTATCTAGCCCCAGAATATCTATGCTGGCAGGAATGCCCCAAGTCCTTCAGGATTCAAGTTCGCTCAGGACCCCTCTGCTAGGACTGATGGGCAAACCTCCCCAAGCAGTAAGATCAGGGACTCTGGAGTCCAGCTTCCTGGGTTCTGCTTCTTGCTCTGTGTCTTCTTTTCTCCCACACTTTTTTTGGAGATTGGGTCTCACTTTGTGGCCCAGGCTGGAGTGCAGTGGCACAATCATAGCTCCCTGCAGCCTCGACCTCCTGGGCTCAGTGATCCTCCCACCTCAGACTCCCAAGTAGCTGGGACCACAGGTGCTCACCACCATACCTCGCTGAGGAAGGTTATAGGGATTTGATGAGATTGTCCACACCAGGCACACAGTCTATCTCAGCCAACGTTAGCTATTACTGTGGAGGGAAGGTAAAGAATGACTTGACCCCTCCCAAATATGCCAAGGGGGAAACTAGCCCAGGCACAGAGGAATCAGGAAACAAAGGTGGTCAAATACTCAGCTTTAAGTGCAAAGTTGTTAGTCCCAGTCTACGACCCAAAACATCTGGAAGTTTCCTCTCCACTACCTCTCAAATTTGGCCAAAGTTTCCACAGGCTGGGAGGGAACTGGGGAGGGACCACCAGACAGAGATGGAGCCCACTGCAGAGGCCTCCCAGGTTCTGGGAGAACATGCAGGTTCAGTTGCCAGCCCCAGGGAGCCCTGAGGAATGGACCCACCATCTCTACCTGCATGAGTCCAGTACAGAGCCTGGAGAGGTGCCTCTCTAGATGTCTTGCTTAGTGGCTTCAAAATGACACTTGCCTTAGCATCCAGGTGACTCCCACTGGCCATCTTGCATGAGTCAGGACCATCTGTGCCCTGAAAACTTGCTCCGTTCCCATTCTCCCCAACCCATGCAGCCAAGCCCTCATTCACTGAATCAGGAAATCAGGACTCTGCCCCAAACACTTAGAGGAAAGGAGGTGCTATGGCAGGGAACCCCTGACCCTAGCCAAGTGCAACTAGACTAGAGATTTTCCTCTGAGCTGGGGAAACAGTGCCCATGCCACTATTTTATTCATTACTATTATTATTGTCATTAGTTCTGCTTCCAAGGCAGTCATTGCAGAGCCCTGGTGGCTTGGAGGTAAGAGGACAAAATATTTCTGAAGCACACTTTGATATGGTTATTTTTGTTCTCTAGGTCTGGGAGAGTCCCATCCCACAGTGGCCCCTTTCTTTTGACCTTGGTCATCTCACCCTGCTCAAGGAACAGGGGTCTGAGACCTGTGGAGATGGCTCCCACCTCCCACAGGTCCCCCACCCCCCTCTAGGTCTGGGACCTGCCCTCTCCCCAGCCATTCCCAGTGAAAAGGGCCTCCTGTCACTCATGGAGGTGCCCAGACAGGAGACAGGGACTAGGAATAGGGGGCAAATTCTAAGATCCCTCTACCATCTTAATTTAAGCAGATGGCCTTGGACAATTCATAAGCCTCAGTTTACTCACCTGTGCATTGGGAGTGCCCATTTTGACTGTAACAGGGAGCTCGTGAGAATTTTTTAAATGACATGTGAAAGCATGTGTTAAGTGTGAGGCATTGGGCTGTTTGTGAAGCTCCTTCACTCTTCAGTCAGTTCTCCCCTCTCTCCCTTCCTACCGCCCTGC
Source organism: Homo sapiens (assembly GCF_000001405.40). Classification (NCBI taxonomy): domain Eukaryota; kingdom Metazoa; phylum Chordata; class Mammalia; order Primates; family Hominidae; genus Homo; species Homo sapiens. The sequence goes on along the minus strand of NC_000001.11, from coordinate 36,790,597 downwards.
CACTCAGGTCCATCTGGAGCAAGCCAAGGAGCAGCAGGAGGTCAGGGCTGGAGCGCCCCAGGGGCTGCAGGCCCCTATTCCAAGAACCACGCTGGGCCAGGGTACATGGCTCCCTTGGAGCTTTGATGGCACTTCTTTGGGAAACAGAAGCTGAATGTTTAAGAAGCATCTGTCATTATGGAAACGAAGTTGCCAGGCCATTTTTTCTTTTACTATTTTTACTGCGGTTTCATTATCTTATGCAAATGAGGCCGCTGATGAAGCCTTTCTGCAGGGTGGCCCATGCTGGGACCAGCTCTACCAAGGGGATTTATTGCCTGCCTCGGCCTCCAGAAAGGATCCGAGATGAGGATTCCCCACGGAGAGGACTTCCGGAGCAGCCACCACACCTGCAACACTCGGCTTCCCACCAGACAAGCCCCTAGCTCCTGCCTCCATCCCAGGAGTGCCCTGGCCCATTATCTGCAAAGACCTGAATGTCAGCCCACTTGGCTCAGGCCTCTGTCCCTGATTCCCCAATAGCCAGAGCCCCTTGAAGACTAAGTTACCCGTACCCAACAGGATATAAGGGAAAAGATGGGAAGCGAAATATGTTAGCTACTTGATTCACATCATGCCCATAGTGCTAGGAGAAAAGCATGATATTATCCCCTTAGTTTGAGATCTCCTGGAAGAGGCCCCTGAGACAAGGGCTTGAATACAAGACAAAGATAGGGGAATAGGGATGTGAGATGCCAAAGGGAAGCCAGCTTATAAGGGGTACAACATCAAGCCAGTCAACCCTGTGGGCAGCTGGAACTTAACTCCATGAAGAACTCTGGGAGCCAGCAGAGAACATGCAACTCAAGAATCTCCCATTGAAGGAGTGAGGGAGCTGGGGTATGTATACACCAAGTCCTATCAATCTTTGGTTTAGGACTGGTCCCCCAGAGACAGCCAATCCCAGGTACTTCTGGCATGCCACAAGGGGGCAAGGTGGACTCTGGGCCAGGACAAAGCCTCAGGCAGAGCAGTGCCCATCTTTGCAGTGGGAAGTCAGGCAGCTTGCCCAGAAGGGGTAAGGGCAAGACACTGACAGTATGTGCTATGGCCCCATGTCACAGATGAAGAAACGGAGGCTCAGAGAGGCCAAATAACTTGCCCAAGGTCCAGGGAGTATGTGGTAGGGCAGAGTCTAACCCAGGGCTCTCTGCCTCCCAGGCTCTAAAAGCCAATAGTGCCTCACTGGACCTTGGGCAAGCTCAGGCTCCCAGGGTCCCTGCCCAGACTCCCACCTGACCCCAGACCCCCCACACTCCTTCCTGCAGCTCTGGCCTCGCTGACAGCCCCTACAATGTCTTCCTGCTCCAGACTACCTCCCAGATCATCTCGTCCCAGCATAAAGTGTGTTGGCAAAGCACACCCTCTTCCCGGTGAGTTCAGCAGCTCGCAGATGTGGAGAGGTTTTTCTTCAGGAGGTAGAAGGCCTCTGTTCTGTCTGTCTAGCCCAAAGACTTACTTGCCCTTTGCTGTGAGAACCAGCTTCCCCTCCCTCCCACTAATTCAGCCTCAGATCACTAAGAATTCTCTAAACTCCAATAACACATCCTCTGGGACAGAGCCAAGCATTTCATGAGAGCCTTCTAAGCACCGTGCCCTGTGCAGGCACTCTCCTCTCTGTAGGGAGATTTAATCCAGTTCCATATTTCCCAGGAGCTGGGCAGTGGTAAAATTAAAGATGTGGAAAACCTGAAGCTTCCCAGCCCCACTTGCCTGCAGGTAACGATGAGGCCACAGCAGTCACCATAATCCAAATGTCACTTTCTGTGTCCTCTTGCACAATCCAGACCCCTCCAGCCCCAGTGAAGTCCAAGGGACAGACCTCTTCTGCACTCAGAATCATCCTCCCATCTGAGACTGAAGGCTTCAGAGCTCTTAGTGCTCAGGTCTTTTCCAGGAGAAGTTGTTATCAATAATAATAAGAATATCAATAATGATAATGGGCTGGGTGCAGTGGCTCACTCCTGTAATCCTAACACTTTAGGAGGCCAAGGTGAGTGGATTGCTTGAGTCTAGGAGTTTGAGACCAGACTGGGCAACATGGTGAAACCCCATCTCTATAAAAATAAAATAATAATATTAATAATGCTAATAACAACAGGATGCAGCTAACTGAGTGACAATTCTAGACCTGGCACTGTGCTTGGCTCTGAGCATGCCCATCTCATAGGATTCTCAGCATAACCCTATACGCTAGAGATGTCATCTCCATATTACAGATGTGAAAAACCAAGGCTGAAAGAAGTGGAATTACTCTCCCACAATCACCCAGTAAGCAACAAAATGAGGGCTCCAGTCTGGGACCTCTGTTTCATAGATTTGGGAAATGAACAAATGAATGAGTGAATCAGAAAACAGTCAATATCAATGCTGTTTACAGACACTGGGGAACGTCTGTGCTTATGGAAAACAAACATCCAAACTTGATTGGGCCAAAACCGAGAATTACTAATTATAGTCACTCATAGGAACGACCTACCATTTATGCCTAATTGCAGTGCAGTCCAATAACAATTATGCACATCAATAAATGTGTCGGATTAACTTGGTTGTGAGTTTTATTTGATCACAACCCTAACTCTGCTTGTGGTTGCTCAGACCTGGGAGGCTATGGTCACACTGCCTGGACCCCCTGGTCACTTCCGGCTCAGTGCGGAGGACCATTGGTACTAGAAGGGAAGTGGAAGATGGGAGAGGAAGGAAATGTTTTCTCCTCCTTCCTCTGCCACAGCGTGTCCGCACTGGCAGGCTCAGGGAAAGCAGTTTGGCAGGGGGTCTTTGCAGGGCGTGTGGAACATCACAAGCCTCCCCTCCCTTCCTCAGTGCCAAAGGCAGCTTCCTAATTAGAACATCCATAACCCTCAGCATCTGCTCCAAGAGAATTCAGCTGCTCTAAGATGGAGAAGTCCATTAACTTTATTGCACAAAGCGTCAGACGTGCTTTTAGACAGAGGATCGCTGCCAAGTGAGATAAACTGCCTGGACCTGCCAGCGGGATGGGCCAGAACTTCCTGCAATCCCCAGCTGTGTTCCTGGGACTCTCTCCTCTCTCTGTCCAATGCCCTGGGTGGTACCGTGTCACCCTGGGAGGCTGGAGCCAGGGAAACGGTATCTTTCAAATGCAGGTGCAGCCTGAGCACCCAGCCTTCATGGGGCAAACCCGCAGCCTGGTGGATGCCCAGCACCAGACAGGCACCACCTGACTCCCAGAATGCATCGGGACTCCCACCCCACAGCCAGGCAGCTCATTCCTACATCAGCAGAAATTGGAAGAGCTGGTGTCTTTAGAAGCAGTAGAGCATGGTGGCTAAGATGGAATTTCATCTTTGTCGCTTAGGAGTCACTCTCTGACCTTGCAAAAGTGCCTTAACGTCCTGGGGCTACTCCATAAAAGGGGCTGAGTACCCCCCACCTGTAGGAGGGTGAAATTAGACAATGCCTGGAACTTATAGCGCAGTGCCTGATGCATAGTGAGGGCTCCATAAATGAGAGCACCCTGCCTAAGTCTCCAGTGTGGAAATGGAGAGGGAACAAAAATCCACCAGTGTGGGGGTGAGAGTAAACACCAGTTTGGATTCAAACAGCCCCAGGTTTTAACCTTAGCTCTACCATGTGACTTAACTCCCTAGGCTTTCAGTTTCCTCATCTGGAAAATGGGGTTGGTATTCCCTGTCCTCTTTTCCTCACGGGAGAATCAAGAAGGCATAAAAGGCTGTGGGGCCACTAAGGGATGTTCTGACATGCAGCGTTGTGGTTCCCATTACTGTGGCAATCAACCTCATGTCTAGTGTTCCCTGGATACACCAATCCCAAGGCTGGCGGCTGGCTGGGCCTCCCTCAACTCCCAGTCCTGGAAGTCATCTCTGCCCAAGCACCTCCACCACAGCCCTCCCACCTCCTCCCGGGTGGCCCAACTCCCCACAGAGAGCAGCCCCAGACCTCCCAGCCCTGATGGATGTCTCACCATGTGGGCCTCCCAGGCCTCTAGTCTCAGATTCAGATCCCTTCCTAATAAGAATAATTAGAAGAAACAATCAGAGGGGGAGGCAGCAGCAATAGCAGTCGACCCCAGTGATTTCCCAGCCTCGGGGAGAGCCCAGTTCTGCTCCAATCCAGTTGCTGTAAATTCCCATCAAGCTAAGAAAATATAGTGCAATTTAGAAACACTGATACGGCAATAAAACACAGATCTCCAGCAAATGGAATTCGGCAACATCTAAAAATGGAGCCATACATTACTCGGCCTGAAAACTCCCTCCAGGGACGTGATGCTGGGAGAAGTTAGGGCAGTTTTATGTTCAAGATGATCTTTCCTTTCCAGATGAAGGCAGGGCCACCTACAGCAGGGCCTCTGGTAGCCCTCTCAGGCCTCTGTCCATGGCCCAGAGAAGGATTCGAGGAGGGCTCCCAAGTCAGAGAGGACCCATGGTCTGCCTTCCATCCTCCAGGGGCTGTTGGAGGGAGGGAGAGGATCTTCCTGTGTGCCATTTAGTCCTCATAAGTGGCCTTCGAGGGAAAGGTGGTTGTTTCCATTGATCAGATGAGAATACTGATAAACAGAATGAGATTTGTTCAAGGTCACTCATGGGGAAGTGGTAAAAGCTGGATTTGGACTCACGCTTGTCTGCCTCTTTCTAGTCTACATGCCGTCTTATGTCCAGCTCAGGACTCAGCCCTTGGACTCTGCAAAAGCTAAAACTAAGCCAAACAAAGCTGCTCCCTGCCTTCTGAGCAGGTAGCCTGACCCCTGGAGTGGGGACAGGACCATAGTCCACGAAGGAGTTCATCACTCTGCTTCCTGGGACCATTCGCCTGTTCCTGTAGCTCCACTCTGCAACCCTGAAACAGGAAGAGGTCCCCTGAGATGCAGTCTCCTGCCTCCTCAACAGAAAGCAGGGGGTAGGGGATCCTCTTGGGAAGGATGGAGCTTGAGAGCAGGAGGGCTTTGGATGAGTGGAGGGCAGACCCATGCGCCCATTCAACCTAACATCTCTACTTCTCTCTAGAGAGGATGGGGATGGGGCTCCATTCTCTCTCTCTGGCCTGGTACATACCCTCCTCCCTCCTCATCAGCATGCCAGGCTCCTTGCTAAACCCACCTGGCCAGCCTCCTTGCTGAACCCATTCTATCAAATTCTTGCTCATGCATGCACCCACACGGGGACACACACCCCACCCAATACTCATTTCAACCTCGACATTTGCTTAGCCAGTCCCTCCTCCAGACTATGAGCCCCACAGGAGCAGAAAGTGGTGTGCTCGTGGCTCATGACTGACTCCCACCCACTGGACTAAGCACAACTCAGGGATTGACTCCACTGACATTTGGAACACACTGGGGATCGCTTTCACATGCTCCTGTGTGTCCTACCAAGCCCTGGCACCAGGAGCCCAATAAGGGCAGAAAACCCAAGGTGGCCTCTTTAGAGTTTGTGTGTTAAGAATTACGGCTCAGGACACAGGCCTGACTTCCAGCTCTGCCACCTGCTAGTTGTCTGACTTGTGGAAGTTACTTAATCCCTCTAAGCCTCAGTTTCCTCATCTGTAAAATGCAGTTAATAGGAGGTCCTGCATGGAAGGCTGCTGCAAGGATCTAGTGAGATGATACATGGAAAGCATACAGCACTACACTTGGCACATAGTAAATGATCAATGAACGGCAATTGTATTAGTTAGCATAGGGCAGGCCATGCTGTGACAACAAGCCCCAGTGTCTTGGTGCTTTACACAGCGAACTTTATTTCTTCTGCACTTTGATTCCTCCGTGTGTCAGCTGTCGTCCATTGTGAAAATCAGTGATTTAGGCTGCTCTGATCTTGTGATTCCATCATCTCAGCAAGAGGTCTTCTCATAATTGCCTCAGCTGAGGAATAAAAGGGCTGGAGAATCATATCAGTGCTTTTTGCTGCCTCAGCCTAGAAGCCACACACATTCCTTCCAGCCACATTTCAGAGGCCAGGGCTAGACATGTGACTCCACTTAGTTGCAAGTGGAAGTAGGAGTGCATCTTCCCTGTGCCCAGGAGGGAGAAGACAGCAAGATCCTGGTAAGCACTAGTGATGTCTTCCTCCGTACGCGTGGTTACAGGCCCTTTCCTGCACCCACATCCACTTCATCTTCCTGGACCCAGAGCCAACTCACACCCTGCTGGCAATTTTCCTATTTTCTCCTTCAATTCTGTCATGTCTCCTCCCAAAGAGCGGCAGAGGAAACACAGGCCCCCACTGCCCATCAGCTGAAGCCCAGCCGTGGCCCAGGGGAAATAGCTCCTTACAGAAGACAGACTATTTCTAAAGTCCTCCCCTACTCTCCTCCAGCCCCTTTCCTCTGACTGAAGGGCCGTCATCAACTCAGTGACAACCCAGAATTCAGGTCTCCAGCATCTGATTGCAATTGTGCCTCTGACTGTCAGGGATAAATGTCTGTTGTCTTAAGGAGGATCTGTGTTGATGGAGGTGTCAGCACAGGCAGTGGTGGTGGAACCAGGCTCCCTGCGAGACGTAATTTGTGGGCAAGTCATGTATGTCCAGCTCCTGCCAGAACTCGGGCCCCTGAAGGTGGGGTAGGCAGGACCAGGGGGGTGGGGGACAGATAGGTGTAGCTGTGTGGGGGGAAGGGCAGAGAACCAGAAGCCAGAAATGAGTGACTTCCGTGGGTGAGGACAATATATCAAGTGGAACCATCAGCCCTAGGGGAAACTGTAGAGGATGCTGAGCAGTTGGGCAGGAGATAATGAGGGTCCCTGAAAGTGGAGTCTGGGAGGACTAACAGACACAGGGACAAGAACACGGGGCCAGCAGGGGCTTTGGAAATTAGATTTGAACCCTGGTTCTACCACTCAACAGCTGTGTGACATTGGATTCATTGCTCAACCTCTCTGAGCTTCCTCAGCAAAGAAGCGCTCAGAAGCCCTGCCCTGTGAGCTTATAAAAGTGCAGTGAGGTGGATCCGAAATGTTCATCCCCTTGGGGTTTGGCCCCCAGTGGGTAAGCCTGGTGGAGGAAGGCAGAGGCCCATTCTGGAGATCCTGGGCCACTGCAGTGGACAAAGGAGATTCCCCACCCAGACCCCTTTGATTCCATGGTGCACGTGTCTTTCCACTGCTGGGAATGTTGGCTGTTCATGGCTCCCAGTTGTCCCCTTCTCAGGTGCCTTCTTACCCATGAGGTTAAGATTCTCATTTTCTAGCACCCAGAGCAGGTCACAGCCAGTAACCTATGACGTGGTCAGAAAAAGGCCATCCCCTTTTCTTAAGATGGGACCAAGTCTGTGGTACTTTGCCTGAAGCTACCACCTGCCCAGATGAGACCTCATCCTTGCTCACTCAGCTTTTGCCCCAGTCTTATCCTGATCCCTCACTTTCCTTCTGAAAGCAACACATTCCTTCAACACACTTTGGGCACCTAAGTCCCCTTCTCAGGCTCTGCTTCTAGAGAACCTAAGACAGACACCAAGCAGGGCTCCAAGAAATAGAGTCTAAGGTCTAGGGGTGGCCCTGGAACCCGGCCATGACCTGGGACTGGCCCAGGCTGAGTAGGCAGACAGGCCTCACACCCAGACACTGAGCTTCTAGCTGTTGGGTGAACTTTGAACCCCTGCCTTGTGGGGAATGGCCCTGAGCTACTGTGAGTCAGGAGGGGCGTTTGGTACCAGCTTCATGGAGAGAGGGACTGAGCAAAGAAGAGGAAATTCACAACTCTTTTTATTTCTGTTTATTGCTTTATTCATTGAAGTCTTATCCCCATGTACTTAAACAGGATTTGAGGAGCTTAAAACTAAATGCATTTAAAAGGGAATGATTGTAAAAGCAAAACAGTGCAAAAACCATGTCAAAGAAGTGAAATATTTTTATTTCCTCAGAGGCTAGCTGGGATAATAAAGGCAGAGCTTCTTACGTGGACAACCAGGAAAGAGGACTGTCAGAAACAGGGTCCCTGAAGAGTCAACAGATCCCCACAATTCACTGGGAGCTTCTCCTGAAGTTAAAGGTCCCTCTAGGATATCCTCCCTGTCTAACCCCAGAACTATGTCCCCTGCCAGAGAATATGGGTACTACCCCCTGGCACTTTGCAGGGCCTTGGGAAGTCCCTTCTCTTTCTGAGCACTCAGAGCACCCCCTCTGCTCAGTGAGGGGGCTGAGCCTGAAGATCCCTGGGGCAGTTTCCACCTCATATGTTCGAGGACTGCCTAAGAAAATTGACACTCGGCAGCTCCCAGGGCCTCAGGCAGGTGGAATGTGAATCCACATCCCTAGGCCCCAGGTGGGAGATGCAGGTACTAGGAGAGTCAGGAACTGATGGGCAAGGGCAAGGAGTGTGGATGCAGGCTCGAGCTGGCCCAGGGATGAGGGAAGCACAGGGGAGAGGGATCCAGGCAGGAGGACAGAGGGGCAGTCTGCAAGCTCAGAAGAGGACCGGAATAACCAATGAGCCCATATCCAACCGGGAACGTTCACCCTGAGCTGGGTTTAGAGGTAAGAGAAAGGAGCAGGAGCAGAGAGACCACCCTGTCCTGAGCCGACGGGGCCTGGGGCCCGGGAGTTTTGGGCTCTGGAGCTTGGTGTCCTCAGGATCTCAGATGACTGTCTGTTATTGGTCCCTTACTAAGAGGCAGGCACTGTACTAAGCATTTGAGGTGCATTCTCCCATTTAATCCCCCCAACACCCTTTAAGATAGATTCCATCATTTGCTTCATTTTAAAGTGAAACAAGGGTTAAGATCCCGGCCCAAGGTCACCCAGCTGGTAGGAGGCAGATCAGGCTACACCCTGGGTTACCTCTGATTTCAAGCCAGCACTGCTAGGAACCCTGTTTCCGCACCTCCCTCAGGGGGACTCATGGTGTTCGCAGTCCTGAGAGGTCCCTAAGGAAGCCAGGCCCTGCTTTACTAATGTCTCATTCATTTTAGATAGGACATTTGTATTCTAATAAGGGCCTTCTGGAGCTAGGCCCTTTATCCTAAGGGCACTGATGGGGAAATGTAAGCACCACGTCAGGACTGGGATAGGGGAGACTTTGGCGGAGGTGTGCCCTTTCGGTATCCATGGATGCCACCTGTGGTCAGCAGGGACCCCTAGCTGCTCTAGAACCCAGCCCCACCCCATCCCAAGATACCCTAAGCATTTGCATCTCCCAGGACTCATGAGGCTGTCTCCAGGTCTGAGGGCGGCCGTCAGTGTTGGCAGCAAGTGCTCCTGTTGGCACAGGGGAAATATAAGCTGCATCTGCCACTTAAAAAGCATTTCTGAGAAGTGCAGAGGCGGCAAGAGTGTGCAGAATTGTCAGCGTGTGGGGATTAGCAGGCCGGCACATTTCCTCCTGCAGGCAGCCCTGCTCCGCGGCTCTCAGAGACATAAGGCATTTCAGGAAAAGCATCGTCCAGGCACGGAGCAGCCGTTAAAAGGAAACCCAGGGAAGGCCATGGGAAAAGAGTGGCTGCTCTCTAGGAATGATAGGCTCCGCACAAAAGGAGCAGGGTCCCTGAGGAACCAGAGTGACCAGTGCCCAGCCCGGGCTGGGGCCTGCCATCAGGGGCCAACTGCTCTACTGGCATTTCAAGAACCCCAGAGAAATTCTGCAGTTACCACCACACCAGTCTGTGAGGTTGGTACTGCCATGATCCCCCTTCTACAGCTGGGGAAACTGAGGCTTGAATGAAAAGAAATCATTAAGAGTATGGTTAGAACTTGAGCCCTGGACCACACTGGTTCAAATCCCAGCTCTACCACCTTCTGGCTGTGTGTCCTTGGGTAATTCCCTTGGCCTCTCTGAACTTCAATTTTCTCACCCATAATATGAGAGAAATAATAGTACTTCTTCTCCCAGAGGTAACTATAGGAATTAGAAGAAAAATGTAGCTAAAGTGCCAGACTCATAATAAATCCTCAATAAACAGTAGCTTTGATTATTATTAGATTATTCAGGTCAATTCAGTTCAATATTTATTGACTACTTGGTTGAATGTATTAAAGTATATTGTCAAAACAAGCCAGTTCTTTTCTCCCAGTTGATGATAATGTAGAACTCTGCCCTCTTCAGCCGGTTGCTCTGCCATTGTGTGGTTGCAGCTACTGGACCATATAAAACAGGGGGAATGACCCAGCAATGCCACTACAGGGTGTATACCCAGAGGAATATAAATCATTCTACCGTAAGGACACAAAGACACACGCACGTGAATGTTCATCGCAGCACTATTCATAATAGCAAAGACATGGAATCAACCTAGATAACCCATGGGGCTGGGTTCTTAATCAGCTAGGGGTTCCTGCTGACAGGTGGCATCCATGGATACTGAAAGGCCTCACCTTGCCAAAGTCTTAAGAGACGATGCTTCTCCTGAAATGCCTTATGTCTCTGAGCGCTGAGAAGCAGGGCTGCCTGCAGGAGGAAACATGCCGGCCTGCTAATCCCCACACGCCGACAATTCTGCGCACTCTTATCACCTCTGCACTTCTCAGAAATGCCCATCAGTGACAGACTGGATAAAGAAAATGTGGTACATTTACACCATGGAATACTATGCAGCCATAAAAAGAGGAGCGAGTTCATGTCCTTTGCAGGGACATGGATGGAGCTGGAGGCCATTATCCTCAGCAAACTAATACAGGAACAGAAAACCAAATACCACATGTTCTCACTTATAAGTGGTAGCTAAATGATGAGAACTCATGAACACAAAGAGGGAAACGACAGGCACTGGGGCCTACTTGAGGGTAAAGAGTGGGAGGAGGGAGAGGAAAAGAAACGATAACTATTGGGTACTAAGCTTAGTACCTGGGTGATGAAATGATCTGTACAACAAACCCCCCATGACAGGAGTTTACCTATGTAACAAACCTACACACATACCCTGAATATAAGTTAAAAATAAATAAATAAATATAAATAAACACAGGCAAGCAAAGCCATCCCAAAGGCACCTGACCTCTCACTGCATGTGCTGGGCTATAGGGGGCCTATCTGGAGGTCTAAGTGGGAGAGGTCCCAAGGACTGAGGAAGCGGGAGGCTAGAAGACCAGATGTTGGAGGGGGGACTTTGAGGAGTGAGAAGCTGGAGGTGAGCAGTGCGGATTGGAGTTTGGAAGTCAGCCTCAGGAGCTGAGAGATAGGAGGTGAGTATCAGGGATATGGCGTCAGAGAGGAGACTCAAGGTGTCAAAGATTAGCGTGAACCCTGAGAGGTCAGGACTGGAGGTGAGAGTTGGAAGTTAGAGCCTAGATGGGACTCCTGGAGGTCAGCTGTTGGAGGAGAGGCTTGGCAGGTCAGAGAGTCAGAGGGAACATGGTGGTGAGAAGCTGGGTGTGTATCTCAGGAGGTGTGTTAGTTTCCTATTGCCGTTGTAACAGATTATCACAAATTTAGTGGCTTTAAAATAACACACATTTTAATGACTTGGGATGTATTCCTTCCTCTAAAAAAATAAAACTCAAATTGATCTTCTTATCATTCCGGAGACCAAAAGTCCAAAATCAGCTTCATGGGGCTAAAGTCAAGGTGCTGGCCTTCTGTATCTATTTCTGTCCCTCCTCTTGGCTATTCTTCCCTTCCCCCTTCCCTCCCCTCCCCTTCTCTTTCCCTCCCCTTCCCTTCTCCAGGATGACCTGGTGGTGTCCCTGGCGGTGTCCCTGGCGGATCCAGGCAGTGGCGGGGCTGAACTGTTTGGCTTTGAATCAGTCCAGCCCCTGGAGAACACTATTGTAAAAGGACATTTCCTGCCACCTGTTATTCATAAACTCAAGAAATATTTATTGAGCGCTGAACACTGAGCTGGGTGAAAAGGATCCAGCAGTGAGCTAGACAGAGGTGGTCCTGCCTTGGGAGACTTTGTGATCTGGCGGGACACTCCCAGACCTGTGCCAGTGGTTGCAGGTGCAGGCTCGTAAGAGTCCATCGTTAATTTTTCAAGAATGTGCAAGCCAGCTGTTAAACACAGCCAGACACAGCTATTATTAAAAATTAAATTATATTAACTTACAGTTAAATAAATTATATTGAAACAAAGGTAATGAATGCTCAAACTCATCATGTCTTAATTATTGTGCTATATTTTGCGCTCGTCGATGCTCCTGTACGTTATTTATGTCTACTGAATTTGTATGGTGGAAATACCACAATGGTGCACTGCTGTGTATCTCTTCCCAGCTCCACTCGGTGGCACCAACCTTGGTACTCTGAAATTGTTAGTATTTACATCATGGAGCCTAGCAAATGCTACACATCATGCTTTTTTAAAGAGAGATATATATATTTTATTTTATTTTATTTTATTTTATTTCTTTATTTTCAGATGGAGTCTCGCTCTGTCGCCCAGGCTGGAGTGCAATGGCATGATCTCGGCTCACTGCAACCTCTGCCTCCCGGGTTCAAACGACTCTCCTGCCTCAGCCTCCTGAGTAGCTGGGATTACAGGCGCCCACCACCACACCTGGCTAATTACTTGTATTTTTAGTAGAGACAGGGTTTCACCATGTTGGTCAGGCTGGTCTCAAACTCCTGGCCTCAGGTGATCCACCCACCTCAGCTTCCCAAAGTGCTGAGATTACAGGTGTGAGCCACTGTGCCCAGCCACATCATGCTTTTTTTTTTTTTTTTGAGAGCCAGTTACTAAACACATGTAGCACACTACTGTCTGTTCCCCACTGCATAGTCCAGCTCATCCTGAATCTTGATTGTCTTAGCTTTCAGCTGGAAGTTGTTTTGATGGGGTTGGAGTGGAAGGTGGGTCCTTGTCGGGGAACATTCAGAACCTCTTGTTCCTCCTCAGTGGCCTCTGGGTGAGTTACAGACATGCAGGCCCTCAGTTCTCCCTCTCCCAGGCAGGGGCCACTTCTCTGAGGTTCTGGCCTTACCTCCTCCAAATAAAATATAAGCCTGGCTGTTCCATCAGAAAACAGCTGTTCCCACAAAGCTTGCAGGGCTTAATTCCGATTATAGACACAGCTGGACTGCAGCCCACATGCCAACATGTAACTAACTTTCACTTTACTCACATTCTCGGAAAATTGATGATTTTCTGCCATTTTATTATACTTGATGATAATTTAAAAGGCAGGTTTAGTGCATCCATAAAACTGACTTTGCAACAAGCTTGTGATGTTAGAAAAATATATTTGGCAGGGCCTATTGTTTGGAGTTATAAAACAGAAGCCAGGAAGGGCTTTCCAAAGGGACTGTTCATACCAGCATCCTTTGCCTCCAGAACCCCAGCCCATCATTGTCCCACTTCTGGGAGGTAGTGAGTTGGCCTGGGTCTTTTTCCTGCACATGCCCACCTCAGTCAGACTGAGTAGGATGATCTCTGCCTCCATCCCTGACAATGCTCATTGACCATTGACACTGGGAATCATCACCCAAGTTCTGGGGCAGACATGCACCGAACACGCTGCTGGGGCCCTCCAAGGGCAATGCTGGCTTCCGAAAGGGAATTTATAGCCGGCTAATCAAAGCTTAATTACAGCAGCTCAGCGGGCTCCAGCAGGAACTCAGGCCGAAATGGTTTTGCTAGGAAACTTTTTATGAGCTTAAGCAGAAGCAGCAAATTAGCAGGAATGAGAGGAAAATCATCCTGTCTTAACCATGTCCCTGAGCTGGGAATCTGCAGCGTCACCTTGCAAAGTGCACCTCTGGGTGGCCCAAGAGGTGAAGATGGGGGTGTGGGAGCAGCCTGGGTGCAGTCCCCTGTAGTCCATGGGCTGGGGCTGCATGAATTATGCTCCCCAACCCCGCCCCCCAAACCCCTGCCTGCCCGCACTGCAGTGAGGACCAGGAGGCAGCCTCACATCTCTTCTCACCTCTCACCTCTTCTCCATCTCCACAGCCCCCCGCATGACTAAAGGACATCACACAACCTCGTGCAACCATGTGGTCTGGAGAGTCTCCTCATTCTTAGACATCTCCCTCATCTGAACTCTCAACTCCTCCTAAGTGCATCTGATCCATAAACTCTTCCACCTCTCCTCTTCCATATTTTAAAATCTCTTTCCTCTTCACCAATCTGCATTCTGCCACTCAACTAACTCCTTATCTCTTGTTCAGCCAAGGACCTGCCTTCCAATTCCCCTCCCACTCCCCCGCAAAAAAACAGCCTCCAAGAATTATCAGGAACGTCTCCAAATCCCACGTCTCTACACCTTTGCACCCACATTTTCCTGCATGCACATCCCACTTTCTTCCTCCCTCCCTTCTCTGAGGAAAAGCAACTTTGTAGCCATTAAGAGCCACACAAAACCTGGAATCTTGTCACTGCCACTAACTAAAATGTACTTTCTTAGGCAAATAATGTAGCCTCTCTGAGCCTCAGAGTCCTTATCTGTAAAATGGGAATAAGAAAATCAATAATATGAGGTGGCTGTAAGCCGTTCCATTAGCTAATCTATGTGCAGTTAAACACCACACCTGCACATTGTCACACTCAAGAAATGATAGATATCCTATATTTAATTGTAAAATGGACAGCAGAAATCCATAGAGTTTACAGCTACCCCCTAAAAAGAGAATCTGGTTTCTAGAAAGATGAATGACAGTTTCCAGATCCCTATGTCTATTATCAGTGGTCACACCCAAAAGGGACTGGCTCTGCAGCCAGACTGGGGAGAGGGTCCAAGGGAGAAATTGCATGAGGCCAGCATGGAAGAATAAACAGAAGCTGGGGCCTGGGGACAGCAGGGAGCCTAGGGCTGGCCAGGGCGGGAGCTTCCCGCAGAGACTGGAAGACAGAGCAGAACTCCCAGGGGTAGAGAGCAGGTGCAGGGGTGTACAGGGCTGATTTCAATTGTCAGTGAAAATAGGCTTCTGGAATTCATCATTTTATTCACAAATTAAGAAAGGACTAAAACATGCTTTTTGCTGTTCTAGCCCATGTAGATGCTTTCTTTCAACTTTATGAACTTCTCTAACAATGAATAAAACCACTCTGGCATGACAGGCACCTGTATTATTCTGTGTGGATTCCTTATTCCTAATGTCATCAATTACAATAATCAGATCACTGTAACACCGGTTTGGAGCAGGGCCGTTGCTGAGGGGCAGGCATGCAAGACCGCGGCTGTTCAGAACCACTCGCTCGTGTTTCTAAGGCACTGAAAGACAACTGGAAAATGTGATTGTCCTTAAGTTTTAAATTACCTGCAATCATTAAAATAATCTAGTTCATATTCATAAAGCTGTGATTATATTTTACATACCCAGTAAACACTTTATGAGAAAAACCCACAATTCTGCAGTGAAACAGAGAGGCTCAATCTGGTGGAGTCAAAATGCAAAGACGTGTTGGCGTGAAATCAGCCCAAAACACTGAGGTGGGGGTCGAACATTGACCATGGAACATGTTCCCTACCTCTGTGGTGGGCGGTGGGGTGAGTTTTTGAAAGGTTATTAGACAGATGAGGAACAGAAGAGACAAGGGGGAAGGGAAAATAGCCCAATTCCAGCACTTCCAGAGTTTTCCGAGGCCCATAGGTATCTCTTGGTTACCTCCATCCATCCATCCCACCGTACACCAGCGGTGAAAGGTCATGGTGCTCTAAGCTCAGCACCATCATGTGCACCCTGGGACCCCTGGAGGAAGAATGCTTCTTACTCTCATTTGGTAGATGGGGAAATTGAGTCTCAGAGAGGTTAAGTGATTTTCCTAAGATCGCACGTTAAGTGGGGAAGTCAGACACCACCCCCAGGTCTGTCTGACTCCAAAGTCCACACCCCACATTTGTTGAGGCATCTTGTCCAAGGACACACGGTAGTGAATGGCAGACTGGTGCCCTCCTGGCTGGGTAACATGTGGGCCTCACCACCCAGCCTCTTCCAGATCCAGGTACTTCCTATTGTGCCATTTAGTTACTTTTTACTGTGACATGATCTGGTCACCCTCAGCATTCAGTGGAGCCCCCCAGGTGAAGCACTGAGGGCAACGCCCACTGGACACTGCGTCTGAAGTGAAGCATTTTGCAAAAACCCTGACTTAAAAAATATATATCATCCATTTCCTTTTTTAGCAAGATACATTTTTGACACCAATGAGGCTTAAGAAAGCCCAATATAACATCCCTCACTTCCCACCAGAATCAGACAAATGGAGATCAAAACTCCAGCTTCGGTGCACAGGAGAACACAGAACCTCCTCCCTGGAACTGCAGATCTGCCTCGCCCGGGCAGAGCCCGCTCCGCTAGTGGAAAAAAGATGCAGGGAATTTTCTGCAGGCAGGCAGAACCCAGAGAGAGGCAGGGCAGGAGCTAAGCATGTTCAGTGCCTTCACCCAAACCCACTAATCAGAGGAGTTCCTCCTCTTCCCAAGGGGAGGTGGGGGTGAGCGAGTGAAGAGCTAGGTCTGGAGGATGTTTCAGTGGAAATGCTTCTCCCTGCGAACCGGAGCGGTGGTAAATGATCACTCCTCCTGCCCCACAAACAATAAAGACTCTTTAGATAAAGAGAGAAAATCATTTCTAATCACTTGGCTCTTCACTCTTCCCTTTTTTGAGTTCCTTTGGCTGCCCTGCACATTTCGTATGATTGCATCAGTCATTGGGCACTGACGCCATTCAGTGCCAGCTGTGGCGGGGGCCTCCCAGGGCTGCTCAGTAACCATCATGGCCATATCCACCGGGTAGGAGAGGTTCCATGGAGCAGGATCCCATCATTGAAGCACCCTCCACTCCTTACTGATGGTTCTGAGGGCTGCTTCCAGATGGGTCATCACAAATAATTCTACAGCCATCATGGTGGATATATAGCTTTTAGCTTGGCCTCAGCCATTCTTCCCCAGGTGTGCTGTCTACCCAGACTCCCACTAAGTCCTAGGATGACTGTGGTTGGGAAATATACAAAGAACCCAAGGAAAGCCCATCCCCTGAAAGTTATAGAGACAGAGGTGACTTTTTCAGGTGTGCACTCTGAGGACCTTAGCAAATAGTAGGCATTCGTGGGAAAGGGCCAGCATAAAATGGCCAGCACTTTAAGTAGCTTCTGTTTGCCCCACTGTGGTTCCAGAGCCACTCAGGGAAACTTCTCACTCATTAGGCATCACCCCACATACCTGGAGCCTGCTGTGAGATCCAGCGACCCCGGAGTTGGCATCCCACAGCCCCAGAAGGTGGACAGGGCAAGTGATACCTGGTGTTATGGTTTGAATGATGGTGTCCCCCCAGAATTCATGTGTTGAAACGTAATCACCAGTGTGATAGTGTTAAGAGGTGGGGCCTTTAGAAAGATGATTAAGTACTGAGGGCAGAGCCCTCGTTAAGCTCCTTACAGAAGAGGTGTCACCCAGCCTCTCTCGCCCTTCCGCCTTCCACAATGTGGACATGAGAGCACAGTGCCATCTCCAGAGCAGAGAGCAGCCCTCCCTGTTCAACAAGGCCGGCACCTCAGCTTCTCACTCTGGGACCCACGCAGACAGAGCACAGCCACCATCTGGATCGTTGCTGGTCCCTGTGGCAGAGGGAAGGAAAGCATGGTGAATTGCTCCCTGGCTCTTAAAGATTCACCTACTATGTCCACTCCTACTTCCCTGGCCAAAGCAAGTCATGTGATCACCCCCACCTTCTGGGACTGAGCAAGTTCAAGCCTACTCTGTGCCCAAGAGAACTGGAAAGATCTGGTGGGTAACACTGCCAGGCCACCCATCCAGCCCCACTTACCCACCCTGCACCTGGCCCTGTATTGGTACTGGGCAGAGACATGAAGCCCAGATTGCCTTCTGGAACTGTGCTGTCCAATGTGGTAGCCAGCTGTGCCTGCTGAGTGCTTGAAATGCGGCTAGTGCAAATTTAAATGTGCTCTAAACATAAAAGCACACACCCAATTTCAAAGGTTTGGCATAACAAAAAGAATGTGAAATATCTCATTTATGTCTTTTCATTTTGATTACATATTGAGATGTCATTTGGGATCTATTGGGTTAAGTAAAAGATGTTACTAAACTTAACTATACCTGTTCCTTTTTTTTTTTTTTTTTTTTTTGAGATGGAGTTTCGCTCTTGTCACCTAGGCTGGAGTGCAATGGCATGATCTCGGCTCACTGCAACCTCCGCTACCTGGGTTCAAGCAATTCTCCTGCCTCAGCCACCCGAGCAGCTGGGATGGCAGGCGCCGGCCACCACGCCCAGCTAATCTTTGTATTTTTAGTAAAGACGGGGTTTCACCATGTTGGCCAGACTGGTCTCAAACTCTTGACCTCAGGTGATCCACCCACCTCAGCCTCCCAAAGTGCTGGGATTACAGGCGTGAGCCATCGTGCCTGGCCCATTCCTTTTTTTGATGTGGCTACTAGAAAATTTTAAAATTGCATTTGGGGCTGACATTAGATTTCTATTAGACAGCGCTGCTCCAACGCCTCTCATCCCGGCCAGTAGTGAGACACTGCTTGCAAAGGAAAGCAAGTGGATCCAGCTGTGAGTCCAGCAGTCACTGGGGGTGGGGGTGAGGTCCTCTCAGACTCAGCATCTGCCCAGCCACGACTTTGACTCCTTGACAAAAACCTCATGAGCCCTCCCTGAAGATGGAGCCACTGCCTCCACCCTGGGCTGGGACCTCATTTTCTGCGCTCCCTGGGGGCCCCCTTGCTGTGTGACACAGGCAAGCTGTGGGGTATGGCAAGGAGCATCTCTGCCACAGTCTGATGCCCAAGGAGCTGCAGCCAAGAAGGCGCAATCACCTGCGGAGAAGTGTTAATAAATATTTACCGAGCCCTTTGACAGTGCCAAGCGAGAGTACAAATCAGTCCCAGCAGGCGCCGAAACGAGTCTCCTGAGGGCTGGCAGCCAGAGGCGCCACCACACAGGGCCGGAAGCCCACTGACCTCCGGCTGCTTGTACCTACCCTGAGTGGCCCAGGCAGCCCTGTTTACAGAAGCCATGAAAGAGGACAATCTCTCACTATTGATTTTGTGCCTCTCCCCACGACCGCCGCCCTGGATAACTCACAACGTATGGATTTTTCTATAAACTCCAAATTAATATCTGCAGCAGGTGGGAATATACTGCTGCCCGATGTAGTGAAGCCTCCTGGCCCCACTGGGCTGAGGATTGGAGGACACGCAGCCTGTGACTGTCCCTCCCATGCCTGGGTCCACAGGCTGACCTCTGCTTTTAGCAGTCAGCAGGCTGGGGGCGTGGAGGCTGGCCTGCTGGGCTACGCATCCACCCCCCACCCCCCAGCTGGGATTCTTGTGTTCTCTGTGTTTGAATGAGGCTGTGCATACAGGAGTTGTGAATGCAGGTCACCCCAGGACCCTCCATTCATTAAGGAGAGACTCCCTGCGATGGCAAGGAAAGAGCGGGAACTTTGCATTTACTGAACTTCAGTTTACTCCCAGCTCCACCCCCAGCCTGTAGTGTGGCTTCAGAGATTTACTTCATAACCTCTCTGTGCCTCTGTTTCCCTATCAGTAAAATGGGGGTAATATCATATTAACATGACAAGGTTGATGTCAGGATCATTTACTTGTACAGCAAATGCAAAACAAGATCATTTCACTTGGATAAGAGCTACCAAAGAAATAAGCAAGGTGACTTTGGTAGGCCCCTTGAGGTAGGGTAGTCAGAGAGGGTGTCCCTAAAGAGGTGACATTTGGGCATAGAGCTAGAGGGTGGGAAGGCACCAGCCACACCAAGAGCTGGGGAGAGGGAACAGCAAGTGCAAAAGCCCAGAGGAGGGTAAACATAAAGGAAATTTGATTACGGAAATGTACTCAGCATTTTCCCCTGCAGGGAGCAGAAGCCCAGGGGTGTGAAGTTCCCACTTTTGCTCTGAGGGGAGGGACCCCTGCTAGGGCAGCAGGTAGGAGTGGGGGGCGACAGAAGAGAAGGGAGAGTCCATTCTTACAGATCTCCAGCCCCCATCTTCTGGGTCCAGTCACAGACCTGCTGGGAGCCCTGTCTCCTGAGCAGGGAGACAGAGAAGCAAGGCACTGCCCTGGGGGGTGGAGAGAGAGAGCTCAAGCCAAGTAAACGTTTGCTGCAAATACTTCTAATCCTATTGTCTTTAATAAAACTGCTAATTGGGTTTGGAAGTCTCCTCAGGGCCTGGCTGAGCCAGTTGGTTGCTTAGCTCCTTCCCAATCCTTCCCCATCCAAGATACCTCCTCTGCTTCCATGAATTAATTCAACCTGACATTTCAGGGTATACAGAGGGAGGAGACTGTGTTATGCGTATCTAACTATCATTCATTCACTCACATTTATATTTAGTGAGCATCTACTATGAACTAGACGTTGCCCAGGTTGCTGGGGATACAGCAGCAAACCAAAGAGACAAAACTCCCTGCCCTTGGGAACTTCCATGCTAGAGGGAGGAGCTAGGCGAAGAGTATGTAAATGGGGTGGTAAGTGCCTAGGGGGAAAACAACCAGGGCAGCAGGATGGGAAATAGAGAGGAGGGTTGTAATTTTAGATCAGGTGGCTGGGAAAGGCTTTGTAGAATTGGGGACATGTGGTGAAGAGCGGCATCCGCCGAAGGAGCCAAATGTGTGGACATCTGGAGAAGGGCCTTCCAGGTAGAGGGGACGGCCAATGCAAAGGCCCTGATGTAAGAGTGAGCATGGCATGTTTGGGGAACAGCAAAGAGGCCACTGTGGCTGCAGCAGAGTGAGTCAAGGGAGAGGACTGAAAATGAAGCCAGAGAGGTGATGGATCTCACAAAAACCCCTCTACCATACCACAAGGTACGTACCATCAGCCCCCTTTAACAGATGAGGCATGAGAGGGTTGGGGAAAAGAAGTGCTTAGCCCACGCTCAGGTTGCAGTATGCCTCAGGGTCCGTGTTTAAGCACTTAATGAGCACATACTCTCTATGACATCACTGGATGTCATCAACAGGGAGGGACAAGAGCACGGATGCCTCCCTCACCATCCAGTAGCACCAAATATCAGCCAGGTGATATTGTTCTAGTATCATCCCGCTTCATAGAGGCAGAAAAGGGTGAAGTCAGTTGTCTGAGGCTACGCTGCTAGAGAGCTGGGCTTCAAACACAGGTCTGACTCCAGTGCCCACACTCACACCAGGCTGCCACACTGGTCGATCCCTGCATTTGGACAAGAGAGGCACTCAGCCTAGGAAGAGGGGGCTAGTAGGAGCAGAGCAAGGCACAGATCCCAGCCTCCTGGGATGTGGCCTGAGATTCCATCCATCCATCCATCCATATTTCTGTTCATCCGTTTATGTATTCACCAATCCATTCATCCATCTATACTTTTGTCCATCCATCTATCCATCCATTCATCTATATTTTTGTCCATCCATCTATCCATCCATTCATCTATATTTTTGTCCATCCGTTCATTCATCCAGCCAGTCAGCCTCCTATCCACCCACATGTTTGTCTGGCTGTTTACTGGGAACCTGTTCATGGACCACAAGCAAAAGTCTTCCCTGCAGCTCATGGGGCTGGCAATGGGGCTGACCCTTTGACTCACCTCCCTGCCACACTCCACACTCCAGAGCCCACCAGGTAGCCTCACCCACCAGTTGCCCGTCGGAACGACACATCCTGGGACTTCTTGTCATTTCCTGTCCAAGATTCCATTATAAGGTGTGATTGCTGAAGTAATAGACAGATAACGGATCAGTCCGAGCCCCGCCTGGCACACCGGGCAGCTGCCAGGTTTTTCCCATTAGCCACAGGGCTTGACGGACAGTAATGGATTTCATACTGATGCTGGAGCCTGTGGCGGATAATTCCGTGATAACAGTTTATCACCCACTGACGGGAGGTAATGGGTAATCACCAGGAAGAAAGCAAACCCATCAGGGAGCCCTGGCCTCCACCCAGCCTGGCCCTAGCTTTGTTGTGCCAACTGCCACTTTCCAACTCGAGGACCAACTCCCGCCTGTGCCCTGAAGGATGGCAGAGCTGCCGGTCCACTGTGCATGTATGTGTCCAGGCCAAGCCTGGCTGGGGTGCCCAAGGACTGTTTGCAAAGACTCTCACAAGAGATTATTTTTTCTCTTTCAGCAAGCCCCAGACACCTTCCTTCCCACTGAGACTTGCAGCAAACTTGGGAGAAGACAAAGTGGGGTTTCAAGGACAAAGCAACCCAATACATCCTCTAGTCCAGTCCTCCTATGCACAGCCCCAGGCTCCAGGCCAGGATATCAGAGGAAGACTTTGGCCACAGTGTATGTGCCCCGGCCATGTTCTCTGCATCCTAGAAACCACTTATTGGAGCCAGGGTGGTGATGACCCCTTGCCACCACCTTCCATCACCTTGCAGGGGTCCCCTGCCCCCTCTTCACCTTTATAAACACTTGAGTATGCCATCTGTCCCTCACCAGGCTTCCCCCAATAGACACTGTCTCTTCCAAATCTGCAGGAAAAAATAAAATGAGTGGATACAATTTTCTCCCATTTCAGGATTTTCCCCTTTTTAATTTTGTTTTAAACATCCAGGTCCTCCTTGTCTCTCACTACTCAGAGAGAATAAAACAAATGAATAAGCACCAAATGATGATTAGTGAGAATCTTACTTGCTCAGTTCTGCCTGGATTTTCCTTGAACTTGTGTGTCCTTGGGCACGACTGCGATTTCCCAGTTTTTTAGAGGGTGTACATCTCATTAAATTGAACATTTCTAAGTCACTTCAACTAAAAATTCCTGAATTATAACCCCAGTTTCCTTTGCAGAATTTGTATCATTGGAATCTTAGCAGTTTCTGTGGGTTCCCAAGACGCTCCCCACAAAGAACCAGGTCTGGGATCTCAGATCTGGGCATGGGGGGCGGAAGCGCTGTAGTCACTAGCTGTAGACAAAAGGCTCCCTTCTAAAGACCAAAAGAGGGTCCAGGAAGAGCTGCCTATGTTCAGGGGATGTAAGGAGCCTGGGCCCAGGGGATGGGTGCTCACAGGCAGGTACGGCTGCAGTGGCCTTGAAGGGTGGATAGAAAGGAGGCCTCTTCACTATTCACAATAGCAAAGACTTGGAACCAAGCCAAATGTCCAACAATGATAGACTGGATTAAGAAAATGTGGCACATATACACCACGGAATACTATGCAGCCATAAAAAATGATGAGTTCATGTCCTTTGTAGGGACATGGATGAAATTGGAAATCATCATTCTCAGTAAACTATCGCAAGGACAAAAAACCAAACACCGCATGTTCTCACTCATAGATGGGAATTGAACAATGAGAACACATGGACACAGGAAGGGGAACATCACACTCTGGGGACTGTTGTGGGGTGGGGGGAGTGGGGAGGGATAGCATTAGGAGATATACCTAATGCTAAATGACAAGTTAATGGGTGCAGCACACCAGCATGGCACATGTATACATATGTAACTAACCTGCACATTGTGCACATGTACCCTAAAACTTAAAGTGTAATAATAATAAAAGAAAAGAAAAAAAAGAAAAAAAAAAGAAGAAAAGTGGGATATTGAAATTTACAACTATTACTGCTGAATCTAATTCTTCCTCAATTCTATTAATGATTCATGTATTTTGGGCCTCTGTTATTAGGGACATACATGTTTGTAATTGTTATGTTTTCCCGATGGAATGGTCATTTTATGATTATAAAATGTTCTGTTTATCTCTAGTAAAAAAAAAAAAAAGAAAGAAAGAAAGGAGGCCTCTTTGTTGAGGGCACCACCAGGCCTTATTAAACATGGATTGTGTGCCAAGCACCTTTCCAAGTCCTCTACAAACAGTGCCTGATTTAATCCCGACACCATTCCAGGAAGGGAGTTATAATGATCAATATCACCCCTTTTTCACAAATGAGGAAACTGAGGCACGGTGATGTTAGCTAACTGCCCTCAGACATACAGCTAATCAGCAGAGGAGCCAGGACTCAAAGCCAGGCAGTCTGGGTCCAGAGCCTGTGTCCTAACCATGACACTGTGCTGCTTCTCCCAACCATCCATGGCCGCTTGAGGCCCATCCGGGCCATTCACAGCCCTGACCAGACTGTGGGCCTGGCTTCCTCTCACAGTAGAGTTTTTCAGGGAGTGCTGGCTGGAGCTGCCTTGTTCAGCTTCCAACGGCTGACTGTGCACTTCCTCACCCAATTCTGTGTTAAGTGATGTCAGGTAAGTAGCTTCAAATCAGCCATGGTGAGCAGGCATGTTTACTTAGATGAGCAAATGCCACAAAGCAGGGCTTTTCCCCCTCTGGAGAGCTGGCTGTTACCTGTTTGCCAGCACAGCACCAGTTCCTGGGGCTGGGGAAATGACAGATTCTGTGCAGGTCAGTGAACACACAAAGGAAGGAGTGGGTAAATCTGTTGGCCCCAAGCTCAGTCAGGACTGTCTTTATTCATCACGGAGGTAACACTTGAGCCAAAACTTCATTCAGTTATACACTCATTCACTCACTCACTCACTCATTCAACACATTTCTTTAGCACCAAGGTGGGCACTGAAAAGACAGAGACAGATGCAAGGGGAGCCTCGGACGTGGGAACAGGCAGCCATGCTGCCTGCTCCGTGGGCTGTGGTGGGTGAGGACAGGGAGGTGCTCCCCCTGCCAGGTGCCCAGGAAGGCAAGGTGTCTAGGGCAGCATTCCAGGCAGAGAGGGGTTTGATCTCCACACTGCAGACAATGCAGTCTCTTCCCATGTAAATCTGACCATGCAGCCCTGCCTGGAGCCTGAAAGGGCTTCCCATTGTTCTTGGGTTCAAAGACTGAGATGGACTGGATGCTAAGGAAGCCCAGCCTCCTGCCCCTGCTTTCTCTTTGCCTCACCCCGTTTCCCATTCCCAAACACACAAGCCTTCTACTGGGTGTGCAGGGGCACCAGCCTTCCTCACCTCAGGGCAAGTGCCCAGTGTTCAATCTGCTTGGAATGTCATGTGTGCACACATGCACATGTACACATACACAAGTGCGTGCACACATACACTCTCTCTCAGCTCATTCTCCCTCACCTGGCTGACTCCCTATCACCCTTCAAATCTCAGCTCAAATGCCATTTCCTCTGGAGTCTCCTCTAACCCTTCTATGTCCCCCGCTACTGCCAGCCACACTGAGCCCCAACATTCTCCCAACACTGTGCAGTTCTCTACCAACACATTTCAGAGTCTGGGACTGAACTTCCTTTTGTGTGATTATTTGGCCAATATCTGTCACCCATTCCTAAATCAAAAGCTCCAGAGGTCAGAGACTTTGTCTCCTTTGTGCCTAGAAGAGTGCCCAGCCAATAGTAGGTGCTCCATAATTATTAGACAGATGAATGAATGAATGCAGTGGCACACACAGGCACAGGTAAAAGCTTGAGGTGTGTGAAGGAACTTCAGGTGGCTCCCTGCAGCTGGAGCCTAGTGCACAGTGAGGAGAAGCAGAGGGGAGGCTGTGGAAGGAGGGGCTCAGGTCCATCCTTCCTGGGGGACAGGCAGAGTGAATCCTCACACCCCCTCCTGTTCTTTAACTCTTGAGGGCCCAGCACAGTGGGGAGGAGCACTAGGACAGACAGACAGACAAGGGCTAGCCCAACTGCCTTGGGGAGGCCAGTAACTGAGCTGGAAGAAGGCCACCACCCCCTCCCCCAACCCATCCCCACCCCTGCCGGGCTGAGCACCAAGACTAATTAAACTGGATTTGCTCAGCCAGGCCCTGGAGGGGACAGCTCCGAGCATTCCAGATGGGCTCTATTTGTCAATTTGAAAACTAATCTCTGACTATTTAAACAGAAGCTTATCTGGGTCCAGACCAGGATTAGCATTTGGCACCTTGGCTGAAGAGGGTGGGTGGCACTCCCCAGGTGTTAGGAAAGGATTTGAGGGTGAATTTCTTTCTAGAAAGAAGAAGAGCTCAGAGCTTCTGCTCCCAGCCCACCAGCCCTGAAGGCAACCCCTGGGACTGACCAGTAACTTGCTCAGCAGGGGCCTCTCCCCCAGCCTTCCTTATGTCTGGGGTACACCCCTGTCCTGAAGCCACCAGAAGCTGGAAAAAGCAAGAAAAGATTCTTCCCTGGACCTTCTGGAAAGGACACAGCCCTGCAGACACCTTAATGTTGGAGCTGTGCCTTCTGGAACTATGAGAGAATAGATTGCTTTTTCTTAAGCTAGCAGTTTGGAGTAATTTGTGACGCCAGCTCTAGGAAATGAACTCAAGCCCTCTACTAGTCCTGACCTCAGAACCAGCTAGGGGACAACCAGATAAGAGTGACGTCCCAGAAGCAAGCAGAGATGTCTGGGGCTCAGGCCTTGGGCTTCTCTCTCCACCCTCTCTCCCTAGGTGAGCTCATCAAGGACAAAGCAGTGCTAGATGCCTTCTGTAAAATGAGGATGCATGAATGTGGGTCTCCAGCCATAACCCTGTCTCCCAACATGAAATTCACACATACAACTTCCTGCTAGGCATTCCATTGGCCTGAGAGGCAACCCAAATTTTATACAACCTAAATGAAACTCAGGCTTCCCTTGAGACCCATCTCCTCTCCCGCCTCGGCATCTCACTAAGCGGCACCCAGAAGCTCAGGCCAAAGTCATTGCCTGCTTTCTCTCATGCCCCATATCCAGGCAAATCCCACTGGTGTGACCTTGAAACTATATCCAAAAACCAACCCCTTCCCCACTGTGACTGCTCCTGTCCCAGCCCCAGCAACCGTCATCTGCCTGGACGGCTGGCATGGCTTCCGGCTTCCACACACCTCCACCCGCTGTCCACCACCCACGGCAGCCAGAGGGAGCCTGCTAAAGCGTGACTCAGACTGCGCCACCCCCTTCTTAAAAAGTCTTCAGTGCTGCAATGAACATACGCATGCACGTATCCTTATAATAGAATGGTTTCTATTCCTTTGGGTATATACCCAGTAATGGGATTGCTGGGTCAAATGGTATTTCTGCCTCTGGGTCTTTGAGGAATCGCCACACTGTCTTCCACAATGGTTGAACGAATTTACACTCTTACCCAATGTAATAGCGTTCTTATTCTCTGCAGCCTTTCTCTGCCAGCACCTGTTGTTTCTTGACTTTTTAATAATCTCCATTCTGACTGGCGTGAGATGGTATCTCATTGTGGGTGTGATTTGCATTTCTCTAATGATCAGTGATGTTGAGTTTTTTTCATATGTTTGTTGGTCACATGTACGTCTTCTTTTGAGAAGTGTCTGTTCATGTCCTTCGCGCACTTTTTAATGGGGTTGTTTGTTGTCTTGTAGATTTGCTCAAGGTCCTTGTAGACTCACAATAGCAACGACATGGAATCAACCCAAATGCCCATCGATGATAGATTGTATAAAGAAAATGTAGTATGTATACACCAAGGAATACTATGCAGTCATTAAAAGGATCAAGATCATATCCTTTGAACGGAAAGGCGTTATCCTCAGCAAACTAACATAGGAACAGAAAACCAAACAGCGCATGTTCTCACTTATAAGTGGGAGCTGCGTGATGAGGCCACATGGACACATGGCAGGGAACAACACATACTGGGGCCTGTTGCGTGGCAGGGAGAGAGAGCATCAGGAAGAATAGCTAATGGATGGTGGGCTTTAATACCTAGGTGACGGGATGATCTGTGCAGCAAACCACCACATGTTCAGCTATGTAACAAACCTGCACATCCTGCACATGCATCCCTGAACTTAAAATAAAAGTTGAAGAAAAAAAAAAAAAGCCCTCAGTGGCTTCTCAAAATCCTGTATAGTTCCCTGTCCTCATGGGACCTGAAAAGCCAGGGCTCCTGACCTGTAGCTCTGCCTGCACCCGGGCCCTCCGCTCCTCCCCTCACTCACGGCTCCCACCCAGCCTGGTGGCCCACCCCATCCCCTCCCCTGTTCCCTCTGCCTAGAATGCCACACCCCTCTCCCAGAGTGTTCCTTCCACTCATTCAAGTTCTTTCTCAGATGTAGACTCCTCAGAGAGCCATTTTCCAACCATGCAATTGGAAACTCTTTATCCCTTTCCCCAGCATCAATTCCCCCACCTCTCTGTTTCGGTTTCCTGTGTGTCTGTTTCTGTCTATGTCTGCGTGTGTCTGGTCTGTGTCTGTGTGTATTTGTGTTTGGGTGTCTATATCTGTGAGTGTGTGTGTGTATGTGTGTGTATGAGTCTCTGTGTTTCTCTGTGTCTGTGTAGGAGTGTGGGTGTGTGTGTGTTTGCGTGTCTCTGTCTGTGTGTCTGTGTTTGGGTGTCTATATCTGTCTGTGTGTGTATGAGTGTCTACGTTTGTCTGTATCTGTGTGTCTGGGAGTGTGTGTGTGTGTGTGTCTGGGTGTCCACGTCTGTGTGTGTGTATGAGTGTTTGTGTTTGTGTCTGTGTGTCTGGGAGTGTCTGTGTATGTGTGTGTGTGTCTGTGTTTGGGTGTCTGTGTGTGTGTGTATAAGTGTGTTTGGGTGGCTCTGTCTGTGTGTTGTGTATAAGTGCCTGTGTTTGTGTGTCTGGAAGTGTCTGTGTATGTGTGTGTGTGTCTGTATCTGTGTGTCTGTGTGTGATTGTGTTTGGGTGTCTATGTCTGTGTATGTGCATCTATGTGTGTCTATATGAGTGTGTGTCTGGGAGTGTCTGTGTGTGTGTCTGCATATGTGTGTGTTCTACCCACCTGCCTCCACCGCCCAGGGATAATATAACTTCAAATTGGTCTTAATCACCGCTGGTCTCTAGAAAAGTATGTGGCACATATTAGGAGCTCAATAAATATTTGTTGAATGATTCAAGGCAGATAAGAAAGGATGTCCCTAGGCTGGGCGCGGTGGCTCACGCCTGTAATCCCAGCACTTTGGGAGGCCGAGGTGGGCAAATCACGAGGTCGGGAGTTCGAGACCAGCCTGGCCAATATAGTGAAACCACATCTGTAATAATAACACAAAAAATTAGCCAGGCATGGTGGCAGGCGCCTGTAATCCTAGCTACTTGAGAGGCTGAGGCAGGAGAATTGCTTGAACCTGGGAGGCAGAGGTTGCAGTGAGCTGAGATCGTGCCGTTGCACTCCAGCCTGGGTGACAGTGTGAGACTCCGTCTCAAAAAGAAAAACTGAGAAGTGACATTTAAGCTGTGGCCTGGAAGATGAGGAGAGGATGGCAAGGCAGAGTGTGAGGGTGGAAGGAGTTTTCACGCAGGTGGAACAGCATGTGCAAAGGCCCTGGTGCCAAAGCTGCCAGGCACAGTTCAGAAAAGAGCAGGCCAGGGTGGCTGGAATCCAGTGAGCTGAGCAGGACAACATGGTGTCACCCCACTTAGCTAGGCCTCAGTCTTGCAGCCCTTCAGCCTCCTGTGCTGGCCAGAGGTGGTCCTGAGGCTGCCCCATCTGCCCTCATTCATGAGTCCCTACTGACCCTTGGGCCTGCAGCCTCTGTTTACTACTAAGACCAGGGGCTCAGGGTTTGCCTGGTGGGTCTCAGCCACTCCTTAACCTGGGTCAGGTCCAACTACCATGGCTTCCTGTGAGTCAGGTCTGGTCCTTCCTGTCCCTCCTCTGTGTGTAAACAGAGCCTCACACACTGTCCCACCATGCAGGGTGAGGTCAGCTGCCTCAGTAGAAAGCCCAGGTCCTCTCTGCTGAAGCATCTCCAGTGGCAGTCACTCCCTCTACATGTGACTTTGCCTCTCTGGGCCTCAGTTTCCCCATCTAAACAGTGATGAGTTGGGGCCTTCCAGCCAAGACAGCCAAGTTCTAAGCATTTTCCCCAGAGTAGAAAGGTATTATCATTACCAAGGCCTGAATACCCAGCCCGAGTTTCAGGACCCTCACCAACACTGGTGCTTTTCTGTTACAAATTAGAGAAACCCCAACCCAAACTGGCTGAAACATATAGACTATACATTGCTTCATGTGACTGGAAAGTTGGGTATACCTAATCACATATGGCTTGATCCAGTCTCAAACAACTGTCCAGATTTTCTCTCTCTCTCTCTCTCTTCCCCCTCCCTCTCCCTCTCCCTCTCCCTCTCTCCCTTTCTCTCTCTCCTCTTCCCTCTCTCTCTTCCCTTTCTCTCCCTCTATCTCTCTTCATTTCCACTTTCTCACTCCCCTCCCAGGCCTCTTATGGTTTCAACATAGCTACAGCACTTCAACCTCCATGTCTTCCCAGATAAACAAAAGTGTGGCCAGAGAAGAAGGCTAGGAAGAAAAGCAGGAAATGCTGAGGGGTGAGGCTGCAGAGCAGGCAACATCAGCTCCCGCAGGACTTCAGCCTGAGTGCAATAGGAAGCCATGGGAAGTTTTCAGCAGGGGCAAGATGGCCCGACCACATTGGAGTCTCCCAGGCTGGCAAGACTGTGCTGCCTTAGAGCCCCCATCAGCACTGACCCAGGTGGACCCTAACTGCTGCCCACCTCCATTGCCAGCCTTCACTTGTGGGTTTCTCCTCTGAGCCACTGTGCTGCCCTGTGGGTCGGCCTCATCCCCTGCCAGGACCCCCATGCCAGTCCAGGGCAGAGCTGCCAGGCAGGCTGGAGGCTTGTAGCACAGGCAAGGAAGGTGAGCAAAGAAGGGGAGAGAAGGAGGCTGCTAGGGAGAGGGGCACAGAGGGCCAGACAGTTCGACCCTGCTGGCCAAGCTCAGGGCTCTGAAGGCTGAGGAGCAGAGGAATGACTAGCCCCTGGGTTTTCTGAAGTGAAGAGGAATCACAGGGAAAAGAGAAAGCTTCTAAGGGAAGGTGGACATGCATGTGGGGAGTGGGTTAAACACCAGGGCTTGGGAAGCAGACAGACTTGGTCTCTGTGGTAGATTTAAGACGGCAATAAATTATTTGACAAGCCTCTCACTGGGAGGTGAAGTCTGTTCCTCCTCCTTGCATTAGCATGAGCACTGTCATAACTTTGAGCCACAGAACATGTTGGAAGTGATGCTGTGCCAGTTTCCAGACTCAGGCCTTAAGG
This sequence comes from Homo sapiens, assembly GCF_000001405.40. Classification (NCBI taxonomy): domain Eukaryota; kingdom Metazoa; phylum Chordata; class Mammalia; order Primates; family Hominidae; genus Homo; species Homo sapiens. Next base: position 36,759,795 of record NC_000001.11, on the reverse strand, counting down.
GACTAGTAGCTTTCACTTCCTCCCTCTAAGAACAGTCACTCTTAGATCCTGAGTGTCCACATAAGACATCCAATGACTCCGCTTGGAGAGACCACATGGGGATGCCCTGAGACTATAAGGAGAGGGAGAGAGAGACATAGCTGGGCTCACCAAGACACCAGCCACATGAGAAAAGTTGTCTTGGACCCTCCAGACCAGTCCAGCAATCAGCTGAGTACCACCGGTGACTTCAGTCAATGTGGCATGGAGCAGAAGAACCACTCAGCTGAGCCCTGCCTGAATTCCTCACCCACAGCATAGTGAGATATAATAAAATGGCCCTTGTTTTTTTTTTTAATTATACTTTAAGTCTTAGGGTACATGTACACAACGTGCAGGTTTGTTACATATGTATACATGTGCCATGTTGATGTGCTGCACCAATTAACTCGTCGTTTAGCATTAGGTATATCTCCTAATGCTATCCCTCCCCCTTCCCCCCACCCCACAACAGGCCCCAGTGTGTGATGTTCCCCTTCCCGTGTCCATGTGTTCTCATTGTTCAATTCCCACCTATGAGTGAGAATATGCAGTGTTTGGTTTTTTGTCCTTGCGATAGTTTGCTGAGAATGATGGTTTCCAGCTTCATCCATGTCCCTACAAAGGACATGAACTCATCATTTTTTATGGCTGCATAGTATTCCATGGTATATATGTGCCACATTTTCTTAATCCAGTCTATCATTGTTGGACATTTGGCTTGGTTCCAAGTCTTTGCTATTGTGAATAGTGCTGCAATAAATATATGTTTGCATGTGTCTTTATAGCAACATGATTTATAATCCTTTGGGTATATACCCAGTAATGGGATGGCTGGGTCAAGTGGTATTTCTAGTTCTAGAACCCTGAGGAATCACCACACTGACTTCCACAATGGTTGAACTAGTTTACAGTCCCACCAACAGTGTAAAAGTGTTCCTATTTCTCCACATCCTCTCCAGCACCTGTTGTTTCCTGACTTTTTAATGATTGCCATTCTAACTGGTGTGAGATGGTATCTCATTATGGTTTTGATTTGCATTTCTCTGATGAAAATGGCCCTTGTTTTAAGTCCGTAAGTTTGTAGGAGTTTGTTACTCAGCAGTAAGTATCCAGAACAACCCTACCAGTTTTGTGACCTTGGGTAAGTGACAATCATTTATAAAGTGAGGAGGCTACCTTGTAGGCTTATGATAATCATCAAAGAGGTGATGAAGGTAAAGCAGTCAGCACAGTGTCTGACACAGAGTTAAAACCTGGTAAGTTATAACTCTCACTGTTTTTCTTGCTGTTATCACTGTGAAAGAATGCAGGGACAGAACCACCAGCAGGAACCAATTGCAAGTTTGGACTGAGTTGACAGTCTCAATCTAACGGTGTCATTTGCACCACGAGAAGAGCACAGGAAGCAAACTGCCTGGGTTTGTATCCTGGTTCTACCACCTCTTAGCTATGTAAACTTCATCCATTTATAACCCTCTCTGGTCTTCAATTTCTTCATTGGTAAAATAAGGATAACTGTATCTACCTCATAGGACAGCTGGGAGGATAAAATGATGCATTACATGTAAAGCTTTTAGAACTGTGCCTGACATGAGTAAAGGCTCTATAAACGTCAGCTGTTATTATTTGTGTTATAAGTATTTTTAATTATCTAGGATGAGGATAGCCTGGGTCTCCCAGACTAGAGGAAGGGAAAAATAATCACCAGGAAGGAAAGCAAAAAGCTCTTCTGCTGAAAAAATGTAAAGAGTTCCACTGCCCCACATTGGTGTTTCAAGAGACTATACCTGTAATGGGGAGCTCCTGGTGCCGTGGGGTGCAGATCCTATGCCTCTATGTTGCAGCAGAGGTGCAAGATCTTACCCTTTGAACAAGCCAAGATGAGAGTTTGGAGGAGACCTCCTTGAGCTCTTAAAGTGTCACTAGTTGTGACACCTTTTGGAACTTCTCTTTACAACTACCCCAGCCTGCCTCACAGGAGATGGGGAGAGAATTTACATTTACCCAGCAACATAGGGGATGTTGTGGTACGCTGCCCAGATCCCACCTTCAGAAACAAGATACTCATTCTCCCAACTGCCTGGAGTGTTGGCAACTGATGGCTCACAGCTGAGTCCCTCTCCAGGAATTGCCCTCAGCCAAAGAAAGTCACCCTGCCCGAGGTTAAGTTCCCTCCTTCAAGGCAGCTCACATCCACTGAGACATAAAGGTCCAGCCCCTTTGCCACAAGCAGGACATCTCTGCAGGGTAGGGTAACCAATTCATCCCAGTTTCCCTAGGACTTTTCCAGTCTTAGCACCAAAATCCTGCATCCCAGGAATCCCCTCAGTCCTGGGAAAACTGGGCCAGCTGGTCACTATTGCAGATGCATCCTAGCTCCAGAGTTCCTATAGGGCTAAGGCCTTTGTTGCAACTGACCCACCACTGAACTCCTTCCTCTGCCCAATCCTACTTCCTTCCCTCCTCTATATACTGCAGTAAACTTCCTGGGACCCCCATCTCAAGAGCGTGCCCCCCGGGAATCTGACTTAAGCAAGTACCTCTTCTGTGCCAGGCACCATGCGGGCCCATGCCTTGCCCTGTTCAGTCCTCATCCACAACATTGGAGGTGGGCATTGCTATTCCCTTGAGAAAACTGAGAATCACAGATGCCAAGTAACTTGTTCAAGTCCACATGGCAAGTTCAAATCCTTCCCATTGCCATAGAAGACCCAACGCCTTTGCAATCTTTGAAAATAAATCACACTGCCTTGGGACTAAATTCTCTCTTTAGGCCCTTTGGCCCAAGACGGGCAAGCAAAGCAAGAATTTGCACCTGGCATGCAGAAAAGAGCAATGGCATGTGCCTAGTGTTGCTTGCAGGGGTGGGGCTGGCTGGGGAAGGCCGTGCAGGCTGGCAGCCAACTCTGCTTACTTGCAAGGCTACTGCAAACTCAGATTCTTCTCCATGGCCTCCTGACTTATGTTTCTTTCTTCCTTTCTTTGAAGGGAAGATGATGCTCTCAGCCTTTGGCAGGAAATACACTCCCTGCTTTTCCATTTCTCTAAGGGGCAGCTGCCCTCACAGCTAGAAACAGTTACCACCTTTGTCTAACTCTCATTTCCTCTGAAGATCTAAGGCCAGCTGCTCTCAGGGGGAGAGAGAAGTACCTTCCCTCTCCTCGTCCCCCTTCCCCACCCACTCCCCCTTGCCCTTGCCTCACACTACCTTCCTCCCTTCTCTCCTTTCCCTCTCCTTCTCCCCTCCTTCCTGCCCCACTTCCAATCCTCCCAGCCCCCCTCACTGCTGCCACCCTTCTTTGCCCTTCCCTCTTTCCTCCTGTCCTCCTCTCTCCTCCCCTGGTCTCTACCCTTCCTTCCCAGATCTGTATTACCAAAGGCCACAGTGCCCTGAGAAGACTTGAGGCTTACATGTCCAAGTTCAAACACCTTGGGTTCAAACCCCAGCCCTGATGCTGCTTCAGTTTTCTCACCTATAAAATGGAGGAAAATGAGGCCTACTTCTCAGGGTTGCTGTGGAATCTGATGTGAGCATGCAGGTGGCAGGCTTGCCCTAGTGTGGGGCAAATGGGAGGTGCGCCATCTAATTTTATTCCGATTTCTCCAAGGGATGTATCACAGATTGGCATTTCCTCCAAGAGGGAGAAGGAGATGACCCAGAAAGCCCCCATCTTCTCATTAGCACTTTTCAATTTGCTGAAAGTGAAGCTGCCCCCAGGACTCAATCCCACCCCCTCCCAGCCCCTCCCAGCCCTTCTCCTGGGGTTGGGAGCGACGTCTGGCACCAGCTCCTCCAGCACGAGCCATCAAAGTGCCACCAGTACCATCTGGTCTGCCCACATCCTCATGCGGGATTTATTACCTATTCCCTTCCATTAGCATAAATAATATGGAGCTTGGGTTTCATGATGGTTTACATAATAAATAAAACAGGTCAATTGCCCACAAAACTAGTCTCTGTGAACAGTAACAGATTTAATTAGATTTATTTTATCTTGGGTTTTCTGGAGTGAGGCGGATGTCTCTCGTGCCAAGGATAAACTTCTCCATAAACTCCTATTTCTGGAAAGGCAGCTCTCCACCCTCCAAGGAGACAAAAGGGATGAGGGAATAAAGGGGAGGGAGAGAAGAAGGAAGACAGGCCGGAGAAAGGAGAGGCAGGAGGGGGAGAAAGAGAGACAGCTATGGTCCCGTGTTACTCTTCATCTTCCACAGGTCACCCGGCCCCCTGGCTGCCTAGGTGCAGGCCCCCATGTGAACCACCCCCACTGTCCCAGACCACACACACCTGCATGAGCCACTCTTGCACTCACAACCCTTTACTGTCTTCCCATTGCCCAGAATCAAGCCCAAGCCCTTGGCAAGGACCTCCTTCCCCATTAGTTTTCTTTACCAAACCCTTGGGCCTCAGCAGACACCATCCCTCCCCAAGGCCCATCCCCACTTGGACCCTCCAGCCTCACGTGTCCATCGGAAGTTACTGAATGCCCTCTCTTCTCCTGGATCTCTGACCCTCACTGGGCTGTCTCCTCTCTCTGGAACATCCCACCCCCAGTCATCCTTCCAGTCTTAGAGCCCAGCCTCATCTCCAGGCACCCTCATGCCCAGGCTCACCTCTACTCCCACCAGCCTAGGTGCCCAGCCACAGTGCTTTCGGAGCACCCTGTGACCTGCTAACTCTGCTCATCCATTATCTCTGTACACACATTCTCCCACCCGGAATGAAAGCCCTCTGAGACAGTAACCAGGGGGTTCACTCTGTAACCCCCTGGGCCCAGGACAGCGCCTGACTATGTAGTCACTCTTCCTCCAGAGCTCCAAGCAGCTGCTGACAGGCAGCAGCTTTCAATCCATAAAATAAATAAATCCAGCAAATAAATGACTCTCTCAAGGATTTCTAGCCTTCCTTGATCCTCTGCTCCAACAGGTTTCTCCTACCATTGAGTGATTGCTGAAGATAAAATCTGATGAAGTATCGAGAGGGTAAGGAATGGCCCTGCTGGTAGTGGACATCTGTGGAGTTTGCTGTGCAACTTCTCTTGGTAGCAGGATCTTGGTTTTCCCTTGGGAAGTGCATCCACTGGTTTGGGTGGGCACTCCCTCCAGGTTCCAGAAGTAGGTGCAGGACTCAAGACTCACCAATGAAGGCACTGCCCCTCCCAGCCCTGTGTCCAATGCAGGGACCCAAGCTGGTCCAGTGGGACTTAGCCCAGGTCTTGCGTAGACTGAATCAAAGAGAAAGATTCTCTTTTTGTGCAGATGGCTAAGCTGGCAGGAGATAAGTCTGGAGCTTCCAGGGGTTCCAGCAGGGAGAAGAGCCTGCCTCAGAATAAGGAAATTAATTCCTTTCAGAGGAAAGCTGAGCAGAGAGATGAAGGGAGAGAGGATGAATCCCAGGGTGATGGATTGAGTCCTGGGTCCCACCTGACGGAATCCGTGTCTCTCCCCAGGACTTGCCCACACCAAGTGAGCCAAAACAACCCCCACCCACACTTGTCTCATTTAGAGAAGTCAGCTTAGGGGGGCTTTTTGGCCACTACAGCAAAAGAATCCTGATGAATGCCCTATCCTGGGCACAGAAATTTCACTTCTAGGAATTTGTCCTAACGAAATAGCCTGAGAAACAGAGGAAGGTACATGGACTAAGACGATCGCTGTTGTGCCCTCTGAGAGCCACTCCAACAGCCCCTCTGGAAAGCTTTCTCCCCGCCCAAACTGAAGGACACACTCCTCCCTTCCAAGGCACTTCTGTGGCACCTCGTTCATGTCTCTTCCCCAGAGTTCGCGGAGAACGGGAATAACCCATCACCAGAATGTCCCCACCTTCTAGGGTGGATACTGCAAAAGGAGGCTCCATTCCCAGGAAGTTTTTAATTAGAGTACACTAGACTGTCCAGCACCATCTGCCCTCACAAGGAGGCCACCTGAGCAAATGTCAGACAGCACGCTGGGGACATTTTGAGACCTAGGAGAAGGGCCTTTCCCAAGATCACACACAAGCCAGGACATGTTGGAAGCTTGATCCAGGAAAGTGAGTGGAGTTTAGGGGTGAGGGAGTCAAAGCTGCAAACCTTCCCCTAGAGCCCCTTCTGCACATGGCCACACCGCCTCATCTCCCTCCACCGCCGTGAGGCACCAGCCTCCTTTCAGGCCCTTGCTGATATTCCAAGGGGGCCGCAGCAGAAGCAGGACCCACAGCCCCTTTATCACTCTGTCCCACAAGGGGAGGACAGCCTTTCATATGTCCCCCAGTGCATCTGAGTCTCGGCTGTGACGTTTAACAAGGTTGCTGAAGGTTCAAGAATAACAGAAGAAAAGCTCAACATGGAGTAACCTACAGGTAAAATTGTCTGTGACTTCTCTCTGAATCTACAGGCCCAGTACACGTGTGAGGTCCCTTGGTGAACATTGTCCTGCCTCGCAGAGGCCAGCTCAGCTCAGTCCAGGCCCAAGTGACACAAGCCCAGCAACAAAAGGTGACTTTCCCTCCCTCAGTCCAAGACCCACCACCCATCACCCCAGTGCTTCCTTCTCCTCCCAGGATGAGTCACTTCCCTGAATAATTGAGAAGGGCCTCTCCCGAGATCACACACCAGCCAGGTCAAGCTGGAAGCTTGGTCCAGGAAAGTGAGTGGAGTTCAGGGGTGAGGGAGTGAAAGCTGCCCTCCGGGGCACGGTGGGGGTGGGGTGGCAGCAGGCCCTGCTCTCACCCTGGCTGGGCCCTCTGGCTGCCCCTGCCCCATGGCATCCCCCAGGCCAAGCGTCAGCCCAAGGAGACCAGCGGGCTTCCTGCATGCTCACAGCAGACCATGCAGTGGAAGGAAGTCACTGATTGCCCAGAGATGATTTCAGAAGCAAGAGGAGGTGGCCAGGAGCACCAGCCAAACCACCAGCTTCCTTTGGGAGCTCATCTCTGCAGAATTAGGCAGGCTTCTTAGCCATAAATCTACTAGTTATTAATGCACACTCTGCCTGCTGGGGGGCTGAGCTGGGGCTGATGGAGGAGGGTAAGGAGGGTTTCAGTTAGAAAAGAAACTATGCAAACTGAGGAGCCCAAGGGCTGGCAAGCCTGGATAACACCTGGTTCCTCTGCCTTCACCACACTCCTGACAGGTCAGGGGATGGAATAAGTCCCCGTAACTTCTTCAGGCTCAGCTGTCACCTAGCCTAGCAAGCTAGAGGCCTGGGTCTCCTTTGTCCTGGGGCCCCTTTCCCGGGCAGCCTTCTCTAAAGGCATCACTAAAGGCATCACACATCATCTCCTAAAACTGGATTCCCTAAGTCTAGGACATGCCCCCTGGCATGCCATATGATGCCCCTTGGACACTGTTTCTGGTGCCAGCATAGCCTGCAGAGATGCTAGCTGAGCCAGGCCCAGCCATGAGTGACAGAAAAACCAGTGTAGATACGGACCTTCTTGTTTGAAATCAGATAGAAAAATTACAACGAGGGAGAATGAGAAGAACCAAGGAGGAGTCACCTTCTCCAATTAGGGTTAAACACTAGATGTAGATAGAAATTTTTTCATTCAAAACTAGAGAGGAGGCCAGGCACAATAGCCTGTAATCCCAGCACTTTGGGAAGTTGAGGCAGGCAGATTACTTGAGCTCAGGAATTTGAGACCATCCTGGGCAACATGGTGAAATCCCGTCTCTACAAAAAAAAAAAAAAAAATTAGCCACGTGTGGTAATACACACCTGCAGTCCCAGCTACCTGGGAGGCTGACGTAGGAGGATCACCTAAGACTGAGAGGTCAAGGCTCGCACCACTGCGCTCCAGCCTAGGCAACAGAGTGAGACCCTGTCTCAAAACAAACAAACAAACAAACAAAATGACTAGAAAGGGGGAAAATCCAACAACACAGGCTGCGAAATATGCTGCAATATAAAACAGAGGTTATAGCACTGTATGCCAAGGAGAAGAGCCTTCTTATGAAAACAATTTACTAAAGGAAACAAAGGGCATTTTTAGAAAGGCCTCAGCTTTTGTTTGCATTCATTGTTTGAATTGACTCATCTGTTCTCTGTCACTATATAGTCTTTCCTTTGCTGGAATGACACAGTACACAGCCTTTTGAGTACGCAGGCTTTTGAATCTCGCTTCTTTCACTTAGTATAAGTTTTCATCTCTTTTGAGTAAATACCTGGAGGTAGAATTGCTGGGTCACATAGTGGATGTATATTTAGCTATAAACTCTGCTGTACTGTTTGCCAAAGGGCCCATACCATTTTGCACTTCTACCAGCGTTACAAGAGAGTTCCAGTTTCTCAGCATCCTCACAAGCAGCATGGTCAGTTTGTTACTTTAGCCATCTTAGTAAGTATGTAATAGTATATCATCATGGTTTTATAAATTGACTCTATTTTTTTTTTTTTTGAGACAGAGTCTCGCTCTGTCACCCAGGTTGGGGCACAGTGGCGCAATCTCCGCTCACTACAACCTCCTCCTCCTGGGTTCAAGCGATTCTCCTGCCTCAGCCTCCCGAGTTGCTGGGACTACAGGAACATGCCACCACGCCCAGCTAATTTTTTGTATTTTTAGTAGGACGGGATTTCACCGTGTTAGCCAGGATGGTCTCGATCTCCTGATCTCATGATCTGCCTGCCTCAGCCTCTCAAAGTACTGGGATTACAGGCAGAGCCACCATGCCCGGCCAAATTGACTCTTTAAAACAAGTGATGAAGGGTGAACTGACAAAGCTCCACCCAATTGATTTTGAGTTTGGTCAGATGATTAGCTGTGGCCAATGGTATGTGAGCGGAAGTGATCCTGTGTGAGTTTTGAGCCTCACACTTAAGCATCATACAGCGTTTCTTCTTTGGCTCTCAGGGAACTTTGCATTCCATTGTGAAAATAACATGTCTCAGGTGGACTGGCCCAGAGTGAGTCGTGGAGCAGAGCCAGCCCAGTCAACATGCAGGCCACAGCCTCAGGCAGAACGCTGCAACCAACACTCAGAATCTAAGTATTTATTGTTGTTTATCACAGTGTTTTGGGAGACTTGTTATATAGCATGATTGTGGCAGTAGCTGACAAACACACTAGACAGTTTAAAGATAATATTTTAAGGTTTTTCACAGAGGTTTAAGTGAATAAACTTATTTTTATGTTGAATAAATTGAATTTAAAATGGGAGGAAAGTAATTGATAAGTCAAAAGGTTTATATGAAAAGAACTCATTGGCGGAGTGGCAGCAATAAAAAGAGGGCTATATAAGGAAATATTGTAAATAATACAATATCTTCATTAGAAGCCTATAAAGATTTTTTTAAAATAGCATAAAAATGGAATTAGTAATGTGAAGAATAAGCTTTAAAAGTTTCTCCATAATGCAAAAGAAAAAGGGGTTAAAAAACAGGTAAGAGAAATAATTGAGACCCAATATACAAATAATTAGTGCTGCTAAAATATATATAGGAAGAGAACCAAAGCAATAATCAAGGATATAACAGAAGAAATGTGTTCTGTGTTAAAAAACTGAGTCCACAGTTTGAAAGCAATCTCTAAATAGCAGACAAAAATATTGAAAAAAATTAAACATAGTCTACTTAAATATATACTCGTTAAATTTAATTTTTTAACAGAAAAAAAAAAGACTTGGTTTCTGCAAAGAAAAAATAAAATTGGGCTTAGAATTATGCTCCAGAACTACACTGTCCAATACAGTGGCCACCATCCACATAGGATTATTCAGTACTTGCAATGTGGCTAGTCTGAACTGAAACACTGAAAGTGTAAAACACACACCAGATTGTGAATACATACTGAAAAATTAAAATTGTAAAATATCTCAATAATTTTTATGTTGATTATATGTTGAAATGATAATGTTTTGGATATGTTGAATCTAATAAAATATGTTCATTTCATCTGTTTGTTTTTACTTTTCTAATGTGGGTACTAGAAATTTTTACATTACATATGTGGCTTGCATTATATTTTTAATATAAAGTACTGCTCTAAAATAGGGATTGGCAAACTATGGCCTACAGGCCAGTTTGGGCCCACCACCTGCTTTTGTAAATAAAGCTCTCTTGGGACACAGCCATGCTCATTTGTTTACATATTATCTATGGCTCTTCCATACCACAATGGCAGAATCGAGTGTCCAGCACAGCACAAACCATAAAGCAGAAAAAGCATTAAATATTTGTTATCTGACCATTTTCAGCAAGTTTGCCAACCTTTGCTTTAGACTCATAAGATGGTGTTGAAATTTCAAGCAAGTTTTGAGATTAAAAGGTAACATAGACGGGTACAGTGGCTCATGCCTGTAATCCCAGAGCTTTGGGAGGCTGAGGCGGGCAGTTCACGAGGTCAGGAGTTCAAGACCAGCCTGGCTAGCATGGTGAAACCCCATCTCTATTAAAAATACAAAAATTAGCCAGGTGTGTTGGCGTGAGCCTGTAATCCCAGCTACTCGGGAGGCTGAGATAGGAGAGTCGCTTGACCCCGGAGGCAGAGGTTGCAGTGAGCTGAAATCACACCACTGCACTTCAGGCTGGGCGACAGAGCGAGACTCTGTCTCAAAAAAAAAAAAATTAAAAAAAAAAGTAACGTAATGTCTAAATAAAGCTAAATTCTCAATTATATGTGTTTCCCCCTCTTTCAGATTGGCAGAGATTTCTTTCCTTCCTTCCCTTTTTCTTTCTAACTTTCCTTTCCTTTCCCTCTTTTTTAAATGATAAAACCTGATCTAGGTAACAACCTGAGGGAAATGGACACTTTTATAGCCTGTTGAGGGAGTATAAATCAGTACTATCTTTCTAGATGGCAGTTTGTTAATAGGTATCAATACCGGATCTAAGGTTCATGGGTGGAATTCAAGGGCAGTCTATGAACCTGAGCAGAAAATTTTTGCATATTTATTTCTACTAAACCCTAACTGAAATTTAGCATTTCTTTTAGTTATGAGTATAGGAGTGGTTGGCAGAAAATGGTCCCCAAAGATATCCATGTCCCAATTCCTGGAATCTGTCACTGTGGAACCTAACAAAGCAAAAAGGACTTTGCAGACGGGATGAAATCAAGGATCCTGAGATCGGGAGATGATCCTGGATTATCCTAGTGGGCTCAATGTAATCACAAGGGTCCTTATGAGAGGGAGGCTGGAGAGTCAGAGTCTGAGAAGGAGACGTGACGGCAGAAGCAGAGGTCGGAATGATGCGGGTCCATGAGCCAAGGAATGCAAGAAGCTTCCAGAAGCTGGAAAAGACAAGGAAATGGAGTCTCCCTTTGGGCCTCTAAAGGAAACACAGCCCCCGACACACCTTGCTTTTAGTCCATTGATACTGACTTCAGACTTCTAACCAGCAGAAATGTGACATAATAAAGTAAGTTTGTGGTAATAAACGAAGCAGCAATGGGAAATGAATATAGCTGGAGACAAAAAACAGTGGAATTAGCACCTTGTCACCAACAGAAATCACAGATATTTTTATTTCAGATTACAGTTATTGCAAGTATCTCAAAATATTATTTACATTCATCTTAACTTGAAATTTTTAGTAGTTAATAGACCTGCTGCTAAATCTTGATCTTAAAAGAATACATATATCACCATGTCTGAGTTTTATAAGTTTGATAATTGCATTCCATATAATTAGCTTCTTTTGTAATCTTATCTATCTTATTTTATGCACTAAAAACATTATTCTGAGAGCGAATCTGTGGGCTTTACCAGACTACCAGTGGGGTTCATGGCACAAATATGTTAAAAATTCTTACTATGAATATTCCTCAGTTTATTTCATCATTCTTCCATAAAAAGATAATGAAGATTTTTACAATTGTTTAACCTCACAAAGATGGAGAAACATCTTATAGCTGCTTTTTTTTGCACATGTGAGAGTAATTCTTAGGGAGGGTAAATACCAAGGAGTGGAATTGCTACATCCAAGGGCCTGTGTATTTTTTATTTTAATGGATTCTGCCCAACTGCCTTCTATGATGCCAGTTACACTCACCTCTGCCGTGTATGGTTGTACTCCTTCCCTATGTCCTAGCCAACCCACTGCTTGGTATTTTCTAACCAAATAAGTGATGATTATCTCACTGTCATTTTAGTTTTTATAACCCTGATTATCAAAATATTTTAAACTTTTTTTGGCCATTTTTCCCCTCTGTGAATTGCCAATTCATATCTTTTGCCCTATTTTGTACTAATTTTGCTTTATTTTTCTTTTGACTTGTGGAATCTCATTTATTCTGATTATTGTCTATTATACATATTGCAAGTATTTTCTCCTAGTCGGTTGCTTTACCTGGCTTGGTTTATGACATCTTTGTCTTAGGGAAGTTTTAAACTTGGAGGTAGACAGAATAATCCACCTTTTTTTGTCGCTTCTGCATTTTTATCTTAAGGACTGTTATCTACTCAACTGTTATAAACACATCCCCCAACATTTTCTAATATTTGTTTAGTTTATTTTGAAGATTGAATGTTTAATTTATCTGAAATTTGTTTTGTGCATGATATAAAGTAAGAATGTACATTTATTTATTTTCTGGATAACTAGCCAGAAACATTACTTATCCTTCTTCACTTAAATGGCCACTTTAATCCTATACTAAATTCACATATACCTTAATTTAATACGCATTTATTGAGTTCCTGCTCTTTGCCAGGCATTATTCTAGGCAATGAAGATACAGCAGTGAACAACACACAAAAGCTTTAAAAAGAAAAAAAGCATTAAACTCAATGAGAATGCAAAATTATATAATCAATTTTGACAAGAAATACAACTGAATTAAACTTCCCCATGGAAAAAAAAGGACTCATGGTTTGGGTTTTTTAATTACATTATTGTCCAAAAATGATCAAATAGACCGGAGGAACCTAACAGAAAGCTTAGAAACAGATCCTAGCACTTAAAAAACTTCAGTAGGTGATAAGGTACTCTTCCAAATGAGTGGTAAAATAATTTATTTTTTTTATTTCAATAGATTTTGGGGTACAGGTGGTTTTTGGCTACATGGATAAGTTCTCTAGTGGTGATTTCTGAGATTTAGTGCACTTGTCACCCAAGCAGTGTACACCATACCCAGTATGAAGTCTTTTATCCCTCACCCCTCTCCCCACAGTCCTTTTTTTTTGAAACAGGGTCTCGTTCTGTCGCACAGCCTGGAGTGCAGTGGTGCGATCTTGGCTCACTACAACCTCCGCCTCCTGGCTTCAGGCGATTCTCTTGCCTCAGCCTCCTGAGTACTTGGGATTACAAGCACACACCACCATGCCTGGCTAATTTTTTTTTGGATTTTTAGTAGAGACGGGGTTTCACTATGTTGGCCAGACTGGTCTCGAACTCCTGACCTCGGGTGATCTGCCCGCCTCGGCCTCCCAAAGTGTGGGGATTATAGACATGAGCCACTGCACCCGGCCCCCATAGTCCATTATATCACTCTTATGACTTTGTATCTTCATAGCTTAGCTCCCACTTATAAGTCAGAACATGTGACATTTGGTTTTCCATTCCTGAATTACTTCACTTAGAATAATGGTGTCCAGCTCCATCCAAGTTGCTGCAAACAGTGTTGTTTCATACTTTTTAATGGCTAAGTAGCATTCTATCATATATTTATACCACATTTTCTTTATCCACTCATTGGCCGATGGGCACTTAGGTTGGGTCCATATCTTTGCAATTGCAAATTGTGCTGTTATAAATATGTGTGTGCATGTGTCTTTTTCAGATAATGACTTCTTATCCTTTGGGTAGATACCCAGTAGTGGAATTGCTGGATCAAATGGTAGATTTACTTTTAGTTCTGTAAGGAATATCCATCCTGGTCATATTAATTTACATTCCCACCAGCAGTGTAAACGTGTTCCCTTTCACCACATCCACGCCAATTTTTTTTTTTTTTTTTTTTACTTTTTAATTATGGCCAAGAATAGATTTTTTTTAACACATGGTGTTGGGACAAATTATTTACCATTTGGAGGGGGAAATAATCTGATCCTTACCTCACCTCCATCAAAATAAATTCTAAATGGATAAGGAAGTTTAATCTATTAGATTTTAGACGAACAGGAAGAAATCATGGGTGAATATTTACCTGACTTTGGAGTGAGGAAAGTATTTCAAAGCACTCTTTTCTTTGGAAAGAAGAAAGCACAAAAAAAGAATAACTAATCTAAAAACATAAAAATCAGGCTGGGCACGGTGGCTCACGCCTGTAATCCCAGCACTTTGGGAAGCCGAGACGGGCAGATCACAAGGTCAAGAGATCAAGACCATCCTGGTCAACATGGTGAAACCCCATCTCTACTAAAAAAATACAGGCGCGTACTACGCGTGCCTGTAGTCCCAGCTGCTCAGGAGGCTGAAGCAGGAGAATCACCTGAACCTGAGAGGCAGGGGTTGCAGTGAGCAGAGATCACGCCACTGCACTCCAGCCTGGCAACAGAGCGAGACTCCATCTAAAAAAAAAAAGAAAGAAAGAAAAGAAAAAAAATCAAACCATTACATATATCAAAATATCGTAAACAAAATTAAAAATCAAACAACACACTAGGAAACTAGGAAATAATATTTGTAACATACATCACAGACAAGGTGAATAACTCTTACAAATCAATAAGAAAATCCGGAAACCCCATTAAAAAAAGGAGGAAAGAACATAAATAAGAAAGGTACAATAGAAAACTACAAATAGCCAATAAATATATGAAAAATTTCCATATCACTAGTAATAAAAGAAATCAAAATTAAAACAATGAGACATATATTTTGCCTGTCATCTTAACCAAGCTTTTAAAAAATCATAGTACTTAGGGCTGGCACTGGTTCAGAGGAAAGGAAACTGTTCTACCTTATGGTGGGAGTATGAATTGTCACAATCATTCTGTGAGGCAATTTATTTATATGGATCAAAGGCTTTAAAATGTCCATACTCTTTGATAAGGCAATTCCATTTATAACAATTTCTCCTAGGGAAACCATTAGAAATGTACACAAAGATTTATTTCCAAGGAGGTTCCTGGCAGCATAGTATACAATAACAAAAAAAAATTAAAGCAAACAAAAAATATGAAGACAATTGATTTACAATCTCCAACACTAGGGGATTTGTTAAGTAGATTATGTTGGATTCATATGATGGAATGCTATGTGGTCATTAAAAATCATGTTCTCCACTCATATTTAATTTTAAGGGAAAATGCCCTAGGTGTAAAGGCAAGTGGAAATAAAAAGAATACTAGACTGCATCAATTGTATGTATGTATGATAGATTTCACCAATAAGACTGCTCAATTCTGTGCCCACTTCCACCCACCCCCAACTTTCTGCTGCTTCTGCCGGGTACTGCATCTTCCCCAGCACTGCCTTCTCTCCTGGGTGTCTCTGCCATTTCTATGAGATAACACCACCTTTGCTGGGCATGGCCATTCTCAGCAGGTGCCATTACCCCCAACCAGGCTCCCAATATGTTCAGCCAAACTACTATCAATGCACGTGGAATCACCTAGTACTACAGGACCTTCAAGTTCTGGAATCCCAACTTGAGGTAGCCAGATGAAAAGAAGAGCATCTTGGGTGACATGTCCAAACCATGGGAAGTAACGGGGTGTAGTTGGAGTATAGGAATGACCACAACCAGGATTTGAATGCCCTCTAACAACCCCCACCACTCCATTTCTCACCTCCACTTCTCTTGATGGATTAGCTCTGCCTCCTGCTACTCAGATTGCTCTCTCCCACAAGGTGGGGGAGGTCCACCAGGCCCACAATAATTTGGAGGATGACAGCTCATGCTGTTGCCTTTAAAGGATTGGCTTTCCCCTGTTCGTTCCAAATAAAAATTCTCAGGGAAAGTTCCTGATTGGCTGGACCTGGGTCATGTGATCACTTGTGTGACTATAAGGGTGAATGGCTTTTCTCTGTTTGTTCCAAATAAAAATTCTCAGGGAAAGTCCCTGGTTGGATGGACCTGGGTCATGTGATCACTTGTGTGACTATAAGGATGAATACCGTGATTGGTAGCTCCCACTCAAACCACAGGGTGGCATGGGATAGGAGATGAAGCAGCTCCCAGAAGAAGGGAACAGGTGCAGGCAGGCAGGCTTTTCGTCTGTTCTTCTCTTGGGGAAGGGCGTATGCCAAGAGCTCTGTCAATGTCCCCAAGGACTTATAGAGCTTTTAGTCAAAGTGTTCTTTCCATTTTTGCTTAATTCCCCTCTATCTTCCCAAGGGCACACATAGGCGTTCATAGGTCAGGCCCAAGGGAAAACCTGAGTTATAATTCCCACTATATGCTCAGCCTCACCTCTCCCATCTGGCCCTACAGCTTATAACCACTTCTATTCATTGTATACATTTTGTGTGCCAAGCCCTCAAAGTACTTAACCTGCCTATTACCAGCAAGGGCCCAGCTCAGCAGGTGGGGGTAAAAATGCAGACACATCTGTTAGTAAGTTTCCAATTATTTAAATGCCCACCAATATTAATCGCACAGTTCAGTGACTCCATCTCAAGGCCTCAATCCTCATTGCCTCTGTGTTATTCAAAGCCCTAAGGAGTCAAACTTGCTTCCAAACACCAATAGAGTGAGAAACAGAATGTTCCTGTTAAAGACCAGACCTGCCTGCCTGGCGCAACCAGTCCATGCACAGGTGTAAATCCTGCCAGCACCACCTGAGCATCCAGGGTACCAGCTCTTTTATTATGCAACACACACACACACACACACACACACAGAGAAAAATGTCTTCCTACCTCAGTAAGTTTGCTTGCTGGCCTTATATTTGCATTACTCTGAGGAAGCCTCACATAGATTGCCTGTACAGCTCTACTCCATTTCTGTCTCTGGTCTATACAGAGAAATCGCTGATAGCTTCTAGATATGAAAATGCTGTCACTTGTGCCTTGTTACAGGTATTGTTATTTCATGCAACCATCTTAAACAGCTGGTGAATTGGGCTCCACTATTATCCCACGTCTTATAGATTAGGAAGCAGGAAAATGGGCCCAAGTCCACCCACCCACCCATGGTGGAGCCGATATTCAGACCCAGAGCTGGCCCTGCCTGGCTGCCTCTTACCGCAGGATAAGTTTTCTTCCAGGAGGCGCTTCAGTCCCAGAAGAGATGGTGGTGGCCCTGTGTCACCAGCTCATCAGCTATGCCAGAGCATGGCTGAATTCCAGAGCAGGACACACTCTGCACAGGCTGAGAAGCCCCCTGCATGCTGCATCGTGTCTAGGGAAAGAAGATGTGAAAACATGAGGCAATGTTAACCATACATGTTTCTAACTGGTGAGACTCTGGATCATTTTTATTTCCTTCGTTATGCTCTTCTAAATTTTCTGGGCTTCCAAAAAAAAACATGGATTGCTTTTATCATCCAAATAATGTGAAAGGGTACACACGTGTACCCTTTCATGTTAGATATGTATTTAAGTATTAAACTTTCTGCACCCTAATACTAATAAGTGCTAGTGCTTCTCCATCTCCTCCAAATCTCAGTGCTGTCCTTCAAAAAACCCTGTCTGTCTATCTGTCTGCCTGTGAACGCTGATTTAATCTCTGCTTTCTGTGTGTTGGGATGATGGTCTGGAGCCCTCCGCAAATAAGAGCCATCCTCTCAACCATGCAGCACTTCACACCCATGGACTATTTTCACGGACCCTCTGGAGCAGGCATCAACATTTCCCTTTGACAGATAAGAAAACTGGGGCTCAGGGACATTAAGTGCCTTCCACAAGTTCACCTTATTAATGGGGCCTCTCTGTTCCTTCCCACATCAAAGGCAGTCTGCTGTTAGTAGAAGTGGGATGGAGGGCAGCCTTGTGAGGAAGGGCCTTGGTTTTGGAGTCAGCAGACCTGAGTTGAGATCCTGACTTGGTCCTCACAAGCTGTGTGTCCTGGACACATGAACTTCCCTTCTCCAGATCTCTATTTCCTCATCTGTAAAATGGGAGTAATTAAAAGTGCTTGCTTCATGAAGTTATTGTAAGAAAGAAAAACTACACTGTCCTTCATATCAAAATGGCTACTAAAAATACAAAAATTAGCCAGGCTTGGTGGCACATGCCTGTAATCCCAGCTACTCAGGAGCTGAGGCAGGAGAATCACTTGAACCCAGGAAGCAGACGTTAGAGTGAGCAGAGATCTCGCCATTGAACTCCAGCCTGGGCATCGCAGCGAAACCCTGTCTCAAAAAAAAAAAAGTCTATAATAATTTTCTAAGCAGAAAATCACAGGTGTTGGCAAGAATATGGAGAAAGTTGAGCCCTCAAACATTGCTAGTAGGACTGTAAAGTCATGCAGCTGTTACGGAAAACAGTTTGGTGGTTCCTCAAAAAGTTAAATATAGAATAATCATAGGACCCAGCAATTCTACTCCTAGATATATAACCCAGACAATCAAAAACAAGTGCTCAAACAAAACTTTGTACATGAATGTTCATAGCAGCACTATTCATAATAGCCAAAAGGCATTAAAAAATATATGTCCATCAACTGATGAAAGGATACACAGAATGTGGTATATCCATACAATGGAATATAATTCAGCCATAAAAAAGGAAAGGCTGCTACATGCCACAACATGGATGATCCCCAAAGACAGTATGCTAAGTGGAAGAAAATGAACTCAAAAGGCCACATATTACATGATTCCTTTCACATGAAATACCCAGAATAGGCAAATCCGTAGAGACAGAAAGCATCCTAGTGTTTGCCAGGGGCTAGAGGGAAGAGGGAATGGGGAGGGATGGCTGAATGGGTATGGGTTGATGAAAATGTGGTAGAACTTGATATTAGTGATAGTTACACAATTATGTGACTGTATTTAATGGCACCAAATTGCACACTTAAAATGGTTACAATGGTAAATTTTATATTATATGTATTTTACCATAATAAAAAATAAGAGACAATGTCAGTGGAACTCACAGTGCTGAACCTGGCCTGTAGTAAGTGCAATAGGAGCTAATGTTTCAGGCAGATGATAGAGACAGAACTTCTGAACTCCAAGCAGCCAGCTTCTCCCATGGGCTGGACAGGAGGGGATGATGAGGGACTTCCTGAGGCTGAGGCTTCAGCCCCAGACCCCAGCTGCTGTCTGAGGGCCTGGGCTGGACAGGAGGGGATAATGAGGGACTTCCCGAGGCTGAGGCTTCAGCCCCAGACCCCAGCTGCTGTCTGAGGGCCTAAGCTGGATCAGGAGGAGCTCTGGAACCTCAGTCTGCATCCTGGGTGGCTCTGAGCTGAAAACAGCAGACAGACCTGGCAGCTTCCTTGGCACCTTCCCCCACCTTTGCACCCCAAATGCCTGCCCCTAAAGCTCAGGCAAGAACAGGAGACAAAGAAAGAAGTAGAAAAGAATGCTTGTCCCAACACCTGGTGCAGAACCGGCCTAACCATCCACCTCTTGCTCTCCAGGAGAGGAATAGCCCCTGACCAAGAGGGTCAGACCTGCCTCAACACATTGGGTGCCCTGGAAATGCTCACTTGAGATGAACCCAACAGCTCTAGCCTCCCAAGAGCCTAAAGCCACAGGTGAGCGGGGGGAGAGAGAGAGGCCTTGAGTGGAAGACGTGAACCTCTGTCTCTGGCAGGTGAAGCACAGTGGCCAGTAAGTGTCATTGCCCTCAATCCCAGCCCACCCTGGAAGAAGTGGGCAGAGGAAGCAATGCAGTGAGTCATACCACATGGGTCTTCGTTCATGCCGGCAGCACCAAGCACAGCATAGGAGAGGCCCTCCTGACAGAGTTCACCCCAGGAGATCCTCAGGGCCAGGACAGGACAGCCACTCCTCCTGAGACCTCCCAGGTTAAGCAGCCTGCCCAGGGCCCAGAGTTTGCCTGTTTTCTTCCCACCTTCCTTCCTTCCTTCCTTCCTTCCTTCCTTCCTTCCTTCCTTCCTTCAAGTACACTGCCCCTCCTCCAAAAGAGAGATTCAGGATGCTGCAGGGAGAATGAAATCATTGAGTCAGGAGCCCCCTTCCTCTCAGCCTGCAGAGCCCATAAGCAATTCCCATCTGAGTCCAGGGGGCAAGCAATCCTGCACTCAGAGAGCGAGGCTAATGCTCCGTATTCCATTAACCTGGTGCATGGCTGGCAGGAGGCTGGCAGGGTGTCCGGGGGTGAGGTAGAGGAAAAAAACCTCCTGATTTTCTTCCTGGCTTCAAAATGAAGGAAAGTCTACAATTCTCCACCAGGAGCCAGAAGCCCTTTTCTTTCCTGTGATAATGGTGAGGGTTTGTTTTCTTTCATTTAGACGCTCCCAAACTTAATTTAAAGTTTCTCTCTTTTAAATATGTCCTGGCTGCAGAGTGAACAGCAAGGAGCTGCCAAAGGAAAGTGGAGAGGGAGAGATGATTGCCGGAGCAGATATTGCAGCAGCTGAAATGAAAAACTGTCCCTGGGAGAACTTGAGGGAGGGAGGAGAGCGCTCAGGGACTGGGATGGGGAGTACAGGGTGGAGGGGGACCCCAGGGAGAAGGGAAGGCCCGAAGAACCCTAGCCAGCCAGTATTTATTGGATGTTGATTCCCCAAAGCCCATTTTCTAACATCACCCGGATTTGAGGGGTGGGGGCAGGGAGTGACCTCTCCCACCTTGAGTATTGTCTCAGCAGGAAGAAGATTCCAGGTAACTACTTTCTGGCCTGAAAGCTGAGCTTTTCTTTCTCCTGACCCTAGCACAGCCAGGGAGTGGACATGGGGCCTCAGTTCCCCTCCCAGGTGACTCTTGAGGGATGCTGGCAGAGCAGGAGGCTGAAGGTCAGCCTTGGCCACAGCTGCATACCCCCAGCCTGTGCCAGCCTCAAGACCACCTTCTGTTTCCCGGGCTCACCATCATCATCTTAGTTCCTGCCTGTGCCTAAGGCCAGTCCTAATGTCTCCTCCTGGGTCTGGGATAACTTCAAAGACTTCCAGTCAATGCCCTTTTGCTTAAATTGACCACAGTTCATTTCTGTTACTTTCAAGCAAGAACCAGGTTGACCCGGACTCACCCAAGGACCAGATGTTCCGTCTCCATTTGACAGTCTTCCATTCCAACAGTCTGTGCATTGATGAGATAAGTGGAAGTTAACACGCAGAGAGCAGGGCCCTGGTGCTAGGTTTGTTTTGAGAGCATTGATCTCCTTCCCCTGTTGCCACCCTGGAAACACTTCTCACCACCCCCAATTACAGCTCATCTCCTCCTTTCACAGAAGTGGGGCCGTGTGTGTCCTTGACTGCTCCATTGTGGCTTCCCTTTGCAGTCACTCAAAGGCCCCTCCAGCTTTGCTTTGTCCTGCAGAGAACTCATTGGTCCCCACCGTCTCCCTCCAGCAGGTTCTGCTCACCTTCGGGTCCTCCTCGCTTCTCCTCTCCTCCTCCTGACCTGGATATGCCATGTAACAACCCAGCTCTGGGGATGTGCATGGTGAGGAAAGCCCTCAGCTGGAGTCTGGGGGCCCCAGCTCTGGTCCTTGCTTGCTCTGTGATGTGGCAAACCTCAGTCTCCTTGGCCTCAATTTCCCTATCCATAAAAAGATGGGGCTGATGTCCCACCCAGATCTCATCGCTGGTGAGGAGGGAGTGCTGCCAAGAAACAAACTGCAATGAGATGGTCAGATTTTCCCCCTGGGCTGTTGACCACAGAGCCTCCTAACTCCCCCTCTGCCTCCAGTCTCATCCCACCTGCTCCATCCTCTGCAGTCTCCACATCAGGTTTTGCTACTCCTTTGCTACCACTCACCATGGCCCCATTCATCCAGACTGGCAGTGACATTCCAAATATTTAACAATCAGAGAAAGACACCCTGGAGCAGATCCCGGAGGCTCCCTGCTGTGACGGGGTGAACGCTCTAGTGACTGGATTATGGGGAGGACGGGTGGGGGAAGCACAGGGGGGACGGCGGCTCTTCACCAGCAGGAACATTTCAATAGATCACCTACCAGAGCAGCCACACTGTTCGGCTCCTCCACCCTTCTGCTGTCGGCAACCGAAGCCCTGCATTCAATCCCTTCTGTCCTAAACGTTTCGAGGTTTCTGTTTTCCTGGCTGGATCCTGGCTGATATAACATCCAACACCAGATTTCCTCTTAGGGAAGCAAATGTTTTTGTATAAGAAAATACCTTGATAAGGCACTTGAGGTAACATCCTAAGGGTATGATTTGACAAGAGACAAGGAACTGAAAGAGATAGGTAAAATGCTCTGCATGGGAAACAAGTGAGAACTGGGAGGTAGGGGAGAGAGGGAAAGAGCAAAGGAGAAAATAATAAAACAATGTAACAGGAGGTGGAAGCTCAGGTGGTGGAAGCTGAGGGACTTCTAGGAATGGAAATATCAAAGATGGACTTTTACACTGCTGGCGGTTTTGCAATCTATAAATCCCTTCTCCCATCCTTTGGAAATGTCTGCTACCCACAGAGACTTTGTGTGCCCAGCTATGCTTTGTTTTAGGGGTGAGGCTGATTTTTTTAATGAAACACAAAGGAAAGGATTGAGGTCCATGTCTGGGCTGACTCAGGGTGGAACCGACAACACCAGCAGGAGGTAAGAAGATGCATAAACTGCATTAATTCAATGCAAACAAGAGCTGAGAGCTAGAAATGACAGTGAGAATAAGAGCTAATCTTTCATAGTGCTTACCATGCACCAGGCTCCGCTCTGAGCATTTGCACAGGAACTCACTCATTTAATTCTCACAACAACTCGATGAAGTCAGTACTATTATTATCTGCCTTCTACAGATGTGGAAACAGAGCAATTGAGTAGCGTCAGTTGCTCTAGCAAGAGATAGAGCTAAGATTTGAACCCAGGCAGTCTGACTAGAGTCTGTGCTCTTAACCACCACCTGTGAGAAGCCCTCCAGGAATGTGCGGGAACCTCAGGAGATTTTTAGTGTACAGTCTGTTGTATGAGGGTTTGAATTGAGCTGACCTGGATCTTAAGGGCAAGAAGAGTCTAACTGGCACCTGGGTTTATCTATTCTACCGTCACTCTCTGGGACTAGCTCTGAGCTCCCCCAGGGCAGGGACCACATTTTATTTCTCTGTGACCTCAGATCTTCCACAAGGCCTGGCACAGAGTAGGAAGTAGCTCCAGTTCATTTTGCTTGGGTAAATAAGGGAAGGGAGGGAAAGAAAGACCCAAAGGAAGCCAAAATGTTTATCTGGACCAGGCCAAGGCTGAAACCAAGGCAAGGGAGATATTTGTCACCTTGTCACCTCCCCTCCCCCAGTGCTAATTCCAGCGCTGCCACCTCCCATGCAGGCGTGAAGCTGTGGATTTTTCCTAATCGAGAAGGAAAACATCTTCTGTCTAGTCAAGGCAAGGCTGTGAAGGCGGTGCCGCGCGGGCTGGCACCACACACTCGCTGCATTTCAGAGCTGCTTTTCTTGCTGCTGTCGTGCGTTTAACTCTTCCCATGTTTTAAAATGTAAGAGCCATGACACCCGCTTTGAAAGCCCCAAGGAGAGGGAGTGATGGTATCTCAACAGGAACAGCTCTACTGGGAGGTGTGGAGGGGACGAGGGGTCTCTACAGCAAAGAAGTAGTCATCTCTTCAATCTTGCCTCTTCAGGATCTATTCTAGTGTTCTTTATTTCATTTTCATGTGATAAAAATTGAGATGTACAACTCTTGTCTCAGCTAACATGGGCGGCAGTCAGCCAGAAAGAGTTTTGTCCTCCCACGTGGGCAGGCTGCGGGCAGGAGACAGGCTCTAGGGAAACATCTTTGGGGGCTGTGGGGATAGGAGTTCCTCCTTTTTTTTTTTTTTTTTTTTTTGAGACAGAGGAGTTTCACTCTTGTCACCCAGGCTGGAGTGCAATGGCGCGATCTCGGCTCACTACAACTTCCACCTCCCAGATGCAAGCAATTCTCCTGTCTCAGCCTCCCGAGTAGCTAGGATTACATATGCCTGCCACCACGCCCAGCTAATTTTCATATTTTTAGTAGAGATGGGGTTTCACCATGTTGGTCAGGCTGGTCTCAAACTCCTGACCTCAGGTGATCCACCTGCCTCAGCCTCTCAAAGTGCTAGGATTACAGATGTGAGCCACTGCACCCAGCCAGGAGTTCCTCCTTGATCGTCCCTCTTCTCCTGCACATACAAACACACACACACACTACCCATACAGTGCAAGCACACACACGCATACACAGTCGTACTCCTTACCCCCAGGGCAGGCCCTGGTTCACAAGGAACCAGAACTCCAGATTTGCCCAGGTTCAGCCAAGGTCCAAGAGATAGGAAGGCTAGAGGCCTGTCCCAATGACCTCTCCAGACACCTCACCTCCTCCCTAGGGCCAAGCACTGCTAGTGTTGCTGGGATCAGGGAGTAAATGAAAGCCGAGGCACCAGTAGGGGTCTGTGTCAGTATCCAGGCAAGGGATACTGCTGGCCTGGACCAGAGCAATAGTATTCACAAATAGAAAGGAAAGGGCACAGTCAAGAGATATTTGAAAGTAGACCTGGAAACACCTACTCATTGGAGGGAAGTAGAAGAGCAAGAGAAATGAAGGAGTCGATGGGGGACCACAGGCTTGGGTGATGGCTGATAGGGGTGACATTCCCTGACACAAAGAGCCCTGGGGAGGAAGACAATGAACTTTGTATTGGACATGGTGAGCTTGAAGGACATCCAAATAGAGACGTCCAGTGGGCAGTCGGATATGAGGTCTGGTGCTCAGGAGAAAGGTCCTGGCTAGAGATGGAGATTCAAGAGTCCATGGCATACAGATGCAATCATGGTCACCCACTGGATGGTCTCATCCACGGAGAGTGTGAGGAGCAGAAAGAAAGACCAAGTGCATCAATATTGAAGATACTCAGCTATGAGAAAGATGACCTGAGAAGCTAGGGCCAGATGTTGGGCAGAAATCTGGGCAAGAGTGGTGTCTTCAAAGCCAAAGGCATGTGCACAGAAAGTGAGTGTGATCGCCAGTCCCAAAAGCTGCAAGGAAGTCAGGCAAGATAAGGACCAGAGGGTGTCCAATCAGGCCTAGCATCAAGGATGTCACCTGATGACCTTGGAAAGGTCTTGGTGGGAGCAGAAGACCAATTACACAGGTATGGGAGAAGAGAAGTGTGGACTGCTCAAGAAGCCTGGATTCAAGGCAAGGGAGAGACAGGGTCAGAGCCAAAGGAGCCACCAGGCCTAGGGAGGGAGGTTGTTGTATGTCTGTTTGCTGGCTTCTTTCTACAATGGAAGAGCCTTCAGGAGGTTTCTGGGCTAAAGGGGGCAAGGCAGTAAAGAGAGAGAGATTGTGATACAGGAGAGAGGAGTTCCTCATGGAGAAAGGCCCGTGAGAGAAGGTGGAGGCATGCAGACAAGGGTACAGGGGCTGGGGGAGGAGTCAAGGGTGCAGGGAAGGTTGACCAAATAGTGAGAGGAAGAGCAGCTCGTCTGAGGAACAGTGTGAGGACAGAGACAGACATAGAGCAGTGTGGTGGGACAGGGAGCTGAGGGAGACTCAGTCCCAGGAAGACCTCAACAGAAGGAAAGTAAGAGGCTGGGCCTCTGCCTGGAGAGACCGGGACAGGAGGGAGCTTGGGACAGTAGCGAGGGCTTTCAGCTATCCCTGAGAACAGGAAAGGTGTCTGAGCAGGGACAGGAGGTTAGCTCGGGCCCTTCTTTCATTGCAGCTGTTCACTGCTCTGTTTTGTGATGTCCATTTCCTGCAGCCTCAAGGCCAGAAGCTTCTTAAACCTTCTCAAGCCTGTCTGGGGTCAAGAAAGCTGAGGGGTCAGTGGGGAAAGGAAAACCCACTCTAGCATGAAGGAGAGTTCCTATCAGCCCCTCTGGCAATGCCATGGCGTACTGTGGGAAGTGGTGAGTTCCACCTCAGTCAGGAAGTTGAAGCCAAGAATCTCAGCTGGGGCCAGGCATCATGGCTCATGTCTGTAATCCCAACACTTTGAGGTCAGGTGAACTCAGGGGTTTGAGACCAGCCTGGGCAACATAGCAAGACCTTGTCTCTACTAAAAATTAAGAAAAAAAATTAGCTGGGTATGGTGGTACACACTTGTAGTTCCAGCTACTTGGGAGGCTGAGGCAGGAGGATTGCTTGATCCTGGGAGATTGAGGCTGCAGTGAGCTATGATCGCACCACTGCACTCCAGCTAGGGCAACAACACAAGATTCTGTCACAAAAAAAAAAAAAAAATCTCAGCTGGGGTCTGTAGTGGGGATTCCCACATACAATGGTGGGCCATTGGACTACTGCCCTCAATGTCCTGTCCTGCCCTGGGTTCTAAAGGCATGGGACAGGGTGTGACTGCTGCCTCCAGGTTGGGAGGGATAATGCTAGATCTGGCCAGGCCAGTGTCCTGTTGACAGCTTCCTCCATCCCCCATGGCTCCCCATGGCTCTTGGGAGCACCTATGACCCTACCCCCTACCCATCCTGTTATTCTGAGAAGCCCTGCCCACTCAGGTTCATTTCCTGTTAAACTCAATCAATTAATGCCTCTTTTATCTTTAGAACATCTACCAGAAGGATTTGGCCATTTTTTTCCTATTATTTTCAAATAGAGAAAGTAAGGGTCAGAGAAGTTAGGACTTTTCCCCAAAATCGCAAAGACAGTGGGGGAGAAAAACTATACCCTATGGCTCTGGGCTTTGTCCCATCTATTCCACTCTACAGCTGGGGCCACTGCCACTACCACGAAGACCTCCTGCCCAGCCCTGAGCAGGTGCATCAATCCTCCAGCCACGTCACTTAGTAGCTGTCATCTGGAGTCTGCCAGGATGGACCCTGGCTGGCCAAGAACCTCAAGTATCTGCTTTCTTCTCCCTCTGCCTCAAGCACTGAGCCAGAGAACCCCAAACCCAGTGGAGTGTCCTGGCCCTTTCAGCCAAGGGACACTGCTCTTCCCAGCTCCCATTAATCCTCATGAAACCTCATAAGGGAGGTGTCCCTACATTACAGATGAAGAAATTGAGGCTCAGAGAGGTGAAATGACTTTGCACAGCCAGAAGTATCCAGGTTAGATCAAGACCTCAAATCTCCTAATTCCCAAACTTGCATTGGTTCCCTTCCACCCCACTCCCTCACTGGATCCCCAAAGAGCCAGGCATTATCCACTCTCTAGTTAGGTGGCAAATGTCCAGACATGAGGACAGTCCAAGGGGCTCAGCCCCCACTCAGGATGAGCATTCATCTGCAGATGCACGCTCTCTCCTTCCTTTCCTCTTGAGGTCTCTTGAGCAGCACCTTAACAAAGCTGTGGGCAGGAGCAGAAGGGCTTAGGTTGCTTGGTTTAGAGCTGGGAAGACAGAATCACTTGCTGGAGATCTCTGAGGGCTGTCAGGGGACACTGGAGTGACCACATCATAGGTGGTCTCTGGGGCCAGAGCTAGGACCACTGGGGGAGACCAGTGAGGGTAGCAGTGGAGAGATTTTAGCTCAGTCTAAGGAAGAATTCCCCGGGGCAAGGATTGCTGCCCCATGATGGAAAGTCTCATTTTAGGACAGAGTGAGCCTGGTGAGGAGGGTGCCCACCATCAGGAATGCCATAAAGAGATTCTTACCACAGGTAAGAGTCAAACTAAATGATCCCAAATACCCTTTTTCACGCGGAGATCCTGTGGTTCCACAAAACGCCACATGTGGATTTCACCCCTCTCTCCCTCCCCTCCGCCCCAGCCCACCAGTCTCACACTTGCATCTGCATCCTCTTTTATGACATGAATATTTAAATGTCATCTGATTGCATTATGCATCATGAGTCAGGAAAAAAAAAAATGGGTCCTGAAAGCCTTCCCTCTGCCTGTCTTCCCCCGATCCCCACTGTCTTGCAGGAACCAGAAAAATAAACCCATTCGCAAGTCACGGGTCCTGGAGCTCCTCTCTCCTACCTGCACCCCACTTCCCCTCTCCTGGTGGCCACAAGTAGACCAGGAGCAGGCACCACCTGATCCTGAGCAGCAGGGGGCAGTTCACCAGTCACAGGCAGTAGAGCCTGGCAACTCAAGGTTTTTGTCACACAGAAGGCCCCACGTCAGGGCCATGCGCCTCCTTTTAATGATCCCTTCCCCACTACATGCCCCAAACATGGCCCCATGGCCATCCACCTGTGCCAGCCCTTCCTCTCTTCGTGGCCATACCAAGCTAGAAGCAAACAGTAGCATCCTGTCCCAAAGGCTTACCCCGTCTTTAGTGACGTCACCTCAGCATTTCAGTAAACAAGCCTGGCTGAGCCAGGAGGAAGGAGGCAGGACTGTGTGCATAACCATAGTCAAGGGGGTCTCCACTCGGGGGCCTGTGACCTGCAGCCAGGCAGGAAGGGAGGCAAGGAGTAAATGCCCCACCTCTCTCTCCTCCCACCCTCTGATCTCCTGTCAGTGCTGCCTATTGGCCAAACCCAACTGAAGGCCAGAGGCAGAGGAGAGCCCTGAGGTCAGAGGTGTTCACACAGGTCAGGCCAGGGGCCCAGATCAGGGTGGACAAGGGTGGGCACAGGACCTGGAGGGACGAATGGAGAAGACCCAGCACCCTAGTCTCCTACTCCTTCCTCGGCTCTCCCTTGACCTCCCCGCCCCCACTCCCAGCCTTTCTTCTCTCTCCCATTTTCTCTGCAGAAAAACCAGTTCCTCTCACCTTCTCATGCAGAACAGTTGAGCCAATTAGTTGTTCTTATTGCCTTGGCTCTTGTCAACTTGCTGCCCTCAGGACCTCACCTTCTAGCCCAGGTAGCTTAGCAAGGTATTTCCCTAAACAAAGACCCTAAAAGGAATTGTGCTGTCAAGCTGTTAAGTAATCTGTGTTTTTTCCACTTTAGCTACAAAAGAATGGAGAGACGGAGGTGTTCCCAAAGGGAGGAATGACTGTCTTGTCCCAGAAACCTCTCTGCCTAGGTCTGGAAGCAAAGAGATGGGCCTCTGTGGCCCCTGCCAGGCCTCTGTAGTGCTAGGTGGCAACTGAATCCCTGCCTTGTCTCCTCCCACCTCCTTCCCAGAAAAAGTGGGGAGTTCCCTTAGGCCCCGCACCCCCAGGATCAGCACCTATAGGGCTACCATTGCTTCCCATCTAGAGCCTTCTGTGATCCCAAATGGCCCCACTCCCGCACTTGGGGGTGTGTCCCCCCAGCTCAAGGGGCAGCTCAACCCTGGAGGATGGAGCCTCCTGCTCCTCCCCACCTCTCAGACTCAGGGAAGCAAATGAAGGTGAAAATAAAGGCTTCCTGCTGGGGTCTGAGGTCTCTTCTCCAGGAGCTGCTTCACCAGCTAAATACCACCCTCTCGATGTTTGGTAATGACCTTTTTAAGTCTCCACTTTCCTGCCTTGGTATTTAGAGAGCAACCTGGTCTCTGGGGAGGAAAGGCAACTGAATTCTTATTCATGGCACTTCAGAAGGCTGGCCCCAAAAAGAGAAAAGAGAAAAGCCTCACCTCTCCCCTCCGGTGGCTGACGCAACCAGAGCCATAATTCTTCCTGCCCTGCAGCAGCGACTCCTCCGGAAGGTGCCCACAAAGCCGCATTGTGACAGCTGTCACTCAGGCTTTCCAAACTAGCATGCAAAGGCGTGTGCCCGCACCAGTACATGAGAATGTCTGTGAGTGTCCTTGCACATGTGTGTGTACCAGTGAGAAAATGGGCCTCACCTGTGTGGGCCAGGGCAGATGGGGTTTCAAGTGCGGACACAGAGCCACAGGTATGTACGGGAGTTGCATGTATGTCCATCCATGTGCATGTGTGTGGGGAACATGGATGTGCTTATGTGCATGCCTCTGGGGGAATCAGAAGTATCATCATGTATGTGTGCACAGTGGGCTCAGGTGTGTTTGTGGGCACCTAGATAGGCACAGGCTGGCCCTTCTGAGGCATTGGGGACTACAGGTCAATTTCTGCAGCTGGGGAGCTGGCCGCAGCAGAGAAGTGCCTGTGGTTCTCCAGGGAGCCAGGCAGGGGTTGCGTGGGGTAGGAGGCACCCTGCTCCACTTCCCCCAAGCCCTGCACACATCTGACCTGTCGTCCAAGCCTCTGCCCCAGGCCCTCAGACTAGCTCCTGCTACCACCCCCCTGGATCTTGCTTTCCCCCTCATCCCACTGCTTGGACACAAGGAGGTTTCAGAGCCAGTGAGCCTGGCCCTGCCCAGGTCCTTGTGGACTCTGCGCCACCCACCCTGCCTTCCATCAATCAAGAGCTGCCTACTCAGTCTCCCTGAATGAGACAGGTTGACTCTAGCCCAATAGCTGAATTCCAGTCAGCCAGCCCCTGGCAAGTGCCCCAGGTCCTAGCACAGCGCCTGGCAGGGGTGCACTTCCTAAACACATGTAGAATGGATAAATATAGCATGTGAGTGCATGTCCCAGGCAGTGGGGAGAGACTACGAGGAAGCCGCGGTGTGAGCAGCAGGCTGCGATTGGGGAGCCATTGCAGGGCGGGAATTACATTCAGCAGAGGTGGATAGGTAAGCCTAGTGCTTGCTCAGAAAACGGTCAGGACTATAAATTTAGACTTGGGATTGTGTTGTGGATCCTGTGACTCTGCCCAGATCCCCCGATCAGGACGGAAACAGTCATTTCCCCAGCTGCAGGCAACATCGGCTGCTGTCAGTTGTAGCTGGGCCAGTCTTAGGAATTCCCTTTGGTAAAAGGAAGCAGCCACACCCAAGGTGATGCCCCCTCCCTAGGGGCAGCTCACATCCAGTGACTGTCTGCTGCAGGGACACAATAGCTAAGTTCTGGCCTCAATTCAGGAGATCCCTGAAGGACCCCCCGAGGTCCAGGGTCCCCCTGGCCTATCGCCAAGGCCTTTGGTTGAATTACATCTCAGTGTAAACCCGCCCTTGCTGTCCTGGCCCTTCATCCCCCTCAGGTGTTGTTCCCATGAATGCTCCCCACTTAGCTTTCTGCCAGCAAATCTCCATCTCGGAGTCTGTTTCTGAGGAAGCTAATCTAAGTCAGGCATCACCGCTGCATGCATGTGAGATAAATGTAGGGAACTGGAGAGAGAGCCTGGGGACCGTGCACACAGTGAGATGAGAAAGGAAGGGAAGGAGAAAGGAGGAGAGGGAGGCAGGGAGAGGACCAAGATGAGGAACAAGGGCACATGAGCTTCAGACCAAAGGACTGCCCTGAGATACGGAGGGAAAACCAAAAGATCCTACTATCAGGAAGTCAGAAGAGCAGAATATTCAAGGAGGGAGTGGCAGTAGCACCAAACTCCGCAGAGAGGTCCAATCACATTAAAAAACTAAAAAAAAAAAAAAAAAAATCTGTATCAGTCAGGGTTCTCTAGAGGAACAGAACTAACAGGATAGATGTATATATAAATCGGAGTTTATTAAAGAGTATTGACTCACATGATCACAAGGTGACATCCCACAATAGGCCACCTGCAAGCTGAAGAGTAAGAAAGCCGGTCCAAGTCCCAAAACCTCAAAAGTAGGGAAGCCGAGAGTGCAGCCTTCGGTCTGTGGTCGAAGGTACAAGAGCCCCAAGGCTGAAGAACTTGGAGTCCGATGTTCGAGGGCAGGAAGTATCCAGCACGGGAGAAAGATGGAGGCCAGAAGACTCAGTCAGTCTAGTCTTTCCACATTCTTCTACCTGCTTTTATTCTGGCTGTGCTGGCAGCTGATTAGATTGTTATTGGGTTAGCACCCAGACGTGGGTGGTGACGTTGGCCAGAGTGGCCTCCAGGGAGTGGTGGGGGTGGAAGCAGATGCCACTTAGGTGAGGAGACCAAGGGAGGGGAAGTGATGGGAAGAAGGAGCTGAGATCATTCTTGGGAGAAGAGAAGGCAAGAAGGAAGATGGTGTCATGGCTGGAAGCAATGTTAGTATCATCATCATCGGTTTTAAGACTGGACAGACTTGAGCATAAACCTTGCGAATTTTCCAACCAGAAGGCCATCTTCATTCACAGCCCCCAGAGACATCTCAATATCTATCAGGTGGGTTTTTTCTCTTTTTTTCCTTTTCGAGATGGAGTCTTGCTCTGTCTCCCAGGCTTGAGTACAGTGGCACAATCTTGGCTCACTGCAACCTCTGCCACCCGTGTTCAAGCAATTCTCCTGCCTCAGCCTCCCAAGTAGCTGGGATTACAGGTGCCTGCCACCACATCCAGCTAATTTTTGTATTTTTAGTAGAGATGGGGCTTTACCATGTTGGCCATGCTGGTCTCGAACTCCTAACCTCGTGATCTGCCTGCCTCAGCCTCCCTAAGTGCTGGGATTACAGGCGTGAACCACCATGCCCAGCCTCATGTGGGTTTTTCTTGTCCAAGAGCAAAATTAATAATCCCAACCACTTAAGCAAGAGAGATCCATTACTTTGAACTAAAAGGACACTTGTCACTACAGGAATACACTATATATTAATAAAAATAAGGTAGCAGCTGGTGACAGCCTCAGCAGACTGTTGGGGTCTCCCTGAAGAACCCACTCCCTTTTGGTTATTGTTTATCTGTCATTTGGCCTTGGAGGGCAGCCCAGAACAGAAGCTCAGAGGCTATTGTTCTTATAGTGAGGTGACATATGGAACTGCAGTTCCCAACCAAGAACTCCCAAACTGCCCTTGTTTGGGTCAGTTTTGTAGTTTCTGTAGAACTGGAAGACTGCTACTTGCCATTAGCCAGACCAAGCATGTGGTTCAATTGCTCCTCCAATACCAGTAGGCAAAGAAGAGGGTGGTTAGGCCAGCTTCAGGCAATAGGGAATGTCTGCGATTGGCTATTACTGCAGTGCCTAAGAGCCCAGGCAATGGTGTCCGGCAGACTGAGTGTGAATCCTGGCCTTACCACTGTATTAGTTACAGTAAGCAAGACTTGACTTAAAACACACATGGTTTATTAGCTATCATGAAACACATAGGTCAAGACTGGTGTGGTGGATCCACGCATTCATCAGAAAATCCAATTCCTGTCTTTCTGCTCTGAAATTCACAGCTTCCATTCTCAGAGTCTCTTCATGACCCAATATAGCTGACAGGGCCCCAGCCATTAATTATATCAGCATTCCAGGCATGAGGAATGAGGACAAAAGGGGAAAGAATACATCTCCCTCCAACTTAAGATGCCTTTTTTTTTTTGAGATGGAGTCTCGATCTGTCGCCCAGGCTGGAGTACAGTGGTGCCATCTCAGTGTACCACAACCTCCACCTCCCAGTTTCAAGCGATTCTCATACCTCAGCCTCCTGAGTAGCTGGGATTACAGGCATCTGCCACCATGCCCAACTAATTTTTTGTGTTTTTAGTAGAGATGGGGTTTCACCATATTGGCCAGGCTGGACTTGAACTCCTGACCTCAAGTGATCTGCCCACCTTGGCCTCCCAAAGTGCTGGAATTACAGGTGTGAGCCACCACACCTGGCCAGGATGCTTTTTCAAATGGTCCTTATAATGCTGCCTACATGTCATTGGCCAGAACTTAATCACCAGGCCACATTGGGTTGTGAGCTGGGCACTGTGGTGTGA
Source organism: Homo sapiens (assembly GCF_000001405.40). Taxonomy (NCBI): domain Eukaryota; kingdom Metazoa; phylum Chordata; class Mammalia; order Primates; family Hominidae; genus Homo; species Homo sapiens. The sequence goes on along the minus strand of NC_000001.11, from coordinate 36,726,405 downwards.
ACCTGTAGTCTCAGCTACGTGGGAGGCTGAGACAGAAGGATCGCTTGAACCCTGGAGCTCAACCCAGCCTGGGGAACACAGGAAGAGAGGCTGTGTCTCAAAAAGAAAAAGTCTAATAGAGTTCTGTTAGTAATGAGGAAGAGGAGGATGCATGATATGGCAGCCAACTAGTAGTTCCTCCCAGAGCCTGTGACCTCAGGCAATTTACTTGAGCTCTCTAAGGCCTCAGTTTCCTTAGCCATAAAGCAGCAATAATAGGGCCTTCACTGTTTCTGTCCTCCATTGCTATCACTAGCAGAAATCAAACACTCAAATATCTATGGAGCTCAAGAAGATAATCTACATAGGAGACGACTGGGAGTGGTGGTGACTGGGGTTAACTGGAGTAGCAGCCTCCGTCTAGAGGGAGGTCCCTACTCACCTCCAGCCTCCTATGAAGATCTTTCAATTTTTCAAAAGAAATGGAAAAATCAGGATTATGTGTAAAATCTTTCTCATTTTAAATTTTACAATAATTCACTTTTTTAACTTATAAAGGTCAAAAAACCACACGTGTACTCATGTACCTGTTGGTACATGACCCTAAATATGACCCTGGAGTGTCAGTGGTCCTGGCCTCAGGACAATAAGACCATCCTGTTCACCTTTTCTCAAGACATCTTGATTTCTTTTGGGTGTGCTATATACCTGTTCCCTGGTGACAAAGTCACTTGGGCAAAGGACAATGTGGATGTGCCATGCAATGGTTTATAATGACAAAATCTGGATCTTGTGGGTCTGTGTATACTGGTGCTTCCTAAGTGTTTGAAATAAGGCTTGCAGCTCACTGCATTCCACCCCGGCTTTTTACAAACATCCAACACTGGGCACAACCAAATAAACATCATAAGGAATAGCATGATTCTGCATCTTAATCTCTTAAGCAATTATTGGAACAAGTTGACAAAAATTTGGATCGGAGACCTAGGTGCTGGCCACATGTAGGTGTGAGCCTCTAGCCATGTGACTTAATCAATATCTCTCAGTAAACCATATGGAAAAACTGATGGTGTGCCTTCCAACTTCTTCTGGCACACTTCACATTAACTTTCATTTTTCAACAGGCTTATGGACTCAGGCTCGTTTACAGACTTGGTTTGTGCCATTTGCCCGTAATTACTGACTTTTATGCTTAGATTGTCCCTGCTTGGGCATACTAACAGGAGGTAAGAAGGAGTCTCTTTGGGCTGGCTGCTCATTCTAATTTTCCTGTAGGCATCTTTAAAAGCATCACTGCCTTCCTTGTCCCAGCTACTTGGGAGGCTGAGACAGGAGAATGGCGTGAACCCGGGAGACAGAGCTTGCAGTGAGCCAAGATCGCACCACTGCACTCCAGTCTGGGCGACAGAGCGAGACTACGTCTCAAAAAAAAAAGAAAAGAAAAAAGCATCACTGCCTTCCAAAACCAAGACATCTCCTCTCCAAGATCCAGCACACCTTATCCTTCAGGAAGCCCTTGCTTCCTTGGGATACAAAGTGACTTAAAGGACTAATCCACGGTCAGTGGGACTACACAGTTATGTCATGACACCAGGACCCCATGCATCAGCCCAGAGGCAACCTGGGTTATTTGGGGGATTAAGCAGAATGCTAACATCCTAAATTCATGCTGTTCTTTCCAATTCGATTCCAGGACACTGAAATTCCTTCCTATCATGCTCTAATACACATTTCTCAATTTTTAGTCTCCTTTTCCTTTCTAAGCTCTGGGCTAGCTCTTCTCTCTTTTATATATGACATGCTCATCTCAGATTCAGCATATCACACTGGGCGTTGTCACACCAAACCATGTGTTGAATTACGATGCTGCCCAAAGCTCGACAAACATCAACACTCAAATGCCAATCTGTTAATATCCCTTTGAGCCAATGGGCCCACGCTTCTAAGGTTCTTGCATTTAGCTTCCCTACTTTACTCAATTTATTTGGAGCAGTTTTTGTAACTGATGGACTCAGGATGGTTTGTAATGGTGCCAATTTCACTCAAGGCTCTGTATCTTGCTTGGATAAGATTGGTCCTTGTCCACATGTCTCATAAAGAAATACTCATGAGATATGTGTCTGTGTACAATGACATTAATACAAAACTTTACATATTTAAAATCATTTTAGACACAGTGCATTCTATATGGTCAGAATGGCACCAGGACAAATAGCATTGGATATTCTAGGCAGGCTGTGTGTGTTGTCAGCTGGAGAACTCCAGCAAGTTTGAATTTTGCTAGTGGCATCTGCTCTAATGAAATCAGAGTGATCATTTCAAAACATAAATCAAATCTTGCCTCTCCCCTACTTTAAATCCCCAATAGCTGCCCATCCCCCAGTAGTCAGGATAAAACTCAAACTCCTCATGCTGACTCAGGCCCTGTGAAGAAGTAGCCCTGGCCTTGTATTCTGTGCCATGTCCCCAGCACGTGTTCCACTCTAGCCAAAATGACTTTGCTCTCAAATTGGAAACCTCTGAGCTTATTCCTGCCTTCAGCCCTTTGCATCAACTGTTCCCTCTGCCTACTGGGCTTTTCCCTGAAACCACACATGGCTGGCACTGTGTTATCTTTCAGTGTCACTTCCTGAGAGACACTTTCCTGGTCACATAAAGTGGCTGCTTGGTCACTCTCCCTCACCACTCCGAATTCTCTGCATAGGACTCGCAATTCCCTGAGGTGTCTCTCGTCTCTTAAGGTGTTTGTTGGCTTCTGCCCCCATGTGACTCTAAGGACAGGGAGATTAGGTGTCTTGCTCACAACTCTTTTCCCAGAACCTAGCACAGTGCCTGCAAAGGGTGCATGTTCCATAAATATTTGTCACGGGATCACTGGAAGATCATTGGAAGAAAGCAAGAGAGCAAGAGAGAAAGGAAGCAAGAGTCATGCCCTGCTGTTGTTTGCTGTGCAGGGACGGAGTGGAAGCTGTCAGGGGGCAGCCGGGAGCAGCAGACATCAAGCTCACAACCTTCAAGCCCCCTTCTTCCATCCTGGGCAAGGTCACTGCACTCACGCCCAGCCCTGCCCACCAAGAAAGTGGTCCCAACGGTGTTCAGAGGCACATCCTGCCCTCTGCTTCACTCCCCACCCCACTGAGCTGGACTAATCTCTGACAGCAAGTGGTGGAGCCCAGGCTCAAGGAGCTAGATCCATCCATCACTCAGAGGGAAGAGCCACAAATTCTGAGGTCTCTATCTGCACCTGTCGCACTCAAGGGTAAACTTGCCACGGCCACCATGCAGAGCCACTCCTCCCCATTGACAGCTGTGCTGGCTCAGGGACTTGCCCAGTGACAAATCTGATGTCTGCTCAGCAGCATCCACTGGCCGAGGCTGGGGCCAGGGCCGGGTGGCTGCAGAGTTGGAAAAATTTACAGTCACATACTCCTTGGATAAAATTCGATGGGGACAAGACAGGGAAATCCCACTGTGAATGCCCAACCAAGGGTAGGTGCTGCTCAGCAGAGAGCACTGTCACCATCCCCCTAGAGTGCCACCCCTGTCCTTCAATGCCCTGTGGTTAGTCTGCCTCCCCCACCCCATCTCCCCCATATGGATTGGGATTCTCTGGGGCAAGGTCTGGTCCCAGGTCCCCTATTCCCCATCCAGCGCAGACCTAGAATTCTAGGAACTCCTCATGTCATACTCCTCTGTCCACCTGAATTAAAGGGGTGACAATTTTGGTTCCATTTGACCTTGAGTGGCAGTCAAAAGCATCTACTTTGCAGTCAGGTCTACATCTGGATTCCAGCTGTTCTCTGTACTCACCACATGCTCCTGGGCAAGTTGTACCTCCATCTCGTGCTCCATAAATTGGGGTGACAATAGGGTCCTTGTGAGCATTACATGAAATGCGCGTGAACTGCTTACACAGCACCTGGTGGGAAGTAAACACTCAGCAATGGCATTTGATGAAGACATTGTCAAGATGTTGTCATTGTCATCACTATGTTTGTTGTCTATACTACAATGTACCTCCTCAGCACCAAATGCACTAACTGGGAGGAGGTGGCATGGTCACCTTTGATGTTGCCAGTGCCGGAAAATGTAGGAGCCCTTTTCCTTGGTCACAAGCTCCTGAAGCCAAAGTCTGCTTTGAAAGAAGGTAATGGAGGAAGAGCCACAATCCTAGAGGACTCTCCCGTATGCCCCAAAGAGCAGCTCCATGGCAGCATCTAAACGTCTCAGGATCACAAAGTCTTCTCAAACTGTGTCAGTCATTCAGAAAACACCAGACAAAGAGGAGGCTTCAGACCCATCCCACGCCACCCTCCTCTGCCCCACACCCCTGTCCTTCAATGCCCTGTGGTCAGTCTGCCTCCCCCACCAACCTCCCCACTTATTCCCCCCAGTTTGGGCCACCTCTGCCTCCAGCACATGCTGCCCACCATGATCAGGCGGTGCCTTTTGCTCACACCAATCTCTCTTCTTCCATTCCCCCACTCACTCATCACAAGTTACCCCTCTCATGTCCCAGCCCCTCGGAACCCTGCAGTAGGCACTCTCTAAGTGGCAGCAGTTAATTTAATCAGGCAACACAAAACAATGCCTGCCCTCTCTAAATAATGTGGATACATTTTCACAGGGCTCTTCCAGAGTCACAGCTTTAATCAAAGGCCTGACCCCAATGGTAGAATTCCAGGTACGGTGGCAGGGCAGTGGAGTGAGATTTAGAGACAGGCAGATGGCCATTGCTGCTACAATCACTGGCACAGGCCACCCCCTTGAGCAATGTATATGGCCATGAGCTTCTTGAATAGGGGTTTTCTCCTCTTTCCCCTCCTTCCTCGTGTGAGATACAAGTCAAAGAGCTCCCCAACTCACCGCGGGAGCTGAGGTCAAGGCCAAGTCACACCCTGGCTCAGACACATTAGGAAATCATGGGTCGCCACCTCCTTCAGCCCCAGAATCCAGGGCCATAGTCCATCCACTCAACCCTGCCTCCGTGGGGCCTTTCCCTGTTGAACATCAGAGGCAGGAGGGGTGAGTGGAGTGAGGGCTGGGCAGCTACAGGCCTAGGGGAGCTACAGGCTGGATTCTTTCCTAGTCAGTGCTGTCTGTCCCCTGTGGGGCAGGTCTGGGGGCTTTAATGAGGATGCCATGCCTTCAGAGACTTGACGGTCACACAGAAGAAGGGAAATGACCAGCTTTTCATGCAATGGGAACAATTAATACCTCCGGAGCAGACAACCCTGTGACACTCCCCAGTTCCCACCCTCCCGGTCCCACAGCCTGTCCTCCTTCTTAGAGTGGGCACAGGGGTCCCTCTGGGCCAGGCATTGCCACAAGGAGCTGTTTCTGAGCTGTGTCCCTCACGAAGAAGCCCTCTGTCCAAATGACCCAGGAGAGGTCAATCAGTGCACCTGCTACCTCCAGGCGAGCACCACACCATACCCCAGCCCCAGGGGAAGCCTGAAGACAATTGCTGCTTTGTCATTCACAAATTTATTAAGAAGCCACTGTACTTCCTGTGGCTAGGCAGACCCTTCCCTGACAACCAGACCTCGGTCTCTGCCTTGGTGCAATGGAGGGATGATGCAGTTTGATAGTCTGAAGTCTTTGCAGCCCTGACCCCGGAGAGTCACTCCACAATCCCAGGTCCCCCTTGAATTTATCTTAAACAACCCAGTTCCTTCCATCACTCCAGGACATCCTCCTCCCACACCTCCACCACCATTCTAGTGTCTGAGATGTAATTGTTTGCTCCAGCTCACTCTAGCAAGCCTTATTCTGATTTCTGTAGCCACTGACACCATTTATTAAGATTTTTTGTCACAATTCCATGCTTGGGTTGTGCATCTTATTTAGAATAGCAAAGGTAAAAAAAATACTGCCAATTACTGAGTGCTAGACAGGATGTGGAACAACTAGAATTTTCATACATTGCTGGTGGAAATGCAAAATGGTACAGTTATCCTAGAAAACAGCCTGTTAGTTTCTCAAAATGCTTGTGATATGACCCAGCAATCTCACTCCCAGGTATTTATTTCCCAGAGAAATGAAAACTTACATTCACACAAAAACCTGTGCACAGATGTTGATACCAGCACATAATTACATAAATTACATAAATTTTCATAATTACAAGAAACTGGAAACACCCCAAATGTCCTTTTTTTTAAAATTTTCTTTTTCCATAACCAAATGTCCTTTAAACAAGTGAATGGATAATCAAAATGTAGTACAGCCATACAATGGAATATTACTCAGCTGTAAACAAGAACGACCTATTGATACACACAACACCACGGATGACTTTCAAATGCGTTATGTCGAGTGAAAGAAGCCATCCTCAAAAGATTCTAAGCTGTTGATTTTATTTGTACAACATTCTGAGAAAGGAAAAACTACAGGGGCAGAGAACAGATCAAGGGTCGGGGATGGGGAGAGGTTGATTACAAAGTCCCAGCATGAGGAAACTCTTCAGACAGGTGTGGGAATTGTTCTAGATCCTGTTTGTGGAGCTCCCCCCTCTTATCCCTCTCCTCCGGGATCAGCTCCCCACCCCACTGCTGCATTCTCAGGTTGCTATGGAGCTGCCATGCTGGGCCCCCAAGTAGGGGTGGCTCTGCCAAGCCCATTTCCCCACGGGGGGAGCAGTGAGCTGTCATGCTGGGTAGGTGCTTCAGGGCTGGGTGGGACTGGCCACTGAACTGGGAAGGCCTGGATCACCCCCCTGGTAGAGGAGAAAGAGCCAGAGACTTGGAGTCAAACCCAGATCCTTCACTGGCAACCCCACATGGCTTAGGACACGTTTCTGCTCCTCCTTGAGCCTCAGTTTCCTTCTCTGTAAAGTAGAACTCACAATCCCAATCCTGTAAGACTGTCTTGGGACTTAATGGCATTTTCTGGGCACCTGCTGTGTGGCAGGTCCTGTGATGGGCATTGGAATGCAAACATGAACAAGCCATAGTCCCTTTCTTCTAGAGTGCCCAGTCTCTTGTGAGGGAATGTGGGGGAGGAGATGGGAAGTTCTACACTGCTCCCATGAGGACCTAGGCTCAGTAATAACTGTAACTAACATATATTAAGCACTTAGTACATACCAGGCACCATTTTAAGCCTTGCAACAACCTTACAGGTTAAGGTACTACAATTCCTCACGTTACAGATGAGGAAGCTGAGGCCCAGAGAGTTTAAGAACTAGGCAAGTGATAGTCCGTCTCTGAAGTCCCTCTGCAATTCTGCCTTCATGATGGGGTTTGTGCCCCCTAAATATTTCAAATGCTTTCATTATTATTATATGTGTTATGGTGATCTGGGATTAGGGATTTTGATGTTACTATATTCATCATTTTGGGGTGCCAGAAACCATACCCATAAAAAATGGCAAACCTAATCGATAAATGTTGTGTGTGTTTTGACTGCTTCACTGACCAGATGTTCTCCCATCTCTCTCCCTCCCCTTGGGCCCTAACTCTTTTCAATTCTATGAAGGCTGAGAGAGGTGAAGCAGCTACAGAAGAAAAGTTTGAAGCTAGGAGAGGTTGGTTCATGAAGCTTAATGAAGGAAGCCATGGCCATACATAAAAGCCAAGGTGAAGCAGCAAGTGCTGATGTAGAAGCTGCAGCAAGTTCTCCAGGAGCTCTGGCTAAGATCATTGATGAAGGTGGCTACCAGATTTTCAAGGCAGTTGAAACAGCCTTCTGTTGGAAGAAGATGCCATCTAGCTTTCACAGCTAGGGAGAAGAAGTCCATGCCTGGCTTCCAAGCTTCAAAGGACAAGCCGGTTAGGGCCCAGTGCAGCTGGTGACTTTAAGTTGAAGCCAATGCTCATTTGCCATTCTGAAAATCCTAGGATTCTTAAGACTTGTGCTAAATCTCCTCTGCCTGTGCTCTATAAATGGAACAACAAAGCCTGAATGACAGCATATCTGCTTACAGCATGGTTTACTAGCTATTTTAAGGCCACTGTTAAGAACTACTGCTCTGGAAAAAAAAAAAGATTCAACATATTACTGCTTATTGACAGTGCACCTGGTCACTCAAAAGCTCTGATGGAGATGTACAAGAAGATTAATGTTTTTATGCCTGCTAACACAACATCCAATCTGCAGCCTATGGATCGAGGAATAATTTTGACTTTCAAGTCTTATAATTTAAGAAGTACATTTTGTAAGGCTAGAGCTGCCATAGATAGTGACTTCTTTGGTGGATCTGGGCAAAGAAAATTGAAAACCTTCTGGAAAGGATTCATCATTCTAGATGCCATTAAGAACATTCATGATTCATGGCAGAAGGTCAAAATATCAACTTGTACAAGAATTTGGAAGAAGTTGGTTCCAATCCTCAGGGATTATTTTGAGGGGTTCAAGATTTGTGTACAGGAAGTAACTGCAGATGTGGTGGAAATAGCAAGAGAACTAGAATTAGAAGTGGAGCCTGAAGATGTGACTGAATTACTGCAATCTCATGATAAAACTTTAACGGATGAGGAGTTGCTTCTTATGGATGAGCAAAGAAAGTGGTTTCTTAAGATAGAATCTACTCCTGGTGAAGATGCTGTGAACATTGTTGAAATGACGACAGTGGATTTAGGATATCATGTAAACTCAGTTGATAAAGCAGCAGCAGGGTTTGAGAGGACTGAGTCTAATTTTGAAAGAAGTTCTACTGTGGGTAAAATGCTATCAAACAGCATGGTATCCTACAGAGAAATCTTTCATGGAAGGAAGTGTCACTGGATGCAGCAAACTTTCCTGTTGTCTTACTTTAAGAAATTGCCACAGTCACCACAACCTTCCGCAACCACTACCCTGATGAGTCAGCAGCCATCAACATCAAGGCAAGACCCTCTACTCCACCAGCAAAAAGATTACAACTCGCTGAAGGCTCAGCTGATTGCTAGCATTTTTTCAGCAATAAAGTTTTTTAAATTAAAGTATATCCATTGTTTTTAGACATAATACTATTGCACAGTTAATAGACTACAGTATAGTGTAAACATAAGTTTTATGTGCACTGGAAAACCAAAAAATTCATGTGAATTGCTTTATTGCAATATTTGCTTTATTGCAGTAGTCTGGAATTGAACTCACAATATCTCCGAGGCATGTCTGTACATGTATCATCTCATTGGGTCTCCCAAAACCCAAAGAGATAGGTTCTAGTTACTATCCCCATTTGATAGATGAAGAAACTGAGGTGCTTACTTTTCTTACATCCCACAGTAAGTCACAGTGGAAACTGAGGTCAAATCTCTTGTCACCTTGCTCCACCTGCCGATGCCATGCCCAGGATTTAAAGGATGTGAGCTTTGCTCTCATTTTAAGCTCACAGAATAGTTAAAGACAACATTTCCCAGGAAGATTGGAGAACTCTCTTTAGAGACAGTGCCAAGGGATGGCTTTGACCCACCAAAATCTTCACCAGTATCTCACCCTCAGAGCTACTGTAAAATAATAATAATAGAAATATTCTCCAACAGGGACAATTGATGTTCTCTGCCTCATGTGAATTATAAATAAAGTCATCTTTAATACAACCTAAGTTAAAATTGTGTGCTTTCCATAAAAATGTAGCTGCAACACAAATCTCCTAGCCCTACCCCAAACTGCTTCCAAACACGTTGTTAACCCAGTCCTTTCCATGAAGAAACTTGGAGCCACCCTATGGGTTTTCTGCATGAGATGGAAGCCTCCTGAGGCCGAACCAGGCTAGAGTCGCAAACGTGTATTACTCTAGCCTTCTGAACATCTGAAGCCACCCCCTAGGGTTTTCTGTCTTACCCATTTGGGTAAGAACACTGGAGAAGCCCCTCGCTGTGGGCAAAAGTAAGGCAGGGACAAGGTGCTGAGGAAGCCTCAGGCCAAGAGATGTCATAGCAACATTCAGAGGCGTCCCCAGCAATAACTGTGAGCTGGAAACTTCCACTCCTTCTGCTAGCTCAGAAATGTATTGCTGCTTTCTTTGCTTGACTTTGTTTCTTGGTAGTAGCTGGTATTTATGTGCCCTTAAGAAAACACCAAAGAGGGACACATTGTCTCCAGGAATGGTGTCTTAGGTCTTTGTGCTCTCGGGGACTTGCACAGGACTTGACACATTGTAGGTGCTCAGAATAAATGAAGATGGATTGAGTTGAGCAGGATGAGAAGAAAAGCTGGGATAATCCCTCCCACTCTGCAGTGGTTTGGAGAGGACAGAAATGAGGTTGGAGGGGGCAGTTCTCAACCAGGGCGGCACATCAGACACCTGAGCAGCCTTTACATTACCCTTGCACAAGTCCCAACCCCAGAAACTAAATTGTCTGACTGGAGCCTGGCTGTGGGCATTCTTTAAAACTCCCCTGGGTAATCCAAGTGAACAGCCAGGATTGAGAAACCCTGGGCTAGAGGAAGGAAATGGAGCTGCCAAGAAGAACAAGGGCCTGGTGAAGTTGGTCCCTGAATCCCCAGCAGGCGGGACCAATGGTGCTGCCAAGAAGAACAAGGGCCTGGTGAAGTTGGTCCCTGAATCCCCAGCAGGCGGGACCAACAGAGGATTAAGTTAGCAACTGTGTGGCTGGCTGGCCACCATGTGAAGGACCAGGGATAAAATGGTGAGTAAGGCTTAGGGTCTGGTAGGAAATGAAGACATTAGTCAAATAATCTGTCTCTGTGTGTGTGCACGTTCACATAAACATGCTAATAGGGGCAAATGTTCAGAAGGAAAGAACAAGGAGTGATGTGTTGACATGGTTTGGAAGGGCATGGAATGTTCCTTGAGAGATGGAGAGGGTGGAACAAGCGTGTTTCCAGCAGAGGGAACAGCCAGTGCAAAGGCGCAGAGGAGGGTGGGAAGCCTGGCACATTCCCTTCATATTGAAGGAAAAAAGTCTGGAATCCAAAGGGAAGGGGCCAGTGGGCTGCAATGAGACTGGGAGGTGGCAGGGAACAGCACAGGCAGGCCTCAGAAGGGACAGGAAGCCAGTGACAGAGTTTCAGGCAAAGGACTGACACGATCAGGTCATTTTTCTTGTACTTTTCTTTTGCAATTTTTAAAATTGAGATAAAATCCACATAGCATAAAGTTCACCATTTTAACTGGTTTTTTGGGGGGGTTGGCAACAGAGTCTTGCTCTATCACTCAGGCGTGAGTGCACAGTCACAGCTCACTGCAGCCTCAAACTCCTGGGCTCAAGTGATCCTCCTGCTTCAGCCTCCCAAATAGCTGGGACTATAGGCACACACCACCACACCCAGATAATTTTTTTTTTTAATTTTGTGTAGAGATAAGGGTATCACTATGTTGCCCAGGCTGGTCTCAAACTCCTGGACTCAAGGATCCTCCCGCCTCAGCCCCCCAAAGTGCTGGGTTGCCATTTTAACCATTTTTAAATGTATAATTCTGTGGGGGAGGGGCTTGTATATTCACAATGTTGTGTAACCATCCTCACTTTCTCATTCCAAAACATTTCCATCACTCCGAAAAGAAACCCCATACCTGTTAGCAGTGTCTCCCAACTCCTCAATCTCTCCAGCCCCTGGCAACCACTGATCTACTTTCTGTCTCTATGGACTTGCCAATTCCGGGCATTTAATATAAATGGAAGCATATAGTAGGTAGTCTTTCATGTCTGGCTTCTCTCACTTAGCACAACGTTTCCAAGGCTAATCCATGTTGCAGCACGTATCAGTACTTCATTCTTTTTACTACTGATGAGTATTCCATTCTGTGGATAGACCACATTTTGTTTATCCATTCATCATTTGATGGACATTTGGATTGTTTCTACTTTTTGGCTATTATGGGTATTGCTGCTATGAATATTCGTGTACAAGTTTTTGTGGAAACATATGTTTTCAATTTTCTTGGATATATACCTTGGAGTGGAATTGTTGGATCATATGGTACCTCTATATGTTTAACTTTTTGAAGAACTGCCAAACTGTTTTCCACAATGACTACACCATTTTGCATTCCCACCAGCACTGTATGAGGGTTCCAATTTCTCCACATCCTTGCCAGAACTTGTTATTTTCCACTTTGTTTTTTATGAAGCCATCCTAGTGGGTGCAAAGTGGTATCTCATGTGGTTTTGATTTTCGTTTCTCTAATGACTAATGATGTTGATCATTTTCTCATGTGTGTATTGGCCATTTGTAAATCTTCTTTGGAAAGATGTCTATTCAAATCCTTCACCCATTTTTAAATTGGGTTGTTTGTCTTTTTGTTGTTGAGTTGTAATAGTTCTTTACATATTCTGGATACTAGACTCTTGTCAGATATATAATTTGCAAATATATTCTCCCATTCTGTAGGTTGTTTATTTACTCTCTTGATAGTATCCCTTGATAGACAAACATTCTTAATTTGTTGAAGTCAGTTTATCTAGTTTTTCCTTTGCTGCTTGTGGTTTTGGTGTTATAATTAAGGAACTGTTGCCTAATCCAAGATACTAAGATTTATACTTTTGTTTCCTTCTAAGAGTTTTTATAGTTTTAGCTCTTACAGTTAGGTCTTTGCATTTTGAATTCACTTTTTTATATGGTGGGAGGTAAGGGTCCAAATTTGTTCTTTTGCACGTGAATAATCAATTGTCCCAACACTATTTATTAAAAAGACTATTCTTGGCAGGGCACAGTGGCTCACACCTGTAATCCCAACACTTTGGGAGGCTGAGGCCGGCAGATCACCTGAGGTTGGGAATTCGAGACCAGCCTGACCAACATGGAGAAACCCCATCTCCACTAAAAATACAAAATTAGCCAGGCGTGGTGGCACGTGCCTGTAATCCTAGCTACTTGGGAGGCTGAGGCAGGAGAATTGCTTGAACCCAGGAGGCGGAGGTTGTGGTGAGCCGAGATTGCACCATTGCACTCCAGCCTGGGCAAAAAGAGGGAAACTCCATCTCAAAAAAAATAAAAAAAGACTATTCTTTCCCCCATTGAGTGATTTTGTCACCCTTGTCAAAAATCACAGATGTATGGGGTTGCTTCTGGACTCTCAATCCTATTCTATTGATCTATGTGTCTGTCCTTGTGCTAGTACCACATCATTTTGATTATTATGTCTTTGTAGTAAATTTTAAAATCAGGAACTGTGAGCTCTCCAGCTTTGTTCTTTCTTAAGATTGTTTTTGGCTACCTGGAGTCCCTTGCATTTCCATAGGAGTTTTAGGATCAGTTTGTCCATTATGATGGAAGAACAAACTAAATCACCTTCAGAGAAAGATCCCAGAGTCCTCTTCTCTCAGACTTGAGCTCTGGCAGGAATTTTAGAGAAACGGTTGTGGTTATGTTTGGTTATGTTCTTTGATGTTGGATTTGAATTTGTCTTTCAAAATTGAAGCACCACGGCCCAACAAGTGCATGGCTAACTGATCAAGGTTACAGATGTTGGATCCAGACTGCCAGGGTTTGAATCCTAGTTCTGTTACTTACTAACTATATAATCTTGAGCAAAATAGTTATTACTCTGTATTTCAGCTTCCTTGTGTGTAAAATGATGGTAAATATTGTACCTACGTCATCAGATTCTGTGAGAACAAAATAAGAGAGCACGTGTGAAGTGCTTGCAACTGTGCCTGGCCTTAAGGTCACCCGACCTCATATCCCAACAAGTCTGGATCCATTGCTCACCAATGTCTCAGTGGGCAGTATCTTATCAATCTGGAGCGTTTGACCCTGTTCACTCTCCCCTATCACAACTCCTTCCACCCTAAGCTTTTCATCACGCCACATAGTGAATCAGTGATCGATAAATGCTAACTACTACTGTCTTCTAGTTTCTTTTATAAATATCAAGAAGAAAGTACTGATATAGTGCTTATTCTATGCCAGGCATGGTTCTTAGAACTTTACAGTATTTACTTAATCTTTCTAACAATGCTTTCAGAAGCTAATACTATTATCATCCCATTTTACAGATGAAATTACTGAGGCACACAAAGTTACACAGCTAAGAAACAGCAGAGCCAGGATTCAAATCTATGCAGACTGGCCCCAGAGCCTGTGTTATATTAGTAATAGCTGCACAGGCAGAACTCTAATCCAAGTTGGGGGCATGAAACCAGACCTGCCAGCCTGTCCTGTCGGTCTTAAATCAAACACGAGCTGCCTCCTCTACACTTCCCAGACTCTCTGTCCCTGGGCTTCATGCTCTGCGGCGGCCAGTGCCATGTTCCTCCTAAGCCTTCTTCCTCCCAAGCTGCTCCAAGCAAGCAGGACTCACACCATAAAGTGTGGGGCCACCTTGCCCAGCTGAGCTAAGCCCTAAAACTGTGTCCCTAAGAATCACAGAAGGAGGAAGGGAAGGAGAAGAAAGAGGAGGAAGGGAAGGGAGAAGATGGCCGTGTCATAGACATAGACACCCAGGACATAGTCACCCAGGACAGTAGTCATAGACACCCAGGACAGACAACCAAATGGTGTGAAGTCCCTTGAAATAAAACCCCAGGGGATTTTATCTCCCGGCTCATGGTTGACTTGAGATTGCTAGAGAGAATTTGGGCTCCTCTGACATTTATTCCAAGCTTAGGACAGAAATATTAGAAATTAAGAGGGACCGGAGAATACAGGATTAGAAACAGTCCCCAACCTTTGGGAGCAAGTGTTTCATCCCAGTAGAAGCAAAAATGCAAAAACAATTCCAAGCTCCTTCTCACAGCTTTCTGTTTCTCTCATTTCCATCTGGGCCCAGACTCCCTGCGCCCCACCCTGCCCCCAAATACTCCAGCTATGCCTCTCCTGGTAAACACAGTCAAGCAGACAATTGGGGCAGCTTCCTGCTATGTGTCAATGACAGTTCCTTAACCCTGCAGGATATGGTGACTGAAACCCCTGCCTCCAGTGGACTCCCAGTGAGCCAGGGAGAAGCTGTGGACCCAGTCACTTCCATTCTACCCTACGACTCTGATTCACTTTCTCCTCTGTCTTCATTCACCAAAATCTGCAAGCCACTTTTCTCTTTTTTCCTTTCTTTAAAAAAAAATAAAGAAAGAAAAAACACTTCATCTATTATTTCAGCAGGCAATATGGGGGGACCTGCCAAGTTGATAGCAATTCTTGGTGCTAATAAAGTGTCAATTAAGATTGATTGTGCTGCCGAGAGCTCTGAGAGGCTGGTGGTTTATGCTAATGTTTTAAAAGTCTATTTCATATGCCTTTATGTTGAGTCGTTTCATTAGGTTTATTAAGAGCCCAATTGATACATTTCTTGTTGACTCCAAATATTCCTGAGGTGATTAATTCTGAACAATGGGGTTAATTAGTCTGCAGACTTTGGAACACTTCCTCAGGCGGGAGCTTAAGAAACCAGTTTACAGGGAATGTAATCTCCAAAAGAATTACGTTCCTTTCTTCTAAAGGAATGGGGAAGAAAATTCTCCCCAGGGAAGAAAGGATGGCTGTGATCTCACGGAGAGTTAAATGAGTGTTAAACTCCAACGAGTCTCTGTGGGTTGTTTTTGTTGTTGTTTTTTTTTTTAGTGTCCCCTTTTTCTACTTTCTGACTAGTAGGTAAATAGCTTGAATTTGGCATGTGGGTGTATCTGGGGACAGGACACGTGGTCCCATAAGAAGAGTCCAGTCAGGAAAGTAGAAAATGGGGATTCTTTTTCCTGCACCCTAAATAGATGCATGACCACCCTCCCCGCAGCAGAGCCTTTATTCCTTCATCTTGGGGCCTCATTCCTTCATCTGTAAAATGGGGACAATGACACCTGCCCTCCCCCAGCACTCCAAGCTTCCGTGAGGTTGAGACGAGATCACACGTGTGAAAGCCCTTTGAGAATAAAACCATTTTCTTTTCTTTTTTTAACCTTTGAGAGGTTAAAAAAAAGGGGACCCATTTTAGAAGTGGGCTTTTTTACACTCTTTTTTTATATTATTATTCCTTCATGAAAGGGTTTCTTCTTGTAGCTGGGATTTTTCATCTCGTGTTAAAGAGAGAGAGAGAGGGAGAGAGAGAGTTTTAAAAATAGCTATTTTAATGAAAAGAGCCGCTCCCCTGAAGAACTGGGCAGCCCTTTCTGCAGGCTTTGCTGCCAAAACTCACGATCCAAATTGATTTTTTTCCCCTCTTCTTTAAAGGTAAGTGATGAAATACTGTGGGTTTGAAAGGGCTGACATTTGGGGTAGCAATTAAACTCAGCCCCATCTAGCCGCGTGGCAGCTGGTGGCGGGCCGGCTCGTTATGGCGGAGAGGCAGGCAGAGGATTACACGGTGGGCAGAGCCGGCTCTCAGAAGAGCTCGGGCCGGCTGTCTGGAGCCAGGTAATTAGATTTAACAAGCTGGCCTGTCCCCTTCCTTCCCCACCCACTCAGGGCAGGGCAGCCAGGCCCTGGGGATCCAGCTCACACCCCCCCGCCAGTGAGGCACCCCGCAAGTCCAGGATCCTAATCACTGCAGTGATGGACGTGGGGGATATTAATGTTGAGTTGCTAATGACTATAACAGAGGCAGCAATAGTTAGCAATTCATGGCAGATGGAGATGGCAGGGCCTGCTGTATCATTAGAATCTGCCGAAGGGTGAGGAGCCTCCGACAGGGCATGGGATGGGATGGAAATGTGCAGCTCAGCAGGTCTGGGCTGGGGTGTTTGACACACGTGGCCCATCCCTGCCCTCGTCATGTGCTTCCTCAAATACAGCTATAACAAGTCACACTTCCAGCATGTTCTTCTCAGACTCCTCCTCCAGGAGGACTTTGTGATCTCCTCATGGAACCCTGAGGACCAGGCTGGCCCGGAGGGAGTCGCCTGTAGAGAGTGGGTTTCACAGCCCTGAGCTGGGCTGGGCATCTTTCTTTTGTTCTGCTCTCCGGTGACTCTGACATGCAGCCAGGACTGGGGACATCCAATCTAGAGGCGGGCCCACGGTTCACCTCAGTATCCAGACTTGAGGAGGGCACAACACCGAGCAGACCCCGGGATGTCTGTGTCATAGGCCGAAAGGGCCCGTGCTCACCCAGGGGCAACAAGACACGAGGCAAAGACAACCCATCTGTCCACTATTGTCTCTCAGCAATGCCTCCCCACTCAGAAGGCATCCAATCCTTCCCAGGGGCAGCAGGATCAAATCCAGTGCTTTAGCTGGGCATTCGAGGCCTCTGGAATTGGAGGAATCGGGAGCCATGGATCCCAGTTCTGAGCTGTCCAATTCGCTGTGGAGCACTAATGCCCCTGCCCCTCTCTGAGTCTTGGTTTGTTCATCTGTGAAAACAATGAGTTGGCCACATTGAGCTCTCCAGCCTCCCTGGCCTGAGATGCCAGAATTTCTGCAAATCTGCTCTTCCAAGGAACCTCATACATCAACCCACATGCCTCAATGCCCACCTCTAGGTAGCGCCCCCTCAGCCTGCCAACCTCCACATGAGCCTTACCCCTGGCATGAAATGCCTCTGTCTCTGCTTGTTGAAATCCTGACCCTCCTCCGGGCCCAACCAGCAGGTAGGCTTCTTCCACAAAGTCCTCCAGGGTGCCCCAGATAGAAGCCCTGTCCTTGCCCTGGGTACCTGACTCGGCTGTCTTCCAGAATGTCAGAGGTGATGACTGGTGAGAATTGCCAGTCCCTAGTGTCAATGGCAATTGCAGAGCATCTGGCGCTCCAGGGCTCCTCTCAGCCATGCTCTCATCGGTGGACCCTGCAGGGAGTCACTTGGGCCACAGGCACCCATTGCACAATGGGACAATGACGCCCCACAAGGTGAACGGGCTTGCCCAAGGTCATACGGTTACTAACTGTCAGAGTCAAAACATGGTCAGACATCTGACTCTAATACCCTAAGTCCAGGAATCCCCTCTCACTGCCCGGGTGGTTCTAGATACTATTAACTGGTCAGCTTAGGGGTCTTCACAGATTGTGGCCCCACCCCCAACACACATGCCATCAACAAGTTCTGCTCAAGTCCTTCCTCCCAGGAACTCGTTCATCGCTGGACTTTGTCCCAGGTCTCTGAATGGCAGTTAAGACCCCTTGTCACTGAGAGGCATGAGGGACAAAAGTGCCTGGCTGGCCACGCGTGGTGGCTCACACCTGTAATCCTAGCACTTTGGGAGGACCGAAGCAGGCGAATCACTTGAGGTCAGGAGTTTAAGACCAGCCTGGCCAACATGGTGAAACCCTGTCTCTACTAAAAATACAAAAATTAGCCAGGCATGGTGGTGGGTGCCTATAATCCCAGCTACTCAGGAGGCTGAGGCAGGAGAATCGCTTGAACCCGGGAGGCTGAGGTTGCAGTGAGCCAAGATCGCGCCATTGCACTCCTCTCCAAAAAAAAAAAAAAAAAAAAAAAAAAAAAGCTTACGAAGCAGGTGATCACCGACCTCACCAGCACCAGCAGTTTTCCAGAGAATAGGTCATTGTGAACATACTCAGATTCCAGCCAGGTCAGGAAGCCGGGTGGGCATGTGATGGGGAGAACTGAGAAGGAGGCCAGGCGACAATGAGAGAGTTGAGGCAGGGAGAGCCAAAGGGGACCCAGGCAGGAAGATGGGGGGCCAACAAGACAAGTTCAGCCCATCCCACGTGCTGGGTCCCTCACAGATGTACTCCTAATGCTCTTCACAGAGGGGAAGAGAAGATGGAGGAAGGGCAGAAACTTGCCAGTCTCTTAGAATCTATTATCTTCCCCACACTCCCTGCCCTAGGAGACAGAGCTGGTCCAGTGAGAATAGAGATCCCATTTCAGAGGACTCCAGGAGATAGGGTGGGAATAAATGAAGTGGTGTTGCAGAACAGTCCCTAAAATAAATAAATTAAAATCAGAGGAATTAAAGATGGCCAGTTTCAATTCTCTCCAAGCCACCAGCACGTGTTCAATGAATTGAACTCTCACTTCTAGCCCTTTCAAAGGAGGCTATTTCTCATTTTCTTATTTCCTAGTCAGTGATGTGGGAGTCTAATCACTGTTCTCTCAACTTCTCTATATCATCTGGGCAGGGAGGAAGATACTAATACTTAGAAATCATTTACATTTTTACTTTACAGCCAGGTCTTGCTCAACCTTGTGGGGTCAGGAAATGCAATCCTACATGTGTCCAGGGGTATTGAAGTAGAAAGATCCCTATTGACGCAATAGGGAATGATTCATCTGATGGGAGACTGGGGAGAAGGAACGTGCAAGGTGGATTGGCCCCTGAGACTACCCCCTGGGAGAGACCTGCTGTTGTCCAGTTCTGCTTGTTTCTGGATGCTAAGTGTGGAGAAGGAGGTCTTGGAGGCCCAGTTATGACCACACTTCCAAGCCACATTCTCCATGACTGTAGCCAGGAATCCCCTCTCACTGCACAGATGGTTCTAGATAGTATTAACTGGTATTGATAGTATTAATGGTAAAGTTGATACTTTGAACTCCATCTGCCCCATTCCTATGTAATTGTTTAGTTGGTCCCTAATCAGCTGGGGGACGGGGAGGCGAGTCAGAGTATGATTAATTATCACCCCAAACACTAAAATAAATAAAATTCACTCTCTTGTTTCCTCGTCCACTCAAGGTAAGACAGGAACAAACAAAACTTGAAGAAATGTCCTGTACTGATAAATACGGGTGGGAGATAGGAAAGGGAGAGAGACAGGATGGGAATAGAAAGATGCAGACTGATGTTGGATGGGAAGGGATGGGGTGGGGGAATCAGGCCAAATGGCAGAGGCTCCTCCGTGCAAAGCTAGATTCTCATCCCAGCACACACCCTCACAGCCCATGTCGCTGGCCAGACTGGCTACAACCAGGCAGCCCCTTCCCCGATTGCTCGGCAGGTGCCAGAGCCAGGAGAGAGGGAAGGAAGTGGATGGCTCTTCAGGAGGCTGGCATAGGTCCCAAGCAATCTGTTCCCAACTTCCTCCTGCGTGGGTGGTGGCAGCACGTCCCCAGCTGGCCCCCGCGCCTCTCACCAGCCATCAACGCACCCTCACTCTCTCCTTGTGTGTGTTGTCAAATCTTCCCAATATAGCAGCCTGGAGTCTGTCAACAGTTCTGTTCCGTGCTCACTTTCCCTCATCAAAGGATGCCAAGTCTGCTGCCCCCTCCCCAGTGGGTGCATCTCTCCTCGTGCCTCAACCTCAGCACCGGCAAGTGGAGACCCCTGCCATCTCCTGGGAAGAAGTTTGCTTGGAGAAGCCCTTCCAGCTTCCATGGTCTGGCTTACCTGGCACAGGATGGGACCTGTGCCAGGGTGTATTTGAGTGATATTAAGGAAGAGGAATCCAGGAGACTTGATGATTAACTGGATTTAGGGCAGACGGGGAGTGGAGCTTGAGGGCAATGCTCAGATTTCTGACTTGAATGATTTGGGGGAGATGCCTTTCACAGAGAGGGCAGACCCCAGAGAAGGGGCAGTTTGGGGGAATGGAGGAAGAGTGGACAGGTTGAGAGGTAGGGAGTGTGAGCTGCCTGCGGGCTTTCTAATGGGGATGTTCCAGATGCAGATGTAGATTGGAGCTCAGGAGATAGACCTGGGTGTGCAGAAGGTGCCCAAAGGCAGGATGCAATCATCCGCAGGAAAAGTCAATACACACCCATTTGCTCCAAGGGCATTCAGCAATGGGGAATTCTCAGTGTGGCAGCCCCAGGGACTCACTTTACAGAGCTCCCCTGCGCACCCTGCAGTGTGCTGCAAGGCCTGGACCCGGGTGCCGCCTGCTGGATGACCTCCATCCCCAGATGTCTATGCTTGTGTCCCAGCAGCTGCCTTCTTTTTTTTCCTGTTCCAGCTGCCTCTGTTCCACCCTCCAGAGAACAAAGAGTGGCCTGGTTTGGGCACCAGGAAACCTGAGTCCCAGTCCTAACTCTGCTGACTGACTTTGGGATTTCTAAACAAGTCTTTGTCTCTCTCTCTCTCTCTCTCTCAGTCTCCTCAACAGTAAAATGGAACCAAAGGCTGGTAGGGTCAAACAAGGTGGTGCATTTGAATGCTTTACACATGTAAGGAATCTGGGTAAAAGCTGCCCGAAGTTCTGGCCAGGTCCCTCAGTCCTGTCTCCCCACGCCTCCCCAACCACCAGACTCGTAGCAGATCCTGCACCCAGATGTGTGTGGCACCACTCTCCCCATCCTTTGTTGCCTCCTCCTCTGGGGGCTCCAGGACACTACTCGGATCTCCTAAAATCTCCACAGATCCCCCCCCCCGACCCCGTCATCTTTGACTCACCAGATAACCCGGCAGGTCAGAAGACACCACTAATAATGTTCAGGTGGTGACATTTATTGCAATGCTAAGCAGCCCCTGCTTAGCTTTCAGGGCTATCAGGAAATGTCAGGCACACAGTGAATCGCTCTATACAATGCATCTTGCAGAACATTTGCAACAATCTCTTATTTGCTGATCCTAATTGAGGCCTCGCTGAGGTGCTCAGACCCCTCCTCTCCTCTCCTGCCCTTCAGCTCAGGCACTCTCTCATGATGACCCCTTCCTTGAATCCACTTTCACCAAGGCAACCGGCAGAGAGGTGAATTTAAGATGGAGAGGCACAGCCAGACGCGGTGGCTCATGCCTGTAATCCCAGCATTTTGGGAGGCCGAGACGGGCAGATCACCTGAGGTCAGGAGAAACGCCTGGCCAACATGGTGAAATCCTGTCTCCACTAAAAATCCAAAAATTAGCCGGGCGTGGAGGCGCGCGCCTGTCATCCCAGCTACTCAGGAGGCTGAGGCAGGAGAATCGCTTGAACCCGGGAGGCAGAAGTTGCAGTGAGCCGAGATGGCACCACTGCACTCCAGCCTGGGTGACAGAGAGAGACTCCGTCTCAAAAAACAAACAAACAAAAAAAGATGGAGAGACACGCTGCGGTCCTCCTAGGACACTGTCCCTTCATTTCAGGAAGAGTAGGGGTGGGTGAAGTTGCCACCCTGATTTCTGAAAGTCAGTTCACAAATCAGAGACATAGGCTGGTGCCGTTGTGCCGAAGGGAAGGTGTTGGACACCGCCGCAGGCTGTGTTGATGTGAATGGCGCCCATCTATTCCTCCACAGAGAGAGCCCTTCACCTGGAGAGTGCTCCGGATGCAGCCCTGGCTGCCAGTCAGAGGACGCCACCCCCAGCCACAGGGGAGAGCATGACTGCACTACGCTGAGACTATGGAAGGTCCTCCCCTGAGGTTTGTCCCATCAGAACTGAGGGAAAACAACAGATCACAGAACATCTGAGCCAAAAGTTGCTGGTGGCAGTGGTTCCGGTCCCTGGAAGGAACAAATCTGCAGGCGGAAAGGATAAATCCAACACGGAGAGAGGAGGGAGATGGTCCTGATAGCATTGGAGTTCCTGGTTGCAACTGTCCCTGAAACCCGGGCTCCGTGAGCCATAGTCTTCTTTTTGCCTTGTCTGGTTCAAATTGAGTCTGTCACTTGGAACCACCATGTTGTCACACTGTTACCGACATGTTCTCTCCACTGGCCTTCTGGAAGCAGTTCCCACGTCTTTGCTGTCTAATCCAGGCCAGTCCAGAAAGTGTGGCCTGGAGATCTGGGGCAGAGCAGACCCAGTGGCCACGCGTTCCACCCAGGGCCTCTCACTGCAGCTGCAGCACCACCCGCCCTCTTTGCCAGCACCTCGTGATTCCTGCTCTGCTGCCCTCTGCTGCCCCCAACTGGCCACAGGCATCGCTGCGCTCAACTCCTCCCGCCCCTCATGGGTTGGGGCCTTTTATCACAGGGACTCGAATCAGGAAGCAGAAGAAGCCGCAGGTCCGAAGAGTAGCAGCCTCTCCCAACTCCAGTCCCAGGTAAAAAAATGTATCTCCGGAAATGGGAACTCGAGAAAATCTTTACTATTACATGTGGGTTAAAAACACTCTTGTCTTCCCTAGGGGTGCGAATACTCATAATGTACAATGGGAGTTGCTGCTGCAGATATTTTCTTCCAAGTGTGGACTCTAGGCAGGGTTCCCAGGAGGCTGGAGCAGTGGGAGAGAAAGACGGAGACCGGAGGAGAGAGCCTGGAGAGTTTAATAGAGAAACTAAGTCAATAAAACAAGAGGAACTATGGGGACAGCATAGTAATTCGGGATGTAAAAGAGCCGACGAAGAAGTAGGATTGAGCCCCAAAGAGCAGCGCAGCCTCTCTGGGCTCATATTTTCCATAAATACTATGCGAGGAAAGAACCATTTATGTGTTTATAGTTTCCAGGATACTTTAGCACATAATAGTGCATTTGATTTCACACCACCTGAGACAGTTGGGATGTGTGTTCCCTCCAAATCTCATGTGGAAATGTGACTCCCAATGCTGGAGGTGGGGGCCTAGTGGGAGATGTTTGAGTCACGGGGGTAGATTCCTCATGAGTGGCCTGGCGCCCTCCCACACTAACGAGTGAGTTCTCACTCTGTTAGTTATCGCGAGATCTGATTGTTAAGAAGAGCCTGGCACCTCCTCCTCTTTCTCTTGCACCCTCCCTGGCCAGCCAACGCACTTGCTCCGCCTTCACCTTCTGCCATGAGTAAAAGCTTCCTGAGGCCTCACCAGAAGATGATGCGGGCGCCATGATTGTACAGAGTGCAGAACCATGAGCCAAACAAACCTCTTTGCTCTATAAATTATCCCGTCTTGGGTATTCCTTTATAGTGACACAAAACGGACAAACGCACCTTCCAATATGGTAATACTGTTGTATTGACACTTTTTTTTTCTCTCACAAGGAAATAGATATTATGAGAGATTTAGTGGCTTGGCTGAGGCGTATTTTTTACAAACAGCGGAGCCTAAACTCAAGCCCAAGTCCAACTCCAAGTCAGGGGCTCTCTGCCTCCACGTGGGTGAGGCTGTATTGTACGTTGATCTAGCCATGCAGGCTACAGTCACACCACCTGAATGTGCCTGATCTCATCTGATCTAACCATACAAAGTGAAAGCACGGGCTTCTCCAGCGTCAGGGAACCAGGGTGCAAAATTTGGCCCTCCTATTTGCAAGCTGTGTGCCTTTGGACAAATTACTTAACTACTCTGAGTCTCCCACATGGGTGTGTCTCATGGGGTTGTTTTAAAAAGCAAACATTAGTATATGTGCATCACCTGAGCCAGGGCATGACACATAATAGGTACAATTATGATGGTCACAAGACTTACCACGTGCATATTTCCCAATGCAATTCTCCCATAATGTTTAGTCTGATTTTGTGTTTTCCTAGTAAATTCAAATTCAGCCCCATTTCATTATTTCAACTGTAGAAGAGAAGACCCCATGGACACCTCATCACCAAAGCAAGTTAGTTGCTTTAATCCTTATTCTACGAATGGGAAACTGAAGCTCAGAGAAGGTAAGTCAATTCTTCGAGGTCACGCAGATAATACATGGTAGAACCAGGATATGAACCCAGGTTTTTCTGACTTTGAAGCCCCCACTCTTTCCAAATCCCTGTGGTCTGTGGCAATGGGAAGCATTACGGAGGAAAGTAAGGAAACAGGGACCAGTTTGGATGCTGTTGCAGTGGTCCAGATGAGAGATGACAGTGGCATGATAGCAAAGATGGCCAGAAAGGGGTAGATTGAGGCTATGTTTAGGAATACAGCTTGCAGGCCTGACTGATGGATTAACCTGCTGAAGGGTTTTTGGCTTGAGCGACTAAGTGAGTAATGATGCCGTTTTCTGAAATGGAAAGACCAGAGAAGAAACACATTTCAGGGAGGGGATAATCAAAGATCCTGCTTTGGTCTTGTTAAGTTCAGGTGCCTATTAGTCACCCAAGTAGAGCTTTTGGATCGATAGCTGGGTAAATGCATCTGGATCTCAGTGGCGAGGGCAAGACAGGCGATATCCACAGAGAGATGACAGGTAAAGCCAGTGGATTCCATGATATCACTTGAGAGGGAATGAATACAGAAAAAAGGTCAGGGACTGAGCCCCTGGGCCCTCCAACATTTGGAGATCCAAGGTCGGGGGGGTACCAGTGAGCTGGAATGTGGTATCCTAGAGGCCCAGAGGAGTCAATATGTCAGGAAGGAAAGAGTGGACAGCTCTGTTCAATGTCCATTAGAGGCTCTGTGAGGGGAGGACCTAGAAGTGGCCAGTGGAGTCTGGCCTATGACCTTCATTAAGGCAGATACTATGTGCAGCACCCACTGAGCCTCACCTCATCCCCATTTTCACCCCATTCTTTGACCTTTTATGTACTCTTTGAGGCTAGGCCATCCCTCTTGCTACTGTTTTTAAGACTGAAAAAACATTTCCATTTTAACTCTCCTTCATGCCCTTATTCAGCAAATAAACATTATGCAAATAAACATGCAGGTCCTATATCGGTCACTGGGGACACGGCCATAAGATGTGGCCTTGACCTTGACACTGGGAACTTTAAAGGGAGAACAGATATGTCAGCAGTTCCTTACAGTAGATTCTGGTCATGTTCTGGTAGAAAAACCTCCTGGCGACTCTGGGAACACAGAGGAAGGCCAGGGAGAGCTTCACAGAGGAGGTGATACTTGGTCTTGGCCTTGAGGGATGAATAGGAGTTCAGCCAGCGGGCAACAGGGTTCCCTTTGCCCTGACAGAGGGAATGGAGGCACAAGAGAGCACAGTAATTGGGAAACTGTGCTTCATTGGGCAGCTGGAGCAAAGAGTAAATGTAAAGGGCATGGAATGGTGCAGGGCCCAAGTCTTTAGGGACCTTAAGCATGAGGCTAAAAAACTTGGACTTTGTAGGCCAACATTTCCTCCAAAATTACCTCTAACCTTAAATCCCAAGTTTCCTATGCGAAATCAATAAATCCCAGGGTGAAATACACAGGGCCTGCTGCAGAGGAGACCCTTCCTCCTGGAGACGCACTGTGTTCATTAGCATTTAAAAGGCCAGACAAACACTACAGGAGAAAGAAAAGAAAAGAAAAGAAGAGAAGAGGAAAAGAAAAGACAAGACAAGAGACAAAGAGGGAAAGAAGGAAGGAAGGAAGGGAGGGAGGGAGGGAGGGAAGGAAGGAAAAAAGGAAGGAAGGGAGGGAGGGAGGGAAGGAAGGAAGGAAAAAAGAAGGAAAGAAGGAAAAAAGGAAGGGAGGGAGGGAGGGAAGGAAGGAAAAAAGGAAGGAAGGGAGGGAGGGAGGGAAGGAAGGAAGGAAAAAAGAAGGAAAGAAGGAAAAAAGGAAGGGAGGGAGGGAGGGAAGGAAGGAAGTAAAAAGGAAGGAGGGAAGGAAGGACAGAAGGAAGGAAGGAAGGAAGGAAGGAAGGAAGGAAGGAAGGAAGGAAGGAAGGAAAGGAGGGAAGGAGGGAAGGAATTTACCTTCTGATTTTCCAAACGTACATCCCATGTGACCCTTGGTCATGGAATGCATACTGGCATCCCCACACAAGTAATGTTGCCCAGTCACACAGTGGGAAAAGTTGTGCCAGGGCTGGGGATCATTCACAATTTAAGCAGGAGAATGGCTCCCCTGGAGGCCGGACAATGGCAAGATGGCCATTAAGGGGCCTCATTAGCCCTGGAACCCATAGATGGGGACCAAGTTCATCCCTTTACCCAGGGACTAAGAACACCTTCATTTATTTCTTCAGCAAATATCTGGTGAGCACCTCCTCTGGCCAGCTGTGCTGATGCCGGCAGTACAGTGCAGAAAAAACTCAGGCACAATCCCTGCCTCATGGTGCTTTCTGGCTTACAGACGCTATTACTATTCACATAATCGCATAGATTGAGATTTGGAGGAAAATACACAGTTCTGTAAGAAAGGAACCTGGCATCCAGGATGGTTTTCCTTAGTAAGCTATGCCTGGGCTGAGATCTGAAGGATGGGCAGGAGTAGGCAAAGAAGAGAGGTGTTGGGGGAATGACATTCTGAGCACCATGTGCAAGGGCCCTGAGGCAGAAAGGAAAATACTGCAGCTATAACACAAAAGGGAGAGCCAAAAATGGTTGCCTACTGATCACTTAGCAACTTTGGTTCACAGTCTTATCTATGACTGTGTATGCCTGGCCACACATTAGAAATCAAGTGCCCCCAGTATCTGAGATTTGAATGTTCTAGAAAGAACATCCAGAAGGATAGCCAGAGGAACAGCAGTCTGCACTGGCATTTTCTGCTTAACAAAGGAGAGAGTGAGGAGTGGAGAGGGCTCCCAGAGACCTGGCAGATTAGCTCAGCTGCTTCAAATTCAGCTCTCCGAGGCCAAGCGTCCGTTCCCTTGTGAGTGCCTGGCTTTGCACAGAAAACCTCCTTTCTCGGAAGGAGCCTAGCCAAGCACTGTGCTAGGTGCCTCCCACACATAAACTCAAGTTGCCAGGCACCAGATGTCCCTACATGATCCGGTCCTAAGGCTCACCCTTCATGTAATATTTGAGTAAAACGGTCCCCGCAAGCATCCCACATATGGTAGGAAATCCGGGAGCCCCAACAAGCCCTGAAGAGACATGTTTCTCCTTAATATCATTCACATCCAGTTTCTCCTTTGGCTGAGTCTCTATCTCACTGGGATCTTGCCTCCTGTCAGTAGAAGCTTGATTAACTGTTACTTTCCTGGGGCAGAGGCCATGCCATTCTTGTTAACCATTGTTGCTCTGGTCCACAGAAAAAAAGCCCAGTGCATAGTAAAAATGGTGACAATAGCTTACATTTGTTTTACTTTTACAAATAAAAGTCGCTGTTCTAAGGGCATTAGACACAGTAACTTATTTATTCCTAGTCTCATTCCTATGTGGAAGGGTTATTTTTAGTTCCATTATATGGATAAGCGTAACTGTGGCTTGGGGAGGGGATGTCACCTGCCCGGGTTCACACCGCTTGTAAATAGCAGGAGCAAGATTTAAACTCAGGTCTTTGGCTCCAAAGCTTGCATTCGTCGTCTCTATTGCCTCAATGAATACGTGCTCGGTAACTATTTGTTGAGTAAATGAACGATCCCTTCTTTGGGGTGGAAGCCTGGCCTTCCTCACCTGGACACCTTAGGGCAGTCCCTTGGTCAGAGCTTGCTGCAAGAATCCATTTTGCACACAAGTATAGCAAGGATGGTGGTCTGGCTTTACAGCTCAGGACTGAGAAATCTGTCCAAGCTGGGGAGAGTTCTAAGAGGCAGTCATTCTGTGACAGTTGGCAGCTTGATGGGACATGGCTGGAAGGGGTGATGACTCCGGAAATCAGAGCAAGACTAAGCAACCCCACCCCACCCTCACCCCCACCTCTGCGGGCTCCAGGGCAATTGCTAGGTTCTTCTCACTTTGGCGATGTGCATTTGTTGGTGAGCACCATGTCCAAGCCAAGTTAAATGAATTCTTGTCAGCATCCTGTGTGTGGGTGTATGTACAGGAGGAGGGGGGAGGTAAAGAGAGAGGGGAGAGATAGATAGGAGTGTGATACATTTCAGATTTTTAAAAATCAAAATCAGTTAAAATCAAAATAATACTTTGGTGCCTAAAGGAGATAAACTTCAATTATCTTGAATCTTTCCTTCTGAGCAAAGCCCACTGCTGATAATGCTAAATAAATGAGGTGTTACTGTATTAATGTTGTCAACAATAACAAACATTTGCATAGCATTGTTCAGGCTACAAGACATTCATTCATTCCTTCACTGGTCACTGTGTCAGATAGGAATGCTTACAGCTGCAAGCGTCTGCATAGGAACTAGAAGTGGCTCAAACTTAGTGGACATTTATTGTTAATTAACTATAACTTTCATGGTAGGAGTTCCCAGGGCTGATTTGGCAGCCCAGTGTATTATAATATCATTGAGGATCCATGCTCTTCTCTTTCTCTCCTGCCATCCTCAGATGATGTTGTTCTTTCCAATTGTGGTTGCCAGTTGGTTACTTCATCACCAAACCCCTCACTCTCCTTAACAATCTTGACAGCAGGAAGAAAGCTTCAAGAGCAAGCATGCTCTCCTCACACACCTCCTTTCTTTGATCAGGGATGGAAATCTGTCCCAGAACTCCCAGTAGACTTTTCCTTGTATTCCATTGGCTAGAACTAGGTCACACACCCACCCACCCCACCCACCCCGCCCATAGCAGTCACCACGAAGGGACACAGGGTTGCCATGACTTTTCCAGAGCCATCAGGCACAGTTGTCATCTGGCCTGAATTGGGGCGCTGCTAGCAAGAATGAAGGCAGAATGGCCATCGGATTGGTTGCATTCATTCATTCCACAAACATCTTTCCCATGCCCTATTCTTTTATTTTTATTTTTTTTTTTTTTTTTTTTTTGAGACGGAGTCTCGCTCTATTACCCAGTCTGGAGTGCAGTGGCACTATCTCAGCTCACTGCAAGCTCCGCCTGCCGGGTTCATGTCATTCTCTGCCTCAGCCTCCCAAGTAGCTGGGACTATAGGAGCCCGCCACCACACCCAGCTAATTTTTTGTATTTTTAGCAGAGACAGGGTTTCACTGTGTTAGCCAGGATGTTCTCGATCTCCTGACCTCATGATCCGCCAGCCTCGCCTCCCAAAGTGCTGGGATTACAGGCGTGAGCCACTGCACCTGGCCCTCCCATGCCCTATTCTAGGTGTAAAGGATATGCAAATGATTAAGATGGAGTTCCAGTGACATCTGTGCTATATTATCTCCATCTTACGGATAAAGAAACTGGCTCAGATCGCTGAATCGGCTTGCCTGAAGCCCCTTCCAATGAAGGATCCCATTCCAAAGCCCTTGCTCCTTCCACCACGAGTTGCCTTTTTGATTGCACAAATCTTCCTGGAGTTACCCTGAGTGGCATGGCCTGTGTCCTCCCTAGAAGGATGCTAAGAGGATTGTGTTTTATGCCTTGGCCCTTTGCTGGCAGGTGCTGTTCTGCCCAATCTGAGATTTATGGAGTCCTAAGATGCTCCCACAGGATGCAGATGGAAGATGCCCCCTCTCTAACAACCAGGCAGGCTCCCTGCAGATGGGCCCCAGATGGTGGCATTATCTGAGCAGTGGGATGGAGCCAGGAGAGGGGTGCTGAGAGAGGTGGGCCAGGCTTGGTCAGCCAAGTGTTCAGTGGAGAGCGTGGCTCAGGCTGGAGGGATGATGCCTGGTAGGTTCAGAGCTGCCGGCCTGTGACAGGTTTGGCTGAGGTTGGCACTGTTGCCCCAATCCTGGCACTTGTTACTTCACATGGATCGGTGCCTAGTAGGGAGTGGTGCAGACCCTGAGCTCACTGGAGCCTCTGATTGATGCTGAGCCCAGAGTCAGGAATATGAGGGCTCCTGGCTGGGTTATCACCGTTGTGCTGTGACCATGCCTGCAGACCTGAGATGAGGCAGGCTCGGGGGGCACTCTCCTGGAAGCCCAGTGTGGCTCTCTCCCATTGGTTCTCCTCACGAAGTAATAGGAGTAATGGCTAAAAATATGGACTCTGGAGCTGGACTTTCTGGGTCTGCCTCCTGGCCTCACCGGTGGTTAACTGTGTAACCTTAGGCAGGTTGCTTAACCTCTCTGGTTTCAATCTGTAAAACAAGACTAATAACGGTGCCAACCTCATAGGATTGTTTTGAAGCTTAAATAAGAAAGATCACGTGTGTAAAATGCTTTGAACAATACAGGCATGTAGTGAGTATCAGCCGAGATGATTATTACACCAACGCCTTGACACCGTACAAACCTCACTAGCTTGTATAACCCAAATGCCAGCTGGGTGCCTCCATGTTCTTGCATTTGAGTGATGACTTGGGGGAACTTTCCAATCTCTATGTCTTGGAGAAGTCCCACTCCCTCCCTGGGATTGCTATGAGATCTGGGAGACTTGAGGTCTCTGGTTCACATCCCTTTCCTCTGAGTCCACCTGGGTTGAAGAATTCAGCTGCTACTTCATTGGTTTTTACAACAAATCCGATCTCACCAAGCATTCAGGATGTGCCCACACTTGAGTGGTGGTGGGAGTGGGGTGTCGTGGGGGGGTCCCTCAGTGCACAGTGCTCTCTCACTGCTCCTTCCCCCATTGTCTCCCCTCCTGCTTTCCAACCCTTCCCCATCTGTTCCCCTCCTCCCTCAGCTAAGCAGAAGAACGTCTCCCTGAGCCACACCAGTAGCTGCCATTTATCAAGCACTTGTTATGGGCCAGGAGCTGTTCTAGGTACTTTATAGAATCACCACGTTTAAACCTCATGAGACATCTGCAAGTACAAGCTTTTGCTATCCCCATTTTGGGGACCAGGGAAGAGGCCACACAGCCAGGAAGCAGCAGATACAGGGTTCAATCCAGGCAGTGTGGTCTCCGAGCCTGGCATTCTACAATCTACTGCACTCTTTGGCTTCTTCTGTAACCTTAGCTTCAGGCATGGAGGCTAAACTTACATCTACATGAGTTTATGAAAAATCTTTTCCCAACAAACATGTAATCTCTGCTTAAGGGCAATTCCTACTCTAATCTGTTCCTTCTTTGTTTGTCTCTCTGTGCACACAGGGAGACAGAAAAGTGTTGAAGGAAAAAGGTGGACTTTGATGCTGCTCAGGTTGGAATTTCAGGCTTGGCTCTTCACCTCTCTGAGGCTCAGTTTTCTCTCCTGTGAAATGGGTTAATAACAGTACACAAGGCATTGTGATGGTCAAAAGAGTTATGACATACACGCCTGGGTCAGTGGGTGGTCAGTAATGGGTGCCCGTTATCATCAGTATCTCTCCCCGCCAGCTCCCAGCATGGGGCCTTCCACAGGTAACATCAGAAAGACCTTGTTAGGTTGCATTTCTAAGTCTTCTGGGCTGGCTTCTGGTGCAGTTTCTCCATGGTCCACCCTGTTCATCTTCCTGCCTCCAGCTGGGTTCTCTCCCACCTCGAAGCCCCCTCTTCCCTTCTGTACCATCTCTAGCAGTAGAGGGTCCCCTCTTTCCAGTGTCTCATAACCCCCTGTAAAGCTGGTCCAAGAGCAGAATTCATCCGGGCTGGTAGGGGATAAGACTGAGTGACTGGGTGTGCCTCCCACTCACCTGCCTTGCTGGCAGTGACAGCCTCACCCAGCCTAGAGAGCACCTGGCCTGAGACAGGCCGAGAGAGGGCCAGGCTGCACTCTTCTCAGGGTGCAGTGGGTCCGGGCTCCACTTGGCTGGGACCTGTGCTGGGGGTTGGAAAAGAAGTTTCTCCTGGGAGGGGGGTGTGAGTAGCAGGAGACCTCCTGTGCCCACAGCCTGTCCAGTTCCCACTGCAATCCCTGAAGCCGCAGAGCCAGATGGAGGCAAGGATCAGGTGCCCCAGGCTCCAGGGCCAGCCCCATGCAGCTAGGCTGAGGGATCCTGGGTAGGTCCCTTTACTATCTGTGCCTCCTTATCCTCTGCACAAAAGAGCTTGGGGACAGCTCCACCATGATGGGTGCTTGGACTCGGATCAGTGTGAAACTGTTTGGCTAGGGATACCCTGCATCCTGCGTGGACACACCCTCTAAAGTGGAGGTGGGAAGTTGGGTTGACCTGGCCTCTGTGACCTCTGTGGAGGAGAAGAGAACCCTCATTCCAGACCACAGACAGGTTTGAGCCTCCCCATAGTGGGGCTATTAAGCCACTCAGCCCCTGAAGAGCCCGTGTGTCTGTGTTGATGTGTGTGTCTGTGTTTGCATGTGTGTATGTATATGAGTGTGTCTGTGCTGTATGCGTGTGTATGTGTCTATGTTTGCTTGTGTGCATGTGTATCTCTGGTTTTCTCTGTGTGTGTCTACGTTTGCATGCATGTGTGTGTGTGCGCACCTCTGTGTGTATATCTTTGTATGTGTGTGCGCATGCGTATGTATATGTATATCTCTCTCACTGTGTGCGTGCATGCGAGTGTATTTGTGCTGCTTGTGTGCTAAGCTGTAAGTGCTCTTCCTGCTCCCCCACCTCCCTGGAAACCAGCCCCTCCTCTGGTGCACTGCAGGCCATGTCTTCCCTGTCTTCTCTGCATAGAGTGTAAAAACCCGCGTTTTTGTGTCTCAGTCACTTCTAATGGCAGGAATGGACTTCGGCAGATGAGTCGCCTTCAGGGTTGCTGCCTTCTTCTGTTCCAGCCTTTCCCTTTCTCTATGTCTCCCCCTTACCTGTCTTATCCTCTCCACTTCCCCTTCACGGGGCCTCTGACTCTCTCTCTTGCCCTTCTTTCCCAGCCCCTGTCTCTGCCTTCCTCCTTTTGTCTCTCCTCTCTTCATCTCTCCCTTCCTGGCACTGCATCTCTCCCTGTCTCTGTCTCCCCCATCTCCAGCACCAGCTGACAGCTGATCCTCTGGGAGGCGTGAAGATGGAGTTGGCAGCTGAGGAGCTGTGAGGGTGCCGAGCCAGGCGCCGGGTGGAGCTGCTCCACATTCAGGATGGGAGATGGCGGCTTCCAGGAAGGCAGAGGAGCCTCTCAGAGGGCAGGAAGAGGAAGAGGAGGCAGAGCTTCCGGGCAGAACTGTGGGGTCAGGGTGTCAGTTATCCCCAGGAGGGGACCAAGGTCTTCAGGGAGGTGGAGACGGGGTGGATGGGGGATGAGGTTCTGAGGGTGGCACGTGTATGTGTGCATGAAGCCTGGAAGCTCCTAGACAGGAGAAGCCCGCTATTCTGAGTCTTGTCCCTGACTCCCCCTAACCCAACACGTGCCTGGCACTGACACATGAAACCCTAGCCGATGGCATGGGAGCCCATTTCCTGGGAGCTCTGGGGCAGCAGACCAGGAGAGAGCTGCTAGTCTGGGAGCAGAAGGTGCCCAGCATGCCTCACTGCGCCATCAATTATGCTGAGCGTTGTGGAGGAAAACCAGGAGGCAGAGAGCAGGAGTGAGATCTTAGGGCTCCTTGCTCTCCAGTGCCCTGACCATGCTGCACAGCAATGAAAGTGGCCTGAAGGACAAGGACTCAGAGTCACCTTGTGCTCTTCAGAGAGCTCACAGCTCACAGAAGCAGACTATTCTGTTTTCAGAAACCAAGTCTCCTAGAAAGAACACACAAAGTGACAAACTCCTATTCATCCTTCAAAGCCCAGCTCAGATGTTATCTTGTCACAGGAAGCCCTTCATGACTCTCCACCTACAGGGACTCTCTTCCACAGCATGTCTCTACCTCGGACCTGTTTCTTTCATGACACCGAGCCCACCACTTGGTAATATTTGTATATCTGCGTGTCTTCCTCATGAGACTTAGAGCTCCTTGAGGGTGGGGAAAATATCTGATCTA
Organism: Homo sapiens; assembly: GCF_000001405.40. Taxonomy (NCBI): domain Eukaryota; kingdom Metazoa; phylum Chordata; class Mammalia; order Primates; family Hominidae; genus Homo; species Homo sapiens. Next base: position 36,692,455 of record NC_000001.11, on the reverse strand, counting down.
TTTCTCTAATGTCTAATATGAGGCAGACCGAGAGTGGGTTTCTGAGTCAGACACACAGATCCTCAGATGACGGACTGGGCTAGAGAAATAGGGTTGGGCAGGAAAAGATGCTTCAAGTCCAGGGACCTATTCTGAATGTCCCAGGGAGGGGCAGGGTGATGGAGTAAGTGTAGCTGCCCCTCCTGAGAATCAGGACACCACATCTTAATGGGCCATTTGATGAGCACTATGGACTGAGGCCCCATTCTTGGTACTGTTTTCCCTGGGACCCCGGGGCAGAGAACAATATGGAGGTGAGGGGAGGTGGTGGGAACTCCACTCTGAAGAAGAGACATGGCCCTGACCCAGAGACCTTCAGTCTGAGGAGGATGAGCATGGCTCTGTCCCTCGAATTGGAGGGAGCACATGCCTGTAGAGACAGTGTCTCCTCACTCTATAGGCTGGTTTGTCACAATCCAGGTAACGTCTATCTGTCTGTCCTGTCTCTCATTCAGTCTTAGAGCAATTCCTCCACTCCCCATCCTGTGTCTAATGAACCTGACATTCAGAGAAAATGTCTTTGGTAAAGGTCACAAGAGGGAGGTGGCATTCTTGCTGACAGCACCTGTCCTTCCTGTGCCAGCACTCCCTCCTTCAAGACAAAGTGCCAGGACTACGTCCCTCAGAACCCGCACCTGCCCCACCAGTCACCACCTCCAAGCCTCCCAGTCTTCATAAACCCTCTCACTTGGAAAGACACCGTGCAGGTTATTCATTCTCCCTGCTGGCCATAGAAGTTGCAGGGATGACTCAGATCCGGCCCTACCTGGCAGGGTGCTAGGGTAGGCATATCCTAGGAGCAGCCAAGCTGAATTCCTAGCTCCAGGGTGTATCTGTAGTGGGAGGTAAGAGATAAGGCCAGCAAGAGAGGCAGAACCTAGGTGGTGAAAATTACACACTCCAGCCTCAGAAGCTTGGCCTTGATCCTGAGGACACTGGTGAGTCATGAAAGAGTGTGGGCACGGAGATGTTCACATTTGTGCTTTGGGAAGATCCCTCTGGCTGCAGGATGAAGGATGGATGCAGATGGAGGCAAGAGATGACCGTGGCCTGGTCTAGGGTGGTGGATGGATTGGAGAGAGTTTTTTGGCCAAGGGAGAGGAAGTGGTGGAAGATGGGGTGCAAGTTTTAGCCCTGGTGGCTCAGCGGAAGGTGATGGTGTTTACTGAGATGGGAGGAGCAGGTTGGAAAAAAGATGATGAGTTGGTTTTGAATATGTTGAGTTTGCTTGGGAGACGGAGATGTCCAGTGGACAGTTCGAAAGAGGATCTGGAGCTCGAGATGGAAGTCTGTGCAGGGGAGGTGGACTTCGAATGGCCTGTGCTGCAGTTGGTAATTGAAGCTGTGGTGCGGACACGGTGTGGACACCGTTTCAGAGGTATGGTGGGAGACCAAGCAGGGGGGAGGGCCCAGGACAGCACCATCAGGGATGCTGGTATTGAGAGGCGGGGCATGAAGAGGAGGTCATGCTGGAGTCTGAAAGGGAGCAGTCAGAGGAGAGGACTTCAAGGGGAGAGTGGTCACCAGGGCCACCTACTCGTCAACCCTCAAAGGAAGCCTTTGCCATTCTTGTTTCACAGGTGTAACGGCAAAATAACTTGCAGTAGAATTGGGAGTCAAATCTGGCTCTATCAGATTCCAAAGGCCGACTCTTGGCTATGCTTACACTTCTACCTACAGAGGCTGGTCACCCACAGGACATCCATGTTCAGTTCTCAATCCAGGGGTGCCCTTGGGGAGGAGGGCTTAAGGAGGCCTGTCCCACTAGGATGAGCTCTGCATTAGTTATACTGCTCTTAACCGTGTGCCTGGGGAGGTCCCAACCATTCTCCCCTCAACCTTACTCTCAAGTTAACTCCATATGACCTGTCTTCTACCTCAGATTCTCTGCTTAGCCCCCACGATTCCCAAAGTGACTGGAGTCTACCATAAATACCAACTTAATAATTGCTAATAATTCCATGGCACAACCTACATTCTAGCTTCTCTCTATACATTAGTCTTCCAGCAACCCTTGAGATAGACAGCATTATCTTTGTTTTATAGATGGGGAACCTGAGGCATTGAGCATTTAAGTACTTTGCCCAAGCTCACACAGCTGGCAGATGGCAGAGCTGGGATTCAAACCTAGGCAGCTTGTGCTCTTCACTGCTCTAAGCCCTTCCTCTTGGCTCATGGCCATCTCTTCTTCAGATCCTATTTCCTTCTGTGAATCTAGTGAGTACTCAACAACATAAGGCTAGGCAGTGCCTGCCACTCGTGGATGATGGGAATGAGGGTGGTGATGGTGGGGACACTTAGGATGGCACCCTGCCTGTTGTCTCTGAAGATCACGCCTCTCTCTGATTCCCCTTATGGTGCAGCTGCAGACTTTGATGGTGGGGACGGATTTGCCTGGAGCCATCAGCACTTGGAACCTTGTGTTTCAAGGATGTTAAAGGGGGCAGTTTCAACAACTTGTTGTCAGACAGACTTGGTTCAAGTCTATGGGAACTTAGACACATGACTTAAAACTATCCATGCCTCTAGTTACTCTTCAGTAAAATGGCCACGACAAGAGCAGCCCCATTCCCCCTGCACACAGGATGGGGGAGAAGGAGGTGATTATAAATGGCAAAGCTTTGTGCGTTCGTACACTTAACCCAAGCCCTACTCCCAGGCCCCATGGAGCAGTTGGGAGTGCGTGTGGTTATTCCATTAGGAAGACCAGAGTTTGAATCTTGGCTTTTGTTACTCCGTCTCTGCCTCCCTTGGCCTCAGTTACCTAATTTATCAAGTGGGGGTAATAATAGTATCTACCCCATGGTATACAGAAGCAACTGCTTTTTTTCAAACCACCACTGTGTACACACCCTTTGTCTTTTGGGAAAGAGGCATAATTTTTCTCCAGGGTGGATTGTTCTTTGTTTAGCAACATGCCTTGATGGCCTTGATGGCTGTTTTTAGAGGGAAAATTACCTCCCCTTCTCCAAGAGCATGGACTCAGCAGGCTTGGCAAGATAGCAACCCTGCCTGCTCCACTGGGACAGATGCTGCTGGTGCCCTTGTGCCCCTGCCCTCCATGCTCAGCCCCTGCGAGGTTCTGAACCCCTCCAAATGAGAGCCTTCTCAGGGCCTGCCTGAGATGCAGGTTGGACCTGCCAGGGAGTCACTGCCACTGGGAGCAGCCTTCAGCCAATAGCAGACGGAAGTTGGAGGCTAAACACAGCTTCTTTGACCCTCAGGTGGGCCGACTCTGAGGTGTGTTCCACACCTCAGTGAAATGTCCCAGTGAAATGTCCCAGTGAAATGGAGCCCCTGTTGCCCACAGTGATGGCTCATCAGCACTCTGTATTGGCTCACTTCCCTTCCCCTTCCCATACCCCTTCCCCTTCCCACGCCCCTTCCCCTTCCCATACTCCTTCCCCTTCCCATATTCCTTCCCCTTCCTTCCCCTTCCCACACCCCTTTCCCTTCCCATACTCCTTCCCCTTCCCATACCCCTTCCCTTTCCCACACCCCTTCCCCTTCCCACACCCCTTTCCCTTCTCACATCCCTTCCCCTTCCCACACCCTTTCCCCTTCCCATACCCGTTCCCCTTCACACACCTCTTCACCTCCCCACACCCCTTCCCCTCTCCACACCCCTTCCCCTTCACACACCTCTTCCCCTTCCCACACCCCTTCCCCTTGCCACACCCCTTCCCCTTCCCATACCCCTTCCCCTTCCCACGCCCCTTTCCCTTCCCATACTCCTTCCCCTTCCCATTTCCCTTCCCCTTCCCACACCCCTTCCCCTTCCCATACTCCTTCCCCTTCCCATTTCCCTTCCCCTTCCCACACCCCTTCCCCTTCCCATACTCCTTCCCCTTCCCATTTCCCTTCCCCTTCCCACACCCCTTCCCCTTGCCATACTCCTTCCCCTTCCCACATCCTTTCCCCTTCCCATACCCCTTCCCATATCCCTTCCTTTATGAAGAAACATAAGTCTCTTCAGGGCTTGTCGGGGCTCCTGCCGTCCCCTCCCCTCCTCCCTCTCCTCCCCTCCCCTCCCTTCCCCTCCCCTTTTTCTCCTTCCTTTTCCCTTTCTCTTCCCTCCCTTCCCCTCTCTTCCCCTTTTTCTCTTCCTTTCCTTTCCCTCCCCTTCCCTTCTGTCTTCCCTGTTCCTTTACCCATGCTTCCTGGGAGCACCTCCAAAAAAATGACTTGCACTCATATCCTTACCTCAGGTCTCCTTCTTGGTGAACTCAGCTGAAGACATCCAAGATGATGAGAGTCTCCCCAAGATATAGGAGAAGAGATGTAAGAAGGGCTTTGAGAGACCAGGAGTCTGAGCAACATGGTGGAAACTGATAGGCTTGAAGATGAGACATAGCCAGTGAACATTACCAGGAATGGCTGAGGCTCAAGAGTGTGGGTTTGATTTTAAGTCATGTGCTGGCCTGTGTAACCACTCTCATTACCCTCAAACCTCCAGTGAAACTCACTCATCTGGGACAGCGTTGTGCTCCTGGGAGCTTTGGGGAATCAGAGAGGCTGCAGAGTTTTCTGGGTTAGCTCAGGGGAGAGAGAATCAGATAGACAGATGTATTTCTAACACATACAAATACGTTCTAACAGGAGAACTTATACCTTCTTCACTTGCCAGGGAGAAGCCCAAAGGAGTGGCTATGCCCCAGACTAGAGAAGCCAGAGGTGGCTTCCCAGTGGTCCAAGTTGGGGCTAAAAATGTTAGTGTGTACTTTAATTTCCTGGGGCTGTCTTAATAAACTGCCCCAAACTAGGTGGCTTACAAGAGATATTTAGTCTGTCACCACTCTGGAAACAAGAAATCTGAAGTCAAGGTGTCAGCAGGACTGTGCTCCCTCCGAAAGCTCTAGGAGATGAGAGGCCTCTCCCGGCCCCCGGTGGCTGTTGACCTTCTTTATGATTGCATCACCCCAATCTCCACCTTCCTCTTCACGTGGCCTTCTCCCCTCCTTTGTGTGTCTGTGTCTTCTTCTGTCTCTTATAAAGACATTGATCAGATTTTGAGTCTGTCCAGGGCAATCCAATATGATCAATCTCATCTTAAGATCTGTAACTTAATGATGTGTAAAAAGACCCTTTTTCCAAATAAGGTCACGTTCACAAGTTCTGGGGGGCAGGATGTGGACATTTCTTTTTAGAGACCACCATTCAACCCACACATTGGGGGTCTGCCAGGCAAAGAGAAGCAGGATGTGAGCTCCCATGATAGAACCCCCAGCAGACAATGAGAAGGGCCATGTGAGAGAGGATGCTGGGCAGAGAGGAGCTTGCCTGGTCTGGGCAGAGACAACATAGAGGCAACAACCTGAAGTGTCAGGACTCAGAGAAGACACTGGGTGTTGGCACCAAGGTCCACAGGGAACCCCAGGCCAGACCAGTTATGAGAGGTAGGCATTGGGGAGGGCTGCAACTTGGTGGGCACATGAGTGCTCGGGGTATGTCTTTGGACACTGAGGTTGCCAGTTTAATTCTAGACTCCTTTCCTTCCCCAACACCTGGAATGGGATTGGACCTCTGCTTTCGTGACAGTCCTGACTGTCTCCCTGGCACTGAGCCTTGATGTCTAACTAATACCATGGAAGCTTGGTGGCTTTGACCCACCCTGCCCCAGGCAGCCCTCCAAGCATCCACAGAGCTCTCCCCTCCTCAGCATCTACCAGGCACCTGCTCCACAGGTGTCCACATCCCAAACAGTTTTTTCCAGCCACCCCTGCCAGTTCTTTTAAAATGGGTACATGCTTGCATTTGGCATGTTTATTTATAAAGTATATTTCTGTATCACTGCACTAATGTTTTACGTGTATTGTAAAACATAATTAAAATTATTTAGATTTAAATTGATAAGATAAAGATAAAATATTTTAAATCATTTTATTGTACATAGTTATTAATATTAATGGTTCAAAGCACTTTTGTTCTCACTAAAAGATTAAATGAAGGCCAGGCACGGTGACTCACGCCTATAATCTCAGTACTTTGGGAGGCCGAAGTGGGTGGATCACCTGAGGTCAGGAGTTCGACATCACGCTGGCCAACATGGTGAAACCCCACCTCTACTAAAAATACAAAAATTGGCTGGGCATGGTGGCAGATGCCTGTAACCTCAGCTACTCGGGAAGCAGAGGCAGGAGAGTTGCTTGAACCCAGGAGGCGGAGGTTACATTTAGCCGAGATTGCACCATTGCGCTCCAGCCTGGCCGACGAGAGAAAAACTCCATCTCAAAATAAATAAATAAATAAATAAATAATAAAAATTTAAAAAAGATTACATGGGAACCATGTGATTGAAAATGTTTCATTTTTAAAAAGCAAAGCTGTGTGATACGGCAAGTCAAAGGCCTGGTTCTTAATTCAGATTATTTTGATACTTGGTTTTAATTACTGGAGGTGTCAGGGAGGAAGATTACTTGCAAAGATGCATTGTTCTAAATGGAAAAACAACAATGCTGGCTGTGCTTACTAAATACTCATAGTTATTTTACATTCTCATCCACCAACTATGCAAAGTTTTTTGTTGAAATTCAGCAAGCAAATTTCCATCTTCCCTGATGTCAATCAGTGATTCTTGCAAACTAATCAAAAGGTGTTATATTTTTATATTTTTAGCAAATCAGTTCTGAAACACTTTGGAAGTTTTTAAACAGGTTAAAATATTGTTTCCAAGTTTTTAAAGTTTTCATACATAGGAGTTGCTATGGGTGATATATGTACAACATTTTCTATCACAAAAATCACCAAACAATGACATTTCCAAACGTTTGTTTTAAAAAAAAAAATGCTCTCTCCATAGCACTAGTTACTTTCAGAAAGTAATTTCTCTTTGAGTCATTATTCACATGTCAAATGTACCACGGAGAGACAGAGAAAATGTGTGTGCTTTTTTTTTTTTCTTTCAAGATCTCTGTCACCTAAATGCAATGTGGTATCCTGAATTGGATCCTGGAACAGAAAAAGGGCATTCGTGGCAAATCTGGTAAAATCCAGAGTCTGGAGCTTTGTTAATAGCAATGTACAGTGTTAATTCTTAGTTTTCACAAATGTATCGTGGTTATGTAAGAAGTTACATTATGGGAAACTGGGCACAGAGCATACAATTACTCTCTGTACTATCTCTTCAACTCTTCTGTAATATAAAATCATTTCAAAATTTAAAAATTCACTTAAAAAATGTTTGGGCCGGGTGTGGTGGCTCCCACCTGTAAATCCCAGCACTTTGGGAGGTCAGGGCAGGAGGATTACTTAAGCCTAGGAGTTTGAGACCAACCTGGCCAACTGGTGAAGCCCCGTGGGCACTAAAAATACAAAAATTAGCTGGGAGTCATGGCGCATGCCTGTAATCCCAGCTACTCAGGAGGCTGAGGCAGGAGAATCACTTGAACCCGGGAGGCAGAGGTTGCAGTGAGCCAAGATCACGCCACTGCACTCCAGCCTGGGTGACAGCGGGAGACTACATCTCAAAAAAAAAAAAAAAAAAAAAAAAATATATATATATATATATATATATATATATATATATGTATATTTATTTATTTATTTATTTAATGTTTGGTTGTATAGCATACTTTTGACAGCCATTTATTTAAATGGTCAGCAAGTTTAAAACACTTCTTTTTTTGTAAAAGAAAAATGTATGGCCGGGCACGGTGGCTCACGCCTCTAATCCCAGCACTTTGGAAGGCCGAGGCGGATGGATCATGAGGTCAAGAGATTGAGATCATTCTGGCTAACACGGTGAAACCCTGTCTCTACCAAAAATACAAAAAATTACTCGGGCATGGTGGCAGGCGCCTGTAGTCCTAGCTACTCGGGAGGCTGAGGCAGGAGAATGGTGTGAACCCGGGAGGCACAGAGCTTGCAGTGAGTGGAGATCGCCCCACTGCACTCCAGCCTGGGTGACAGAGCAAGACTCCATCAAAAAAAAAAGAAGAAGAAGAAAAGAAAACAGGCAACCTACAGAATGGGAGACAATTTTTGCAATCTACTCATCTGACAAAGGGCTAATATCCAGAATCTATAAAGAACTCAAACACATTTACATGAAAAAAACAAACAACCCCATCAACAAGTGGGCGAAGGATATGAACAGACACTTCTCAAAAGAAAGACATTTATGCAGCCAAAAGACACATGAAAAAATGCTCATCATCACTGGCCATCAGAGAAATGCAAATCAAAACCACAATGAGATACCATCTCATACCAGTTAGAATGGCGATCATTAAAAAGGAAACAACAGGTGCTGGAGAGGATGTGGAGAAATAGGAACACTTTTACACTGTTGGTGGGACTGTAACTAGTGCAACCATTGTGGAAGTCAGTGTGGCGATCCCTCAGGGATCTAGAACTAGAAATACCATTTGACCCAGCCATCCCATTACTGGGTATATACCCAAAGGATTATAAATCATGCTGCTATAAAGACACATGCACACGTATGTTTATTGCGGCACTATTCACAATAGCAAAGACTTGGAATCAACCCAAATGTCCAACAATGATAGACTGGATGAAGAAAATGTGGCACATATACACCATGGAATACTATGCAGCCATAAAAAATGATAAGTTCATGTCCTTTGTAGGGACATGGATGAAGCTGGAAACCATCATTCTCAGCAAACTATCGCAGAGACAAAAAACCAAACACCGCATGTTCTCACTCACAGGTGGGAATTGAACAATGAGAACACATGGACACAGGAAGGGGAACATCACACACTGGGGCCTGTTGTGGGGTGGGGGGAAGGAGGGAGGGATAGCATTAGGAGATATAACTAACGTTAAATGACAAGTTAAAGGGTGCAGCACACCAACATGGCACATGTATACATATGTAACAAACCTGCACATTGTGCACATGTACCCTAAAACTTAAAGTATAATAAAAAAAAAGAAAAATGTATAACGTCTTAAAATTCCACATTTCAGTATTTTTCCACAAGATAACCATCAAACTTCTATATCTCATTAAAAATAATCAAACCTCTATATCCTCAATATAAAATACTGTAAGGATTCTACTATATGTTAAAGATCTTATTTTGATAATATAGTCTCATCAATAACATCTGCATTATTTTGTACACTTCTCGCCTCAATTTATTTGCTTCAACAGTTAGTTTTTTGATGAATTTTACATTTGGAGTACTCTCGATAACTTTAATCCAGACTACTTCATGTATTTCAGTTAAGCACCCACTCTCTCAGTGGCTATATTTATATTGTTTTTCATTTAAAAAAACTGTTTTCATTAAGTAAGTCATTGGTTATTAAAACTGTATCTTCTTCAGTACATCTCATAAAAAAGTAATTCTTTGTGTATTTCATTATTGAAACCCAAATCCAGTGTATACCATAAGCTGAGACATGCTAGAAATATCAGTGCCTTCATTTGATGGTAGAGCAGATCTCCTACACTGCATAATTTGTTCTAGTACTTGTTTCTTCACATGTTTGGCAGTACTCACTTTGCGTCTTCCAACTACATTTGCTGACAAGGGAATGCATTTTAGTTTGTCCATGGATTGTGTTCTGTGGATTATTTCATCCATTTTTTTCTGAGGCAGGAAGAACAAGCATTTTCTTGATGATATGTGGCTTTTTATCTTTCACTGTTTAAAAAAAAAAATCTCAAAAGAGGCATCTAAACATTTGCCACAAAGTATGAGAACTGATGTAAAGAACCAGCGGGAGCATCACATAACCTTGGATATCATCGGAAAACAATATTAGAGGTTTGTCTTTGTTTTCCGGATGCTTCATTTTAAAGGATATTATTATATTAGTTAGGAGAGACTTGGTTTTGCTCTGATAACAAATATTCCCACTAACTGTGGCTTAAAACGATAGAAGCTTGTTGCATGCTACGTGCACATCACAGGTCAGCTATAGCACAGCCTCACTCTGGGACCCAGACTGACTGAGGTTCTTTCCAGAACATTGCCAGTCCTTGTGGCAAAGGGAAAAGAGAAGATGATAAACAGCACATTGGCTGTTAATGCTTCTGCCTGGAAGTGACATCCATCACTCCTTCTCATATTTCAATGACCAACACAAGTCACATGGCCACACTTAACTCCAAGCAGGCCAGGAAGTCAATCAATCAAAAAGAATGAGAGAAAATGTGGTATATATATTCCCTGGAGATATATAGATAGATATAGATATAGATATAGATATAGATAATGGAATACTACTCAGCCATAAAAAGGAAGGAAATAATAACATTCGTAGCAAGCAAACTGGATGGAGTTTGAGACCATTATTTTTTTTTTTTTTTGAGACGGAGTCTCACTCTATCACCCAGGCTGGAGTGCACTGGCTCAATCTTGGCTCACTGCAACCTCCGCCTCCCTGGTTCAAGCGATTCTCCTGCCTCAGCCTCCCGAGTAGCTGGGACTACAGGCACCTGCCACCATGCCCAGCTAATTTTTTGTATTTTTAGAGAGATGGGGTTTCACCGTGTTAGCCAGGATGTCAAGACCATTATTCTAAGTGAACTAACTCAGGAATGGAAAACCAAACATCGTATGTTCTCACTTATACATGGGAGCTAAGCTATGCGGATGCAAAGGCATAAGAATTATACAGTGGACTTTGGGGACTCAGGGGGGAAAAGTGGAAGTGGGGTAAGAGATAAAAGACTATACATTGGATACAGTGTACACTGCTCAGGTGATGGGTGCACCAAAATCTCAGAAATCACCACTAAAGGACTTATTCATGTAACCAAACACCACCTGTTCCCCAAAAACCTATTGAAATTTTTGAAAAATGAAACAATCTTTTAAAAAAGAATCAGAAATGTCTGGTGCATGGAGCCAATGACATCCACACATGCTAACTGCAGACACTTCACATTCTCATTAGCTAATTTCTCAAGGTTTATCATGAATGGTCACATGTACATAGCAAAGTCTTCTTAAATTTTTCCTCCTTTTTTTGCTAATTTCTTGTTGGGTATGATTAAATAATTGTCATTCATCCAAAACTTTCTATTCGGAGTAGAAATATCATCCTTTCCATTTTCTGGCTGTTTGATGGGCTTGCATTTATTAGTATTATCTTCAACTCATGATATTTTTGCAGGAAGTTTTTAAGCCATCTTCCCATTTTGTGAGGATTATTTTAGTTAAAATTACATTTTCTCATAGAAGGACATGCATAAGAATGTTCTTAGTGGCACTATTTATAATATCCAGGATGTGGATACACCAAAAGTGCTCATTAACAGGAGAATGGATGTGTGCATGCAGTGTAATGTTGTGCAACAATGAGAATGAACAAACTACAAAACAATGTGATTGGATGAGCCTCACAAGTGTAATGTTGAATTTAAAAAGTCATTCAAACACATGATTTCATTTATCCAAAGTTCAAAAACATGTAAAACTCATAGATGGTGCTAGAAATCAGGATAAGGGTTACCGAGGGGTAGGTAGTGATGGGAAGACGTCATAGAAGTGGCTTCAGGGGTGCTGGAAACTTTCTTTCTAATCTGGATTATATGATTATAAGAGATGTGTTCACTTTGTGAAAATCTATTGACTTGTACCCTTAAAAGTTGTATACCTTTTTGTATATAAATTATCCTGCAATTAAAACTTTGCTTAAGGTCAAACTAAATTTCATAATCCATGAATCCCTTAATCAGCCACATGTAAACTGAAATTCCATGGCTAGGAGTGGCATATGAAGGTAGATACCACCATTAATCTTATTGCTCTGTGAAACGCCACTCCTCCCTCAGCACACGTTGGCCCTTCCATGTACCATGACTACCCAACATATAACAGGACACCAATATCAATCCACATATTAAATACTAGTAACACTGAACTTGGGTCTTTTTAAATAGATAAATCATCATTTTAATATTTTCTTTGCACTTCCAAAGGATCATCTTGAGAACCCCACACTGAAGAGAGCTGCTCCTGTAGGACTTGAGTCCACATCAGGACCACAGACACAGCCTGCAGTCTCAGGTGAGGAGAAGCACGCAACGTAGACCCTTCCCCAACTGGCATATAACAGGGGTACCATGCTACCCAATAAGCATCAGAAACCTGTGAACAGATACTCTGATAATTTTAAGTGTATGGGAAACATGGGCTTCAATAATGCAAAACCAGAGGTCCTCATTAAACACCATGCACTGGGAAACCTCTGGTATCTCAGCAGATCATGAAATCTATGTTCTGGTGAAGCACATATTCTGCACACTAGAATGTATATGCATGGATTATCTATTAGTTTTAAAGAGCAACATGAAATGCACTTTAATACCACGCTAGTCAGGGAAAAAAAATATTTTGGACGATGCATAAGATACTTCAGAAACCTGTAGTGCTTTAAAAGACACAATTCATAAGAAATTGAGTTCACATTTGAATCCATGTCTTTCTGGCTCCAAAGCTCATATTCTTTTCTATATTATCCTGTTTTTTTACATAAGTATTAAAAATAGAAAATTCAGAGGACTCCAGAGAAAGAAGGAAAGGAAAATATGCCGATAAATCTAGGCTAATATGGTTCTTGTTTCAGTTCATGTTTCCTCCAAAACAGATTCTGAAACAACACTTTGGGTACAAATAATTTATCAGAGGTGATCCCAAGGAGTGTGTGAGGAAGTAGGAACACAAGGAGGGAAGAGAACCAATAAAGATATGTTCATGAGTGGGTTTTGCTGTGAGCAACTGGGATTCAATCCTGCCGGGGATCCTCTGTGAGGCTGTAGAACACACCTCAGAATTGTCCCATAAATGGGACAGGGGGGCTGAGATACATATTGTGACAGGCTGTATAATAGCCCCTCCCAATGGTGTCCACATCTTAATCCCCAGAACCTGTTATTAGGTTACCTTAGATGGCAAAAGGGACTTTGCAAATGGAATTAAGTTGATTTTATTTAGAAAGAATAATCTCAGAATATCTCAGTAGGTTCAATATAATCATAACTGCTCTTACAAGAGGAAGGCAAGAGGATCAGAGTCAGATATAGAAAGAGATTGAGGGATACTATACTGTTGGTTTTGAAGGCGTGAGAAGGAACCATGAGCCAAGGAAAGCAGGTAGCTTCTAGAAAAGGCAAGATAGCAGATTTTTCCCAAGGAGACTCCAGAAGGAATGCAGCTCTGCTAACCTCTTAATTTTAGCCCTTAAGAACAATTTTAGACTTCTGACCTCCAGAATTGTAAAATAATAAATATGTGTTATTTTAAACCATTAAGTTTGTGATCGTTCATTGCAACAATGGTAGCATATATATATGAAATCAATATCGGCATGTTTGGCAACTGTCAGCAAGTGATTGAATGGTAAATTTCGGTGTGAGCTTCCCTGTAACCATGAAAAACAAAATAGAAAGGATTGAGTTTCAGAGGCCTCTCTCTCATAAAATGTTCTTCATAACTTTTACCTATCACTGAATTCTTAAAGAAATGTATCACATAGGCTGTCATGTAGAAGACAATGTTTTCAACAGGAGTGTAAAAGAAAGTGTAGAAATTCTTTTCAGGTGTCTGTTTCTCAACCAGCCCTATATAAAAGTAAAAGGCAGAACATTCACCCCTAGTTTAGGGAAAATCATCTTTGTGGTGGGTGAACTATGTGGCTCTCTCCCTGAGGTGGAGCTTCAGGGACATTCAGGAATGAATGTCAATGACTTTCTTTTGCAAATATCAAGTGTCTCTCTGATTTGGGGCAGAGGCTAGACATCGAAAGCTAATTATTTTGAGCCTGGGCTGTCAGCAAGACCCAAGAGAGAAAATGCTCTGGGATGTATGGGATGGATGCCAACAAGCTGGGGTCCCCCATGGAAGCTTTGTCTGGCCTTCTCCCCTAAAGGGGATCCTTAATCAACAGTGTTCGGTTGCAAAGAATAGAACCCGTCAGGCTTTCTTAAGCAAAAGTGAGGGGCATATTATAAGGAAACAGAGCTTTCACTGAATTCAAGGACAGAAAACAAAGTTCAGGCAAGTTTTCTGGAAACAGGAAAGCACCTGGGGCCAGTCCACTTCTCCCTTTGCCTCCTTTCTGTATTTACATGGTCTCTCTCTTCTGTATCTCTCTCTGAGAGTCTGCTCTCCTCTCTCATCATGATCTCTCAGTTTCTACCCACCACTGACTCTTCATCACCTCTGGGCCCAGATTTCAAATTCCCAGTAGAGAAATGTGATGGCCTACCTCATTGTTTCGAGAAATCCTGCAAGGCACAGATCACTAGAAGCCAGTGGATAAGCCCTTTTGGGTCAGATGTTCCAATCACCCAAGAGAAGGAGGGATTTATGAGGGTTTGAGACCAGAAAATGGGCCCCACTGCCCATGTGGAGCCAAGTCTGAAGTGTGCAGGGTCAGAAATCAGCCCAAGATTCAGCTTTGGCCCTGCTGAGGGATCCAAAGGAGGACTTGGCAGAGGCCCCAGCAACTCTCCCTGCAAAGCAGGTGTAGTTGTTCCCCAATCCTCCATTCTTCTCTGTACCAAAACCTTTGCAATTTGACTTTCCAGCTCCCTCCATCAGGAATTGGGGTCTGTTTTCTCACCCCTTGGGTCTCGGCTGACTTCGTAACTTGTTTTGATCAATAGAATGCAGCAGGAGTGACAGTGCTCCAGTTGAAGCTGTGGCCTCAACAGGCTTGCACACGCAGCTCCCTCCCTCCCTCTTTCTCTCTCTTTCTCTCAGAATCCTGATGCTGCCTTGTAAACAAGCCTGCTAGAGGGATGTGAGAGATACATGGACAGAACACCTATTTGAGCCAGTTCTCCCAGCCAGGGTCATCTGAGACCAGCCAGTTGACTGTAGAGGTATGAGTATGTCCAGCCAAAGCCAGCCAAGCCTATCCCAGATCAGAAGAACCACCCACTTCGCCCATAAATTCATGAGCAATAATAAATGTGTATTTTTTAAGCTCTGGTATATTTTGTTACACAGCAATAGCTAACTGATATAGCAAGTCCAGGGGAATGTAACTATGAAGAAGGTGGTCTGTCAGTTTGACTTTAGTGAACACCAGCTGCCCCTAAATAATTACTCATCTTCCACTGCAGCCCCAAGCACCAGCCAGGTTGCAACTGCCACCAACATCTCCATACAAAAGGACTGACCAGCCTATGCATAGGCTGTTTGGAACTGACTTTTTTGGGCTTTACAGGATATTGGTCAAAAAGGACTTTTGCTCAGGCAAAGATGGTCTCCTCAGCAGAAGTCAGATTAGCCAGCAGGAGCAGCTGGACCTCAAAACCATGATCAAAAAGAGATGCCCTCTTTGCTCCAACAGTACAGAAGAGTAGGTCACCTAAAAAATCAAATCAAATCAGAGTCCAGTAAGCAGGAATAGACTATGCCTGGATGTGGACAGAAGTCTGATCTCTTAAGAGATTATTTCTCCTTGCTCTGATTCTCAAGTATTTGAATCTGGGACATCTGAACACTAAATATCAGACCAGAGCTAGGGCTACACGGATACAGAATTTTGCCACTTATAAATGCATTTGGGAAGGTTTTTTTTCCTAAGAAGAGCATCCATAGCTTTCATAAGATTCTCAGAAAAACTGTAACCTGAAAAACAACTGTAGAGAGAATGCTGGAAGCAACATTGCCTGCTGTTTATCAATGTTCCTACAGGTCTGACTCTGTGTATTACTCTATCCACATGTTATTGGATGTACACATTATAATTCCTATAAGAAAATTTAACCATATTATAGGATCTATGTATTTCTGTAGTTATCTATATCTTATAGGGAATGTCACTCTACCTGTGACTTACCCTAAGTATTTTCACTCTAAGTTGATGCATCTATATATTACTGTAACATATATATATTACTATAGTTGTGTGATACTGTATATTGATACTGTAGCTGTCACTTTGTTATGTATCATCCTTAGTATAGCTAAAGGTTATTATATGCATATGTAACTGTGGCTAAACATTATTGCAATTACACTACT
Organism: Homo sapiens; assembly: GCF_000001405.40. Classification (NCBI taxonomy): domain Eukaryota; kingdom Metazoa; phylum Chordata; class Mammalia; order Primates; family Hominidae; genus Homo; species Homo sapiens. The sequence continues at coordinate 36,676,454 of NC_000001.11, read as the reverse complement.
ACATTTGTATGTTACTGTTTCCATGCAACGATTCTGTTATTGTGTGTAGGACTCTAACGGTATTACCGTAAATCTGTGTTACCGTATTTATGTTATTGTGTCAGGTGTTAAAGCACTTATTACTGAAGTCAAGCTTAACTGCAACTAAATGTTACCGTGAATATGCATTTACTCCAATAATAAAACTGCAATAGCTACCATTCCTTAAGCACATTCTAGGTGTTGGACCCTCTTCTGCTGCATGGTTTACATACAATTACCTTACTAATCATACAATATGACATTGTGCAGGTCTGTATTATTATACCCATTTTATAGGTGAGGAAACTCAGGTGCAAGTAGGCTAAGTTACTTGCCCAAGGTCATACCACCAGCATGCAGCAGTGGAGGGCAGGGGAAGAACTTTGAACCCAGGTCTGTCTGACTAGCTATTTGTGACAGCAGCTGTGTAACTCTATAGACTGTTCTGTGTTTAGAGGCCAAGTACAGAAAATGGCTCATTGTTAACGATAGGGAAGGTACTTGCTGGATGTAGAATAAGGTTTTTTAAACTATCAACTTCATTTTCTGACATTTTTGTTGAGTTAGGAGCAATACAGAAACAATTAAGTTGCTAAAAGAACCTTGATTGAGTTAGCAGACAATAAATTTAAAGAAGAATAAAATTCATTCTCCTAAATTTCAATGAATTGACAAAGAGAGAAATGGTTACATGAGCTTAATTGTTGATGAGCTCTGTGCTTTTGAACTTTACCGATTCTAAAACTGCCTGCAGGCTGGGAAACCCTCAGGCCTATGAATGCCCTCCAACAAAACCACGACCACCAGGAATGGAGCCCCTTACTCACACCTGGCTACTCACCTCCTCCCAACCTTGAACAGTATAAGGACTCAGGTTTCCAAGGAAACTCAGAAAATCACCTTCCACTTTCGGAGCTTCCAATGCTTCTGATTCCAGCCAATTCTTCTTGGCCTTTGTCTCCTGCCTGTTTCCTACGTCCAGTTCTACATGAGTTCTCTCAGGAGTGAGGCCAATATGGCCGGGGCCTTCAGCTGGAGTCTATAGGAAGTAGTAGTTCCTAGGGAAGAGGCTTCCTGTGTCCCAGCCCCAGCACTGATCCTACTCTGGGCAGAGCCTGCCCCAGGCACACTTGTAAGATTGTCTCCCTTGATCTCATTGACTACTCCCCCTCTGGCCTTAAAACTCACAGATGATCCACCCATGCCTGGCTGCTCCATGGCATCTCATCATGCTTGCCACCCTTACCACCTCCCTGGCTAGGCATCACCCCTCACATGCTTCCCGGTCCCCTTCTAGGTTCCACTCTCTAGAGCCAACATCTCTCACCCCTTCATGGTGACCACCAGCTATATTTACAGGTATTTGGGACAGAGCTATAGAAGACCCCTCTCCTCCTCAAACCCAGGTAACACTGAAGCTCAATGAGCAGGGCTTCCTGGAACTAATGCCAAGATCATGTCTGGATTGTTAATGAGTCTCATTCTGAACATGCACAACACTGAACAGCTTTAGATCAAGGAGGACCCCTTAAAAATCAAGCATCTAGCTGAGGGATGGCAAATACAAGAAATGCTGCCCATCACTTCTGTATCCCATGTCTGTTGCAGATATCACTCATCAATCACAGACACTCTTTCCTACAGAGCCTGGGCACAGCTTCAGAATCCTTCTCCATCCACATCTCCAGCTACCACCAGTTGATCTGAAATGGCATATGAAATAAAATCCGTCTCCTTTCTAGGCCAGCTCCTTCATTGTGCAGATAGAGAAACTGAGGCCCAGAAGGAAAGCAAATTGCCCAGGTTCACACAAGTCAGATGCAAAATCGGGATAAGAGCCCAGAGTTCCCAGCCTCTAATCACAGCCACTTACGCAGGACATGCAGCTACACAGCAGGGCATAGCTGGGGATATCTGAGTCTCACCTCCTTTTTTTTTTTTTTTTTTTTTGTTTGTTTTGTTTTTGGTGGAGTTTCGCTCTTGTCCCCTAGGCTAGAGTGCAGTGGTGCGATCTTGGCTCACTGCAACCTCCGCCTCCTGGGTTCAAGCGATTCTCCTGCCTCAGCCTCCCAGGTAGCTGGCATTACAGGCACCTGCCACCACGCCCAGCTAAATTTTGTATTTTTAGTAGAGATGGGGTTTCACCATGTTGGCCAGGCTGGTCTTGAACTCCTTGAGTCTCACTTCTAAGGAGCCCCCAAACCACTGGTCAAAGAGCAGTCAATGAGAACCTGCTCCTCCACCCCATGCTTTCCATAGCAAGCCTCTGGTCTCCTAGTTCAGGGTGAGGAGAGGGAATATAGCTTCTAAAGTGTTTCAGTTCAGATAGAGGATGACTGAAACCAAGCCTTTACATATATTAACATACCTGTCCCCATAATAACCCTGTGAGTAGATACTATCATTATCTCTACTTCACAAATGAGAAAACTGAGATATGGAGGAAACAAATGACTTGCCCAAGCCCACACAGCTGGCAAGTGCCAATGCTGGGATTTTAACCCAGTCTGTCTCCAGAGTTGATGAACGTAACCACTCATACTACCAAATTGCATGCACATGCACACACACACACCAACTACCACATGAGAACCCCTTTCCTCTGCAGCACTGCTATGACCAAACCTTTTCCAGTTTTTGTCTATGTGGTAGGTGAGCAGAGGCCATCTGTGGAAGATTGGTCCTGGTCTCAGTGTACACTGAGGGCTCACCTGGGCAAAGAACCCCCACCAAGGGTACAATTCCCAAGGCTTAGTGGTTCATCTACACGAGAGAAGGGGACAGAATGTTAGTGGTTCATCTACATGAGAGAAGGGGACAGAATGTTAGTGGTTCATCTACACGAGAGAAGGGGACAGAATGTTAGTGGTTCATCTACACGAGAGAAGGGGACAGAGTGTTAGCAGTTCATCTACATGAGAAAAGGGGACAGAATGTTCCTGCCCAGTTGGGTGGGGGTGGATTCTGCATCTGCAGAGAAAGGCCAGTTTTCCAGAGACCTGAGCTGGGAACAATAGATCATCTGCTCACTGGGATTAATGAGGCTTCCCCATGTTTGTGAAGAGGTGATTAAGGAGCTTGTAGCTGCTTCGCCTCCTGTCAATAGAACAAAAGCCTCCATAGCTGCTGTCTTCAGAGGCTTTGCGGGGAGGGGAGCACAGGCAATAAGGTTCAGGGGTGCACTTTGGTTTACTTTGTGCTTTCCCACGTGGGCACCTAATGCCGGGACATTTGTCCCACCTCTTCCCAATCTAGAATTCCTCCCTACTGCTGTCTGGGCACTCCACAAGTATTTGTTGAGTCCCTAACATGTATCAGTTACCATGCCAGGTATAGGGACACAGAGATAACCAGGAGAGAGACAACCCCTGCCTTCACAGACCCCACAGTCTGGCAGGAAGATAGACGTTAAATAAATACATATATGATGAGTTATTTAATTGCAAGTGTGATGAAGTGCTGCCCAGGAGAAGTACAGTGAACTGCAAATGCTTAAGGGCCAGGGATCCTGCCTCTCTAGAGGTCAGAGAAGGTTCCTGGGAGATGTAGGAGAGAGAGGTGAGGTCTCAGCCAGGTATCTTAGGAAGGTAGACTTGACAGAACTCGACAACGGATGATATGTCAGAGGCAAAGATGAGATTTCTGACCCCAGAAATATGATGAACTGTCCCACTAGCCTGCGTACAGAGCACAAATGGCAGAGCAGGTTAGGAGGAGGCAGGACGGTGGGTCTGGGCACCCCACAAAGCACCCAGTGGAAAGTTGTCTAGATGGGCCTGGGGCACAGAAGCTAGGTCTGGGCTGAAGACACAGATCTGGAAGGCAAGGTAGAGGTCACACAGGAGTTAATGTTGTATGGCTAGGTGTCATTTCCAAAGAAGAGGGCCAAGACCAAACCCTGAGGGGAGCTGCCGGAAGCAGAGAAAGGGACTAACAAGAGAGGTGGGGGAAATCTGGACAAAGTAGACATTTCAAAGCAGGGGAAGAGAGAGGCAGCAGAACAAAGCAGTTGACAGTGTCAGCTCCTGCCAAGAGATCTAGTAAGATAAGGACCGAGACGTGTCATTGGAATTGGTAAGTGGGTCACTGGTATCCTTGACAAGAGTGGTTTAGTGGAGACGGAAGCCGAAATGGAGCTGGTGAGGACAGCAAGCACGGTGAGGAAGCAGGAAAGGAGCGTTGCTGGGAAATGGGGAAGAAAATGGGGCAATCGCTGAGGAAGTATTTAAAGGGCTTTCCAGTTGGGAAAAGTGTGAGCAAATATGCAGACTGAGGGCTTAATGCAGAGTTGGAGAAAGAGGAGAGATGTTGAATGAATGAGTAAATGAACAAAGAAAGTAAGACGTACGAAGCTAATTGATGGAGAAGGGTCTTGGAGCCAGTTGAAGGCATTATGATTTAGGGCACTCTGGAGGGGTGGAAGGATGTGACAAGAGGATGGAGCCCCTCCCTCTGAGGTAGGATTGGGGAGGACACTGACAGAGATGGATGGAAATCTAGGGAACCCACATCTGATGACTTTGATCTACCCAGTAGAGGGCAAGTTGAGGTTGTCTGCAGAGCATGACTGGTATAAGGAGGATGGAGGTGGGGGAGGGTGGAAAGGTTTGGTGAGGGCAACTGGGAGATGTGATAGGCTGACAGAGATGGGTATAATGACAGCCAAGGAGCAGTGAGGGCCCAGGTGGCGTTGGAAATCATTCTCATTGCCCACAACAACTACAATAGCTCCCATCTGTTGAGTGTCTGCCTATAAGTTACTTCATTCTCTTAAGAGTCCAGTGACAGGGGCCCCATTATCCCTTATGTGCAGACAAAGATACTGAGATTCAAAGGAATTGAGTAACTTGTCCAAGGTCACGCAGCTGCTAAGGAGCTGGTATTTGAACATGAGTCTGTAAGTGCCGAACCCCATGATCTTTTCACTGACCTGGGAACCATACTCTATAATTATCCTCAGCACCACTTGGCAGTCCTAGAGTGCAAGGAGAGGCAGCAGGTGTAGAGTCTGCTTAGGGCCAGGGACTGTGCTGGCCAGTGATGTCATGGGACCAGGAAACCGGAGGACCCGTGAGATCAGGAGAGGATGGCTGCCCAGGGGCTCTGGGCCAGTGGGGCAGCAGGGGATGTGCTGCTGGATCGCGAGGGACTATGAGAGCAGGGGTTACCAGAAGGGCCTTTGGCCACATGGACAGTCATGCAAAGGATGGGAAGGAAGGAGAAAGAAGCAATCAGCACCAAAAACCTTGGAGACAGGATCAAAGCATGTCACACTATAAAACTGAGGCAAACAGACTTGACGCAAGGGGAGGAATTCAGACAACCATTTCATGGCTCAGACAGATTTGGGGTCTGATACCACTCCGTCACCTTCCTGTCTCTGTAATAGTGGTCAACTTGCTTAAGTTCTCTGGGAATGTAAAATGTTTTCTCCCATCTATACAATGGTATCAATAACCCCTACCATATCCTATACCTAGAAAGTAGAACCTTTCAAAGGCTTCCCATCCAAACTCCCGACCATGCCTTGACAGATGCTGCATAAACTGGCCCTGCCCACCTGTCCAGCCTCATCCTAATCCCCAGTCCCCAAGGCTCCCTCAGCTTCCATGGGTCAGTTTAGTCAGGGCCACAATAATGCCCCAAACTCAGTGGCTTACAAGCATGTCTGTGGGTTCGCTGGGGTTTTGCTCATCTAGTCTGGGCTTGGCTGATCTTGGCTCCTGGCCACCAGTTGAGTTCAGGTCTCCTATGCATGTCTCTCATTCTTCAGTGACCAATGTGCCACTGGGGCATCCTGGGACATCTCCTTCTCTGAGCAATAGCAGAGCACAGGACCACAGACCCAACCACACAGGAACAATCCAAGTTTCTACAATTCAAGGTGTCTCCCAACATCTCATTAATCAAAACAAGTCACATGGTCAAGCCCTAATTAAAACCATGGAGAAGTGTGCTCCTGCTAACGTAAGGCCATGGCAAGTATGTGGGTGTGGAATGCAACAACAGGGGAGTGATGAGTTGGCATCAACAATTCCACCAAACAAATCCAGTCATCTTGGTCTCTGTCCGTCCCCACATCCAGCTGTTGCCCCTTTAGAGCTTTGATCCAACTGTTCCCTCTGCCTGGAATGCCCTCTCCCACCTCCTCCACTCGTCACTTGGCTGGCTTCTTTTTATCTTTTGAGCCCCAACTTAAGCATTATCCCTTTTAACAGGCTGGGAAATGTAGTCTTCCAATTTACCCAGGGAGAGAATGAAATAGGATTTGATGAACATATCCCATTGTCTCTGCCACAGCCCTCTGATCATATAGAACAGGGGCCTCCATCCGCTGAATAAAAAACAGCCACCAAAAATGGAGAGAGGATGAGGCAGAGCCCCCAAGAAAAAAGTCTGGAAGTTAAAGACCAAGAAACACAGCCGTGAGAAACAAAGGCAGGGGGCGGGGGGGTGCGGGGACAACGGGAGGATGCTCAGAATGTAGAGTGACAGACACAGGCCAAGGGAGGCCCAGAAAGAGAGAGCAGCCAAGAAAGGGTAACAGAGCAAGTGGCAGAGGCCACTGCAGACAGAGAAATAAGACTCAAGGGGCTGTCGGAGAGAGGACGAGCGAGCGCTTCCTCGCACAAACGTGGCGTCTGCAGCTTCCTCCTTGCTGTTTCATTCCCCTCAGCCTGTCACCCACACACAGCTACAGAATCCAAAATCTAATTTGGCCTTTGTCAGCTCCATAAATGGTGTTCTTTAGGGGTAATTCCCTGGTAAATGGACAGAAATTCTAAATTGGAAATCCGCATTGGCCGTCCGGGACCCGTTCTCCTGAACTCCGGGCATGAGAATGCAGTGGACAGGTCATCCTGCGAGCTCTAATGCTGGTGACAAATGGGAAGGTGCCTTTACTGCTTAGGCAGCGACTTCAGACAGCCCAACCGCTGCTGGCCTGGGAGGTCTAATCAGCTCAGTTCTGGCCCCCACTGCCCCCACCCCACACCTCATTACTGCAGCAGGGAAATAACTAGGCCCCAGGAGGACAAGAACCTGGAACTAATTATTAGAGCAGGGGAAGGGAGGAATGTGGCCTTCAAGGGGCTTGGGGGTTCGGACAAGGCACTTCCTGCTCTCTCTTCCTGGGGCTGGGGCAACAACCTCAGCACCACTGCTCACTCTCTGACCCAGTCCTCACCAGCTGCCAGAAAAAAAATCTCCAACGTGTAGAGGCCCTTTCTGTTCAAGTCTTGATAGCAGACACCTTTCAGCTCAGTGTCACCTCCTATCGGCCCACATCTGACGGCTGTGAAGGGCAGCTGTCTGCAAGCTCCGACTCATCTTGCACTGAAGAGTTCCACCTCAAAGAGCCATTCTGGATGTCTTTCTACGTCTGCCCCAAAACCTTCCAGGAGCCTGGGAAATAGCATGGTTGTAGGGAAAGTTCAATTTATGCAAGAAAGAGCCAGGTGCAATGGCTCACACCTGTAATCCCAGCACTTTGGGAGGCCAAGATGGAAGGTTCGCTTGAGCCCAGGAGTTTGAGACCAGCCTGGGCAACAAAGTGAGACCCTGTCTCTACAAAAAATATATAAAAAATTAGCCAGCGTGGTGGCATCCACCTGTGGTCCCAGCTACTCAGGAGGCTGAGCCAGGAAGATCACTTGAGGCGTGATCATGCCAGTAAACTCCAGCGACAGAGCCAGACTCTGTCTCAAAACCGGGTGACAGAGCCAGGCCCTATCTCAAAAAGAAAAAAAAACAGAAGAAGAAAGAAATGCAAGAAAGCTAGCACCCCCAGGGGCATCCTTCAACCAATGGGGTTGGGAGTTGATGGAGAAATGCCTCAGCTCTCAGTGTTTCGGGCAGAGATTCTGGGGCATTCCCAGGAGATTTGGTGGGATCATAATCCCATAATGCCCAGAAACAACCCCAACAGCTTACTCGTACATTGGCTTCTCCTCCTCCCTGTCTCACCTCCCTGCTCCCTCATTCCTGCTTCCTGGGGTCAGGTAAATCACCTGGACCCAGGTCCTTGTCTCAGGCTTTACGTTCAGTGTTTTTCACGCTGTATTCCTCGGAACCCCAGGGCACCTTAGGATGTGTCTACCCCTCTCTCACCTGCATTTGATTTAATGCTCTGTTGTCATCATCTTGAAATGTTTAATAAATTTTGAACAAGGGGCCGCATATTTTCATTTTGCATTGTACCCACAAATGACATAGCTGGTCATCCTCTGAATTTCTAGCACTTTGTACCAAGCCTGGCACTTGGACTCAGTCGAATTGAATTGAACTGAGCTTTGAGCCTCTGTCCCTCCCTCTCTCCTCTCTTGCTCCTAGCTCCTACCCTGCTTCCCTCCTGACCTGGGTCTTAAAGGTTGCAAACAGCAACAAGAGCAGCTCCTCTGTTTCTCCCCTGGGGCAGAAAGGAGCGGGAGCCTGTGGCCTGTGTACTTGATAGTCCCAAGACCCCCTCAATGAGAGTCCATCCCTTACCAGATCAGAGATTCCCCACGTCACAGCTCCCTATGAGGAAACCATACGTTTTCCTTTTTAAATGTCATTACACAGTTCTCATTATATTTTAAAAAGCTTAAGTCTGACATAATTTGGCATTGCCCTAACTCTAAACCCTGGTAACAGAGAGCAATGTTCCACAGAGAAGAGGTCACATAAGCCAAAGTATTACAGAGACATGAGGTCAATGGATGACCTCAAGAATTAGAAGCAAACAGATTTTAGACAAGATATAGCTCCAAAGGTGGCAGAGTTTGGCCAGAAGAAGGGGTCAGGGTGAGAAAATGCTTTTCTTAATTGGAAAAAAAGACAGCCCTAGGAAAATATGCATACACGTAGCATGATCTCTCTCTCTATTGAGTTTCTCTGTGAAAAGGAGAAGATGTAGGGGCTGCAAGCACAGACAAAGGGGACCAGGGGATTTGCAGAAAGCAATCACAGATAAGGTTCTTTCCCTGTGGCAGTTAAAGCCGCAGAAAGGAAAAGTATCAGGGTTTAACACCTCATCCAGCTGACCAGAGGTCTCAGGGGGCTCACAGAAGCCTCCAAGAAGCCAAAATTAAATTGCTCTGAGAATGAGAGAAGTTAACAGTCAATGTAAAATTAAGCTTAATTATTAGCAGTTAAGGGCTAATGAGGATGCCCGATTTACCTAAATGTTGGGCTATTTCTACATCTTGCTCTAAATTAGCTATCACTTTTTATATGTAGTCATTAATTAGATTAGCTCATTATACTTTGTTATTTAATAAATTCTACTACACACGCATTCTATATGTCTATAGGTTATATATGTAATATGTATTGCATACATATATTTTGGTTTCTGTCTTCTGTTTTTGCAATGCATGTATTTGAGAAAACATTAAAGGTCCACAATTATCCACAACCATGGAGAGGCTCTTTGTTCAAGGTGACTCTAGCCCAGACACTACAGTTCACATAATGGCAGCTATCCAGATTGTATGCATGATGACCTGAAAGACTAGAACAGCTTCTAATGGGGGAGGTGGGCATGAAAAGACAGAGGAAAAGGGAAAGGCACTGATCCCGGGCTGGAGGGGAGCATGAGGTAGTCATCAGGGATGATGCTTCATGGTTGGTTGTGGAGGGTTCTTGGCGGCCAAAGAGTTTCCAGTGACTACGAGGGATCAGAGGCAAAGAAGCCATCTGGAACCTAAAGAGCCTTCCTTCTCCTGGGCCCAGGGGCCAGAGTAGGGGCCCTGGCTGAGCAGCAGGGAAAAGGGAAATGGTGAGATCCCAGAGCCCAGGCCCAGCATAGGGGAACTGCATCTCCAGGAGGATTCTGAGGAGCCAGAGGGAGGAGAGGTACAGGGAGGACTCCTGGAAGGGGCAGGAAAATGGCCTAAGCCAGGCCAGGGGGAGGCAGGAGTTGGAGGAAACTAAGTTCCTACTGACTTCGATCAGTCAAAGTGTGTTCCCAGGCTTGGTGTGGATAGACAGGGAGGCCCCTTAGCCATCAGGTGAAAGAGAGTGGATAACACACCTGACCCAGTGAGGCCCTCGCTCAAGGCACCCAACCTCCCATGCTGTCCACATCCAATAGTAGATCTAATCCCAGCCACAACCAAAGCCACCAAAGTGCAAAGTTTTGGGGGCACCTGGCTTCCTGGGTGGACACTACTATCCAACCTGAACTTGAGTCACTCATGTAGTGGCTCATTTTTGAATTTCAGTGAAGATGACTCTCTTGACTTGATCCCTGAACTGGGTGGGAAGCACAATGGTTGGCAGCTTTGAGTGGTTGACAGGCAGCAGAGGAACCCAGAGGAGGAGGAGAAGAGTCTAGGTACCAACCGTGGAAGTATCTTGGAGCAGGGGCCTTGTCCCACCTGGCATCCCAGCACGAAACCTCCCACGGAGGTGTCCCTGGTTACAGGAGGCCCCACGAACTAGACCAAAATTGTCAATGTGTGTTTGGGTCAAATGGAGTGAGCCAAGGGAAAGGCAGCCTCTTCCCAGCCTCTAAGCATAGCTGGTCTGCATGTACCTCAGAGTCCCGGCCTGGGGGAATCACAGCCCTGGCACCCATCACAGAGAGCCAGACCATGAGGGTCCACACCTGGATGGCTGAAGCACTTCTGCCAGGTTCCCAGATCCCTCCCAGAGGCTTATCCCTCGGCCACCACCACTGCTGCCATCTCCAGTCACTGCACCTTCGACCCTTTCCCCACACTCAGTGCGAGGTGCATGTCTTGCCTGTGGTTCCACTAAGCGTTTCGGTTCCTTTCTTGGCAGCCTTTCCAAGTGCTGAAGCCCCACCCACAGCAGTGTTACTCTCCCCAGAATGACCAGAGTGCAGGGGAGGGACTTGAAGGCCCCTAGTGAGGCACTTAGGCCAGCCCTGACCTGCCTGTGTTCCTCCAAAAGATGAGGGGGCTACACCAGGAGACCTCTAAGCAGCCTGTGCTCTGGCCAGACCTGCAGCAGGCTGGAGGCAGGAGGCTGCTTCATTGGCTGCGCTATGCTCTGGGAGCCCAAGGGCCAGGTACCCAGGCAGATGCATGGGCAAGTAGGACAGTCCACAGCCAGCATGGACGAACCCTGAGCTGGCCTAACCTACCCCATCCAACACCCCCTCGCCAGCTCTCAAGGCAGCCTGGGGGCAGATTCTAGAAAGTATCTTCTCCATCAATCCAAGGGCCATTTCAAGACCCAAGAACACAGGCTGGAGTCAGACCCGAGTTTAAGTTCTGTCTCCGCCACTTCGTAGTTGTATTATCTTGAGCAGGTTATTGCACCTGGCCACTATCAGTTTCCACATCTGTGCACTTAGCACAGTAGTTGGTAGAGAAGAAATCATCTATCATAGTGGCTCAAAGGTGAGGGGGAGAAACAGGAAGTGGGGAGAGATTCAAAGATACCCAGAAATGAGCATCCTGAGGACAGAGGCCTCAGACAGCAATTTAAGCCCCCAAGACTGAGGCAGAGGTGGGTTTGCCAAGGAGGAGGCAGCAGGAAGTTTTTGGGAGGAGACAGCAGACTGGGGAGCAAGTCAGTTCTCACGGCCGCTGAATAATTCACAGGGCAGCCGGGATGGCATATGCTTCCTCTAAGCCCTCAGCAGCAGGAATGCCAGCCTCCCTCCCTCTCCCACACTCCCCACTCCTGTCGTCACCCAGGAAACCAGCTACCTCCTCACGAAGGAAAGGCCACCCGGGGTCAGAGAACAGGGCAATGGAGGGGGAAATGAAAGCAGAGTCATGTCCCCCAACCTGCCAGGCAGGTCCCAGTGGTGAGAAAGTCAGTTCTGCTGACGCTGCCAGGCGACAAGGCAGGAAAGCCTAGGTAAGGAAGAGGCAGAGATGCTGGGGACCCTCCCTCCTCAAAGCCACCAGAGATGCTACAAAATGAAATAATAACGGTACAGATGCAGGGATTGAGGACAGTGAGAGCCCAGAATTGAGGCCTATTTGGACACATCCAGGGACAAAGGTGTGTTCAGGGATGTTGGTCTGTTTGATCTTGGCTCCCTTCCACCCCTTGTGTCTGGCTTCCCCCTGGAGCTGGCTTTCTCCTTCACCTAGAGCTTGGCTCTAGCCCCTTGGAGAGCCAAGTCATCTCTTAAGCTTAGAGTAGGTTTTCGAGAATAGATCCTGCCTGGCTCACCCCTGGCACACATCCTGCGTCATCCTTGGCCTTTTATAGACTAACACAGGCAGCCCCTGGCCCAGGGATTCAGTACCTCCTCTGTGTCACTCCCTTCCAGCCACCCTCCCCATGGTCCCAGGGCCCTACCTACTACCTGAGGCCTGGCTTCCCTTGTCTTGCATCCTCACACTGCTTCCCAGGGCCCAAGACCCCTGCCTTGTCCCTACGCTAGTTCCTGTAGGGTCCCTAGGTACCCTCATGTTCTCAGCTTACTTCTTAATGCTGAAGGAAACCACAGTTGCCTCACACAGTAAACAACACTAAATCCAAGGAACAGAAACTTCTGTGGCCTGGACAGTGCTGATGACAGGAGTCGATCTTTATTAATAAGTGAACTGAGGTTCAACTCTTCATGCATCTGAGAACAGCCAGTTACTGGTTGTAGAACCTTGCGCAAGTGGCTTAACCGCTCTGATCCTCAGTTTCCTCACTGTGAAATGAGGATATTTTAAGGATTAAGTGAAAAGGGAATATAGCAGGCACCTAATAAGTCATAGATGTGTTGTTTAGTAGTATTGCTAATATTAAATATGTCACTTTATTGTGTACAACATACACGCATGTGTGTGCTTATGCGTTCATCATTCTTCCTGGTTCACTGATATTGCTTTCTTTCTTTCTTTTTTTTTTTTTTTTTTTTTTTTGAAATGAGTCTCGCTCTGTCACCAGGTTGGAGTGCAGTGGTGCCATCTTGGCTCACTGCAACCTCCACCTCCCGGATTCAAGCAATTCTCCTGCCTCAGCCTCCTGAGTAGCTGGAACTACAGGCACGCGCCACCACGTCCAGCTAATTTTTGTATTTTTAGTAGAGACAGGGTTTCACCATGTTGGCCAGGATGATCTCGATCTCTTGACCTCGTGATCTGCCCACCTGGGCCTCCCAAAGTGCTGGGATTACAGGCGTGAGCCACCGCGCCCAGCCACTGATATTGTTTTCTGCTCATCTCAGTGGAGCTCATGCTTAAAGTGCAGCTGCACAGAGTTCCATTTATTACAAAGCCTAAAACATTGAAAACTTCATTCAATTAGCAAATTTATCATTATTGTCTGAGCAAGCTATAATTTTTTATTGAATTTGCCAAACATGATAATTTTATTGAGCAAACCAAATTACATAAGGTTGCATTTGCACTCCTAAATTAAGAGAGTGACTTTAGATATGAAAAGGGTGCTACAAAAATAAGTATTGCATATGTTTCAAAATTTCCCAAACTTTCTACTTTTCCCTATAAAGAAAAATAAATGGTTTGGGTTATTCTTTTTTAACCCAAGCTTTTCAAGTTCCCAAAAATGTTGTATTTCTCAGCCCCGTAAGGTGAGGAAAATATGCCAGGAGCACAGGATTGCATTTCTAGGACACCCTCAAGCTTGGCAGCCCCATCTCTGAGTCATCCTACCCATTGCTGAACTGTGTGGGGTTGAGCTAGAAGCCCTAGTCCCCTCACCCCCAGGACAGGACCTCACAAAAGAAGCCAAATTTTGCCTGGCTCCTGCCTCAGGCTGGCCCTGGTCTTGCCTCCCAGTCTTCAGTTCTAAGCCTTTTCCTGTTGTTGTCCCTTCTCACATCAACTGTAGTTGGGTGAATGGATGTTCCCCAAAAAGAGATACTGAAGTCCTAACTCCCAGCACCTGTGAATGTGGCTGTATTTGGAAATAGGGTGTTTACAGATGTAATCAAGTTAAGATTAAGTCATACTAGATTAGGGTGGACCCTAAATCCAAAGACTGTATCCTTATAAGGAAAGGAAGATTGAGAGAGAGAAAGAGGCACTCACTCACAGGGAAGAAGGCTAGGAGAAGACAGAGGCAGACACTCGAGTAATGCAGCTACAAGCCAAGGAATGACAAGGGCTGCTGGGAGTGACCAGAAGCCAGGAAGAAGCAAGGACAGATTCTTCCCTAGATCCCTCCAAGGGAGCATGACCTTGATGACACTGATTGCAGACTTCCAGCCTCCAGGACTGTGAGAGAATAAGAGTGTGTATGTGTGTGTGTGTGTGTGTGTGTGTGTGTGTGTGTGTAAGCCACCTGGTTTGTGGTCATTTGTTACAGCAATCCTAGGAAACTAACACACCAGCCAACCCCCAAGGAAGGCAGGCAAGCATGACTTCCCCTCCATTACTGATGGACAAACAGAGGCTGGGAGGCTGGGCACATCCTCCAGAGAAGACTTCAACCCAGGTCCACTAATCACCTTGGGGGAGATGACAGAAGCAATAGACTTCAATCAAAAGAGCAGAGTTTAAGTTCTGCTCTTTCTGCTGATTTGCTATGATCGAGAGAAAGCCACATCCCCTCTTAGAGCCTTGAAATTTAGGCTAAATAACCTCCCTCTTACCTAGCCTAGGATTCCACCGGACAAACAATGGAAGCCCCAGGATCCACTGCCCTTAGCCTAGGGGTTCTACCCTTCCACCTAACATATACAGAGAAAGATCCAGGTGGACTGGTGGGTGGAGAAGAGGTCTGTGGAATGGGTATACCCATCAGAATTTCCCCAGGAACCAGTCTAGAGACAGAGAGGCATGCAGGGAGTTCTGTGCACTGGCCTGAAAAGCCCGCTGAGGGTGGTGGCTCATGCCTGTTATCCCAGCACTTCGGGAGGCCGAGGCGGGCAGATCACTTGAGGTCAGGAGTTCATGAGCAGCGTGGGCAACATGGTGAAACCTGTCTCTACAAAAACTATAAAAATTGGCCAGGCGTGGTGGCTCGCACCTCTGGTTCCAGCTACTCGGGAGGCTGAGGTGGGAGGGGTGCTTGAGCCTGGGAGATTGAGGCTGCAGTGAGCCATGATCTTGCTCCTGTACTCCAGTCTGGGTAACAGGAGAAGGCCCCAAAGGCACACTTATCCATGCAAGAAGCAGGAGGTTGGGTGATAAAGCCCAGAGGAGTCAAGCAACTTGTCCAAGGACACAAAGTGGGAATGTGGCTAGGTCCTCCTGCCAGACCTCTAGCTGAACACTCTCAGATCTTGCAGAGAATCTTCCACACACTCACCTGCACACTAAGTGGTTGGAGACTCACTCCCCAAGGTGCCAATTTTCTTACCATGGTAACAAAACCAACAAAGAATTAATCTGCATGTTATTATTATCATGCACAGAGACCAATCTAAAAATGTCAGTGATAAAATACATCTACCTCCGAAGTAGACCACTCCCCTGCTGCCCTCCTTCACCAAGCCACTGCTGCAGGTATGCTGATCTTTTCTCTGTTCCTAGTTCACCTCTGCCTCAGGGCCTTTGGACCTCTAGAGCTGGCTCCCTGTCTGATTCAACCACTGCCTCTCCAGTAATGCACTCTCTGACCACTCAGCTTAAATTAGCCACCACTCTGCTCCTACCCAGTTTCCAATGCATCGCCCTGCAATGTTTTCTTCATGGCACTTTCATCTCTTTAAAATCATCTTGTTTGTTCTGTCTCTCCCTCCACTAGAATGTAAGCTCATGCGGGCAGGGATTTTTGTCTGCTTTTGTTTACTGCAGTACCCCAGTACCTTATCCTTAAACAACAGTTTGCATATAGGAAGCCCAAATAAATATTTGTTAAATGAATGAATTACTCTCTCTGCCAGGCTTTGTCAGGGCTACAGGGACACATTAGACATGGTCTTGAGCTCCCAGACAGTGGGTGAAGCTGACAAAGACACCGATCATTATGGCACCCCATCATGCATGCTCTGGCAGAGAAAAGAATGAGGTGATGCAGGGCTCAGAGGAGGGAGCAGGCTCTACTGGGATGGGGTCAGGACAGCTTCACCAAGAAGAAGACCAATGAATGGACCTTAAAGGATAAATAGCAGCTCCCTGGACCCAGTGTGGTTTCCCACAGTGTATGCCATGCAAAAAATGGTTGGCCTTGCACTGGAAGGAGATGAGGAGCCACCAAGAGTTTCAAGCAGAGGGGTCATAGCAGGATTAGATTTGCACTTCAGAGCCGTCTTTCTGGTTGCTGTGAACGCAGGATGGTTTGGAGAGAACTGCCAAGGGTCTGCAGTAACAACCCAAGTAAGAGATGATGAGGCCGGGACTGGGGTGTGTTGTCTGGAATGGAAAGGAAGGGACAGATTCAGTTGAACGTGTGGCCTGTTAGACATTGGAGAGAGTGAATGGGAAGGGGAAGAAGTCTAGATAACAGGGCAGAGCTGATGGCATCATGTCCAGGAGCCTAGTGGGATGAAGGTGGGCCCCAGGCTCAGACGTATCCCGATGGGCCCTTGATTTGACTCATGCAGGTGTGTCAGAACATCACATCTCATCATCTTCCCAGCTTCCAAGCTGGGCAATTTGGGAACATAATCTTCAGGCCGACATGGGAAAGGAGAGAGGGGTTTTGCTTTTGGCAACCCTCAGCCCAGGGGACTGGGTCTGAGAAGTTACCATGGAGGTCACTGGTGAGGCGCCAGGAGCAGCTCACCATGGAGGGTGGGAACAGAAGGGCAGAAGATGCCATGAAAATGAGTGCAGTTTGCCTGTGAAGGAGAAGAGGATGGAGAGGATGAGGGAGAAACTTTGATGCATTTTTGGACTAAGGGAAAGAAACAATAGAGAGGAAAGAACTTGTGGCACCTCAGGGAAGTCTGTGGAGAAACGGATGGGAAGGGATACAAGGCAAAGGTGGGGATACTTGTCTCGGACAGAAGGAAACAAAAAATATGAGAACAAAGAGATGAACTGTGTCTGGGTGAGAAAGAGCACAGCATTAAGGCACATTCCCAACTAACAGCCTCTTTTTCTAAGGAAGCTGGAGGGGGGTGTGTCTTCTGAGAGTCAGCGGAAAAGCAGGGACCAGGGGGTTCGGGAAGGTCAAGGTGGTTGGTGCAGCCAGTGAGAAGAATGGGCTGCCGGGAGGAGGCAGAAGGGCTCTGATGGTGGAGGTCCTGAGTAAGTGAATCCTCCACCAGTGCCCAGGGACCCAGGGTACAGGGTAAAGGAGGTATTGCTGGATTGATCTAGGCTTGGTCCTCTGTCCTACAACCATGCTTGGACTTGTCGGGATGTTTGTCCCGATTTTTGAATGGGAAAATCTGTTGCCTGCTGTATCAGTTAGGGTCTCAGCAGGAAACAGATGGCACACTCAAATTGGGTAATTGAAGGAGAGTTTATGAAGGGTCTATTTACAAAGGTGTGGGCAGCGTGTAGGGGAGCCATGGGTTACTGCAGCTCCCTCAGGCTTGTATGGGGAAAGGGGATCATGACTCTGCTGCCACCCTGGGGCTGAAGGAGCAAGGGGACAGATGGCCATGGAACCCAGAGAGAGCCTCGTGGAGAAGGCTGGCCATGGAGACTGAGACCTTTAGTCAGCCAGCAGGGAGGAGCCGGGAAATAACTACCCCAACCCCCATTTCCTCCCTCCCTCCAATCTCCTGCTAGGCTCCCTATTGGCTGAACCCCACAGAAAACCAGAGGGCAAAGGAGCTCATTGTCAGGGCCAGACAGGTCAGCAGGGTGGACGGACCAGAGCAGAGTTGGTGGGGGCAGAGAATGGGTCCAGAGGGGCAAACAGAAGGCACCAATCAAACCCAGCTCTAGGGATCCCTGCCTTCAGAGCCACTGTCCTTCCTGTGCAAGAGGGAACAGACCAGTCCTTGGGGCCCCAAAGGCTCAAAGGAGGAAGGTATGTTTTTGTGTGTGTCAGGAGGGAAGGGTGGAGTGACAGGGAGAGGAGAGGCTTCTCATCTTCTCTTCAGTATCATAACCTGTCCCCTCTCCCTGCCCTCCCCAGCACCTGATTTCTAAAGTGGAGGCACTCCTGTTTAGAAAGAGGTGGTGATCAGATTCTGTGATTAGGAAGTTAGGGTGGGAGCCAGAGAGAGAGAAAAATAAAATGCTATAGGGGGTCAGAACCTCTGGGGTTCAGCAGACAGCCAGATGGACAGGCAGATGGACCAGGGCCACCCCCCACTGACCCCTGCCTTGCTTCTTGTTCCATCGAGTACAATTGAGTCAAAGGTGCTAATAGATCCCTGAGAAAGATAGATGGAGTAATCAGGGTAAATGAAATTAACATGCACAGGGTAATCAACACTCATTAAGCCAATTTAGTCAAGTGATGACCTCAGTCAGCTTTTATTTAATCATATACTTAAATGTCAAATCAATATGCAAATTTCACCCAGGCCTTTTCCAATTATAACCCATTAAAAACTTTCCAGTAAATCAATGCCATCAGGCAGGGCGAGGACGGCGAGGCAGCGAGAGCAAGCTGCCCAGATGACTGGACAGTGGGCCTTTTGTCTACAGCAGTCCCTCTCCCCTTAGGCCCTTTTCCTAGCCCCCACCTTCTACCATCAAAACTCATCCAACCAGGCTGGGCATAGTGGCTCATGCCTATAATCCCAGCACTTTGGGAGGCCGAGGCGAGTGGAACACCTGAGGTCAGGAGTTCCAGATCAGCCTGGCCAACATGGTGAAACTCTGTCTCTACTAAAAATACAAAAATTAGCCAGGAATGGTGGCAAGTGCCTGTAATCCCAGCTACTTGGGAGGCTGAGGTAGGAGAATTGCTCGAATCCGGGAGGCAGAGGTTGCAGTGAGCTGAGATTGCACCACTTTACTCCAGCCTATGCAACAAGAGCGAAACTCCATCTTAAAAAAAAAAAAACCTCACCCATCCTATGTCCCCTCGCCACCACCACTATGACTCTAAGGAAAAGCAGGCCACAGACCCAACACTTCCCCCAACCATCACATAGTCACCTCATTCACACTCCTGGGCACTCAGCACCTTGTTTTTTGCAATGAACATTAGTGCTTGCTAGCTTCTTGAAGCCTACCAAAACTCCTAGCAGGTAGACATCAATATCCCCCAAAATTACAAATTACAAATGACCAAACGGAAGCTCAGAAAAGTTTGGAAGCTTCTCCCAGGATACCAGCTCATCAGGAGAAAATGGGGACTGGAGGCAGCACCCTGAGGCCATGCCCTGCCTGGAGGCCAGTCTGCCACCCACATTTAGGCAAAAGGAAGAGGTGAGGGTGTGAAAAGAGGCGTCTCTTCCCTTCCATGACTGAGTCAGCCAAAGCCCTTAGGCCCCACCTCCAATGCTCTAATTAAGCTGGGATGTGATTGATCCACATTTAAAAGGCTGTGTTGGAGCTGGGGAGAATCCATTGAGCCCAGGAGTTCAAATCTAGCCTGGGCAGCATGGCAAGACTTCATCTCTAAGATAGATGATAGATAGATGCATAGATAGATAGATACACAGATAGATAGATAGATAGATAGATAGATAGATAGATAGATAGATAAAAGGCCATGTCAAATTGGGTTAACTTGTTCCAGGCCTTGGAAAAAAAACTCAAATTATGACTGTCTTTGCTTATTATTATCCCAACTACACTTGATGCTGGCAGATATGGTAATACCAGTGAGATAAGAAACAGACAAACAACCAAAGTCCCACAGGAAAGGAAATAGGGAAAGAAAGGAGCAGCGCTTACCAGATTCTTGCCTGGCACCACATTCGCACTGTGCTGGGTGCTCTTCCTTTGGTGATCTTGTTTTCAAGGTATGACCACTTCATAAATAAGGGAGCAAGATCAGAGAGGATGGCGAATGTCCCTGAGGTTGCACAGTGAGTATATGGCAGACTTGGGAATAAACACCAAGTCTTTCTGCATCAAAGGACTCAAAACCCACAGGTCATTCATGCCCAGGGGAGCCCAGGTACCTGTTCACATAGACTCTTTCCCCAGGAGCTGTACCACCAGCAGGTACAGGCCAGACCAGTGGGCTAGGGGCCTGGCTTCCTGATATGAATGGTCCAGGGCAGCAGCCTGAGCCCCATGCCCGGCCCAAGAGGCCCAGCCTCATGCTGATGCAGCAGAAATGACAGCTGCCTCTCAGAGACCTGCTTTCCAGGACCAGCCAGGAGCTGGCAGGGAGAACACTGGAAGAGTATTGATTCTATCACAGCAGACCCAGACTGAAGATGAGTTCCTGGGGCTATGCATAGGAACTGACTTGCACATGGCACCGTGGTGTCAGCGACTGCTGGAAAATGATTGGGAGTGTCAGTAACCAATGGTGTGAAGGAGTCAACACCGGTGCCTTTGATAGTTTCAGAGCCACTTGCCTGCAGCTCTGAACCACTCCCAAAGAAGTGAAGACGGGAGGCCTCTGACTGAGTAGGGGGTAGGATAGGAACACTAAGCTTGCTGGCAGAGCCAAGAACTGCTGTCCCTTGCCAAGGCTAGAACCATCAGATTTGGAAGGCACCACCTACATGCCCCATGCAAGGTGAGGTCAGAAATAGTACACATGGAGCCTGCTCCTGGCCTCTAAAATGATGAGGGAGAGGGCCAGTAAGTAGGGTGACAATGCCTCCTGGTTTGCCTGGGACTTTTCTGAGGAAAATCCCATGATTCAGGAAGCCCCTCAGTTCTAGGCAAACCCAGATGGCTGGTTCCCCTGTAGAAGAGCCAGCCGGAGCTGCCATGGGAGAGAAGGGCATCACCCTCCATCCTCCACCCAGCAGCTTGGGCAAGATGTAGTTGACTCCTGTCAGTTTCATAACTCACAGGAAGAGGAAGAGAGGAAAGGAAATGCCAGGAATCAAAGGGAGGCAGCGGAGGGCGAAGAGTGATGGGCTTTATTCAGTGCCAGCTCAAGGTCAGGAACGGTGCTAGGAGCATTCAAATATATCATCTCATTTAATCCTTGCAACAACTCTAGCAGGCAGGTGCTATCATTTCCACTGTATATGGAAGCGAAGAAGATTCAAATATATCATCTCATTTAATCCTCACAACAACCCTAGCAGGCAGGTGCTATCATTTCCATTGTATACGGAAGCAAAGAAGATTCAAATACATCATCTCATTTAATCCTCACAACAACCCTAGCAGGCAGGTGCTATCACTTCCATTGTGTGTGGAAGCGAAGAAGTTTCAAATATATCATCTCATTTAATCCCCGCAACAACCCTAGCAAGCAGGTGTTATCATTTCCATTGTATGTGGAAGCGAAGAAGATTCAAATATATCATCTCATTTAATCCTGGCAACAACCCTAGCAGGCAGGTGCTACCATTTCCATTGTGCAATGAAATGAAGAAGCCAGGCTCAGATCAGTTAAAGAATCGACAAGAAAAACTGTTTTTCTGGAGAGACTTTGGCCAATAACTCACCCCTGGGGAAACAAAAGTGAGTGGAACAAAGGGACTTAGCCATGCCGGCCCCTGTGGGGCCAGAGAGGAGAAAAGCAGAACTTAGTCTGACAGATGCACCTCGTCTAGAAAAGGGCAGATTTTAAAGAATCTTCCTGATAGAAAGATGCAAGCCCCTGTCTGGATCTTCAAAGGGGAAGACAGCTCCAGAGCGGTGAACAGAAATGTCACAGTCAACCAGGACCTGGAGTAGTCCCAATAGGGAAGGACAGGCAGATCTGAAGGGGTCTCAGGAAGCAGCTCCCTGGTAAGCCCAGATGTAAAGGGTGTCTGCACAGACGGCAGGGGAGCGCTGGCCAAGCAGAGAGCTACACAGACCACAGGAACCCCCAAAGCTTCAAGGGGAATGAAATGTAACAGGCAGGTGCTTAAGACATATCTCCAAACCCCAGAAAGACTCCTGTCTGAGAGGATAAGAAAGCCAAGAAATCCTAGAGGACAGAAGAGGGCAAGAAAACTCCAAACAAGCAAAATGTCTTCATTTTGGGAAACGTAGAAAAGGAGCATTTTCCTAACTTGGTCTTCATCCCAGCAAGAGCCTAGGACGTCAGTTTGTGTGCACAGGGAAGGCAAGTCTTGGAAGGAGGCCTGCCAGACCCACCTCATTTCCTGTTCTATCGAGTGACCGCCAACCTAGTGAAACTCCAGGGGTTTGGAGAATTCTCCCAAACTCCTGTGGACCAGACAAGTAAGAGGGAGTTGGATGGCAGAGCTCAGGGCATTCGTAATGACTCAGTGGGTAGGGTCAGCAGGATTTATCCTTGTGGGTCTGGGATGCAGGGGGTCACAGGGAATTCCAGACAGAGGAAATGGCAGGAGCAAAGGTGTGGCAAGTGGGAAACAGAAATGATTCCTGATCATTCCCTCCTGAGTTGTAACAAGGCAGCTTCCCGCTCACAGGCTGATATACTCAGATCTCTCAGCAGCTTGAACTTCCCGCATCCTATGACACTCATTGCTCTCATTCCTCAAATGAGCATGTGTGGAGCAGTTACTATGCCAGGCATTGTTCTAGGCACGGGCAAGCAGCCATGCACGAGGGGGCAGACAAGGGCCTTGCTTTCACAACACTTAGAGGCTAGCAGAGAACATGACACTGAGCAAAAGAAACTCCATTCTCTCAGGAAATTCTCACCCAGCCATGCAGATTTAAATGTTCGAGTACGTTGATGACTCCGAATTTGTATCTCCAGCCCAAACGTCTCCTCTGAACACCAGATGTGCACTTTCAACAGCTTCCTTAATATCTACGTTTGCGTTTCTAAAGCATTTTAAACTCACAGTCTCTAAGACAAAAATGAGTCCACAAACTTCCCCCTCAGCAAAACCTGTTTCTGCTCTTCCCTCAGCCTTTCTTCCCAGTTACTCAGGTGAAAACCTGGAAGTCATCCTACATTCCTCTCATCGTGCATGTGCATGCATGTGCACACAACTCACACACACATGCACACACACACACATGCATGTGCACACAATCCAATCCATAGCCAATTTCTTCTGGTCCTAACGTAGAAAACAAAACAAAACAAAATCCCAAATTGGCCGCTTCTTCCGGCTGTGTACTTCCACAACTAGCACCCTGGTCAGAGCCACCGTCATCTGTCTCCTGCACTGTCAAGTTAGTCTCCTCACTGGTCTCCCTGTTTCCCACAACTTACTACCCTAGGATATAGTAGCCACACAACATCCCGAATGATCTTTTAAAAAATCTAAATCAGGTGGGGCACGGTGGCTCATGCCTGTAATCCCAACACTTTGGGAGGCCGAAGTGGGTGGATCATGAGGTCAAGAGATCGAGACCAGCCTGGCCAACATGGTGAAACCCCATCTCTACTAAAAATACAAAAATTAGCTGGGCGTGGTGGTGTGCACCTGTAGTCCCAGCTACTCGGGAGGCTGAGGCCAGGAGAGTGGCTGAACCCGGGAGGCGGAGGTTGCAGTGAGCCAAGATGGCACCACTGCACTCCAGCCTGGTGACAGAGCGAGACTCCATCTAAAAAAAAATAAAAAATAAATAAAATAAAATAAAATTTCTAAATCAGACCATTTCTTTCACTTGCTCAGAACCCTTGACAACAAGCCATGCTCAGGTCCCTCCATCATGAGAAAAAGCACTGTCCCAAGCCCACGCTTCACCTGCCCCCCTCACATCAGGGTGTTCCTTAACTGTCACTCTCCACTCCCTGCCCCTCGCAATCTCCCACCAGCCAGCCTCCAGCCTCCAAAACCTCTCTCAGCAAAGTGACCCATGACCACATCCTGGGCTTACCCCTCAGCCTCCTGGGTCTTCATCCTCCCTGGCACTGTGCCCACAACCCTGCTGACCATTCATTTCCTCCCTGGGGTTTCTGCAATCTAGCTCCTCCCTGGTTCTCCTGTCTCCTCTCTGACTGTTTCTCTATTACCTTCCTGGACTCTTCTTTCTCCAGTTGCTCCATAAATGGTGGGGGTTCCCAGGACCCAAAACTCACCCTCTTTTCTGCTTATTGTAAACACTTCATCTACTTTTACTAACTCATCACTAGTTCACTGTCACTAATTCTCTGATGGTTCCCTAGTCTGTGTCTTCAAGCCCCAGACTTGTAATTGTAACTTTGTCCTGGCAATAGCACTGGAAACCAACACAAAAAGCTTGTCATTACCTTATCACTTTATCCGCATGTGTACCTTATTCTGATGCAATTTCCAATGCCAGAAATCTTGGCAACTTCCAAATCTCCTCCCTCCTTTGACCACTCTAATGTGTAATTTAGGTTTGTTGTATGGTCTGCCTCCTTAACACTGCTCGTATCTGTCTCCTCCTTCCCCTGCTCCTGCCTTAGGGAAGGCCCTCACCACCTCTCACCTGGATTTCTGCCTGCAGACTCACCTCCTGCAATCCATCCTCCAGCAACTCAACGCCAAGGAGGTTTTCCTAAAGTGCAGATCTGGCCATGTCACACTCTTCACTCTTCTATGAACCCTCATTGATGGGTCAATCAGCTGCTGTTGCTGCATAACAAACCACTCCAAAACTCAGTGGCTTTGAAGAGCTGTCATTTGTTTTTATACAATAGCTCATGCATTTGTGGGTCAGCTGCATCAGTTGACCTTGACTGGAGTCATTAGTGGTCTGCAGGTGAGCTGGGGGCTTGTCTCTAGTCTGGGCTTCACTGGGGCACAATCCCTCCTGGAACCAGCAGAAACATGCAAGGTCCCTTGAGACCTAGGCTCAGAATTGTCACTTGGTCAATCCACATCACTCTATTGTCCAAAGCTAGACACATGCTGAACTAGTATCACAAGGCAGAAAAATATACATCTCACCTTGATGGGAGAATGTACAAAGACACCTAGCAACAGCCTGGGTACAGGAAGGGCTGAAGAATTGGAGCCATTCATGTGATTCACGACAATAGCCTCCCATTGCCCTCAGGGTCAAGTCTCAACTTCCTGACCTGAAGACCCTCCATGAGCTACCGTGGCCACTTTTCCAGCCTCATCTCTTATTTCTCTGAACTTCGGTCCACTCCCTAACTTCCCACAGCTCCCCAAATATGCCTTGTTATTCCACACTCCAGGTTGGCCTTTGCACCTGCTGTTCTTTGTTCCTAAAGCCCTCTCCTCCTTCCCTTTCCACCACTACCCATCTGGGGAATCCTTACACATTCTTTGCAATATAGCTCAGCAAGCAGCTCCTCCTCAGGGAAGCCTTGACAGCACCTCCCCAACCCTGCAGGGTGGATCACATCCTCTGTTATGCCCCTCCCCCTCCCACTGTACCTATTACAACACCAATCCCTGTGCAAAGGTCCATTTTCTCCCCTAGTTGTTGAGTACCTTAAGACAGTTATATTAGTTTGCTATGGCTACTGTAACAAGTTGCCACAAACTTAATGGTTTAAAACACCACCAATGTATTCTCTTGCAGTTCTGGGGGGTCAGAAGTCTGAAATCAATCTCACCGGGCTAAAGTCAAGGTGTTGGCAGAGTTGGGTCCTTCTGGAGGCTCTAGGGGTGAGTCTGTTTCCTCGCCTGTCTCAGCTTCTAGTGGCTTCCTGTTTTCCTTGGTTTGTGGCTTCTCCCTCCATCTTCACAGAGCAAGGACATCGCTTCAGTCTCTGCTCCCATCATCATCTCCTCTTCTGTGCCCAACCTCCTTCTGCCTCTGCCTTTTAAGGAGCCTTGTGATACCACTGGGCCCGTGTGGATAATACAGAATGATTTCCCCATCTCAAGATCCTTAATCACACCTGCAAATTCCATTTTACCATATAGAGTAATGTTCACAGGTTCCAGGGATTCGAACATGGATATCTTTGGGGGCCATTATTCAGTCTATTTGGCAGTTTTCATGTTTGTTCTTCTGGCCTCTCCTATACCTGGCTTGGGATCTGGCACGTGATGGGTGCTCAATACGTTTGATGAGTGGGAGACTGAATGCAGTACCAGGGTGGCCACTAGAGGTGCTAGAGGTCCCCAAAAGGCTGGCTGCAAAGTCAGCAGGAAAAACTGAGGCCGCTGGAACTCCCTCCCGCTACACTCACCATAACAGAGAATATTCTCTGTAATAAATAAGAGATCAAACCAGGCAACTCTGTGCAATGCAGGCGCTGGGCTGCCTGAGCTAAAAAGGAAAAAGATTCCTCCCTGGAAGTGCAGAGACGGAGTTGTGTGCTCACTCCATGGGAGCATTAACCCCTGCTCCTCCTCATAACTACACAGACGGGCCGGAGCTGGTTCCATGTGAACATTCAGCCCTGTCCCTCTGTTAATACTCAACAGACAATTGTGGATACTACTCTGCACTCATCAAAGGAAACGTGGTCCTGGCCCTCGAGGGGGTGCCAGTCCAAATTCCTTATGAACATCTTCTGAATGGCCGAGTTTCAACCCAGAACCAACTTCCAAACACGTTGGCACTCATGGGAGCCTGGTTCCTTGACTTTCAGAGCTCTTCCTGGGAGGGCCCATCTACTCATGAGCAAACACTGAGCACCAACAATGTCCCAAGCCCCGTATCAACTTCTTCATTCGTGTGAGGCTGGCCCATGAGCTTCCCACTGGCCACAGATTGACATTCCCCGCAGGACTTCTGTGGGTCTTCAACCTTGTCCTGATCATTCCCTACCATATCAAATATTTCAGAGAAGCTGGGAGGGTGCCTGGGAAGTTAGTGGCCACTGGGAAGTCATTGGTGATTCAAACCAGTGTCAAATATTGCAGAGAAACTGGGAGGATACCCGGGAAGGGAGATGGGGAATGGCCACTGGAAAGTCATTGGTGATTCAACCAGAGAGGGTTTTTGGTCAGGTGATGGGTGTGGCAGGAGAAAGCCAAGCTGTAGCTGATTGAGGATAACATGGAAGGTAAGGATATAACAACAACAATAATAGTAGCAACTAATGATTCAGTTAGCTCTAATTATTTAATTAGCCCCTACCGTGTACCAGACTGCACTATGTGCTTAGCATGGATGATCTAGTTAATCTTCCTAACATGCTGGTAAGGTAAAGGATAGTAAGCCCACTTTACAGATGAGGGAACTGAGACACAGAGAAATGAAGGAGCTTGCCCAAGACACACAGCTGCAAGTTAAGCCAGAATGTGATTAACTACCTCTAGACTATTTCTTCTAGAAATTTGACCCTGAGGGAAAGCTAAGCTATGTAGGAGGGGGCGGTGCTATGTTCAAGAAACTTTGTGTTTGAGGGAAATTGTTTTATAGGTAAAGAACATAAACATGGCCGGGTGCCGTGGCTCACGCCTGTAATCCCAGCACTTTGGGAGGCCAAGGCGGGTGGATCACCTGAGGTCATGAATTCAAGACCAGCCTGGTAAAACCGCATTTCTACTAAAAATACAAAAATTAGCCGGGCATGGTGGTATATGCCTGTACTCCCAGCTACTCGGGAGACTGAGGCAAGAGAATCACTTGAACCCAGGAGGCGGAGGTTGCAGTGAGCTGAGATCGCACCACTGCACTTCAGCCTAGGCAACAGAGCGAGACTGCGTCTCAAAAAATAAATAAAATAAATTTTAAAAAATAACAGACTGGAGATGCACTGATGGGTGGAGGCTCAACTGATGGAGGGAGCAGGATCCAGGACATGCATGGGGGCTGGGCCAAGCCCAAGAGAGAAGGAGGAGAAGGTGGTTAATGACCAGAGGCCAGTAAGGTGGTCAGAGGGCCTGGGGGCAAATGCAAGATCAGGGGCAAGGGGCTTTACTAGTCAGCATTTATAAATGGCCCTCATACACTCTCTTTCTTTTTATTTCCATAGGTTTTTGGCAAATAGGTGGCATTTGGTTACACGAGTAAGTTCTTTAGCGGTGATTTGTGAGATTCTGGCGCACCCATCTTCAAGCAGTATACACTGAACCCAGTTTGTAGACTTGTATTGCTCACCCCCTTCCCACCCTTTCCCCCGAATCCCCAGTGTCCATTGTATCATTCTTATGACTTTGCATCCTCATAGCTTAGCTCCCACTTATGCTCATACACTCTCTTGATAGATCTTCACAACAAACTAAGAATACATTTAAACAAAAAAACAGAGGTTCAGAAAGGTGATATGATTTGTCCAAGGTTGTAAAGTTGGTGGCAGAGCTGAAACTCAAACCCACAAACACTACTCTGACCCATGTCAGACCCTGTGCAGAATGAGGCTGGATACAGGATAGCTCAGACATAGCCTATCCCCTGGGAGCCCCTGATCCAGCGACATGAAACCACTTCCCCTCTGAGAAGGAGTTCCTCATAGATGAGTGATGGATCCCTGAGCAGTTCAGGGGTCCAGGCCCTAACCCAGCTCAAAGTGGAGCATGTGACTGTGTGGGATGCACAGCAGCCCCTGCATGCACTTTGAAGTCTGTAAAGTATCTTCTACCCCTTATCTCATCTAATGCATGGGAGGCATGATCAGCCACACCTACAAATGCCCGGAAACATTAGGCAAGCTGCCCAAGGCCATGCAGCCCTGAATCCCTGAACCTGACTCTAAGTTCAGTACTCATTCACCAGTTCCAGGTCTTCCTCAGGTTGGCCCAGGGACAGAAAGGTAACAGACAAGGGGTCCTAGGGTGTGGGAGATAACGATGTGGCCAATCTTGAGACAAACACCTGGTCTGATGGACCCTGATTAGGGGCAGGGGGCACATTCAATGACTGTAGGCCCCCAAGAGACATCTCTAGGAAGTGAGAGGGTAAGAGACAAGCTCTGCTCAGAAAGGGGGGTTATAGAACCCCAAACCTTGAAAATGGAGCAGCTCAGGGTGAAGGTAGAGTTCATTGGGCATGAACTCTGCAGTCACACAGGCATGGGTTTGAATTGCAGATCTCTTGCCCTCTCTGTGTGGCCTGGACCATGTGACTCCATCCTTCTGAGCCTACTGGGGTCTCACAGCAACCCTGTGGGGTGGATACTGCTATTCCTGTCCCTGTTTTGCAGATGAGGAAACTGAAACTCAGATTGGCAATGGAACTGGCCCAAGGTCACACAGCTAATACACAGATAGCTGAGTTTAAAATCCAGGATTCCAGGGTTGCAGGGGGTAGATATGGGGCAGCGAGAAAAGGCTAAAAGAGACACTAAAGTCAGTATAAGAAGGAGACTAGCTGGGGGTCTTTCCGTGGCTGCAGACAGACTCATTCCTTACTTCAGGGAAAAGGGGATTTGTTGAAATTACACAAGTGATGGATTTGATACCAAAACAAATACTTGGGTCTTTGTCACAGCTCCTGGCACACAGCTCCCAAAAGCCTTGGAATCTCCAGAGTGAAAGGAGTGTCTTTTGTATGCTAATTAGATGACTGGTGGCTGGAGACCCCTAGCTAGCTTCAGAAAGGGGCTGGTCCCCAGAAAGACCAAGGCATAATTAGAAAGTTGGAAATTTCAGCCCCACCCCCGAACTCTGGGAAGGGGAGTTTAATCACCAACTGCCATGATTTAATCAATCATGCCGACCTAATTATACCTCCATAGAAACCCCTAGATGACTGGGTTTGGAGAACCCCAGGTTGCTGGGAGATGCCAGGACAGTGGCACACCGGAGAGGACATGGAAGCTCCACGCTCATTTCCTCCATACCTTGCCCCATGCATCTTTTCCATGCGGATGCTGTATCCTGAGTTGTATCCTCTATCATAAGCTGGTAAACATAAGTAAAATGCCTTTCTGAGTTCTGTGAGCCATGCTGGCAAGGGATCAAACCTGAGGTGGAGGTCAAAGGAACCCCCAATTTATAGCCAGTCAGTAAGAAGTACAGGAGGACCAGAACTTGCAACTGGCATCTGAAGTGGGGCAGTCTTGTAGGAAGGAGTCCTTTAACCTGTGGGGTCTGACATTAACTCCTGGTAGATACTGTCAGAATTGAATTAAATTGTTAGACACCCAGTTGGTGCCCAGAGAATCAGAGAAACAATTACTGGTGTTGGAAGACACCACGCATTTGGTGTCAGAAGCATTGTGACTAAAAGCAATTCAATGGGTCATGACCAAACTATGGAAAGGCCTGTCTTACATAAAGTGCCCATTTATGGCTGGTTGTGAGCTGGGGCAGCTCCTGTGGCCCTCTGCATGCCCAGCAGGCGATGGGGGCGAACGCTTCCCCAGAAGGTGGTGTGAGCAGCCTGAGGCCTGTCTAGTGTACTGGGGCCTCATGGGGGCACTTAGGGGGAGGGAGTGGGGACATGGCCTGAGGGGATGGGAGCAGGATGGGGCAAGGTCTGTGCAGAGGGCTACAGTGAGGACAAGCAGAACGGATTATGGGGTGGTGGGCAGGCGGCTGGAACATGTTAGTGACACACGGAGAAAGAGAGATGAACAATATGCTCATTAGTCAGTGAAATTGAAGGGTTGACCAACCCTGACGTTCCAACAGGAAGGTCAGCATGTGGAGGGGTCAGTATATTCAAGCCCCAAGAGCATCCAGGGGGCAAGACGCAGCGTGGCAGGATGCAGCTGCGGCCAAAGTCTGTTTCTCCATGTCAGTTCCGTGGAATTTTGCTGTGGCAAAATGTTAGCGAGGCAGATGGCTAGCACATCAGAATGACAGGGTGGCAGAACGCCTGTGTGTCAGAAGGGCAGTGTGGTGGAAGAGCTGCATATTGGAGTGTCAGCTGGGGGAATGCTACTTTGACGGGCTGTCGGTGGATGGGATGTCAGCAAGCCTTGACCTCTATTCCCTGGGACCAGGGCCGATAACACAGAGGTAGGGGTTTGCTGTGATCCTAGCATCGGGGAGGTAGCCCAGGAGGCATTGCCCTCCCATCCAGAGCAGGGGTTTGAGAAAGGGAGAAGGCAGTGTCTTCGTTTGCTAGGGCTACCATAACACAGTATCACAGACTTAAACAACAGAACAGACATTTATTTTCTCACAGTTCCGGAGGATGAAAGTCCAAGATCAAGGTGTGGGTAGGGCTGACTTCTTCTGAGGCCAGTCTCCCTGGCTTGTAGAGAGCCATCTTCTCCCTGTGTCTTTACAAGGCCTTCCCTTTGTAGGTGTCTGCATTCTAATCTTCCCTTCTTATAGGGTCTCCAGTCATACTGGATTAGGGCCCAGCCTAATGAGCTCATTTTACCATAATAATCACTTTGAAGACCCTATCCCCAAATACAGTCACATTCTGCAGTTAGGACTTCAACATGTGAATTTGGTTGGGAAGAGGCCACAGTTCAGCCCATTACAGGAGGCAAGTAGCAAAATAGGGCCAGGGAGCTATTTGATGTCAGGACTGGGCAGAGAGACAGGCAGCCACCAGGTATCAAAGGCTCAATCAGGAAAGACTTCTTGGGGGAAGCAAGATGGTAGGCAGACTTTGGTGTGGACCCACAGAGACTCCAAGCAGCCCAAGTGTGCATGGTCCATGGGAAAAAAAGAACCCCTAAATGTGGAGAGAAAGGGAAAATTCAGGAAGAAGCAAGCACCCAGAAAGTTCTACTCTAGGGGTTACCTTCCAGAGGAAACCATGGGTGACTAAATTCAAATCTCCCCAAAGTGGGGCTAGGTGTAAGAAATGGTAGCTCTTTTATTCTCATTTTCAAGAGACTATGATGTATTAAGAGCATAGGATTAGGGGTCTGACCCATCTGGATTCCAATCAAGGCTCAGTCTGTCACCTTGAACAGACATGTGACCTCCTCGAGCCTCAGTTCCCTCTTCTATTCAATTGGAATAATCCTACTCCGGACCTCCCAGGGTTATCATGAAATTCTTGAGACAGCATTGCGGAGATGTTTGGAAAAGATCATGGCGGGTAACATCGCTCAGTACATGGTTGTGAGATGATGAATCTGTCGGTCTTTGATTTTATCACTCACTCTCCAGCTCTAAACCCCCAACAGAGGAGTCTCACCTCACCATGTGCCCTCAAGCCAGGGGAATCAGCCAGCACCCGCCTAGCCCTCTCCTCCCCTAGGAACCTGCACAACTCCCTCTCGTGTCTCCTTTGAGTCCTGGCTCACATCTCTTCCCTGGGCCTTGCTAATTAAAGTTGCAACACTTAACACTCCCTACCCTGCATCCCAGCTTCATTTTTCTTCCTGAAACTTGTCACGTCTCACATATTCTCTATTTCACTTATTAATTTTTGTAGTCCATCTCCCCCGCCTCCCAGAATGATGGCTCTAGGAGTACAAGGGTTTTTATATGCTATGTTCCCCAGCACCCAGAAAAAGACCTAAATCAAAGGAAGTGCTTAATAAATACCCATTGTCTGAGTGAGTAGAAGTGACATGCTGATGCCCTGAGGTTGGGGCTGCCCAGGTCGTGGGAGGCCACAGGGTCCTCAGGTCTGTGGGAGCTGGGGGATGGGATGGTGTACCTGTCCTCATTTTTCCCAGGGCTTAGGGATGAGCAGGGGGCTGTGTGCCCAAGCCTGCCCAGGCCTCCCTGGCTCAGGCCAGCCAGCATTTTGGATAGGGTGGGGAGCAGTGGCTGCTCAGGTGCATAGCCTGTGGCCAGAACAGCTGTATCTGAAAAGCAAATCACCCTCCCTGTGGTTTGCCCATTTCTGGCTCAGGGAACTGAAACACCTCATTTCACGGCTTCTGGTTACCAGGGAACAGCTCAAGATGGGAGGCCACAGTGGTCTTAGCCCAGGACACACTTCATCTCCGCCCACAACCCTGAGCTGGGTAAAGAGAACTGCCCTCTGTACCCAGAGCTGGTACAGCTCAGCGACCATGGAGCCTGCCCTCCACGGTGCCCAGCATCTTCCCTCTCTGCTCCCTCCCACCTCTTCTCTGGGTACACTCCAGTCTCCCCAGAGACTGTGTGTGTCCCTCCTATGTCTGGGACTCAGGAGTAGATAGGAACCCAGGTGTGCGCTGAGCAGTGCAGGTGCAGAAGCACATGCAGACACGACATAGACGTGCACACATTCAGGTCTTCGCATCCACACCCACACACCACCCAGGCACCAGTGCTGCCCTGGTCGTCAGGGCAATATCACAAGGCAGCCTGCTGCGGATGAGAGGTGACCTTCACACCAGGAGGATGCCCGGACCAGCTCCAGCCCCTCCGCCTGCAGAGAAGGCTGGGAATCTGAAAGCACCCTGGCAGAGCTAGCTGGAAGCGGCCTCAGGGTGCACAGACAGACCCTTGCAGGGATGACACAGCAGTCAGCAGTCTCCTGTTTGCAGACTTGGCTGCTGTGTGGTGGGACTGAGGAGGCAGAGTGAGTCCTCAGATGAACCCAGAGAAAGTGAGCCTAAGGTTCTTGGGCTACTGTGGCCAGAGATCCCGGAGCCATCAGACCCCTGGAGGCTAGAGATGGACTGGGCCTGGGGCTGGGGATGGAACTGGGTTGAGCTGACTTTGGAACTGGGACTGAGATTGACACCAGGGCTGGGGCTGGTGCATGGCCAAGGCCCTGAGCATATCCTAGGAAGCAGACAGAGGGCCCTGAGGCTGCTAGCAGAGCTAGCAGAGCTGCAAAGCCAAACAGCAATGACTTGGTTGCAATTGGCCCAGCTACACAGTAAGTGGAAGCTGATCAATGACTTGGTTTTTTTTGTTAATGAGGTGAAATAAGACTGAAGCAATGACAACAATCTGAGCCTGGGGTCTGCCCTGAAACATCAACAGCAAAGAAGCCAGCCCCTAGCCAGCCCACCCCCTTGCCTACCCCGAAGCGCATGGGTGGGGGCAGTTAGGCCCCTGGAGTTCCTACCCAGGAGTGTCTGTGACTGAGAGCAGCCCAGTGTCCCTAGACCCTCCCCACTGAAGTCTGTGGGAACAGCCTCCAACTTTCCCTATCCCAAGCACCACCAGCCCAAGACTCATTTCTCTCTCCAGGAAGAGATATGGAGACTGGGAATCCACAGTCATGGGGCAGGAGAGGGAGCTGGACAGAACAAGAGTCAGAAAGACCTGGAACTAAATCCTACTTCCACCGAGCTGTGAAAATCCCATTCAAATATAAATAAATACAAACAAACCAGCTCTGGCAAACCACTTCACCCTGCTGAGCCTCAGTTTTCTCATCTACGTAATGGGAACAATACTCCTCACCTCTAAGACCCTCAATGCTCCTGGGGTAGAGGGCCACATTCAGATCAGGAACCCCAGATCCCGCCACCCCAGCTGGTCCTCAGAGAGTGAGCTTGAGTCTCAGGAACAGACAGCCACGGCTAGGACAGGGGTCAAAGTGGAAGAGACGGAGAGACTCAACTGCTTTTCATCTCCTTTCTCTTTTTTAATTGAATTTAATTTGATTTAATTTAATTTTGAGACAGGATCTTGCTCTGTTGCTCAGGCTGGAGTGCAGTGGCACAATCACAGTTCACTGCAGCCTCTAACTCCCCGGCTCAAGCAATCCTCCCACCTCAGCCTCCTGAGGGACTACAGGCATGCACTACCACTCCCGGCTAATTTTTCATATTTTTTGTAGAGATCAGGTCTCGCTATGTTGCCCAGGCTGGTCTCGAACTTCAGGGCTCAAGGGATCTGCCCGCCTCAGCCTCCCAAAGTGCTGAGATTACAGGTGTGAGCCACTGCACCCAGCCTCATCTCCTTTCTCTAAAACATCCAAGATCTGTGAAGGAAGAAGGCAGGGCCAAGTTCAACAGAAACTGCCCAGAGTCTTGCTTAGAGATAAGAATCTGTGTCATATCCATACAAGCAGCATTTACTGAGAATGCCCTGAGCCTGTCCTGTGGTGTACATGGGGAACTCAGACATAAACAAGACAGGTCTGCCCTGTAAGAGCCTCAGGAGAGAAAGGACAGGCACAGACTCAAATGACCACCACACAAGAAAGACCAAGCAATGTGAGCCATAAGGTGGACAGTTAAAACACAGGACATTCAGTTAAATTGGAATTTCAGAT
This sequence comes from Homo sapiens, assembly GCF_000001405.40. Classification (NCBI taxonomy): domain Eukaryota; kingdom Metazoa; phylum Chordata; class Mammalia; order Primates; family Hominidae; genus Homo; species Homo sapiens. The sequence continues at coordinate 36,641,772 of NC_000001.11, read as the reverse complement.
AAACAACAAATAACTTTCTGGGATAAGTATGCCCCATGCAGTATTTGGGATATAATTATGCTAAAAAGTTATTCAGTATGTATCTAAACTTCACATTAAACTGAGCATCCTGTATTTTTATTTGCTAAATCTGGCACTGTAGTCATGAGTGAGATAGCTGTGATGTGATGAAATCATGCACCTGGGCCAGACATCCTCAAGGTCAAATCCCAGTTCTCCCTCTAATTGGCTGTGTAACCAGGGGCAATCACTTCACCTGTCTGGGGCCCATGTTTCCTCATCAATCAAATAAGTTCTTTTATTTTTTTTTCTTTGAGAGTCTTGCTCTATTGCCCAGGCTGGAGTGCAGTGGTGCGATCTCAGCTCACTGCAACCTCCACCTCCAGGGTTCAAGCAATTCTCCTGCCTCAGCCTCCCAAGTAAGCTGGGACTACAGGCATGTGCCACCACGACTGGCTAATTTTTTATTTTCTGTAGAGATGGGGTTTCGCCATGTTGGCCAGACTGTTCTTGAACTCCTGACCTCAAGTGATCCTCCCATTTAGGCCTCCCAAAGTGCTGGGATTACAGGTGTGAACCACCATACCAGGCCAAGTTCTATTTCTTGACCTGGGTGGTGTTTACATGGAGAGTTTCATTATCATTACTTGTTATATTGTACATTTACATATTAGGTATTTTTTGTGTATGTGTTGAATTTCTCAGTCACAAAAATATTAAATGAAAAACATATATTAAATGAGATAAAGTACGTAGAAGTCCCCTGGATGAGGCTTTATACAGGATAAGTGCTCAATTTTTTAAAAAGGAACACACATAGTCTACTAGACATTCCAAAGGTAGTGACAGCACAGAGTAGACAGAGTCCTTCCAGCTGGAAAATCCTTGCAGACTTCATGGAGGTGGTGATATTGGAACTGGACTCTGAAGGGGGAGCCAGATTTCACAAGAGGAAGGCAGGAGGAGGGTACTGCCAACAAACAGGCTGCATGGGCAGAGCCTGGCTGGGTTGACAGGCACCAAGTTCTCTAAGCATTGGAACATAAATGTTGGTAGGTGGGACATGAGCTCTCAATAGTTCGCTGTAGTCACCGCCACTCCCTGCTGCCATACACCCAGCCTGCTTCACCCCTGCAGACCCTGAGTCTGTTACCCTGTTAGAATCAAGGAAAGGAAGGAATGCACGAGGCTCCTGCATGGGCAGATGGAGGCCTGGGAGAGAACATTCTGGAACCCGAATCTGGAGAGGTCAGCAGGGACAGGCAATGCTGGACCTTGTACATCAGACTGAGGAGTTTGGGCTCTCCACTAGAGACACTGGGGAGCCAGTGAAGGCTATTAAGCTGGGGAGAGACATGATTGAATTTGCATTGCCAGTTCAGTGCAATCAACATTTACTGAGCACCTACTAAGTGACTCGGGCAGGATCCTCAGATCTCACCCTCCTGAGCTCAGACTACAGAGGACATCAACTGGTGAGCAGGTCGCGTCAACCTGACAACACTTGTGCAGCATGAGAAGTGCTGCAACAGGGGAGTTTTGAAAGCCTGTGCTGGCAGCATGAGGGGAAAGAGATGGCCTGGAGCAAGCAGAGACAGGAGCTGGAAAACTTGCTGGGGAGCTGGATGGGAGAGATCAGGGACGGCAACACTGGGTTGTGCAGGGAGCAGGCCAGAGAGAGGGGAGAAGAGCTGCGGGAGTGGAGCCAATGCGATGGGGGTGACAGAGAGGCCAGGGGATGCACGCATCAGGACACGAGCGCCCAGAGAAGAAATGCCAGAGGCAGACGGGACCTATCCTGCAATAGAGCAGATGTGGCCAGGGCCCTGTCCATGTTCCCCCAGCTCACTGCAACCCCAGTGACCAGCTGGCTGGTGGATGCTCCAACCATACACAGGGCCGGGTGGAAGTGCTCAAAGTGAGTGATGGCCAATGACTGATGTGAGCTGGTGAACAAACACCCCAGTTTCTTCGCCCCTTGATTGGGACAATTTCAAGACATGTTCTACATTGTGTCCAGCAGAATTAAGCTCCAAGTGCCCACAGCGGCAATGTACCTGCATTGTACTCTGTATTGGCCACAAGAATCCAGGCACACCCCAGGAAGTTGGTGCTGGGAAACAGTCACAGTCTTGCTATCTTTAGAAGTTAGAGCCAGCAGGATTTGGTGACAGGTCAGACACAGGGACCCAGAGGCTGAGAGAAAGGAGAAAGGGATGACACCAAGGTTTGGAGCTGAACAACCAGAAGGGAGCAGCACCATTAACTGTGATGGGAAAGTTACAGGAGCAGCTTGTTCCAGGAGGAAGCCAGGATTTCCCAAGAAACGAAGGAAGGCAAGAGCATTTTAGGCTGAGGGAATAGCAAAGAAAAGGCCCGAACACATATGATGTGGCCTGGGGGCCCCATGTGACCATGAGGGCTTGCTAAAGCCTGGAGAGCATGGTGGGGCAAGGGTGGGAAGTGGCTGGAGATAATGCTGGAAAGGTCAACTGAGGCCAATTTGGAAACAAACCTGAATGCCACACAATGCATTCTGGATAGAGCCCATGGGAGAGTGGGGAGCCCGCCAAGCTTCTAAGCAAGATGGTAAACATGGTCATATTTGCTTTTTAGAACAATCGCTCTGGCCACTGTATAGAGGCCTCACTGGGGAGACTGGGGACAGCAGCTGAGTAGCAGAGCATGGCATGGCTGGGTGGGCAGGAGATGGTAAGGCCTCAACTAGGGCAGCAGTAGCGGAGGGAGAAGAGGAGCCAGAAGCAAGCTGGGTGTCAGAGGCCTCTCTGTCGGGGACTCTGGAGGGCCTGGTGGTCTGAGACCATTTAAAGGAAAAGGAGGAGATGAGGGAGCCATTGGGCATCACAGGTCACGTGTGTAGGATGGCTGGGAAACTGCATGGCATTTCCCAAGGCAGGCATCCCACGGGGCTGAGCAATGCCAGCTTAGAGCTCTGACACAGGCAGACCCAACCCTCCCATGCTGCACCCCTCCTGGAGGAGAGGATGCTGAAGGGGCGTTGGTCAAATGGACCCTCGGCCCCAGAAAGTCCAGGCCTGCAGGGGATACCAGATGGCCACCCAAACAGTGTAGAGGTTCCATTTCCAAGGTCAATTCCAGGCCCTGGCAGGACCCCCTCCCCTGTTTCCATTTCAGGGAATGTAAAACTAGATGGTGCTGGGCCTGTGTGCTCTTCACATCAGCACAACAAGATGCTTAGTCAATAAAATAGTTGAGCCAAGCGAACCCAGCATGCGACTCCAGGAGGAGTTTTTTTCCAGGGGAAATGTTATCATTTTCCATTCCTGTTTAATGAATCATGGGAATTATAGCAACATTACAAATGGCTTTCTGTGCAGGCTATTACTTTGTTTCTGCAGGGTTCTAATGGCAAGCCTGCTTCAGTGAGGGTTCAGCCTGCCCCCAGCTAAGGAGAATAATGGTATTGTTATCAACGGTCCCCTTACAAGGCTCCAGACCAGGAGGGTTGGTGGCCCTGGACCTTACAGACTGGGTCTGAAGTGGGAAGCCCCCAGTGATTGATTCGGGAATTTCCTGGAGAGTCCACACAGCCATCCCAGGCACTTTCTGCTGAAACCAGGCACAGCTAAGCCAAGGCTCCCAAGGCTCAGGCAGGAAAACCCAGGGTTTGGAAGAGAAGGGGGAGCAAAGGACCTGTGAGCCTCCTTTCTGAGCTGCAGAATCAGGGGAGGGCCAGTGAACTAAACAGATTGGGTCCCTAGGGGTATGGGATGGTCAGAGATGGAGTGTGGGGAACAGACACGTCACAACCCTCACCACGACTGCCCCTGGGCTGGCTCTTGCCGTGGCGGACAGCAGAAAGAGCAAGCCTGATCCCTGTCTGTGGAACCTTCCAGTCAGGGCAGGTACAGAGGACACCGGAAGGGGGAGAAGTCCAACCCTCTCCCACAGGTCCTGGAGAGGCAGGTCTGGTGCAGGGAGAAAACTGATGGTGTGGGAGGACCTTCCCCAGCCCCACTCCTCCTGCTTGGAAGTGGAGGATCCAGAGAGCCTGAGGTACACGGGATGAACAAGCTGCTCCTGGGGAACACCCAGGCTGCCCAGAGCAAATGCTTGCTGTCTCGGTGACTGAATGGACTCAACCATGCCTTGTTTCTCAGAAGCCCACTGCCTGCTTTCTGCAGTGTCAATCAAGAGCTGATCTGTGTCTTAAAAAGCTATTTGATCATTGTAGTGGAATCCACTCCCAGGTCATGAACCCCACCTGACCACAGCCAACTGGCTTAGAGGTGGACACCTAACCCAAACCGAGCCAATCAGATTCTGCCCCCACTACAACGTAGGATGCAAAAGAAGTATTTTTGTCTCCTTGGATCACTGCTGTATCCTTAGTGCCCAGAATTCTGCCTACCACACAGTAGGGGCTCAATGAATATTTAATGAACAAATGAACGAATAAATGGGTCTCTATGAGAAATTTGGAACTTTTCACTTGAAAACACAGAGACTTAGGGTTATGGGAACTGATTCTCACTACTGATTCTGTGACCTCTGCAGTTGGTCAAATGGACCCTCAGCCCCAGAGGGTTCAATGAATATTGAATGAATAAATGGGTCTCTATGAGGAATTTGAACTTTTCACTTGGAAACGCAGAGACTGGGTGTTATGGGAACTGATTCCCACTAGCTGCATAAGCTGAAGACCCACCCTTTTCTATTTCTGGGTTCCTTGGGGCTACCTCAGTCCTGACTCTTCCCAAGCTGGTTGATCTCCTCTTAACTTTGAGACAAACAGCCCAACATCCTGACCATAAACCCTCTTTCTTGCTTATGTCCATTTCTGTTGCAACCAAAAAACCCTCACCAACATGAGAAATTTTGTGGCCTGATAAGTCATATTTCCTCACCCTGTGAGCTTCTCTGGGAGTCACACAGACTCTTGGCAGTGCCTTGGGCTATACCCATGTCTACCCCACTGCCACCATCACCAGTTCTGGTAGGCTTTGGTTCTGAAGGACCCAGAGGCAGGGAGGGGTGGCATGGTGGAATACTGGGTCCTTTAGGGCAGGGGGAGGTGGGAAGTATTGTGCCCTCTCCTTTCAGGGCCCCTTATCCCACCCCAGCCTCAGGTGTAGGCTCTTGGGTCCCTCATTCAGGCCAGAGAGTCCTGATTCCTCATCCATTCCCACCCGACACACACAGAGGGGAGGTGGGTGCTGGTGGAATCAGAGCCCTGAGAAAATCTGAGTTACAAGCTGGAGCTGGAGAAAGTGGTGCCCAGCCCCCAGCCCTACAAAGGCTGCTCTCCGCCTGGCTGGATCAACTCTTCCTTTCCTTCCTTCCGCCCTCGCCCTGGGTGCCCGGATACTAATTATAATGACCTGGTGAGTTACAAGACGGTGAAATTGCTTCCACCTGAGGTTGTCACGGGCTAGGAAGAAATACCAGGGCTGGAAATTAAGCTGTGCCAGCAGGCCTAAAGGGGTGGGAGCAGCAGGGAGGGCGGGGAGGAGGTGGGGAGAAGTACCTGCAGCTTATAACGTACTGTTTAGGAGTGTCGGCAAGAAGCATCCTTGGCCAAGACACAGAAATGATTGGAGGCTGCCCACGTGTGGCTGGTCACTGGTCACAAAGTGCCACAGCAGATGGTAAAATGACCGTGAAAAGGCAGAGGCCTCATGACCACCTGGAGACCCAAAGACAGAGAGAACAGCAGGCTACCATTGTAGATGGTGGGTTGGGCAGACCCAACTACCCAGAGAGGGAAGGTAGGTAAAGGGTGCTCAGAGCCCAGCCCAACCTCAGCAGTCTACCATACACCTAAGGCCAGCCCGAGGAAATGCTCTCCTCCAAATCCAGCCCTATTTGCCCTGGGTTGTGTCTGCCCACCCAGCTTCACTGTGCCCTTTTCATTTGGAATGTTTGTAGGCCCGCCCAGCATGGAGATCCAAGATGGTGGGAGAGAGGACCTGGGAGTCTGCACCTCTGAAATTGGTCAGCACCCTGAAACTGTCCTGCTGGACCAACTGCACAGGTCACAGAATTATCTGAGTCATCGAGACCCACTTCCCAGGTACCAGCAGCAGGTTGAGGTCGGCACCCTGGAATTCAACCAAATCTTTAAGGGATGGATCTCTCTAGTGCTATTTAAACTGTTACAGGGCACAGAAAAAGAAGGAAAGTTTCTAGATTTTTTATGAAGCTAGTGTAACATTAATACTAATACCCAACTGAAAGAATGTGCGCGCACACACACACACACATGCACACACACATACACATACACACACATACACATATATACACACATACAAACACGCACACACACACGCATACATACACACACATACATATACATACACATACACACACACACACACACAAAAGAACAATCTCACTTATAAATTTCACTGCAAAAACTCTAAGTAAAACAGTAGCATACAGAATCTGGCAGCGCAGAAAAAAAATAATATATCTGTCAAGTGGAGTTTAAGAAATGCTAGGAGGTTAGTGTCAGAAAATCTATTAATTTACCATATTAGAGGATTTAAGCATAGATTATCTGCATAAATCAGCAATCATTCTTAATTTCTTTAAACTCTTATGAAATAAGAACAGCTACTTCTTAGCATGATAAAATATATCCATCTTAACTCCTAATGAGGAAATACTAAAAGCATTCCCATTAAAGTCGGGAACAAGACTGGGACATCCAATATTTTCATTATTACATTGCTTTGTTCTGTAGGTACCAGCTGCTGCAATAAAGTAAGAAAAAATAATTTAACTATATAAAAATTGAGAAGGGAAATTAAAATTATTGATTGCAGAAGATATGACTGTATACCTTGTACACCAAAGAGAATCAACTAAAAACTATTATCAAAAATAAGATAATTCAATGATGTGACCAGCTATAAAATTAGTATGCAAAAATCAATGGCCTTCATATTTTACAGTGGCAACCAGTTGGGGCATATGTTGGAAGAACAGATGATGAGAAAGATAAAATGCCTAGGAGTATACAAAATATTTTTTAAAAACCCTAAAATGCTGCTGAGGAACCCAAAAGATGACTTGAGTAAATGGAAAGGCATATCGCATTCTTAGATAGGACTAATCAACATCATGAAGTTGTATCAGCATTCTCTTATTCTATGACACTTACATTTTCCAGTAAAAATACCAAAAGGAATTTTTTTTTTTTTTGAGACAAGGTCTTGCTCTGTCACCCCGGCTGGAGTGCAGTGATGATCATGGCTCACTTCAGCCTCAAAATTCTGGGTTCAAGCAATCCTTCCACTTCAGCCTCCTGGGTAGCTGGGACCACAGTCTTGCACCACTATGCCTGGCTAATTTTTTTTTGTAGAGATGGGATCTCACTATGTTGCCCACGCTGGTCTCGAACTCCTAGGCTCAAGTGATCCTCCCACCTCAGCCTCACGAATGTTGGGATTATAGATGTGAGCCACTGCACTCATCCCCAATAAGAATGTTATGTGTAATCAGGTAAGTTTGAAGTTCATATTTAAAAACAAGAAAATGAAAAAATAGCCAGGAAAATTCTGAAAAGTAATGAGAGGGGAGACTAGCCCTATCAGATATTTAAACTTATTATAGATCTGCAATAATTTGAATAGTATGGTAGTAAGTTGTGAGCAGACAAATATGTCAATGGAACAAAACAAAAAGCACAGAAAAATTTTAAAATGTGAGCATTCAAAATCATTAAGGATCAAAAGAAGATATACAAATGGTCAATGGGTATATGAAAAAATTCTCAACATCACTAATCATCAGGGAAATGCAAATTAAAACCATAATGAGATATCACTTTACATCTGTTAGGATGACTGTTATCAAAAAGACAAAAGTAACAAGTGTTGGCAAGGATGTGGAGAAAAGGTAACCCTTGTACACTATTGGTGAGAATGCAAATTGGCATAGCCATTCATTACGGAAAACAGCATAGAGGTTCCTCAAAAAATTAAAAATAGAATTACATAGGATCTAGCAATTTCAAAGAAATTTGGATCTATCCAAAGGAATTGAAATCAGGATCTTGAAGCGACATCTGCACTCCCATGTTCATTGCAGCATTATTGCAATAGCCAAGATATAGAATCCATATAAGTGTTCATCAACAGATGAATGAATAAAGAAAATGTGGTATCTGGGCGGGGCGCAGTGGCTCACGCCTGTAATCCCAGCACTTTGAGAGGCCAGGGTGGCCAGATCACTTGAGGTCAGGAGTTCGAGACCAGCTTGGCCAACATGGTGAAACCTCATCTCTACTAAAAATACAAAAAGTTAGCTGGGTGTGGTGGCACACACCTGTAATCCCAGCTACTCAGGAGGCTGAGACAGGAGTATCGCTTGAACCCAGGAGGCAGAGGTTGCAGTGAGCCGAGATTGTGCCAATGCACTCCAGCCTGGCGACAGACCGAGACTTCGTCTCAAAAAAATAAATAAATAAATAAGAAAATGTGGTATCTGTATGCAATAGAATACTAGTCAGCCATTAAAAAAGAAGGCAATCCTGACATTTTTGGTAATGTGGTTGTACCTGGAGGACATTATGCTAAATGAAATAAGTCAAGCACAAAAAAGACAAATACTGCATGATCTCATTTGTATGTGAAATCTAAAAAAGTTTAACTCATAGGAGCAGATTGTGGAATGGTGGTTGCCAAGGTTTGGGTAGGGAGAGGGAGGAATTGGGAGATGTTGATTAAAGAGTACCAAGTTTCAATGAAATAGGATGAATGAGTTCTGGAGATAGACTGTGTAGCATGGTAGCTATATATTTAACAATGTATTGTGTGCTATTGTATACTCGAAAATTGCTAAGAGATTAGTGCTTAAGAGCTCTCACCACCAAAAAAGTGAGGTGATGGATATGTTTATTAGTCTGATTCAGTCATTTTGAAACATATCAAAACATACACCATAAATCAAACAATTTTTATTTGTCAATTATACCTCAATACAGCTGTTGGAGGGGGCAGGTCATTGAAGAGAAGATGAACTATTCAATCATGTTATTAGGACAACGGGGCAGCCATTGACAAAAAAATTAAAATTAGGTCCATTTCTCACCCTTTATACCAAGATAAATGCCAGATGAATTTGTTTAAATTCAAGGATTTAAATATATATATGTATATATATATATGTGTATATATATATATATATACACATATATATATATATATATATTTTTTTTTTTTTTTTTTTTTTTGAGACGGAGTCTCGCTCTGTCGCCCAGGCCGGACTGCGGACTGCAGTGGCGCAATCTTGGCTCACTGCAAGCTCCGCCTCCCGGGTTCGCGCCATTCTCCTGCCTCAGCCTCCCGAGTAGCTGGGACTACAGGCGCCCGCCACCGCGCCCTGCTAATTTTTTGTATTTTTAGTAGAGACGGGGTTTCACCTTGTTAGCCAGGATGGTCTCGATCTCCTGACCTCATGATCCACCCGCCTCGGCCTTCCAAAGTGCTGGGATTACAGGCGTGAGCCACCGCGCCCGGCCTAAATATTTTTAAATGAAGTAATAAGCAGCCTAGAAGAAACCATGAGGAAGTTTTTAAAAATAATCTTCATGTGAGAAGGCCTTTGACAAGACACCCAGAAGCCAAAAAAATAAAAGCGCTGCTAAATGTGTATATATAAAAATAGAAAATCTCCTCATGGCAGAAATCACCATTAGCAAAGTCAAAAGACAACAAACCAAGAGAAATATCTGGTGCTTATCACAGATAAAGGGTTCATTTCCCACTTGTGTAAAAACGTCTTACAATTCTATTGAGAAAAAGACCAGTAACACAGTAGAAAAAATGAACAAAGATATGAAAATAGTTCCCAGCAAAGAAAATAGATAGGTCTTGAACATTTGAAAAGATGCTCAACCTCACCTCTAAGAAAAATGTGAAATAAAATCACCTGATACACCTTTTACCAATCAGACTGGCAAAGATCAAAAAGCTTACTAACATACTGTGTTGGTGAAGATGAGAGGAAGTTGCCATCTCACATTGCTGCCTGTGCAATCTCTATGGAAAGATAGGCAATTTGGTAACATCTATCAATATACCCTTTGCCATAGCAATTACACTTCTAGGAATTACACAAAAAGATATGCATGCACGTGTGTGAATTGGTGAGTGTGCAAAATTACTCCTAGTATCATTATCGGAAAGAATTTTTTAAATAAGAAAAACCTCAATGTCCATCCATAGGCGATTGCTTAAATAGTGGGGTGTGCATCCAATGAGATATAGGTAGCCATTAAAAAGAATGAGAAGTGAACCCTCCCTCTGTCTCAAATGCCTCAAAAAGATGAGCAGAGAAAGCAAAGGGATGTAGGGCACAGAGAGACCTGGGTTCAAATTCCAGTCTACCACTTTCAGACTGTGAGAACTTGAGCCAGGCAATTCACCTCTCTGAGCTTCTGTTTCCTGCCCATCAGCTAGGGATGTGAAGAGAGGCCATCTCACAGGACTTCAAGGAAGACAAATGGGGTCATGCATATACAGGCACCTAGTGGTCACCACACTTATCATTACCCCCATTTTATAGATGAGAAAACTGATCTTGAGAAGACAGAAGGGAAAGGCCGAGGATCTGCCACCTATGTCTCCTAACCCCTAGTAGTGAGGCTCTCCCTTTGCCCTGAGGTTGGGCCAACCTGCATAGGCAGGAAAGCAGCCTTTGGAAATCCAGGCAACACACCTGTTTCCATGATCTCTGTACTGATGAGCACTTTGGGAATACCCACGGGAGCACTTTTTTTCCTTGCTGCAAAAAGCTTTATTGTTTCTATTTGGTCCATGCCTTGGACGAGGGGCTCCAGGATGGCTAAAAAGCTGCCTAATGGCTGGAGGAAGCAGCTCAGGCAGAAGCCCTGCTACCAGAGGGGTGCAGAGAGGCCCCTGAAAGGCCTCTGGGCTCCAGAAGGTCCCTGTCCTGCTTGAGGGTGAGCCTTTTGCCTGCAGAGGTGGGTTAGGTGGTTGCTCATCTTCTTGATAAGAAATTGGCTCTCCAGGAAGTCGGAGAGGTGGGGCCTGTGTGGACAGAACCCAGGGAACACAGATGTAAAAGGGCCTGGTTCAGGTTCTTCTACAGAGCCAGGACATCTACCATGCAGTCCAGGGTTTCACCCCTCTCATCATGGGATAGCTTCTGCATGTCCTAGAAGAGGGTACAGCCAGGGTCCTGGTTTGGCACCACAGGGCTGGTTTTGCGTTTCCAAGAAAATTTCAAATTTTCAAGTTTTCAGAGCCCTCAGGCTTCTCCTCCACCAACTCGACATTGTCCCACACCCTCTAAGCCACATCATCAAGATTGAAATGAAAGCCCAGAAAGAGGTAGGTCCGGGAAGCCTGCAGATGTGGGTGGACCAGGCGGTTGCTGGCAGCCTCCACATGGGTGAAATAATTCTAATGAATCTGGGAGCTCACCACAGAAACAATGTTGGCTGGTCCAGGAAGCAGAGAGTGGCCAAGAAGATGGTCCAGAGGTTGTGACTGAAGAGGAGATTGGGAGCAATCGAGGCTAGAAGAAGGGGAGTCCCGGGTCTGCTCCATGAAAATACTGTTGTCTGAAGCAAGAGACAGATCTGCGGGACTGCCAGTCACGCTTAGGTGCAACCATTTGGAACAAGGATGATATATTAGTCAGGATCCCAGCAGGGAAGGGATGTCACATTCAAATTGAATAGAAATTAGTAAAGAGACTATTTACAGGCCAAGCACAGTGGCTCACACCTGTAATCCCAGCATTTTGGGAGGCCGAGGCAGGTGGATCACCTGAGGTCAAGAGTTCAAGACCAGCCTGGCCAACATGGCAAAACCCTATCTCTACTAAAAATGCAAAAATTAGCTGGGCATGGTGGCAGACACTTGTAATCCCAGCTACTTGGGAGGCTGAGCAGGAGAATCACTTGAACCTGGGAGGTGGAGGTTGTAGTGAGCCGAAATAGGGCCACTGCACTCCAGCCTGGATGACAGAGTGAGACTCTACCTCAAAAGAAAAAAAAGAGAGAGACTATTTACAGAGGCATAGGCAGGAAGCAAAGTCAATAAGGGGTGGTGTAGGATCTCAGGGCCTGCAAGAGTGGAGAGTTGTCACAGCCCAGGCCTAAAAGGGAAGGGAACCTGAAGACTGTAGCTATAGGGGGAGGGCTGCATGACAGCAGCTGTGGCCTCGGTAGAGGCTTGCAATCAACCCCCAACCACATGGCAGGGAAGGAGGGAGGGGATGAAAGCTATGGTCACCCTTCTCCTCCCTGCCCATGTCTCCCATTGGCCAAGCCAACCAGCAGAGGGACAAAGGAGCTCCCTGAGATGTGGGCACGGACCAGCCTTCTGCAGCACAAGATGGGGAGAGGGTGGATATGGAGAGGCACATGGAGGATGTTCAGTCCTGGCCACCTGACACTAGTATAATTTCTGGCCCTTGGTCTGTGAGCTCCAAGCACTCAGGCTTCTTTTGAGAACAGGAGCAAAGGCAAGCCCAGGCACTTGGAGACACCGAGGCTGATTCCAAAACACACCAGCCTGGCAACCCATCCTTCCCCAGCAGACCAGCCAAGGTGACCCAGGGCCCAGCTGCCTCCTCCCCTGGCACTAGGACCCGGTCTCCTGACTCACAGCCCTCTCCGATCCCCCTGTCAATCCCATATCTGGGCCCAGAACTCATTTTCAAACCAACCAAGCATCAGAAAGTCACACATCAGGCTTATCTCTCCTGCCACTCATCTCCGGAAAGCCCTTCTCCCCGTCCCCGTCATTCTCAAATAGAATCCCTCCCCTCAACCCCCAATCCTAATAAACATCTGAGCTCAAGGAGCAGCACCAGCTGTGCAGAGCCCCCCAGCTACCCCAGCTGTGCTCAGTCTAGATAGCAAATCCAGAGCAGGCCCAGATGAGGTAAGAAGCCCAGCTGAATGCAAAGAAAGTCATCACTCCTCTCCCAGCCCCCTACCTCCACCCCAGCTACTCAAAACTAGTCTCTGTCTCTATCCACTGACCACAGGAGGGGCTGGGGTGGGAATGTTAGCATCTCAGATTTAACACTGTTCATTCCGTGGCTGCCATCGAGCTGAGACAGATTCACTGGGACCCCAGTCTAGGCTTCCTCTACATGGGATGACCCCTCCTCTGGACACTGCTTTAGCCTTGACAGAGACAGTCAGTGTTGCTGCAGGGACCACAAGCAGGTTGTGGGGTTTTTTATTTGTTTTTGTTTTTTGAGACAGAGTCTTGCTGTGTCACCCAGGCTGGAGTGCAGTGGCGCGATCTTGGCTCACTGCAACCTCCGCCTCCCAGGTTCTAGCGATTCTCCTCCCTTGGCCTCCCGAGTAGCTGGGGCTATACATACGTGCCACCACGCCCGGCTAATTTTTGTATTTTTAGTAGAGACGGGGTTTCACCATGTTGACCAGGCTGGTCCTAACTCCTGACCTCAGGTGATCCACCTGCCTCAGCCTAGGTCGTGTTTTTTGAACCGAACAACCCAGTTGGAATCCTTGCTCTGTCCATATTAGCTACGTAGCATTCATTCATTCAACAAACATTCGTTGTTTGAGACACACAAGGGAACAGGACAGACAAGGTCTCTGTCTTCATGCAGCTTACACTTTAGTAGGGGAGGGAGATGATAAACAAGGAGAAAATAAAAGAAAATGATGAGATGGGGAAGGCCAGGGGTGGACTGGAATAGGGGATAGAGAAATAGGCAGTCGGGGAAGGAGTCTCTGAGAAGATGACATTTGAAAGAAGACCTTGAGTGGTTACCTACCTACCTGCCTACCCTAAAAGTTAAGGTAATTTTAATCATGTCTGTCTTTCCAGGTCGATAAAGAATTAAATGAGTTAATATACATCCAGTGCTGGCCCAGGGCCTGACACATAATAAATGCTCAATAGATTGTAGCTCCATGTCTAGTTAAGAAGAGAGGGACTTGCAGAGGCCCTGCAGACCCAGTTATCACTCCTAGCCCAAAAGGAGGCCTCGGTAGCCTGGTTGCATCCAGGCAAGCTTCTTGGAGGAGGCTGTTGGCAATGGCCAGCTGCAGTCCTGAGGCCAACCCAGAACTCTAAATTAATAATGTTCTTGTTAAGGCAGAGAGGACTGCCACAGCCTGGACCCCTGAAATCCATGAGCCCAGGAGGCCTGAGTCACAGCCTCTGCTTACCTGTTCCTAGACCCGAGCTGCTGCATCAGTTTCCCATTGGGACTGGAGTCTGTCACGAGCCCCCATGTTCCTGCTGTGAATGACACAGAGCCACAGAGTTGAAGGAATCCAGAATATTAATGACCTGTTTCAGGAGCACCTGCTTATACAAAAGTCGGTGCCCTTTTGAACGATGGCCCCCACTGCCTTGCCACCCCTGCCCCCGGCTCAACCCCTCCATTTAGCCCAGCCCCACCTCACCTCGTCCCCTCATCTCTCCTCATCCTCCTGGCAGCAGAGCCCCAGCCAGAGAGAAGAGCAGACAGACTTGAAGGATGGAGGGCAGCCCAGAACAAGCAGGCACAGAGGAAAAACACGGTGGGTCCCTCCTTCCCCTCCCAGGCCTCGGCGCTGCCCTACAAATGCCACCCCTTCTGACTGATAGCAGGAAATTGGTCCCCGCTAAGCCTATCGCAGGAGGACTGATAAATCCTCATGGAGAGGGGAGCAAGATGCGGGGAGGAGAGCAAGATGGAGCGAGGGGAGGGCTTAACGGGGGGAGGGGCACAACACCCTCTTACTGGGGCCAGGGGCTTATGGGGCTGATGGGGAGGGGAGAGGCCCTGCTCTACTAAGATAGGCACCCCCATCACCCCAGTCCTCAGAGCCTCTCCCTCTTCCTCTACCAGGACTGTGGTGGGGATAGTGACAAGCAGCCAGCCAGGTCCTATGCCTCTCTTCATAATTACGAGCATTCCCTCACCCTCTCCACAAACTAAAGTCCTTTGCATCCTTCATGGCCTAGCTGGCATCCCCACCTCCTCCCAGAGCCCTTCCCACATCCTGCAGTGGGATGCTAGCTCCACTACTGAGCACTTGCTGTGCACCAAGCCTGATGCCAACCATTTTACATAACAGTATCTCATCAACCCTCCCAGCTCCCTAAGAAGCAGGAATTGTTACACCCATTCCACAGATGAGAAAGTGAAGCTCAGAGAGGTTAAGTGACTCATGCAAGGACACACAGCTGGTACATAGGTGGAAAGACCAGGCTTTGAGCCAGGCCTATCTGAGTGCATCACCCTGACCTTCTCCTGCCCTTGGTCTCTTATCAGCACCTTTAGTCTCTGTTATAAACCCTGGACCCTGGACATAGACTTCATTATGTTTACAAGTTGTCATGTCTCTGTCTGCCTCCCCCATTAGACTGTGAGTTTTTCAAGGATGGGGCCATGTTTCACATCACCCACACCCCAAAGCTCCAGAGGCCAATTTGAATCTTCGCATCATAGGTGGCATTCCTTCTTCGTTGGAGTGGATCTGACCTAGGACAACAGGGGTCAGCACAGGGCAGAGATTGCAGGTGCACACGGCCTCCGCCTAGCCTCCACCCTCCCCAATAGAGCAGGAACTTCCCCCGCCCTCAGCACTCCCCCAACCTCCGTCTCGGTGCCTGCTAAACGTTCCTCCTGGCTTCACTGAGACTCTCCTTACAGTGTTCCAAAATCTCCACAAGCCTTTGCATTTTAAGCAGACACAGTTGTATCAGATTTCCCCCGTCTTTCCAGCGGCTCAGCTCTTCCCAAATTTGATGAACTGATCTCAGCTAGATAAATCGCATCAGCTGTCGGCTTTGCTGAGACTCAGAGAATGACATTTCCCTGGTTTGCTCAGGTTTAATGCAAAGGCGCCGTTCCGGCTGCAAACCTTCAAGGCCAGGTGAGATGAATAAAGAGTTTTATACAAATGGTCCCACTCCACCAATCTAGGCCGTCCCAGCTAGCTCCTTAGTCCCTGTGGTTTCTGGAAGGCTGGGAGCCTGCAGACAGCCAACTGGGGAGGGCATGCCAGGGGATGCAGCCTCCTCTCTTGGCTTAATGGTAATTGGCAGCATTTCCATGCATTTCCATGCGGGATTATGCCATAAATTTACTGGGCTCCAAATAGGGTTGTTCCCAGCAGAGACTGCAGTAGGGGAGTGGGGACAGGGTGATAGGGGAGTCCCCCCAGACTCTATGCCTAAGCATCTTTAGACACCCCCAACCCCTTCACCACAAAACTATACTTCTCCCCAGTCCCATAGGTGGCCTTGTTGCTGGCTGATTCTCCAAAGAGTGGGGGTAGGGGTAAGGATGGGGGTAGGGGTGGCAGCCTGAGGATCTGCAGCCCAATCAGAGGAGCAGAGGGGCCCCAGGTGGAACAAGGAGGGGTGGAGGCTCCAGGCACGAGGTGATGGCACACAGATAAGGCAACACCTGACAGGCTCTTCAAATCCTCAGACTGGACCCAAAGGATGGCCCAGTAGTGGGGGCACTGCTATTCCCTGGCTCCTCAGCTGACCAGGACTGTCCTTGCCACAAGACCCAGAGCTGGGGACACTAGGCAAGCTGGTGCTGAGCAATGAGCACCAGACAAGCAAAACACCAGGGCAGAGGAAGGTTGAAAGCCTGATGTTTCCCTGCAATTTGGCTCCATTAGAAATAGTGACTTGTGAGAAAGGGAGGAGTAACCGGCCTTGTGGGGACCCCTGGAGATGAAGAGGCTGTGTGAGCACAGACACAACACGGCACTCACACATAGGCACCTTCACAGTCGCTGAAACCCACACGCACAAGCACACCCCCTCGCACTCCCACAACACACCCTCCCTCAGCACACACTCATGTGCTCACACGTACACACACGAGCACAAAGACAAACTTAGCAAGGACCTGTGTTTCGTCTCTGATGAGTTTAGGTTTTTTAAATGCAGATTTTTTGCAAAACTAATTAAGAGGAAGCCCAGAGTAGAGCTAATGAGCTATGCAAATATCCTGACATCAACCCCACTGGTGAGGTTCAGGATGTCTTCAGTCAGTCAGAGGAAAGAGACCCGCATCATGCCCAGGGTTCTCTGTAGCAGGGAGATTCAGTACAGGCCTTGCAGCCCCCTCCCCTGGAGGAGCCCCCAGCTGTGAAGGAGGGGGAACCATGTGGAAGGCGTAGCAGTTCTCACATTTCACATCAGTATCACCTGGAGGGGAGGGCTGGCCACAATGCCTGAGCTTGATTCACAAGGTCTGGGATGGGGCCTGAGAATCTGCATTTCTGAAAAGCTCCCAGTGGATGCTGCTGGTCCAGGTCCTACTCTCTAAGAACATCTGCCTTCAAGGCTTCTAATTGCAGCCTCTTTCTAAAAACATGCCTACCTGGGACTTGTGTTCACAGGGTTTGTGTGAACAAGGGGCTGGCACCAAAGACTCTGTAGACCCTACCCTTGATAAGAAAGGGCCCATCCCATCAAAAAGGATTCAGACCCTTCCAGGAGTCCAGTGAGCATAGAGACCCTCCACTCTTGCCTTCATGGCCCATCCCCACAGCAGCTGAAACTCATCCACAGCCATTAGCTCATCTGAACTTACACAGCCCTGGCAGCCTGGGATCCCCCTTCAACCGATGAGGAAACTAAGGCTCAGAGAGGTAAAATAATGTGCCTAAGATCACCCAAGGAGAGCTGGGATCTTCACTAAGGTCTCTAGCTCTCCTTTCCAATGAGCTCCCTGCTTTGTCTTACAGGAAGACAACACGTACAATGAATTTCTCTGGAGGGTTCAGAGTATAATGATGAAATACACCCCCAATCCCCTAAAAACGTGGCATGAGTAGCATGAAGCCCAAGGAACACAGCTCCCAGCTCTTCCCACTTTGTCCCTCTAAGACCCAGGATGAACTGTAGAGGAAAAGCCCAACTCCGCACCACCTGCAGCCAGGCCGTGGAGTCACCGTTGCACACATACGCCAGGGAGGGAAGCTGATACGGAGTCAGCACAGAACCTGCCCAGCAAACCCAGGCAATTTCCCCTCCAACCACCTAACTCGCCCTCCGATGACCCACCCTGCCCACCACATGTGTGAGGCATTGATCTCTTCCATCCTAACACCTGCCTGCAGAATGCGGCTGTCACCAGGGCCAGCAGAGCAGGCCAGCAGGGCAGCGATGGGGCTGACAGGAGGGCACTCAGACAAGACTCATCTCTGCGGTTCTGAGACTCCCTCAGATGGATGTCAGTTGCCCATAGAACTGACTTGGGGACAGCAGACAAGGGAGAGAAAACCACCCCCTCCTCACCTGCTCCCTCAGCCGTGCCTGCAGCCTGAGCCTGGCGGGAACCCAGGTTCCTCCATGTGTAAGTTAATCATTAGTGGCTGGTCGAGTCAATGACTGCAGTGAATTTGGCTGGGCTGAGGCAGGAGACAGGAAAGAACTTGAGCTCCGTGAACATGACTGAGCCTACAGAATTGCCATCCATGCTCCCCACACATCAGACCTTTTCAGGGCCAGACTTCTGAATATGGGTGCCTGCAAACAAGGATTTTGGCTTACTGTGTATTGAATACCCACAGCCTGCCAAGCACCTCATATGCACAATTGCCAGTCTTTACAATAACCCAGCGGCATCAGTGGTTTTATAATCTCTAATTTACAGGTAAGGAAACAGCCCCAAAGAGAGGAAGTGACTTGCAAAAGCTCACACAGCGAGTAACTGAGCCAGAATTTGAACTTATGTCACTTTTTACTTCAAAGCTTGTATTTTCCTACTTTGCCCCACTTGCCTCATGAATTGTCTTCCTCAAGAACTTCTATTCCTCTTTCAAGACCCGATGTTACAGTGTTATTTCCTACGCAAAGCCCTCCCTGGTTTTCTCTCTCTCCCCCTCACCAAGGCAGAGTTAGTCATTCGCACTAGTATTCTAAATGAAGTTTTGATTTAGTGGGTGGCGTTTGACTGGAGGCCCTAGGAATGCGTACATTTTGTTCTGTTAATTATCCCTTCCTCAAACTACACACCCAAGGAAAAACAGCAAAATGGCCACTCATTCTTAGCTGGGTCAGTGTCCAGTGTCCTAACCCTAAATCTAAACCCTACCACATTAGTGGCTGTAGTGGTTTTTTAAAATGTCCAGCCAGGCACAGTGTTTCACACCTCTAATCCCAGCACTTTGGGAGGCTGAGGCAGGCAGATCACAAGGTCAAGAGACCAAGACCATCCTGGCCAACATGGCGAAACCCTATCTCTACTAAAAATTCAAAAATTAGCTGGGCATGGTAGCACACGCCTGTAATCCCAGCTACTCAGGAGGCTGATGCAAGAGAATCACTTGAACCCGGGAGGCGGAGGTTGCAGTGAGCCGAGATGGCACCACTGCACTCCAGCCTGGACGACAAAGAGAGACTCCATCTCAAAAAAAAAAAAAAAAAAGTCCAAGAAATCCTTGCTATTCCTTCCTTCAAGAGATGAAGCCAGCCAGGCACAGTGGCTCACACCTGCAATCCCAGCACTTTGGGAGGCTGAGGTGGGTGGATCACTTGAGCCCAGGAGTTCAAGACCGGCCTGGGTAACACGGCAACACTCTGTCTCTACAGAAAAACCTGGGCATGGTGGCACACACCTATAGTCTCAGCTACTTCGGAGACTGAGATGGGAGGATCGCTTGAGCCCAAGAGGTCAAGGCTGCAGTTAGCCATGATCGGGCCACTGACTCCAGCCTGGGTAACAGAACAAGAACTTGTCTCAAAAAAAAAAAAAAAAATAGAGAGATGGAACCAGATTTCCTTCCCCTTGAGAGTTGGCTGCACTTGGTGACTTGCTTCTAATGAATACAATGAAGTGACATTGGCAGTGAGCAACTTCAGAGACTAGGTCACAAAAGGCACTGTGGCTTCCTCCTCACTCATTCCTTCTGGATCACTTGCTCTGGGAGAAGTTAACTGACATGTCATAAGGACATTTAAGTATCAAGAGGTTTGTGTAACAAGGAACTAAGGCCTCCTCCCAATAGCCAGTGAGGACTGTGGCCTCCTGCCCACAGCCATGTGAGTGAGCTGTCTGGGAAGCAGATCTTCCAGCCCCAGCTGATGTCCTGACTGCAACCACATGACAGGCCTGGGCCCAGGGCCACACCAGCTAAGCCAGGGCTTCCCAACCCCCTGGCCTGTTAGGAACTGGGCCACACGGCAGGAGGTGAGCGGCAGGCAAGTGAGCCAAGCCTCATCTGTATTCACAGCCACTGTCCATCATTCACATGACTGCCTGAGCTCCACCTCCTGTGAGACCAGCAGTGGCATTAGATTCTCATAGGAACACAAACCGTATTGTGAACTGAACATGCAAAGGATCTAGGCTGCACACTCCTTATGAAAATCTAATGCCTGATGATCTGTCACTGTCTCCCATCACCCCCAGATGGGACCGTCTAGTTGCAAGAAAACAAGCTTAGGGCTCCCACTGATTATACATTATGGTGAGTTGTAGAATTATTTCATTATATATTACAATGTAATAACAGAAATAAAGTGCACAATAAATGTGATGCAGTTGAATCATCCCAAAACCATCTCCCCGACCTATCTGTGGGAAAATTGTCTTCCACGAAACCAGTCCCTGGTGCCAAAAAGTTTGGGGACCACTGAGCTAAGCCATTCCCAAATTAATGAACCCCAGAAGACTGTAAGATAAAAAAAAGTTTACTGTTTCAAGGCCACCAATTTTGGGGTCATTTGTGATGCAGAATAGACAACTAAAACAGTGGCCAAGCCCCAAACAACAGAGACTCTGTAGGAGAATTGTTTGAAAAGAAAGTGAGGCTTGGCCAGGCGTGGTGGCTCACACCCATAATCCCAGCACTTTGGGAGGCCAAGGTAGGTGGATCATGAGGTCAAGAGATCAAGACCATCCTGGCCAACACGGTGAAACCCCGTCTCTACTAAAAATACAAAACATAGCTGGGCATGGTGGCCTGTAGACCCAGCTACTTGGGAGGCTGAGGCAGAAGAATCGCTTGAACCCGGGAGGCGGAGGTTACAGTGAGCCGAGATTGCACCACTGCACTCCAGCCTGGGGACAGAGCAAGACTCCATCTCAAAAAAAAAAAAAAAAAAAAAAACTGAGGCTTGATGCCTGGCACCAGCCTTGGTTCCAGGATTTCTACATGGGTTAGGGTTGACATCTCAATCAGAACAGGCAGCTGGAGGACTTATTCTGAAGGCACATTTGAATAATAAGCACACGTTTTGATTTCAAATTTTATTCCATGCCACTTCAGAGGGGAAATGCTGATGGAGATGGAGGGTGCTGAAGTTCCCCCAAAGCCACCCCATAATGCTGACACTGCTCAGCTCAGCTTTTAATCCCACCATGAGGACCAGAAGAGAGAGTTTGTACCATGCACCTGGCCTCCCATTTACAGGAACCCTGCCTACTAGTAAGGAGGACACAGCATGTGAGTCTAGCCGAGTCAGCACTTCTTTCAAGGAAGTCATGTTGGGGATAGGACATGTTCTCCCCCCACGGTTCTCTCCCCACGGTTCTCCGCTCCACTGTTCCTTATTCCATCCACTGCCATTGTGTCCTTTCTCCTCATCCAGGCCCATGTCTTACCCACCTGCATGTCCTCAGTGTCCAGCCCAGAGCCTGGCCCGATGGAGAAGAGACAGGGCAGATTTCAGGGGATGGGGATCAAGAGATCTGGGTAAGAGGTGGAGGATCCTTCTAAGAAGTCAGAACCAGCATCTTCAAAGGCCATGTGGAGAGAAGGACAGAGAACAGACTGGGGATCAACATGGTTGGAGAGGATAGGTCGGAAGCAAACAGGGCCTTTAGGCAATGAAAAGCACATGCTCTCTATCCCTGTAGCTGGGAGTGGCACCGTCAGATTCATGTAGCGGAGATCGCAGTGGCTCTTTATAGGAAATAGATCAGAAAATGGCTGGGGGATGCAGGGAGACCTGAACACTTCTGCATGTCCCAGTCAAGGCCAGGAGAGAATCAGGGGCCAGGAGTCGCACAACAATGTGAATATATTTAATGCCACTCTATCAAACACTTAAAAATGTTACATTTTATGTTATGTATATATTACCACAATTAAAAAATAAGCTCCTAGACTCTGGAGCCCGCCAGACTACTGTATTACTAGCCAGCTAATTATTAGCCAGCTAATTTTTTGTAGAGACAGAACGTTATCGTGTTGCTCAAGCTCGTCTCAACCTCCTGGACTCAAGCGATCCACCCACCTTGGCCTCCCAAAGCACTGGGATTACAGACTACAGTAACAGAGGCTCACCCCCAGGTTCTGGCCTGCTGCTATTAAGGATAACAGCCAACTCACAAAGCATGTGATACATTCTTAACGCTGCACATATATTAACTCATTTTATCCCCTCAGCAGCCCTTAAGATAGGTACTATTAAGGTATCCATTTGACAGATGAGATAACCAAATCAGAGAGAGGCCCAGCAACTTGCCCAACATCACACAGCTTGTTTGTGAGACAGCTGGGATTCAAATACAGTAGTCTGGTTGCTCCAGAGTCTAGAATCTTATTTTTTAAATGTGGTAAAATATACATAACATGAAATGTATCATTTTAGGTGTTTGATACAGTGGCATTAAATAGATTCACACTGTTGTACAGCTGTCACTACCATTTATCTCCAGAACTTTCCCATCATCCCAAAGTGAAACACGTATTCACGTATTCACTAAACAATGGCGCGTCACTCCTCCCTCCCCCCAGCCCCTGGTAACCTCTATTCCACTTTCTGTCTCTATGAATTTGACTACTCTAGGCACTTCATTGAAGTGGAATCATACAGTACTTGTCCTTTTGTGTCTGGCTTATTTCACTCAGCATAATATCCTCAAGGTTCATCTATGCTACCACATGTGTCAGAATTTCCTCCCTTTTCGAAGCTAAATAACACTTTTTTGTATGTCAGCACCACGTTTTGTTTTTTCCATTCATCTGTTAATGGACATTTGCTTCTATCTTTTGGCTGTTGCGAATAATGCTACTATGAACGTGGGTATACAAATATCTACTCCAGTTCCTGCTTTCAAATCAAAAGATATATACCCAGAAGCAGAGTTCAGAGTCTTAATGACCATGTCCAACTGTCCCTAAACAGTGGACGTTGCAATCAAAGCAAAGAAAGGCACCCCTCTGTCCCCAATCTACTCACCAAAGCTGGTTTTCCTCCCAGTTCTGGTTTCCACTCTACATAAACCCCTGTCTCCAGCTTAAACCTTCCTTCCTAACTCCAGACTTTTGTTTACAACTGCCTCCTGGACATTTTTACCCCTGTGTCTCAAATGCATCTCAAACTCGACATGCCCAAATTAGAATTTTTCACTCCTCCGTCCATCTAAGCATGTGCTCCTCCTCTTGCTTCACCATCTCAGCCACTGGCACTTCCAACAAGCCAGAATCCAGAACCAAAACCCTGCAGTCATCCTGGACACCTCCCTCTCCTGCCCTCATATGTGCCACCCACCACCAATGCTTGTCAATTCTAACCTCAAAATAGACCTTGAATTCTCTTTACTTCTCTCCATCTTCACTACTTCCCACCACTGGGCAAAGCCAATGCCACCCTTGCCTGGACCAATGCATCGGCCTCCTCTCTGATTTTTTTCGCTTCCACTATTTGCAGCCTGACAACCAGCTCTCAGCACAGCAGCCATGATCACATGGGAACTCTCCCTGCCTTCTGTTGCCTGTAGGAGTCCCAAGCCTTTGTCATGACCCAGAAGGCCCCAAAGATCTGGTGCCTGCCACTTTTCCAGCCTCCTCCCTGGCCTTCTTGCAGTTTCTCCAAGAAACTTGCTCTGTTACACGTCAGAGTCTTTTCACATACTGTTGCCTCTTCCTTAACACTCTTCCTCCCCACACCCATCTACTATACCCCTTTGCCTAGCCAATTCCTATTCATTCTTCAGGCCTCAGCCTAAATGTTACTTCCTCAAAGAAGCCCTTCTTAACCTTTGCCCCCCACAAGCTAAATGAGGACCCTTAAGGTCTCATACAACCCTGACTTCTTTGCCTTCATAGAAACTATCAAATTATGATAATGTAATTATTAGACTATCTTATAATTATTATTTCCTCCCTGTCTTTTCCACATGACTACCAGCTCCAGGAATGCAGATTCTTTGCCTGTTTTGTTCCTCACTGTATCTCCAACATCAATGCTCAAAAAAATATGTTTTGAACGACTGTTATTGCACACCCAAGTGCCCGACATCAGAAATGACCTCCAACTATGAGTAAATTCCACCACCACCATGCTGCCTTAACAGGAGTATGGCTTCTCACCAAAATACACAGCATCAGGCCCACACAGGGGCCTGGTGACATGCACACATACGCACACACACTTTGGTGGCAGGCACACGTACACACACACACACACACACTTGCACAGGCACAAGAGACATGCTGTCATACACAGGCATATGGAACCACTTGGCCATACACAGCACATAGAGCCATGTGGTTCTCCCCAGTCCCACACACTCACATTCATAGGCATGCATGTGCATGAACATATGTAATCACCCACAGAGAACCACGCAGGACAGTCATGCATTGTTACATGGGTGGTCATGCACCCACAGCCATAGTCACACACTCACATGTAGACACTGGTACACATGTGCCCCCACCTGTAACACACAGTGCCACTCACACCGTCTCACACCCATAGACACAGCCTGCGCATACAGGACGGCACGCCTCACCCACTCACTCTCCTAGATCCCCACGTGCACTTGTACACACACAGCCAGGCCAGCTGGTTTCGGGTGATGTCTGGGAGGTAGTTTCTAGGAACCTGAGGACTAAAACAACCTTTCTCAGCTCTTTTTGTGTTTGGTTGTTTTCTTTCGCGACACTTTCAGAAGCCTTCTGCCTCCTTCCAGCACATTCTGCTCCTTCCCTTGCCTGTCTGCCCAGCAGCCCAGTTCATCCAGCTCCCGGTTGTAGGTTCGAGGCTGGAGCGGATGGACGTGAAAGGCATAGCCAAGCATGGATAGGACCCACTCAGCAGAACTGTTTACTACTCCACACCCACTGGTAATTATTGTTTTTTTATACATTTCCATATAAAATTACTCATTCTGATTCCTTGGGAAGAATTCAAATCAGAAAAGCCCACAAACAATTAAACTGGATGGATAATGAGGAGCCACTGTCATTTATCTGGATGTGAGCACTTCTCACCCCCAGAAAACATGGATGTAATTACACCCAGGAGCCTGATGTGGGGGGTGGGGGTGCTGGAAGAACTGAAATCAGACAGGGACCCAAGTGCCTGTGAGAGAGAGAGAGATGTTCTTGCTCTGAGTGTGTATCTGAGCATGTGTTTGTGGTGTGTGTGTATCTGAGCATGTGTGTTTGTGGTGTGTGTGTGCTGATGTGAGTATGTGTCTACTCCAGTTGTCTGTTGCTGTGTAACTACTCCAAAATTAAGTGGCTAAAGCATCAATCATTTAATCACAGCTCATGGTTTTGTGGATTGGAGATCCAAGATGGGCTTGGCTGGAAAATTCTCCTGTGTTCTACGGAGTGTCAATAGAAGTGGCAATATTCAGCTGGAGAATTGTATAGTCTGGAGGGTCCAAGCTGGCTTCACTCACACTTCCAGTGCCTTGGCAGAGATGAGGAAAGCTGGACTCAGCCAGAACTTTCAACTAGAACACCTGAGCATGCCCTCTCCAGCAGGACAGTCTGATGACTTTTTGCATGGTGGCTCAGAGAGACAATTTCCTAATGGAATAGAAGCTACAAGGCTTCTTATCGCCTAGCCTTGGGAGTCTCTAAGCCCAGCCCAGATTCATGGAGAGGGGAATTAGACTCCACCTTTCAACCGGAAAAGTGGTGGAAATTTTGCAGCCATCTTTCATCTACCACCATGTGTATCACACTGACAGTATAGTGAAAAAACCCTGGATTTGAGAGGGTGTTAGAGATGGGTTTGAATCCCAGTACCTCCATTCACAAGCTGTGTGGCTTTGGGCAACCTAAATAACTTCTCTGAGCCTCAGTTTCCTGATCTGTCAAATGCTGTTGTTGTGAGCATTGTATACATAAAGTTCAGGATACATAAAGTCTACACTAAACTTTATGTATACGGCTTGTGTACATAAAGTTCAGTCATCAACAGCATTTAGTGAGCACCTACTATATGCTAGGTGCCCCATGCATGTGCATCTCCTCCTGCTTTCCCCTGCCCTCCTGCCCTGGGGCCACACCTTAGGAGACCCTTAGGATGGGGATGGGTAGGAAAGACAGACCCTCCTTTGAGGCGCTGACAGCCTTCTGCAGTCACATCAGGACCCAACCCACAGCAACCTGCCTCTGCCAGCCTCCTGGTGATCCTGTCTACACCAGCACCAAGGCCCAAGGTAAGCCCAGGAGTCTCCACCATCTGCTGCAGCTGGGCTGGCTAGAGGCAGCTTCCTCAGCTCAGGAGAATTCCTGGCTAACAATGGCGTTAATTTTTCATGTGTTTGTTTGATTTTCTGCAGCAAATGAGGAATGTTGGAACAACATCTGGAGCTGCCCCAGGCTGAGATATGCAGAGCACAGTGGCAGCGATGACAGCTCAGAATACAGCCCTCTCATGCTGTGCACATCCACACCCATAAACGTACACAGACTTTGTACACACATCTATGTCGGCATGCACATGCACACACCTATGCATACATAGATGCTCCTGCAATATACAAACACATCAAACCTATAAACGTGTGTCTGCATGCATATAAACATGTGTGTTTGTGCATGTGCCTTCACATGCGTAAACCTATACAACTGTGGGCATACCTACATACATATACACACACACGGACCCACAAACACACACGCATAGATACACAAACTTGCACACACATACACTAACACAGCCACATCACCAGGACCAGGCGAAGGACTCCTGGTTCTGGGTAGGAGTTTGGGAAGGCCACAGCTCCAAGGAGGCTCCTGCAAGCCCAGATTCTCTGTGCCAGACTCAGGCCAGTGACAGCCAGGCTTGATTGACAGCCTGCAGCAGGAGCCCAGCTTCCTCAGGTTCTACTGCTCCCAACCTGCCAGGAGCCTTGCCATGGCCCCTCCCTGTCCTGGAGCCCACTCACCACACACCATGCTGGAGACCAGTCACCTCCCTCCTCCCCCATAATTCTTTCCCCAATTGTAAAATGAGAGGATCACCAGACAACAACACCTGGGGGCCCACCAGCAGGACCCCCTCTACCAGGACCCCCTGTGCCATCAAGCTCAGCTCACGCCAGGGCCCATGGCCATGTCTGCATGGAGCTGTGTGTCTGCGCATGTTTGTGTGCCTGGGTGCACCTGCACCTGTGTGTTTATGTTCGTGTATCTGTGCTACCCATGTCTGCCTTGGCATTCAGTGAAGGTCTGCACATCTATCTGCATGCATCTGTGAATGTCTGGGTATCTGTGACTCTCTATGCATATCTGTTACTTGCATTTGTGTGTCTGTGCATTTCTGTATCTGGGTTTGTATATTTCTGGATCATCATTTCTGTGGGTGTTCTTATACATTTGTGTGAATCTACAAAGCTGTGTATATTGGAGCGTGTCGGCATATGTATGTCTCTATGCTTTTGTACCTACGTGTGTCTGCACCTGTGTATCTGTGTCTATGTGTGTGTGTGTGAGTATAGCTCCATATATGTCACTGTGTGTGTGTATGTGTGAGCATGGCTGTGTATGTCAGTGTATATGTGTGTGTGCACAGCTGTTTGTATGTCAGTGTGTGTCTGTGTATGTCGTTGTGTGTCTGTGTCTGTGTGATGACTACATTAGTGCTTGTGTATGTCAGTGTATCTGTGTGTGTGTCAGTGTGTGTACGTATGGCTGTGTGTATGTCAGTGTGTCTGTGTGTGTCAGTGTACCTGTATGTCACTGTGTGTATGAGTATGTCCGTGTGTGTGTGTCAGGGTGCATCTGTGTCTGTGTGAGTGTGTCTGTGTGTATGTCAGTGTGTCTGCCTGAGTGTTGATGCATATATGTATGTCTGTGTGTATGTCAGTGTGTCTGCCTGAGTGTTGATGCATATATGTATGGCTGTGTGTATGACAGTGTGTCTGTGTGTGTGTGTCAGTGTACCTGTGTGTATGTCACTGTGTGTATCGGTATGTCTGGGTGTGTGTGTTGGTGTGTGCCTGTGTCTGTGTGGTGAGTCTGTGCATATGCCAGTGTGTTTGCCTGTGCAGATGTCACTGTATCAGTGTGTCCGTGTGTGTATGTTGGTGTGTGTCTGTGTCTGCATGAGTGTGTCTGTGCATATGTCATTGTGTCCATTTGTGCAGATGTCTGGGGTCAGGATGACGGCAAGAGACAGATCAGTGTCTGGGCTCGAGCACAGGTTTCTCTTCTGCTCCAGCTCCATGCAGCTGAGGCCATCCAGCCAGGTGGATGGGAAGGAGGCAGCCAGAGAGAAGAAAAATTCCCCAGACTGGAAGTGGACCTCTGCCCAGCTGGGCCCTGTGGCCACAGAGGCAGAAAGGCACAGGCGCAGGGTCTGTCTGAGTCACCTGCTATAGCCTGGCCATCTACAGACACTTCAATCCCCACAGGTAGCAGGCGGGCAGCCTCTGGGGCCAGTGGGCAATGGGGAAAACCTCGTACTTTTATTCTCTGCGTGCCCCAGTGGTGTCCTCCGTGGGTCTCCTCGCTGCTCCCTCTGCTGGGGGCACGTATCTTGCCTTTCCCTTGTTCTCTCTCCCTCTGCACGTAGGTGTGTGTCATTGATCAACTTTATGTCTCTCTCTCACTCACTAGTTCTCTGTCAGTGTGTGTGTCCATGTCTCACACACAAACATGACCCACAGACTATTGATCTCTTTGTCCTACTCACACTCCTTGTAAAACACCCTGTCACACACATTTGATTGGGCCTCCGTTACTGTCTCTTTCTGTCCCTGGCCCCTTCATCCTCCTTCCCCTCCCAGTGCTGGCAAGGGCAGGAGCCTCTCCTAACAGCGGCATGAAAGGGTTTTGGATGGGTAGAAACAGAACCTGAAGGACACGCACAGGATTTTTTAAAAGCAGAGTGTTATCAGATATAGGAGTGTTTTATGAAACCCCAGGACAGGACCAGAACCCGGCCTCAAAAGGACTGCAAAACTGATGGGAGCCCTGACCTTCTCCCTCTGTCTTCTTTCTATCTCCCCTTCCTTCTCTTTCAGCTTCTACATGCACAGGTCTAACCAAAGATGGCTGCCTCCACTCCTGAGCTTAGAGTGCCTCAGTTCAAAGAGCACCCCAGACTGACCAGTATCAATCATTTCCAAGACTGGGAGAGAAATCTGAGTGACCACACTTGAGTCAGTTGTCCAAGCTGGTCCAATCAGTGATGAATGGCCGTGGAGGCGGAGTCACACAGAAACCCACCCTTCGGGTATGCCTGGCAGTTCTCAGACAAACGAGTCTAAAGGACAAAGGTCAGCATCGGGCTGGTGAGTGAGGCGCCCCGAGCCAGCCAGGTGTGGTGTCCTGCTGGACTCAGATGTGCAGGCCTGGAACTCAAGAATGCAGCTGATGGTGGGTCAGTCTGTGTCAGAGTCATCGTAAGGTGAGTGATGCCAAAGCTACAGGAACCGTGGGATCACCAGGGCTGAGGATGGGACCTGGGGGAGCGCACCTTATGAGCCCCATCCCCAAGAGCACCCTTAGTTCCTCATTAGACTCGTACCCTCCACAGCTTAGAGAAGCCTTGGATGCTGTCCCCCACAGCCCCATTCTCACCTGGCTGCCTCCATCCTAGAATTTGGCGCCCACCATCCCATACCCTGCCCGTAACAGCATCTCTTCCCCATTGAAGACTGCGGTCCACAGAGTCTTCTGGCTTCATTCAGCCCCTCGTCTCCACCTACCCCAGCCCCACCCTCCTGCATATCACCATCTAAGAAATCTCCCAGATTGGGGACCACAGATAACTGGGTTGAAACAGTCACTCATGCCCTCCCAGGCAGGTGATCCTGTTAATGGGATCTAGAGCCCCAGACCATGGCGAGAATGAGAAGAAAGGCTTCTCGCATTCAGAGGTCCGATCACTGAATGTCCTTCCCTTAGATGAAACAAAACGGTGAGAGACTCAGGGTCCTGCTTACAGCTAGGAGCACAAGCACATTGGTTCAGGCCCCTCCACCATACATGCTTCAAGACAGACAAAGACCTCTCAGCCTCAGAATCCCTAAAAGCAAGCTGACTGACAGAAAACTTTCAATGTATCCCTGAGAGCACTTACTTTAAAACACATGCTTTCGCCAGCATTGGGTTAAGAACTGTGTTCACTGGTTTGCCATGAATCATTCTGGCAACTGATAATAATAATTATTATAACTGATATTTAATGAGCACTTACTATGTACCAGGCACTGTGCTAAGCACTCTGCAAGCATTATCTTACTGAATGCTCACAGCTGCCCTGTGGGTAGGTTTTGTTATACACATTTTTTGATAAGAAAACAAAATCAAAGGTTAGGTAACTTGCCTAAGGACTGCCAGGATTCAAGTAGAAAATCTGTCCAAATTGAAAGGCAAAACCCTGGACCAGGACATGCATAAGTGGCTGAGATAATAGTTAGGGACAACTACACATTACTGAATAACCCACCCTCTGTTGCCAGCAGCTGACAACTATAGGTACTGAAAAGACAGAAGCTACCCAATCCCTACAAGAACAGACAAGTTCCAAGATTAATCCAGAGCCTGCCCTTACCTATTCAATGATTCTACACAATCTTCTTCCCTGCTTTACACTTTTTGTTTCCAACTGAACTATAAGCCCCTAGAGGGCAGGACCTGTGTTCTTTTTCACCCACATTCCCAAGGCTGCACAAAGAATTTAATACAGACTTTCTGCATGGTTTTCTACTGGTCGGTTAGGTGGGTGATGGGTTGGTTGCTTGGATGGTTGGATGGACCAATTAGTCAATATTGGTTAGCTAGTTGGATGCTGTCAGAGTGTGGGGTGAGGTAGGGGTTTTCCCTGAGTGGCAAACCTACCATGTAAAACCCAGTGGGGGTTCTCTTTGGTTTCTAAAAAAAACTCTCCCAGGGAATAAAGAACCCTTCAAATGCTTCTCCCTTCCCTTTTTCCCTCCCTCTGCCCAGCGAAGCCAGAGCTTGTGAGGACCAAGGAGGTGCTCCTTTCCCATCATCAGCCCCAATGAGGAGGACCCAGTCCCTGGGAGGAGCATTGAATAGCCCATTATGGTCACCCTTGGGAAGTACACAGGTAACTGCCATCCTTGGTTGATTGTGTAGGTCATTGGATGGGTACCTAAAGGCTAGGATGCTGCAGTGTGGAGAATAAGGAGCCCAGTGCTTCAGAGCAGCTCATTTCATCCTGCCCAGGAAAAAGGTCATGTGCTCCGATATGAGTAATTAATTTTCTCCGAGCCACGTTGAAAAGGTTAACCTGATTTATAGGACGCAATTGAGTGTAGAATGGGTTGTGTATCTTGTAAAAGGCCCGTTCCAGCATCTGAGTCTACAGACTCACCCGTGGCTGGGCATCAGCTGGGAGCTGGCCCTACCTTTTATTCCTTTATGTAGAATCCAGGTGAAAACCCAAAGAGATCCCCACTGACCAGGAAGTTGCTTCCTGAGCTCCAAATCCTAGGGGTCATTGGAGCATGCCGAGGAGGGTGTCTCCTGCTCCTGTCACAACCCCCAACTCAACAGCAGCCTCAGCCTTTATCTCCATACAATTCAGGGCCCAGGGAGAAATGCCCTGCGCTAAACTTAAGTTCTGAGTTCAAGGTCAGGCTCCTCCACTGACTCTCTGGGATTGGTACTGGGCTATACACTTTCCCCATCTCTAAAATGGGATGAAGAATCCTTGCCCTGTCTCCTTCCCTCTCATCAATTATTAGCTGTGTGAGCTTGGGCAAATTACCTAACCTTTCTGTGCCTCAGTTTTCTCATCTGTAAAATGGTAATAATAATAGTAACTATGTCATAGGATGGTTACGAGGATTACATGAATTAATATTTGTAAAGAACTTAGAACAGTGGCTAGGCCACACGATATGGTGCATAAGGGTTTGTTAAATAAATTAATAAAATCTGGATGTCCTCAGCAGGGTGTCAAGCAAAGCCAGCACCTGGTCAGCACTGTCACCTGAGGCTTGGCTCCTGGTTGAGGTAGACACCAATGGTCCTAGGGCTCCAAGAATATATTGAACAGATGGGGAATGGGGGTGTTATGGCCAGAAGTTTTTTCTTTCCTGTATCTATTCTTCATCCATGGTTAAGCTCTGCTCCCCAGAGCCGGCCAGGACTCCACCCATCAAGCCCACAGATGCTAGTCTAGCACCACCTAGTGGAAAGACTGCAGTCCGCATGTGGGTGGCTTCCAGGCCCCTCCTGGCAGAGGGAAGGAGAGTGAAGTTGCTTGGACTTACCCACCAGTCAGGCACTAAAGGAAGGAAAAAAGAAAAACACTCTGCCAGAAACCTCCCTGAGAAACTGACCCAGCTGAGAGCTCTTCACTTCGTGCCCCTGCAGTATATGGTGGTGTAGTATTTTGCAGAAGTTCGGTGTTATGCAGGTCGGCTGCATATATCACACATGCGCACGTCTATAGGATTACCAATTAAGTGAGTTAATATGAAGAACTTAGGCAAGTGCCTGGCACATAGAAAGCATTCAATAAATGTTTGTCCTCATTATGATTATGTGTATAATATGTGCATATACCTGTGCCTGAATATTCATGTAAATGTGGATGTATAGATTGTTTACATGCCTCTGTGTTTATGGATGGATGCGTGTGTGTATATATGTGTGTGTGTGTGTGTGTGTACCTAAGAATGCATATGTGCTTATGTCTGTATACATATTTATGTATGTAAATATAAGTATAGTGAGTGTGGTGTACATGTAAATGGAAGTATGTGAATGTCTGCATGTATATACACCTATGTACATGTGGATATCTTCGGGTATATTTGTGACTTTCACCGAATGGAATGCTTGCGCATTAGTTTTCTACTGCTGCATAGCAAATCAACGCGACTTAGCTGAAAACTACACCCAATTATTATCTTACAATTTCTGTGGGTTGGGAGTCCAGACACAGCCTAGCTGGTCCTCTGCTTAGGGTCTCACAGGCTACAGTTAAAGTGTTGGCCAGGATTACAATCAAATTTGAGGCCTGGGGTCCTCTTCCAAGCTCACGTGGTTGTTGGCAGATCATGTTTCCTTATAGCTGTAGCCCTCATGGCAGCTTTTTCAAGGGCAGCAGAAGACACTCTCTCTCTGACCTCCAGAGCCTCTTTTAACAGCTCATCTGATTAGGCCAGGCCCACCCAGGAGAATGTCCCTCTTGATTAATTCAAAGTCAAATGATCAGGAACTTCAATTTTATCTGAAAAATTCTTTGACCTTTGCCATAAAGCATAACCTAGTCACAAGAGTAATATCCCATCCTGTTCACAGGTCCCACCCACACTTAAGGGGAGATTATACAGGGCATGTACACAAGGGGGTAGGACTCTTGGGAACCATCTTAGAATTCTGCACTCCACAGTGTATTTTATATATATATATATACATATATCACACACACGTATGTCTGGGTCTATATGTACATGTGGTTGTATATTGGGGTGCATATATGCATGTGTGTATGTCCATGAGTGTGCTTTTCTGTGGGCTGTTTTCTTCCCAGTGGGATTGCAGGTTCCTTAAATAAAGATTGGGGCCCCTGAAGTCCAGAACTCCATCAGACCAAGGACTTTTTAATGTAAGGATTTCAGCTCTCCTGCCGATGGGCGTTTCCCAAGATGGGGTCCTGTACTCTCCACCACATGCCACATGCAGCATCTGGTCTGCATCTCAGAGGTGCTGAGTTATCATTGTACATGGCTCACATGTGCACATACACACATATGTGCATGTACACACGCATGAACACACACACACTGGTATGACTCACTCCAAGGCAAGATCAGCCTAACTAGGGACAGAGCTCACTCCTGCTCTTTAGAAGAAGCCACTCCCTGGCATCTCCCCGCCCCAACCTGTCATGAGATTACAAAGTCACTGCTCTCTCCAAAAGGAGGTCCGAAGGCTGAGACACCTCTGCCCCCAAGTTGGGCTGAGGTCCTGTTTGGGACCCAAATGGCCTTGCAATCAGGTAATGAGCTTACAGGCCTCATACCAACATTATCCAAATGGAATATTAGCCCAGGAGATGCTGAGGCCAAGATGAACTATGGCTAGAAAGTTGCCTATGGCCAAATAAGTCTGTGAAACCCTGCCTGCTTCAGCCCTCCTTGGAATTTTGCATTATAGATTAGCAGAGCAAAGGCTCTGAGAAGGCCTGCAAGAAAGTGGGGCAGGAATAACATTTAGCACAGATACAGATGGTAAACAGATGCCCACTATTACTAGCTCCAGGTCTGCAGTTGTTGCAGAGAAATTGGCCTCTCCAGACTGTTTTCCAGCCAAAAGTCTATGCCTCAATGGACAACAAAGTTAAGATGGCTCATGCCTTGAAGGTGGAGGGCAGGAGAATGTTCCAGCTCCTCGAGGGACAGACAGGAAGAGTGCAGCAGCTGAGCTGAACCAACAGAAATACTTCGAGCTAATTTCTTGTGTGCAGAGAATAAATCTGTGGGTGGAGCTGTGAGCCAGAGCTGGGGTGTGGGGTCAGGATGCAGAAACCACATCTGTGCATCTCCCCATCGCCCCGCATTTCATATTTACTTCTGTTGATGAGATTTCGTCATGCTCGATTACAATTCATAGACTCGTGTTTCCAGATTTTATGCATTAAAATGCTCTGATTTACAGAGTCACCCTAAGCCTGACGCCAGCCCCTCAAGGTGCTGTTGCTAAGCATGGGCACTGAGGCTTGTCCTGGGGTCACCCAGGGGCCTCATTTCTGGGTACAGTGGCCTCTAAAGAGCCTCAGGAGGCAATGCCTGAGAGAAGGCCTCCTGGTGTCTATGCAGGGAATGTAGCAGGGTGGGGACGGATACCAACATTCATGTCTGGCCCTTGCATGGGGCACAGGAGCAGCAGGACTGTGGGGGCGGCCTCTGGCAGCCATGGATAGGCCCACGCTGACCCTGCACCTCACCCTCCTCTCCTTCGAGCCCCTCCCCAACAAACCTCCACCAACAGAACCAGGAACCTTCCACAGTGGGGTGTGGGTCAGCTGGCCCAGGAATAGAAGCAGGTCTCTGAGCCCCCATTCATCACCCAGAAATGCTCCCATCCCCCACTGTGCAGCCCCATCTGGAGGGGATGTGAAAGAGCAGCCACTTACTGGGGTGGGCCAGCCTAGCTCAGCCAGCCCTGTGCCCAGGAATAGTGCACTGCTGCTTGGCCTTGTCTCTGCACATGCTCCACTCCCTAGTGGGTGGATGTGTGTGTATGTGTTTCACACATGCACACACACGTTTGTTTCTCTGTGTGGATGTGCCTCTCTGTGTGTCTGGTTGCATTTCTCGCTGTGCTGCCTCTGAGTCTGGGTTCACATGTCTGTGTTTCCTTGTGTGAATTGGGTTCTATGTCAGTGTGTGCCCACGTCTGTGTCTCTGCAGTTTCTCTCTCTGAGTGAGTCTTTGTCCCCTGTCAGTCGTGTGTCCCTGTGTCTTCCTGTGCATGTCACTGTACGCGCATATACACAGTGTGTGTCACTCTGTTCTGACCTATTTCTGGTTGTTCCTCTCTCCCCCTCCTTCCATCTGCTTCTCTGTCTCTGTGTTTCTCCATTTCTCTCTGTCCTTTGTCTATAGGTCTCTCTGCTTCTGCATCTCTTAGCTTTGGTTCGTGGTAAGAAACCCCTGTGCCTGCCCCATCTCTGCCTCCCTCTCCTGTGTAATGGGTCCTTGGGCCACCCGAGTTGCTACAGAAACTCCTTCTCCCACACACATTCCCACCTGTACTTGCCCATCTTCAACCACTCATCCTCCCTCCTTCCGACTCCTCTAAGAGAAGAGACATACAGTGAGTGATTTTCTCATTTATGGTTAAGGAGAATGTTGCTCCAAAGTGCACCGATGCTGCTTTCAAAACTCCAGCAATCTCTAGGTCCATGCAGCCAGCTGGTGCAATTCAGAATCATGTGGACTGGGCTGGGATATCAATCCTTGGGAGACCAAGGCCTAAGGCTCTGGGGTGTGTGTGTGTGTGTGTGTGTGTGTGTGTGTGTGTGTGTGTGTGTGTGTGTTTGAGTCATAGAATCTTTCTTTC
This sequence comes from Homo sapiens, assembly GCF_000001405.40. NCBI lineage: Eukaryota > Metazoa > Chordata > Mammalia > Primates > Hominidae > Homo > Homo sapiens. The sequence goes on along the minus strand of NC_000001.11, from coordinate 36,605,555 downwards.
TGTACCAGGGTATGAGAACCAGCAGGGCTAGTCAGAGCCATGGAACCTGGCCCCACTAGGGACCGGGGCAGGGCAAAGCCAGGCCCCACACAGCATTAGGCAAGTAATCAGCAGACTAACAATACAACAGTAATAACACAACTCCTTACAGAGCACCTCCACATGCCAGCACTGGACTCAGTGCTTTACAGACTGTTCCTCACTATATTCATCTATTGCTGTGTAACCATATCACTACAAACTCAGCAGCTTAAAACAACACACATTTATTCTCTCATGGGGTCTGTGGACCAGAAGTGTCACAAGGCTGCAGTAAAGATGCCAGCCAGGACTGGGCTCTCACCTGGAGGCTGACTGGGGACGGATCTACTCCCAGCCTCACATATTTGTTGGTTGAATCCAATTCCCTGAGGTTGCAGGACTGAGGGCTTTGATTTCTTGCTGGCTGGTGGCTAGAAGCTGCCCTCAGCTCTTTGCCACATGGGCCTCCCAACACAGACACTTGCTTTGTCAAAGCTAACAAAGGAAAGAGTCTCAGGGCAAGATGGCATTACCGCCTTGTGATGTTAAATACAATCACGGAAGTGATGGCCTATCCATTTCACATATTCTCTAGGTTAGAAGCAAGTCATAGATCCAGCTCATGCTCGAGAGTGGGGATTACAGTGAGGGCATGAACACCAAAAGGCAGGGATTATGGCGGCCACTTGGATGAGTGTCTGCCACACTCAATTCTCATAGCCACTTTGAGAATTGGTAACACCACCCCCATTTTACAAGAAAGGACACTGAGTCTTATCAACATTAAGGACATTACCCAAGGTCAAACAAGTAGAAAGAGACAGCTCTAGGACTTGAACCCTGGCCTGTCACTTTCACAACCTGAGCCCTTTGTCACAGGGCAATGCTACAAAAGGGAAACCCAGATGTAAGCCCACAGCTACCTACTTGGCAGGAGCAGGTGCTGTCATTTAGGGGTTATGCAGCACCCTCAGCCTGCCCCAGGACACAAGGTTCTGAGTCTTTTTGAACAAGAAAGACTCAGTCAGGCACCCGGGTCCTCAGTCACTGATCTGACTTTGACACCTAAGAGTGCAAAAGGCTGCTAAAGCCCAGAACACCAGGGCTGAGGCTGCTAAGCCCCAGAGGAACAGGGGACATTTTCCTCCCCATCCTCAGGTTGGCATCTTGACCATGGCTGCAAGGATGGGCCCCTCAACTTTGCTGACTTGGAGCTCTTCTTGTCAGCTCTTCCTGGAGACAATATGAGTCTGTCCCTTGGCTCCTGCCTATCTCTCTGCATTCCAGATCTCACAGCAGATCCACTTTTCCACTCCTGGATAGGCTTGAGGACATTTGTGAAGGAAGGTGACCTTGAAGGAATTGAGGATGCCACCTCTACTGAGCACCTATTTTTTGCCTTGACACACATCAGCGTATTTAATCCTCTCAACATCCTTTCAAGATAGGTATTATTATTTCCAGTCTATAAAGGAGAAAACAAAATCTCAGGCTAAGTAACTTGCCCAAGATTATACAGCTAATAAGAATCTGTATTCACACCCTGGTCTGTCTGGTTACCAAGCCAATGCTTGTTCTACTTTCCCAGTCATCTCACTTTGAGTGTCCTCTCATCTACTGCTTGGGCTCTCCATCTGGGTTCAAGGCTCCCCTTCTTTCCAGTGTATTTAAGGCCAGGTACAATGCTGTTAGGATCTGTAGACTCCCTCCCCCTACACCCACCCTCCCACGCACTTATCTATTATTTTGGGGAACCTTGAGTTTGTCTCCACGGGGCGGGATTTCTCCATTCTACATTCTGCTTTAAGCCAAACCACACAGATAGATTGTAATAAAGCCATGGGTTTGATGGGTCCCTATCCATCATCATTGTTCTCTGTCCATGGTGCTAATCTGTATTTCTCTAATTCCCAAAGCCCAACCAGAGCATCTCCCTGACCCTTGGATATGGTGAAGGAGTCTGGTTTCCAATCTCTTTTACAATTGGTACTTGGAATCCCTGTTGCCTGCTCAGCTCCCTGCTTGGGATCTTGATTCCATCTGAGCTGTTTCCCACCAACAGCAGGGATCCAAGCTTTGCCTTCTTATATAATTGATCCTTGGATTCCCTGTTGCCTGCTCAGCTCCCTGCTTGGGATCCTGATTCTGTCTCAGCTGTTTCCCTGGGATCCAAGATTTGCCTTCACAGACTTGCATGCCCCAAAGGGGCCTTCAACACCCCTGGACTGCTGAACTGGTGACCCTCTTCCTAGCTTTAGCCAGTCGTACCTTAAAATGTCTCCTCCCACCATGGACAACTCATAGGCTTCAAACTGGCTCCGCCTTGCCCATCCCCCATGGGTGGTAACCATCACACTATAGTTACTACCACCAACATCACCTCTCACATCCGCGCCACTGCCACCATCACTACCAACAAAACTGTCCCTTTAGTCACAATCCCCATCACCTTCACTACTCCCAAAACATCAACACCATCACCTGTAACTCCCCATAATCATCACTACCACCTTTTCCTCGAGTCACCTCTGATGGCAGCGTAATCCCCAACACCACCATTCACCTCCTCATCCCACTGTCACTCAATCCATCACTACCTTCACCACCCCTAGCACCACCACCATCCTTGTCACTTACCAGAGCACTTAGTGTCTGGATATCTTAAAATGGGACCTGAACTAAGTGAGAAAGGTGAGAGGGGCCCATTTCAGATACTTCCTAGGCTGACGCTCGTTTGTCACCAACCCAAGATGAGTTTGCCCACTCCTGTGCTGCATTCACCTGCATCCCCCACACTTCCATACAGACCCCTCAGGCTTCTTCCTTATCCTCAAGCTAACAAAATGCTCATCCTTTCTGATGCCACAGCCACCCTCTGCCTTTACACCTTTCAGAGAGGTAGTTGCTTAAATGCCAACCTCCCAAAATCTCCCCTATCTAAGTGGGAGGCAGGAACCCCAAATGGGGCAAATCCATTCCTGGGCCAGGCCCTCCTGATCCCGGCTGTCACTACCACTTCCAGTTTTTCCTGGAGCCCAGGAAAAACCATACCTATGCCACTCCCACCCTGGGCAGCCAAGTGTCTGGCATTGATTACCAGCCCCATAATTACTCTGCAGGCACTGGGAGGGATTTCAAGGCTGATTGACTTCAAATGAGAAATCCATGGGGCTTCGGAGAGGGCGGAGGATCCTTTGCTGTGGTGGGGGTGGGGACAGGGGGAGCTGCCTTCACCTGCATGGGCCTCTGTGTTTAGAACCACAGCTCTGACAAAGGAGCATCCACCCACTGGGTTGATACCTCGGAGGCCTCACCTAGAGGCTGCAAGGAGAGGCTGTAAAATCCTCCTAACCTTGCTTCCAGCCTTCCTAGGGACCCATGCAGAGTGCTGAGGATGGCTGGGCCAGTGGATCAACCAAAGAAGGCTCCGTGTCCATTGGCACATCAACCCTTTGAGAGAAGCCATCCCGAGGGAGGCAGGGGAGGCTTCAGGGAGGTGGTTGGGGAGACTCTGGAGAAACCTATCCAGGGCAAGCAAATGCAGGATCTCTCCTCCATGGGCACAGGGGAAAGCTAGAGGGGTAGGATGAAGGCTTAAGGGGTAAGAGGCTGCTCCAGAAGGCCACTCAAGGCATTAAAAGAGACTATTCCTTGCCAGGGAGAATTCGGAAGTAAGGCCCCATTGGGAAATGCCCTCTGAAATAAGAAACATAAATACTCATAAATCCTCTGATCTCACACATATTTACAAGCCTATGAATTTACTCTGGGCACCTGCACACACACATTTATGCTCATGAACACACTCTCATCCACCTCCCTCATCCCTATGTTCTCAATCTCAGAGGCAAAAACAAAAACAAAAAGAAGGCCATCGCCATCACACTTGTATCCAGTCATGCATGCACACACACGCACACACATGCATACACACACCTAAATCGACCTCCGCATCCCCCATCCCCACACATGCACACCAACACACTTCACGCCATCACACACTCACGTACTCACATACATCTAAGTTCACACATCTTTAAACACATTCTCACATACTCCAAAGCCAAATACCCCGAGAAAAAGAGAGACATCACTTACACACTCATCTGCTTCTCAAGAAATTGCGGAGCAAGGTGAGCCACTTGTTCTTTTCTCCCTCTCCCCCCTCGCAGAGGGGTTTTCATTTAAAAGTTGCCTGAGCCCAAGCTTTCAGATTGCAGTCTAGACTATATAGGTTTCCTAAAGATAAGGCTGAGAAATTGATTTCAATTACCAAAGTAGAGAGGCTGCACTTCTCAGCCTCTGAGCGGAGCATTAACCCTGGAGAGCCAGGAGCTGGAGAAGAGGAATCCAGCAGGGCAGGCACTCATGGAGCCAGCAAACCTGCACATGCAAAAGCTCATTTACACCCAGCCTGAGCAAACAGCCCAGGTTTAGGGTCAGGAGGCCTGGGTTCTAGCCCCAGCTCTGCCAATATCTTGCTGTTAATCTTGGACAATCACCTTTCTCTCCTCTAGACTTCTCTTCTTGGGCCATATTCCTGCTCCCCAGGGCTCATGAGACCTCAGCCTCACTGCTGATTGAGAACTTTCTCTGTTGAAACTCCCAGGAGGCCTGAACAGGCATTCAGATGCCTTAGAACCCAGTTTCTTATCCATTCTGCCTCCAGGATGGAGGTCCCTGCACCCTGGTAGCCACAGGGCCTGTGTTAGTCAGAGGAAGCTTCATTAGCTACTTCAAGAAGCAAGCTATGATATCTCTCTGGCTTAAAAGACTTCTTTTTTCTTTTTTTTTTAAGAGACAGAGTCTTGTTCTGTCACCCAGGCTGAAGTGCAGTGACATGATCATAGTTCACTGCAGACTCAAACTCCAGGGTTCAAGTGATCCTCCTATCTCAACCTCCATAGTAGCTAGGACTACAGGCATGCACCACCACACCCAGCTAATTTTTTTAGAGTCCAGGTCTCATTAAAGAGAGACCAGTCTGGTCTTAAACTCCCAGCTTCAGGTGATCCTCCTGTCTTGGCCTCTTAAAGTGCTGGGATTACAGGTATGAGCCACCATGCCCAGCCAAAAGATTTTTTCTTATGCACACAAAGTCCTAGGTGGGTGTATTAGTATTCTCTTTCTGCCATAACAAATTACCACAAAAATTAGTGGCTTTTAAAACAATATTCATGTATTATCTCATAATAGGTGAAAAGTCCAGGCTGGGGTTTGACTGGTTCCTCTACTTAAGAGTATCACAAGGCCAAAATCAAGGTGTCAGCCAACAGGGCTTGTATCAGAAGTTTCTGGGAAGTCAGTTTCAAGCTCATTCAGGTTGTTGGCAGATTATAGGGTTAAAGCCCCCATTTCCTTGCTGGTTGTCACTTAGGAGTCAGGTTCAGCTTCTAGAGGCTGTCTATATTACTTGGTTCATGGCCTCTTCCATCTCCAAATTCAGCAATGGGGTGTCATATCCTTCTCACACTTCAAATCTCTCTGACTTCCTCTTGGGCCTCCCTCTTCCTCTTTTAAGGACTCATCTGATTACACTGAGGTTACCCAGATAATCTAGGATAATCTCCCTGTCTAAAGTCATCTGATTAATAATCTTGATTACACATGCAAAGTCCTCTTTGCCATGGAACATAACATATTATATAAAATCAAGAGAAAAGATCACTGGGGCCAAAATTCTGCCTAACCCAGTGGGTCGAGTGGCTTTCCTCCAGTGGCGACTCAGGGATCCAAGCTTCTCTGTCATGTAGCACTGCCATCCTCAAGGTGTGGCCTTCATTTTTGCCACAGAAAGGGAAAAGAGGACTGGATACTTTCATGAGATGTTTTCAAAAGCCATCCTGGAGGAAACTTACATCAGTTCTGCACTCATCTCATCAGCTAGAACCAGTCACATGGCCCCAACCTAACTGCAAGGAAGGCTGAGAATAAGCAGTAGCATGTGGGTATTTGGAGCACCCAACTGGTCTCTGTCATATGGCCTGAGTTCTAGGGACTCAAAAGTCAGGGAATCAGGAGGTAGAGAATAGCCTGCCTTCTCTTTACGAAGAGAAGCCACAAACACTAGTCTCAGAACATTGGTCTCTGCTTCTCCTGTTAGGGTCTCCCAGCAGGTTCTTAAAAAATGTACCAGTCTGCAAATTTGCCAGTTTCCATGGGCTGAAGGTTCCTGAGAGGGAGAGAAGAGAGGCTAGCTCCATACATTGCCATCCTCTCCTTAGTTCAGCAGATGGAATATGAAAGATGTACAAACTCAAGGCCACATCTGAGGCATAAGACAGAATTGAGAGAACTCCTAGGAGCACCTGATGTGGAGCATCTGGGAGGTTCCTGACGGTACCAATCCCCTGGATGGCCCAGTGGGATCTTCTCAGTCAGCCTGCTCCTGGATGGAAGGTTGTTCTACCGACCATAACCATTTCTCTCTCCTCCCTGTGTCTTCCCTCCGGGTCTTGGTGACCATGACCTCTTCTTTATTCATCCTTCCTTCCATCCCCCATCAAGGACTGATGACATGGGGCAGATAACTCATGGAACTGTGTGGGTCAAATGGACCTGGCCCTAGTAGAGGGACAAGTAGGGGAAGAATACCCAGCCCCCTTCCACTCTGGCCCAATCTAATTTTCATGGGGCATGACCATCTCAAGGAGAAAAGCACAAGGACCACCACAGCTACTGTTCATGACCCAGTTCATTAGAAAGCTCTCCAACCTTCACCCAATCTGCTCCATTAAGTGCAACCCATGGAATTCTGCTAACAATGAGAAACTGAGTCACAGGTCAGAACATTCAACAATCAGCAACATATCAGTTTGAGGTCAATCAGGACCAATGATTTGGGTTAGAAACTGGAAACAAGATGATGACATGTAAAATCTGTTTAGGGGAAGGCTGGCCAAATTACTTAAGATGGTACCTTCAGCTTTAAGGTTCCTGGGTAGCTGTGATGGGGGAATACTATAGAGAAAATCGATCACAAGGAGAAGACACAGGTAGTGGTTATACTTGCAAATGGAAACTGAAATCAATCATAGAGGAAAGTTGCTAGAATAACAGGCAAGAGACTTGCAGAGAGTACCCCAGCCAGAAGATGTTCTTTTTGCTGCCTAAATTGACAGAATATTTTAAAATCCTTTCCACTTCTACAGAAGGTGTTCCAAGGCAATGCAGGAGTCATTGCTTTGGGAGGACTCTGTACAATCACAGCTAGATACAGAAATAAAAACCAAGGGAATAAAAGCAGAGAGATGGCACATCAGGTAGGCAAATATAGTCTGTACTTAAAGAAATAGTCTTAGCTTGTGCCCCTACCCACAAAACTAAAGTCTGAAACAAAGGTTTGCATCCCATTCATTTATTTTGGAAAGTATGCCAGGAAACAGGAGTGGGAGGCTGAAGAGAATAAAACAGAGAAATACGAAAATTCAAGACAAAGGTCACTATCTGACCAGCCATTGCTGTGGGAAACTGGAGCTCAATTTTGCGGGGGCCTTCTGAGACCCTTCTGTGCTGTGTAGAACACACCTCAGAATTATCCATCTGAAGAATGAAAGGGGAGAGTATTTATCCACTACCCATTGGTGAAGGGTGGCCCCAGAGGATGAGTGGTCATGCCGTCCAGTAGTGTGCTGGTAAATCGGCTCTTGGGGTGAAGGGGAGACTGATTTGTATTATTTGCCAATTGCCATGGGTGTAAATACTCCCACCATAGTTCATTTCAAGCTGTCGCTGGTTTAGCACCTGTCTAGTAAATGTTCTGAATATCTAACAATCAGCTCTTGCAAACTGGTATGAGCTGGCTCACCGACTCCCACGCCCAGGTTTGTATATACGTGGGTGCTGAGTGTGTCCCTACAGGAATCTTAAACTCTGCACAGGGAAGCCCTGGGGCAGGAAGTGAGAGAAGTGTGGTATAGCTGCCCCAGGTGCTGTTAAGTACAATAGCTTGAAGTTGGTGGTGGTAGCAATGGCTGGAGTGAAAGGTGGACATGGGAGATGCCCATACAAGATTATACCCAGAACAAGAACAGGCAGACGGACAGCAAGGCCCCTGATGAGTTTAGCAGGAAGCAGCCTGGTCACATCAGATGGGACGCAGGAGTGAACAATGTAAGAGAGAAACCCACACCCCAAGAGACAAGTGGAGGGGAGGCTGAGATGGGCACTGGGAAGGAAACCAGCCTTGAGACCTCTGACTAAGGCTCAGCCCATACCCTGGTGAGGAGGAATAAGAGGTCAAGGTCAGAGCTACACTGTAGTTACACCTGTGGGTGACCAGCAGCGGACAACAATTCTACACACCACACTCACGTTAATTTTAAAACTTGACAGGGCTCGTCCCCTGGGATGGGATCAGTTTTCCATTCCCCCTTTTACTGCCTCAAAAAAAAAATCAAATTAATAAATTATCTCAAAAACCTTTGCTCTCAGGGGCGCACCGACACTGAGGACTCTCCCCTTGGGAACATCCCCTTTGGTCCCATTGAGTAGATCCACTAAGCCTGGCCCTCATGGGTGATGAGGAAACAGGGCCCACCCTGTGGGAACAGTCAACTTTCCCCCAGCTGTGGCTCAAACACCCTCAGTTCTCCACCACTGAATCCCTGGAGTAGGCAGGGAGGGGTGGTGGCTACAGGTGGACCTCAGGCCTCCCAGGGAAGGGCAGAACAGGACTGCTTGGCTGGGGACCCTCCACCCAAGCTCCGGATCCTCTGGAAATGACTCTCACCCCATCAGTACTCCCCCTGGGGGCAGGACTGTCTGGGTCACGGGGCCAAGAAGGTGCCACCCACTGTCCTGGAGCTGGATGTGAAAGGCTAGAGGTGTGATGAGAGTCACCTTTGGAAAAGCCAGAGGCAAGGATCACATCTAGGCCAGGCAGCCACAGGGCTTGTGAAGGCTGACAGTCTGGCATCAGTCAGGACAGAAGGCACCAGGAGCCAAGGAGGCAAGAGATGCCCGAGTGTCAACAGCCAGGTTCCCAGAGGAGAGAGTCACACAGGATAGCAAGGAAGAACCTCGGGTGGCAGAGGGACTTTTGAACAGCCCAGAAAATTCTGGCAATAGGTCTTTCAAGTGCATGATGCTTTTCCATGTGGGCACTCACCTTCCCAGTGCACGGAGGGCTGTTTTTAAGTACTTCCCAGGGCCTAACAGGAAGGGAAATGTGGACCCTGAACCGAGCTGCTTTCTCTCTGCAGCACAGAAGAGGATCTCCCTCCTGTAAGCATTTATAGTCATCAAGGCACATAAAGCCAAGAAAGCTTTCCTTAGCTGACAGAATACACTCTCGTGGAGGAAATTTAGGCCCCGGAGGGCACTTTCAGGCAGGATGCTTGCTGCTTACTACCCCTCCTCACCGTCCACAGCCAGGGCCGCGCCTGCTTGGGATGGCAGTGGGCTGGACAATAAAGAATGGGGGCCGGGCACTGTGGCTCATGCCTGTAATCCCAGCACTTTGGGAGACTGAGATGGGTGGATCACTTGAAGTCAGAGTTCGAGACCAGCCCGGCCAACATGGTGAAACCCCATCTCTACTAAAAATACACAAATTAGCCAGGCGTGCTGTTGCGCACCTGTAGTCCCAGCTACTCGGAAGGCTGAGGCAGGAGAATCGCTGGAACCCGGGAGCTAGAGGTTGCAGTGAGCCGAGACTATGCCAATGCACTCCAGCCTGGGTGACAGAACGAGACTCCATCTCAAAAAAAAAAAAATGGGGTATTTGCATTTGGGGCAAGCTGTAGCTTGGGCCCAGACATTAGGGCCCCCTGTAGTTCTTAACTTCAACACCTCTTCCTCGGCCTCCTGCAGCGGGGGCTGCAGCCTGAGCAGACGAGACTTAAGTCTCATGGACTCTGCAGCTGCCCGCTGCCTTCAGAGGGGAGATATGGGAGCAGGGAGGACGCAGTGTTCCCTTTCCGCTCCTCTGCGCCTTAATTAAGTGCTTTCATTTCCCTCCTTCCTCTCTACACAGGCCCGACTGAGATAAGGTATTGATCCCCTCCCAGAGGAGGAGGAAGCCGGCGGGAGGCTTGCAGCTCTCTCTTTATGGGACAAGATGGATGGCTTACTAGAGAGCCCTTAATTGTGTGGTTTGTAACTTGGGGAAGTTCAAAGAGAAAAGAAAAGAAGTCTGAACGAGGGGCTGCCTGGGAGTCCAAGAAGTGAGCCATTTCTCCCCTCAAGGAGGGTTCTATTCAGCCTCCCTTACAGGACAGCCTAGTCCAGATCAGCCCAGATCAGCCCAGCCCAGCCCAGCCCCACTACAGAAGAGCGCTCAGAAGTGATCTCACTAAAAGGGGCCAAGGAGATCATCTCACATAGCCAAAATGATGCTCCATGTCCCCTGATGCAGCCAAGGATGTGGCCCTGAGCCGGGAGTCCAGAGCCCTGGGCTTAGGTGCCAGCTCTGCCACTGGGTTAAATGAATGACCTTGACCAAGGCTCCTCACTTCCCTCTTTCAGCAGATGAGAAAGTTGACCTGCATCCACAGTGCTTAAACTACGTGCTAGGACTATGTGGCAGGGAGGGGTTAAAGGGAAAGCTGGAGCCCCAGTTTCTTTTTTGAGGCCTGTTTAGATCCTCCTCATGTATCAGAATTTCACATAAGCTCTGTGACATGGTTTTTTGTTTGTTTGTTTGTTTGTTTGTTTTGTTTGTTTGTTTTTGGGGGGTTTTCTGAGGTGGAGTTTCTCTCTTATTGCCCAGGCTGGAGTGCAATGGCACAATCTCGGCTCACTGCAATCTCTGCCTCCCAGGTTCAAGCAATTCTCCTGCCTCAGCCTCCCGAGTAGCCAGGATTACAGGCATGCGCCACCATGTCCAGCTAATTTTTTGAATTTAGTAGAGATGGGGTTTCACCATGTTGGTCAGGCTAGTCTCGAACTCCTGACCTCAGGTGATCCACCCACCTTGGCCTCCCAAAGTGCTGGGATTATAGGCGTGAGCCACCATGTAGAATGGCTGACATTAGGAACATTCTTTAACCTCCTGAAGCAATTGCTTCAGCTGCAAAATGGACATAATGGTAGAATCACAGGATATTTAGGAGCTAAAATTGTTCCCATAGTAAGAATTCCATCATTATTACTTATTTTTACAAACAGCTTCTTGCTTTAAAAAAAAAAAAAAAAGACTTGAAAAACCAATGGACTCCGTAATCCCTTTTTGCTCTGGTAAGAAGGGGCTGAGGACAAAGGAGGGAGGGCATTAGCACAGGTACGAGCAGCAAGGGCCAGGAACCCTGTGCAGCCCCACCTCTTCCAACCAGCAATCATTCCAGCCAGCTCCGTAGCCTTAGCAACCAGCCCAGGGCCCAGGGCTTCAAATCAACATCTGTTGAATAAAAAATGAACACGTGAAGTTAAGGACTAACAATTATAGAGCACTTCTTATGAACCAGGAACTTGGTCAGTCACCTGTATGCCCTTTCGCTCACTGAATCATACAACAACCCAGGTCATGTCGTCGTGCCTGTTTCAGAGGTGAACAGGCTTAGCTTAGACCAGTGAATTGCCTTGCCAGCAGACATACAGCTGCCCCCAACAGCACAGGACTGAGAACCCAGGAGTCCTTTCCCCTTCCAGGATCCAGAGGAGGGGAGGCAGTCCCTCACAGACTGGCTCCTACTGCTCACCGAGAGGAAATGTTGACCCTACCCAGCTAGAGAGAAGTCAGGTCCCAGAAGAAGATTCCATCCCATCCCACTCAGACGCTTTGTCTCTTCTTGACCCTTTCTTCTGAAACTGAACGGCAGCTTCCCCATCCTTTCTTTTTTTTCTTTTTTTTTTTTTTTTTTTGAGATAGAGTCCTGCTCTGTCACCCAGACTGGAGTACAGTGGTGCGATCTTGGCTCACTGCAACCTCTGCCTCCTGGGTTTGAGCAATTATCCTTGCCTCAGCTTCCCAAGCAGCTGGTACTACAGGTATGCACCACCACCCCAGCTAAATTTTTTGTATTTTTTTTTAGTAGAAACAGAGTTTCATCATGCTGACCAGGCTAGTCTCTAACTCCTGACCTCAGGAGATCTGCCCACCTCGGCCTCCCAAAGTGCTGGATTACAGGCATGAGCCACCGCACCTGGCCCTGTCCTTTCTTAGCAAATGCTCACGGGGAAGGAGAGGCAACAAAGCAGAATCCCAAAATTCTGGTTGTTTTCAAAAAGACTAGAGTCCAAACTTCCAAACGTTCTTCCCCAAATGCAGATGTTGAGAATCTGCAGAATTTTTTTAACTGGGTGCCATAGAACCCTAGGGTTCCTTGAATGAGTTTCAAGGGCCAACCACGGTGTGGGAGGACACTAGGCTGAGCTCCTGCCCCTCTGCCAAACACACTTCAACCGGAGCATCTCTGCTTTATCTGTTTTCTGTGTTGAATTTCTGTATTAGATTCTGCAACTTTTTTTTTTTTTTTTTGAGACGGAGTCTCACTCTGTCGCCAGGCAGGAGTGCAGTAGCGCCATCTCGGCTCACTGCAACCTCCGCCTCCAAGGTTCAAGAGATTCCCCTGCCTCAGCCTCCCAAGTAGCTGGGACTACAGGTGCCCACCACCATGCCCAGCTAATTTTTTGTATTTTTAGTAGAGACAGGGTTTCACCATGTTGGCCAGGATGGTCTTTATCTCTTGACCTCGTGATCCACCCATCTCAGCCTCCCAAAGTACTGGGATTACAGGCATGAGCCACTGCACCTGGCCTGATTCTGTAACTTTTTAAAAGTTTGGAAATCTCAGTTTAGTGGGAAAGTATGGAACAGGGAGCTGGGAAACCTGTTTCTAGTACTAGCTCTGTCCTGCGAACTTGGGCACATCCATCTTCTGTCTGGACCTCCGTCTGTTTCCAAGGGGCTTTTCCACCTGTGAGTCTCTAACCCAGCTTGACTCTCTGGGTCGCTCTGCATGGGTAGGGGGTGAGACCAAGGAAGAGGGGAGCCACACTCCCAGCAATCCTCCCACAGTCTCCCCAAGCTATCAGAAGATTCATAAAGCCTGGGGTTGTTTTATTTGTCATATCACTCTGGAAATATTGATACTGGATTGCCAAACAGAAAAGCAATTCTTCTCTTTTTATGGCAAGAGGAGGGTACAGAAAATGATCCTGCTCATTAGCAAGGCAGGCCCGAGACGCAGCTCCCCTATTCTCCAGGATGGCTTGGAGAGTCGGAGTAAAACACAGATGAGAGATATCCATCTGTTTGCATTTAATTTGAGGCTGAGTTCCCAGGTCTTGACCATGGAGAGCTGCATTCCAACATGCAACACCAGGACAAGGGCAACGGAGGAGAGATTCCTGCCTGTGAGGTGCAGTAATTCTCAATCAAGGGCTTCTCAGTGATATCTGGGTCCCTCCACTGTTTCCTTGGTGATTAAAGTGGCACAGATAAAGTCAGGGCAGCGTGGCTGATTTAAAGGGGCATCGGTGAGGACTGGCACTTCCTAGAGCTCTGGGAAAACCCAGTATCCCGTCAGTAATAGAATACAATGGCTGCGCTTTATCAATTGCCTAGTATAAACTAAATTCTGAGTTCAGAGCATTATCAACTTTTTCTCAATAAATCCCCACAACAACCCTGAGGCAAACTGGGAGAGTGGCAGCCCATTTTATAGCTGTGGAAACTGAGGCTCAGAGAAGGTTAGTAATTTGGCCAGTCACAAAACTTGAGCCAGAGTCTAACCAGATCTGTCTTGCTCCAAATTCCATAGCCCATGCTCTTACTATTCCCCACTTCCCCCCAAATTCCAGAGTATGTAGATAATAAGAACAATAATAAATTGTTACTTATTGATATTTACTGTGTGCCAAGCATCTTGCTCGAAGTATTTTTGGTTGTCTCATCTATTCTTCTCAACAATCTATGAGGTAAATACTAGTGTGCCCATTTCACAGATGACAAAACTGAAGCATGAAGAAGCCACAACATCTATCAAGGTCACACACCAAGTTGAGGATAGAACTGGGGTTCGATATTCTATAGTTTACTCAGATTGACAATTTCCTATCAGTCTTATTGCCTGATGGCCAATGTGCAGGGAAGGGCTGAGGGGGGCGCCACAGGCAGCTGGATATGGCTGGTTCTGGACACCCTGTTACCAACCCTCTGTCGTAGGCAGGAGGCGGAACTGTCCTCTGACACATGTAACGCGTTGGGATTTTAAAAAGAAGTTTTCACGGAGGCACCAAGATGCAACAGACAGTGCCTAATGAAGTGTGGGGCCTGACTAAGACTCCATCCTGGGGTCTAACTCCTACCATAGGCAAGAGACTATGGCAGAAGAGAAGCAGCTGCCCTGGGGGTGTCTGCATGCCCAGTGCATGAGGGGACAAAGGCTGTGTGCTCACTGCTGAGCCCAGAAAGAGAACAGCTCGGGACCATTTTGAGTCATGCCCACGGGGACTTCCAGGAAGAGCTGGGACTCAACAGCAACAGTCTGTGTGGAGAGGGCCCATTAGAGACGTGGAAGCTGAGGGGAAACGGACGGAGATGCGTATCGTCAGTCAGCACCCAAGAATGAATGAGAAAGGAAGTTCACTGCCCTCCTCCCTTCCTCCATCCCCTTCCCCAGCCCTGGAGGACTCAGTTACAGCATGCCCTGTCCCCTGCAATCTGTCAGCTGTTCTGGTCACAAGCCAGATTCCCTCCACAAGAGGGAAAAGATTCGACTTTAAATCAGATGTGAAATGTGGATTATCGTCTGGGACTATACATCCTTATTTTGTAATTGAAACCTATTTTATGCCTAAAAGTGACTTTTTAATGGCCTTCTTACCTGAAAGTGAAACAATAAGCCATGAGGATAAAATGCAAAAGCACAGTGGGAGAAACAAATAATGCTGCATTTTGTTTACACCCCGAAGTTGCAATTTGCCGTTTTTCATTGTATCAGTTACCCTGCCAAATCCAGGATTCTGTGGGATAAGGCAGCAAAAAGTACAGAGAAAGGGACTCTGAAGCCCAGCCCATAGGGGAAGAAAGGAAGGGATTCATCCCCTAATGAACCACACAAATGAGCCCGCCCCTCTGGCCAGGCCTTGAGTGGGTGTGTGTCCCAGAGAAGTAACAATGTAACCTTGAATACCTCCATAGCGACACTGTCAAGGGGCCCTTGGAGGCTGCACATTCCCAGCCCTGTCCCGGCTCTTCCCTTGAGACTCCTTGTACACTGACTGGCCGCAACAGGCTAAGATGAAAGAACTTTGGAAATCAGATGCAGCCCAAACTGAGCTTTATTCTGCAGGCAATTACAAATCATTGAAAATGTTTAAGCAAGAAAGTGGCCTGGGACTTCAGGTACCTGAGACTCCGGGGGACAGGAGGGCTGGAGAAGGCTCTTTGGTCTCTCAGGATAGTGTCTTTCGGCTGTCTGTTTTGCGGCCACACCCACCCACCCTCCCTCCAGCTCCGGGTTAGGAACTTTTGTCATATCCCACAGCCAGCTTGAGGTCAGATGGAGATCTGCCTTGGCCCAGGAGTAGGAGATAGGGCTACCCATGACTGAGAGTGTGCTATTCCTGATGTAAATGCCCTTGCAGCTACCAGCCCCTTAGAACCTTCCCTGAAAGCCCAACCCTCTCCCACCAGCCCCCTCAGAGCAGAGCACAGCCCAGACCTGAATATCTCCTCCCAAAAAATATCGGAGAAGCAGACTCTGTCCTGGGCCTCAGTACGAGTGAATGGTCAACCATCCAGGCAGGGTGAGCCAGGAGTGGTAAAGGTGGACCATCTCTCAGACCCCCTATCCCTTGAGACTCCAACGAGAGGAAGGGATCCCAGGAATGTGAGCTCCATGTCTCCCCCACAAGCCCACTGGACACAAAGAAGAATAGGGAGTGTTCTCTGCAGGCATGAGCTCAGGCCAGCGCCTGTCCACACAGCTTCAGCCAGGTCTCAACATCAGCACCAGCTCCTGGTTGTATCCACTTCCTGATGTAGTGCCAGGTGCTGCTCTACCTTGCAGCACTGTGGTAAGCAGTGCTGCTGGGATGCCAGGCTGCCTGGGTTCGAATCCCTGATGCCCCACTTAGTGGCCCTGTGACCTTATGCAAGTGGCTTAACCTCTCTTGGAGTCTGTTTCCTCATCTGTCAAATAGGCACGATAATAGCACCTACCCGATAGGCCAAGGTGAGGCTGATCCCTTAGACTACTAGGACCAGGGCTAGCACACAGTTTGCTCTCTGGAATTGTTTGCCTTACCACTGTTCTGGTGCTGCCTCCAGCCCTCTCCAGGTTTCCTGGCTTCCTGGGCTCAGATGGCTGATTTAGTGCACTCGCCTTCCCTCTCCCCCTTCCTCTCCAGGGTGGATTGGTTTGAATGCGATCTGTAATCTCCCGAAAGGCCCCGGAGGGACCCATCGGCTCCTTCTAAGGAGCATTAACTCAAACCGTAACCAGCTCTCCAAGCGTGTTGGGGAGGCCAGGTCCTCTGGGAGCCCTTCTGACTGCTGCGGAGGAGCTGGCAGCTCCCTCTTCCAGGTGGGGAGGGGGAATTGCATGGCCTCTGCCCTCAACCCAGCTCCATGCCTGCCCAGGAGGCCCCTACCCTTCAAGGGCCCCTTGCCCTGTGTCCAGCTGAGTCCACCTCCCAGGGATGCTTTTCTGTGAGGGGACATGACTGCAGGGCCACCTGAGCAGGGACCATGGCATGGCCCAAAGCCTTACTGGGGTTGGAAGCAACCCTCAACCTCCCAGCAAACTGATTCCCTATGGGTTTTGACTGCAAATCCTTGACCCCTGCCCAGGAAGCTCTGCTTCCCCTCTCCTCCTCCTGGGATGGGGACCTCATGTCCCCAGGAGCAGGGACAGGGTTATTGTCTGGAAGAAGCTTCTGGGGCCTGCAAGAATCCCTCGAGGGACCCAACAGGAGCACAGGGCACAAGGATGAGCAGGGAGGATGGGCAAGGAGGGGCAGGGACAGGCAGGGAGGGGCCAGGAGCACCAGCCCCACCAGGGCTGACTTGGAAGTCCTCACTCAGCTTTGTGCTAGGTTTGGGACTGGGCTCCAAGAGAGGTCAGGGGTGATCCATCTGGGAAGTCAGAATGAGAGAATTGGGACCGGAAGTTTCTGCCATGTCTCTCCTCAGCCCGGGGCTTTTCCAGGGTTGGAACACGGCTCCCCTCACACCAGGACTCCTTCCCTTAGACTGGGGCTCCCTGAGAACAGAGCTGGGTCTTTCCTCAAGCAGAGCATCTCATGCCCTTTACTCACTTACTGGGGACGGGCGTGCCCTTTATTACTTACCAAATGCCTACTGTGTGCCAGGCCCTGAGCTGGGGCCTGGGATTTGATAGTGAGAGGGGGAGATATGGCCCTGCCTTCGTGGAATGCCCCCTGGCTCCTCCCTCCCTCAGCATACCACAGGGGCAAAGGGTAGCAAACACCCCGTGGCCCTCACCCTGTGCCAGGCGTGGCTTCCATTCAATCCTCCCCACAACCCTCCATGTCCATACCTCATTACTATCACTCTCGGTTTACAACTGAGGCACAGAAAGTTCAGGAAGCTTCCTAAGGGTGCAGGGCTAATAAGGACAACACCAGAAGCAGGGTGTGGTTCTCACCTATGAAGCCCTCCCTGCACCTCATAGGGCTTTTACAGCCTCACCGTCACTGATTCCTCAAACCTCCCGTGTGGGGAGCACTGTTCCTATCACTGTGAAACAATGAGAAAGCTGAACTGAAGCTAAGGAACAAATTCCTATGTAAACTCCATGACGGCAGCCCCTACTCCAGTTAATTCACCCTGCTATTCCCAGGCTCCTAAGCCATACCTAGTATTGAGTAAACACTCAAACACATTTCTTGTATGAATGAATCAATGAACAAAGAAACAAATGAATAATTGCCTCTGGGGTCAGCAGTTGGCCTCATTGCAATCATCCTGGTTGACAGATTATCTCCCGTTAACCCCAAGCCTCAGTAGCCTGCACAGCCAGACACAGAAGCCCAGCCTATGGCCCCAGAAGGTCTAGAAAATGAGAACATCTAGGCTGAGCTGGGGCCTCTCTGGGATTTGATGAGTGTGGCTTAAAGAGAAGGAAATGCAGTCGAATCAAATGCCCTGAAAGTCAGTCTAGCAGAGAAGCATTGAAAGCAAGTCCCCTTAGCCTATCTTGTTTGAGAGCGGGGAGTGGGGATGGGGACACCGCCCACCAGCAGGTAAGCCTGTTACCTGTCTGCCGGCCTGTCCACTGACTCCTTGGCCAGGGCCTGCCAACCCCTCGCTCAGCTCCCCTCAGAAGGAGGTCAGAGGCTGGGCCTGGGGAACCCCTGCAACCAGGCCCCATGGTGTCCAGAGCCCCCTACGTCTTACCCCAGGCCTGAGCCAGGGTCCTGCCTGGCCAAGAAGGGACTGAGCCCCAGGGAGGAGAGAGAATAGAGAAAAGTAAATGAAGCCCTGCCCCGCCCCCTCCGATATGCACAGATGCAGGTTGCCACTCAAAAAGCAATCTCTCCAAACGTTTAAAAACTGCCTGCAATTTATATCTTGTGCTTGACAGAGCATCTCCAAGTCATTTCCTGGTGCAGAGAAGTGCAAACTCCCAAGCCAGGGGGCTGCTCCACCCCCAGCCTAGGCCAGTATGTCGGGTACCTCCCCATGGGGGAGAGGAGGAAACAAAGAGAGCAAATTCTCTTTCTTCCCCCTTCAGCCTCAGAGAGAGTCAGAGAGAGATCCCAAAGGTGACAGCTGCAACCCCAGCCAGGAGTCCCCTCAGAAGTTAAAGAGCCATAGACAAAAAAGGGACCTCCTTCTTGGACTCATCAACAGACACTGATGAATAGGGCCCACCTCCGGGAAACAGTGGTTTTACTGCAATGTGTCCTGTGCTCTAAGAGAGGGAGCCTTGGGATGGAAGGATTCAGAGGAGGGGGTGTCAACCCTCTCTGGGAAGGTGTCGTTTTAGCTGTGTCTAGAAGGAGGAGCAGAAGTTTGCCAAGCTGAAACAGAGAGGAATTCCAAATGGAAGGCATAGCTTGGGCAAAGGCACAGTGGTGTGAAGAGCCTGAAGTCTGGAGTGCAGAGCCGAGAAAGCAGCGGCAGGTGAGGCCAGAGGGCGGAGATGGGGACGAGGAAACCCTGGTTCCAGGAGCTGGCTGTGACCCTCAGGGTGCATCCACAAGACCTTCAAGCAGAAAAGGACATTGACAACGGAGACAAAGACACGCAAAGAGGCCAACCTGGGGAGGAGCAAGGCTGCTCAGAGAAGAGGTAGGGTCCCTACTCCCACCTCATCTCCTTCTCCCCTCCCCTCCCACGACACCCTCCAGCCACGCCCCCACGCTGTCTCCCCTGCCTAGATGGCCGGCTCCTCCAGCTGCAAGTCACTGATCAAACGCTACCTCCTCTGGGAAGCCTCCTCTGACTTCAACATCTAACAACGCCTCCCCAGTCCATCTGCCTCACCAGCCTTTTCCATTGTCTTCAGAGCATTTACCATCTGAAATTAGCTTCATTGTCATCCCCATGGGATTTTAAACTCCAGGTGAGCAAAGACTTTTTTTAAGACAAGCAAAGGCTTGTTCTTAGTGATAGCTCCAAGCACCTAGAAAAAAACCTGGCACATAGTGGGCACTCAACAAATATCTGCCGAATGAATGAATAAGTGCTTCGTCACCGCGCTGAGGCTCCGGCTCCCTGTTCAGAACGGGGCTCTCTGCCTGCAAACTCCAGCCCTAGCCGTTGTCTGTGCAGTTCCTTCTGCAATTAATCATGTTCTGTCAGGTGATACCCTTTGTGTTGTCATTGGAGGCTGCATCTCATTCATCTCTGTCTCACCCCAGGGCCCAGCGCGTAGTAGGTGTTCAATCAGGGGTTCCCTGTCGTTAACCCTCCCTACCTTCCCGGCAAGAGTGATGTGCTCAGCAGAAGACGTTCCTGGGGCAGAAGCAGCCACCATCCCCCACCCCCACCTCCACAGGTCCCTTGGGGCAGAGAGGAGGGGCCAGAGGCAGAGCTGAGGGGAGCAGCTCAGAGAGGAGCATCAAGGACTTCGCCATCCTTCTCTGAAGGAAAACTCCCTTTCTGGGCAGGAAAGCAGTTGGTACAGACAGAAGGACATCTGTCTTGGTCTCAAAAAGACCCGATTCCAGCTCAGGAAAAAGTTTTACCACTCAGGAGCTGAGTGACCTTGGGCCAGCCAATTCACCTCTCTGATCCTCATGTCTCTCATCAGAAAAAGTGCTGTGTTGTTGGGAAGATCAAATGCTGTCTTGAATGGAGAGTGTCTAGCACAACACACCTAGTGAGGGCGCAATAAATGCAAGCAGTAAAAAGAATCATAATAACAACTAATGCATGTCAAGGTGCTCACTGGGTTTACACTCACTCAATGTTCATCACTTTGCTCTCAGTGCTGTATTTAGAACTCACGATAGCCCTGATATAGGTACGATTATTAATACCATTTTGCAATTGAGGACAGGGTGATCCAGAGAGGTTAAGCAACTTGCCCAAGACCACACAGCTGGCAGGTGGAAGAGCAAAGATTCGAAATCAGGAAGTCTGGCTTCAGAGTCCACCCTTTTAAGTTTACTATTATTATTGCTAGAACAGTGGAAAACTAAAGCATAGCCTCACCTCTCTAAGCCTCAGTTTTCCTGCCCGTAAATGGGTAGAATAACACTGCCTACCGAGAATTATGAGGGTAGGCAGAATTAGGAGGATTCAATAACATGTAAACAAGTGTCTGGCACACAGTGGGAACTCAGTAATTGCCGGTAGCCTCTCCTTCTTACGCCCAGAGGGACAGCAGGCCACTCGGAGCGCTCTGCGCAAAAAGCTGCATGGAGAAGGAGCCAGCTGATAAAGCAAGTGTCGGCTGCTCATTTGGTAAATGAGATTTGGTTAGAAAGATGAACGCTGCCACTTCTGGCTAATGTGTCATGTAAATTCTAATGATAATACAGCTCCCGAGCCTGCACCCACCCAGTGCCCGCCGCCTCTGCCTCCACCGCTCAATTATCTCCCGAGGCTCCTGGCAGAATCCATGCTTCACTGGGATCCTCGCCCCAGCCTGCCTTCCCCAGCCGCAAATAATGAAAACCCGCCTCGTCTGTGAGATTGCTCACTTACATTTTCTATTAATTCTTTCCTTTCAGAGGAAAAATGAGAGGAGCTGGGGAAGGAGGAGGCAAGGTGGGGGGTGGGGCCGAACTGCAGCCTTTCAAGGCCAATCAGCTCTGCCCCAGGGACCGACACACGAACAGTCTGGAGAGGGGTGGTCAGGATGGGAGAGGTTCCCACGTCAGGGCCTCAGTCATCCAACCCTTGAGACAAAGGAAGCCCACGGGTCAGTGAGGCCCAGAGGTCAGAACCAGGACCTTTGGTGGGGAGAGGAGCAGGGATTCCAATCCTCTATTCACTTGCTGTGTGACTTCGAGCAAGTCGCTTAACCTCTCTGGATGCAATGCCTTCATTTGTGAAAGGTGGGGTGAGCTGGTTGGCCAGCATCCAGGGCCCATCCTGAGCTGACTGGATGTGATTACCAGTATCAGGGACAGACTTTGGCTCCTTGCAAGGAAGGCTTTCTTAGCAGACAGGAAGGGGTTATGTGAGTGGTGGTGAGTTTCCCATCCAAAAAGATGTTCAAACTATGACAAGGATATGCAGAAACTCACCACTCTCTCTGACAAGGTTCTGAGACCACCTGGATATCTATGCAAGATCTGTTGGCTGGGACAGGATGGAAAGTGGGGGAAGGCAGTTAGAGTTGTCCCCATTCTAAAGAACGCAGGGCCTGGGGAGGGGAACCTCCCACTCTAGGTCCCATCCTGAGTCCTGAGTCTGTATGGGGCTAACGGGAAGCTGCACTCATTTTTGGAGCCAGTGTCTTCCATGTGCTAGAAATGGTAGGTACAGATTTGAACCAGACCCCAATCTTTGTCTTCAGGGAGCTGTTTACAGTCTGCTGGGAGGTGGGAGGCACGAACAGGCCATTGCTCTGAAGGGGGTACATACAGGAGTGAAAAGAGCACAGGAGTTCACAGCAGCAAGAGAAAGACCAGCACTCACCCCCACCCAGGGAAGCCTCCCTGGAGGAGGTGGCATTTAATCCAGGTAGCACTAGAATGGTTAGAAACATGTAGGAAATCATCTGGTATACAGCAGGCACTCAGTAAGAGATAGCAGTGCCCTCCCCGTCAGCTAAGCTAGGGAATCCAGGGAGGGAGGCCCACAGAAGAGCCCTAGGGACCAATGCAGGGTCAGACATGCAGCAGGGGCCAGTGCATGTCTCAAAAGTGAATGGGTGAGTGGGCGACTGCGTTAGCTGTGGCAGGGGGGAAAGGGAGTGAGTGGGTGGGTGGGGGAGTGAGTGAGTGGGTAGATGGGTGAGTGGGTGAGTGGTGGGTAGGTGGGTGGGTGGGTGAATGAATGAGTTGGTGGGTGGGTGGGTGGGTGGGTAAGTGGGTGAGTGATTTGCAGAACTCTATGTATAAACAAAAACATGATCCCATTTTTATAAAGATGGATCCTAAAACCTTCTGGCCTCATTTGTATGTATGTGGAGAAAGGCCTGGAAGAACACACACTGAGCTGCCGACTCTGGTTGCCCCTGGAGGATGGGCCTGGGGGAGGGAGGAACACTCACTCTGTTCTCTACACACTTCTGTGTGTTGTTTTTTATAGTGAGAATGTATTATTTTTGTAACATTAAAAACAAATTTTAAAAATGTAAGAAATGTTTAAGCTTTGTAGGCTAATTAAAAATTAAATCTATATCAGAAAAGATTCCCTTGTCCTCCACTCCCCCGTGCAGCCACTGCCTCTGCCAGGAAGCCCTTTCAGACATCAAATCTAAACCCTTCAAGATATGAAGCTCACTTCTCGGGCTGTCTCCAGGTGAGCGGGAGAGGGGAGCTGCCAGGATTCTCTGCCCAGCCGCTAGTCTGATGCACTGGCCAAGGCTCCCTTGCTGGCTGCCTTGGGACCTGCCCCCACTCCCATGGACGTGATGAGGAGGAGAGGGAACAGGTTTGGCCTGGCCTCATTCTGGGGAGAGCTCCCCACCTTCGAGAAGGAATTTTCCTGGCAGAAGCAGCAGCCCCTTCAGCTCCCAGGACGCGTAGGATGCCTTCAGGCCCAACATATGTGGGATCTTCTAAAACAGGGACAGGAAAGGAGGAAAAATAAAGTCTGTTCCCCTAGGTCTGTTGTCTCAACAAGCAGCGGCCTCCAGAAACACTTTCCACAGAAGCAGTGGGGGCCAAGATTCACAGGCAGAGTCCCAATGTGCAGATGGGCAAACTGAGGCCCACCGGATGAGAAAAGACCCATCCTGCGTCCCCCTGCACAGTGGGTTAGAGGCAAAGCCAGGACTGGAACGTAAAACCCCTGGATCGGAGCATAAGATGGAGAAGGTGGGCCTAAGAGGAGATGAGCAGGGAAGGGAGGAGACAGAGACAGAGACAGAGCTGGAGAGGCTAGCACTGACTTGAAGAGGGGAGGGGAAGGGCTGCCCCAGGCTGGCTCTCTAGACGGCTCCCATCAGGGACATAGTGGGGCTCCTGGACCCCAGGGTCACGTGCAGTTGGCAGAGACTGGACGTGACTGGTGCAATACACCTAATATTTCCAGTTCTGCCCCTTCCTGGCAGGTGGTGAGATTCACTTCCTGTAGGTGGAAGTGAGGCATGCAGCTAGTTCTGACCAATGACTGGGAACAGAGTGGTGTGGTCTCTTCTGGGCCAGAGAATTTCAGTGCCGACGCACCCTTCTGAGTGCTTGTTCCCTCTGCCCCAAAACTGACAAAAGGCAAGCCAGGTCCTGAGTGACTAAGATGAGCAGAGATTCTGTTGACCCTTGCTGGACACATTGCAGGAATAATAAATAAATCTTTTTTGTTTTAAACCACTGAGACTTGGGTATGTTTGTTAAGGCAACATACAATCTGGCCGATCCTGACCGATGTACAAAATATGAGCTTTGGAATCAGATAGCTCAGATTCAAATCCCAGCAACTCCACTGACTCTCTGATGACCCTGAGCAAGTCCTGTTTCCTGCAGGTCTCTGTCTTCCCTTTTAGAAAATAAAGGACCCAAGAATGAGATTACCTCCAGCTCCCAGAACTCCAGGACTTTCTACCCTTTTCTTAGAAAGCTCCCCACTCCTGGCCAGGATCACACAGAGTCTTGAGGATACCAGAGAGACAGCACATCTCTGGGGATCCCCAAAGACAGAGGTCTTTCTATGGAAGTGCAGTATTCTCTACTAAGGTTCCCAAACCTGGCTGCTTATCAAAGTACTAAGGGAAGTTTAGAAATGCAGATTCCTTAGCCTGATTCACAGAGATTCAGATGCAGCAGGTCTGAGCTAGCGCCCAGAGATCTGATGCAGGTCTAGAAGCCCCACATCAGAACATCCCAGATGGATCTCATCAGACCTAGCAAGGGAAGGCTGGGCTGAACAGGCCTAGCCCAACCCTGAATCCCCGCAAAGCCTGCTCCCCTTCCCCTTCTTTTTTTTTTCTTTTTTTTTTTTTTTTTTTTTTTTGAGACAGAGTCTCACACTGTCACCCAGGCTGGAGTGCAACGGCGCGATCTCGGCTCACTGCAACCTCTGCCTACCGGGTTCACGCAATTCTCCTGCCCCAGCCTCCCAAGTAGGTGGGATTGCATCCCCTTCCTTTTTTTCGGGAGTCCCTCCTCCCACCACCCTCCTGGCCCTCCCAAAGGGCCACCTTCTCAGCCAGTCCTTGCTACATTTTAGATAAAAGTGGAACAGGGCACTCAATAATGCAGCTCAAACCCAGCTCACCTGCAGCAGCCACATGTCTCCCCAGCCGGGTGCCAGCTAGAGGAATCTAGCCCCAGGCCTAACTCCTCCCACCGGCTCCCTCCCCAGCCTCCCTCCTCCCTCCTCATTGTCCTTCCCAATCCCCCAGCGTGCCAAGGTGAGAAAAACACCAAAGGGTGAATTTCTGATTAAAAACCAGCCTCTACTTATTGCCTTGGCTGTTCTTGCAGGGGGGAAAGGGTTCAGCTTGTGTATGTATGCACCTGTGCGCTCAGGTATGTGTGAGTTACTGATGGGCATGTGTGCCTCTGAGTAGACATGTGTCAGCCTGGGAGTGTGAGAATGTGCGTACACATGTGTCTGTGTGTGAGTATGTGGTTTGGGTGAGTGCATGTATCCATGGGTATATATGTGTGTGCAGGGTTGTAAATGTGCAGGGGTACATATGTGTGAATGTGTGTACATGGATATGCTTATGAGGGTGTGTGACTCTGTGTGTGTGTGTGTGTGTGTGTGTGTGTGTGTGTGTACTAATGTGTACTGACAGAAAAAGCCTTCTGGTTAAACTAATACCGTTAAGTTTGGGTAGCAGGATAATCCAAAATACTGGTTCTGGGGGAAATCATTAAAAAATACACAACATCGGGGCCAGATGCTGTGGCTCACACCTGTAATCCCAGCACTTTGGGAGGCCAAGGTGGGTGGATCACGAGGTCAGGAGATCGAGTCCATCCTGGCTAACACGGTGAAACCCTGTCTCTACTAAAAATACAAAAGAAAAAATTAGCCAGGCATGGTGGCGGGTGCCTGTAGTCCCAGCTACTCGGGAGGCTGAGGCAGGAGAATGGCGTGAACCCGGGAGGCAGAGCTTGCAGTGAGCCGAGATCGCACTACCGCACTCTAGCCTGGGTGACAGAGTGAGACTCCATATCCAAAAAAAAAAAATACACAACATCAACATTTTATTTCAAAAAGCATATACGTTTTTTGCCTTTTGAATTTTCTCTAAAGCAGGACAAAGTCTTTGGTTTGCCTGTGGTTCTAATGATTGGAGCTGTGTCCTCTTTCTTGGGTAAACCAAACCCACACTTCATTCTCAATTTCCTATTTCAATTTCTCTAAAGTGGAGCAAGAAGGTAAGAAGACTCTTGTAAAGTGATATGAGTGCCACATCTTCTAGGTCTTCACAATTTTGTTCCCAATCTTATCTTAGAGTTGCTTATCCACACCTAATTTGACAGCAATTTTTTAAGCAATTCACCTTTATAGAGTCTTTCTAGAGACTTCAATTTCATTTTATAGAAACAACAACTTTTTGTGTGCTCACAGTATTGTGGAGTACTTATTATTTAATTAAATTGTAGAATTTCAATAACAAGGGCTAGTGGCATAAACCAATCTGGAAACAAATACAACTGACTCTTTGTAAGCCTGTAACTCAGCCTGAGGGAGCAGAGGCCCGCAGGCTAGTTCATTAGAGAGCAGCTTTGTGGATGGCAAGGTCTGCGTGGGATGGACATCAGGCTGTGTGTTTCACAGAGAAAAGGCGAAGCTCAGTCAGGCGAGGGTCGAGAGGAGATGTGTTAGAGGAGCCTCCTGTCTGTGTGGGTGTGTGTATCTCGTGTGTGGGCTGAATGCATGTGGATCTGTGCCCAGGTATTTATGAGAGCACATATGAGTGTCCCCATCACTTACCCCAGCAGACAAGCCTCAGCCAAGACCACTACAAAATACGGATTATCCACCCTATCATCCGTCTGCAGCAGATGAAGGTGACAAGTGAGTTGGGCCTGACTGTTGGTTATGTGATCTGAGTCCCTGGCCACGAGATAAAGCTGGGGACAGGGCAGAGCCAGCGTGTTCTGAGTGTCTACTGTCTGCCATCTCTCTGGACTCTCACAATGAACTCGGAGATGTCCATCCTTTTCTCCCACACCACAGTTGAGGAAACTGAGGCCCTAAGAAGTGAGGGGCTTCTCCAGCTGGACGATGGTGGCACTGGGCTGAAAACACAGGCCGCTCAGGCCTATCACTGACCAGGGCTCCCCCACACACAGGAGGTTTAAGTGATTACTGATTTCCTGTGAATCGTAAGTGAGAATCCTTCATGGACACCAGCCTGCCGCGTGGGCCTCTGTGGAGCTGGGGGTGATGGTGGGCAAGGAGGCTCACCAGTGGGTGCTTAGGAGGTGGAGACAAGGCTGGGTTCAGGCTGGCACCCACCAGTAACCAGACCAGGGCTCATCTTGGCAAGGCTGTCTGGATTATTCAAAGACACTCACAACTAACTGGGTGTTGGATACTTATATCATCCCTTAGGAGGGCAGAGGAGACGGTCCTTCTTCCCATTTGACAGATGAAGGAACTGAGCCCGAAGAGGCAGCCCTAGCAGTGAGTGGCAAAGCTTGGGTGTGACCCATACACATCTCTGCTCTCTTCCACCCAGCCCTCATCTCCCAATCTCCAGAACAATTCCTGGAAATTAGTAAACGCACAGTGCAATGCATTCTACTGGCCAGGGTTGCCAATAAACAATATGTAATTCTTTAGTATGGGTATGTCTTAACTATTGCATGGAACACACTTATAAACTTGTTGTTTGGCATTCAAATTTAACTAGGCATCCTGGATTTTTATTGGCTAAATCTAGAATTCTACGATAACCACTCTTCCACTCACCCACTCCTAAGCCTCCTGGAGAGACGTTAGGATAGGAGTTTCGGGGCCAGGCGCAGTGGCTCACACCTGTATTCCCAGCACTTTGGGAGGCCAAAGCAGGCAGATCATCTGAGGTCAGGAGTTCAAGACCGGCCTGACCAACATGGAGAAACCCTGTCTCTACTTAAAATACAAAATTAGCCGGGCGTGGTGGCGCCTGCCTGTCATCCCAGCTACTCGGGAGGCTGAGGCAGAAGAATCGCTTGAACCCAGGAGGCAGAAGTTGCAGTGAGCCGAGATCGTGCCATTGCGCTCCAGCCTGGGCAACAAGAGCAAAACTTCGTCTCAAAAAAAAAAAAAAAAAAGGAAATGTGTGTCAGCCCTCTGCCCCCACCCACCAGAGAAAGAGCAGACAGCCCTATGGAAAGGACAGGGGAGGAGCGAGGCCTTGACTTCGGGCAGTGCTGGGTCTGATCTCTTGCCCCTTGGTGTGTGACCTTGGCCAAGTCACTCACCCCCTTTGAGTCTTCATTTCTCCATAGGGGGGTTGTGAGCATTAAATAAGATAATCCACACAAAATGTTGTATCTTGTGTAAGTGTTCAATGGAAGGGAGCCATTATTATTATTGTTATTATTATTATTATTTACCAGATGGTGAAATTAAGGCTTAGAGAGGGAAAATGAGTTGGTGAAGGTCACCGGGAGTTGGTAGCAGACCAGACACCCGCACTCAGGCCTCCTCTGTCACTGCAGCACTGCAGCACTGAGGCACTGCACCGTGCAGCTGCTTCAGTGTTTTGTGGCCAAGACACCAGAGGCTAGCTGGGCAGTCAAGGCTCAGTGACCTATCCCAAATATCCTCCTTCTATAAACAGCTGCCTGCCGCAGCACCTGAGGCCATGGCAGGTGGCTCAGGGCCCCACAGTCTACACTCACCCACTGTTTCCTCCCCAGAGCACCTGCAGACCAAAGATGGTCTTCAGTCCCCTCTCCCTTGTGATCTGGGGGTGCTGTAAGTTCCCACCCTATATCAAATCTATCCCTAGCCTCCCAGGGAAGTTGAGAGCTGCCCTGGAATGACAGCAGTGAGGAGGAGCACTGCCATCTAGCCCGCACCAGCAGGCCAGGCCCTGGAAAAAACAAAGGATGCCTGCAAGCTTCTCAGCCCCTGAACTCCCATCTCACCTTCAGATTACTACCAGATGCAGCCGCCAGGAGAGCCTGGGATTTCTCCCAGGCCTCTCCCCAGGTTGGAAAGGAATTGAGAGGAAAGACTAGAGTGCCCTCCCACAGCGGGCCCTGCCTGGGATTCCACAGGGACCTGGCCAAGAACTCTGCCCCCTCCAACTCCCCTCCTCCCTCCCCGACCCCAGCACCCCATCTGTAACCCTAACGAGTTGCTGACAGTTCCCATCTGTTCCTCTCCGGCTTCCTGGGGAAAGGGAGAGAGAGGAGGGGATGCTGAGAAGGGTAGAACAGAGCAGAAAGTGGTTTCCTCACACTGGGGCTGCTGGGCATCCTAGCCGCATGGTTGTCCACTGCCCTGCTGCCAAAGAAACCCTCATGCCCACACCCCTGGAGGTCCCACTCCTTAGGGTGTGAGGGTCTTTAAGAGAAGAGGTTCCAGCCACAGTGTCCTGCCCAGCTGCTGACTTCCAGATTCAACAGCTGGAAATCCAGCTCTCAGAAGGACCATCTCAGGAAGAGAAAGGACCAGCCTGACTCCCCAGTCCAGGAATTCCCAAGGTGCCTTCTTCCCTCACCCCACCCCCACCCACGTTCTGCTCTCAGACCATGGGACAAGGTGGGGGCTTAAGGACAGGAGCTGCAGTCTTAGCCCACAGGCCCAGCCCACCCCCATCAGCTCCTATCTGGCTCCCGCTCGCCAATGCTGCCATCTAGAGGTCATCCGGGGCACCTCAGGAACCGATGCGCTGCCCAGGAGCCCTCTAGGATCCCCACCCCCAAGGCCCACCATGGAAGGCTGGACCAAGGATGGAGTGCCCAAACACCTTGCCTGGAGGCGCTGGGAGCGTCACCTCACCCACCCCCTACTTCCAGGAAGCTGTATGGCCATGAGCTGTTCCCTGGCTCCTTGCTCATGGAGTGACCCTCTTCACGGAAGCTCAGGGCCTGTTAGAAAGGAAAATGAAGTCGCTATAAGAAGGGAAAATGAACGGGAAAGCTCAGGGCCTGTAAGAAGGGGAAACGAAGTGATGTGCCACCACGTCTCACACTCACTGAAGCTGCCATGTGGATAATAGTGCCCCATTTAAAAGTCGAGGACACAGGCACAGGTAGGTAGAGGGAACCGTTCATTTAGAGTGATAAACTTCCTGGCTTGGTTTTCTGGAGGGGATCACTTCAGTCCTCAAAGGTTCGCTAATTCGTTTGCCAGTCCTGTGCTGGGGGAGGACCTACTGTGTGTTGGGGTCTGTGCCAGGTCCTGGGAAACTCAGGGACATATCAGACGCTGCCCAAGGCACACTCACCAAGGGGCTGGGGGGCATGGGCAGGACTCCTGGCTACACCAGGAAGTCCCTGAGAGGCAAACCATGAGGTCCCTGTGAGAAGTCACCAGCCGTGACAGCAATGCCAACAGAACCATCCTCAGCCAGGGAAGGCCATTTGGCAGCCCATGCTTCTTAGACGGGGCCCTGTCCTGAGCACTGCTTCAGAGACTTACCCATAAGGGACTAGGAGAGGCCACCATCCACCAGTCACCACAGCCAAGCAGCCCTCTCCCCCAGAGGAACCAACCTCTCTCAGAGCCAGCTATGACAACCCCCAGTCCCCTAGACAAGCTAGAGAACCCACAGGGCTAACACATAGCAGGTGCTCAGCCTATGTTAGAAGAATGAAGAAATTAGATAATTAAGGGGTTATTCACACGGGAGCTTCCCAGCCATATAAAATCAGATCTACCACTCCTTCCACCCCTGGCTGTCCTTGTCCCAGTGGCCAGCAAGTCCTTAGAGTAGAGGAAACCCAGGAGACTAGCATTCTCGTTCCATTGCTGCATCTCACCTGCTGCGTGACCCATGGCAAGCCTCCCCTCTCCGGGCCTCAGTCTCCCCATGTGTATAAGGGGGAGTTGGACTAGACAGGTGGTGTCTAAGGCCTTGGTATAGGGGAGGGTAACCTAACCCTACCCAGCCACCCTAACTCTCTTACCCTTTCCACCCCTCCTCCTCCAGAATCAAAGGTGAGGCCATAAGCTGGTACCACATGGAGACCTAGAGGAATTGCTGCCCAACACACCTGTGTGTCCCCCCAACATACACAAAGTATGCATATGTACATACAAACATGCACACATGTGCATGAAGCCACATACATGCACGCATGCATTACAGGCACCCGTGTATACACATACCAGTGTCTGCACATCACACACTCAAACACATGCCCTGTGCTCAGTGCTGCAGAGCCTCAGAAACAAGCTTAGGGACACACTGAAGTTATGAAATTGATTTCTCTGGGAACAGTTGGAATTAGTTTTAATTATCTTTATCTTTCTTCCAATTGTGCTCTCAGCCTTCCCCTCGCTGTGTAATCCATTGCTATTGACTTCCCCGTAGGCGCTGGGGATGGGGGAAGCTGGGTGGGGTATGCAATGTGTTCATTTTTGGTACAAATAAACAACAGCAACAATCACCTCCCACCCATGTCTTCCTCTGCACCAGAGGAATCAGCCTCTCCCAGAGAGCCAGCAGGACTTCCTGCTCCCACAAACACACTCACAACATCCAAACCTTATTCTTCAAGGAAGCCCCTTCCAGGAAGCCCTCCCTGGTTGGGATGAGAGAGGGCTTAGACATGCGATCTGTTCATATCTCTACATCTCACAAGTTTGGGCTTTCAAAGTGGTCCCCTGAGGAGGCTGAGCTTCATTCAGGAGGCTCAGATTCCCTGCTGAAAAGCCCTTTCTATCTCATCCTCCAGGATCCCCTCCCTGAGCTCCCACCAGGCCCTAGCATATGGGATGTCCCCTGTACAGCATCTAGTATAGTGGGGGCAGGACCTGGGTCTGATTCATCTCTGAGATCAGGCACATAGTAGGTGATCAATAAATATTTGTTGAATGAATGAATGAGTCAATGGAAAATTCCTTTTTGAAACCTGCCTTTAGAGTCTAACACATCTACTCATTCATTCAACCAATACTGAGCACCAATGCTGTTCCAGGCACTGTGCCAGGCACCAAAGATACAGAAATGAATAGGAGCTGGTCTGATCCTTGTGCAGCACCCCACTTAGGAGACAGGACAGGGGGGTGGGGTCCTCAAGCAGAGATGGGGTGAAAAGTGTATCTGAGTGAGAGAAACAAAGGCAGAAGCTTTTATTTTTAAGAAATCTTAATGAAGGCAGATCAGTTTTGAGGAGCTGGTTGCCTCTAGAACTAGGGGGACTGACTGGTAGGATGCTCTGTCCTCCAGGGGCTCCCACGCTGTGCCCAGGCCTGGGCCAATTCCACACCAGGCACGTGGGAGGCTCTGCTGCCCTGGGTGTGTGTGCAGGGCGATATCGGCCCCTCCTCCAAGGGGTGCTCCCCTTGGAGCCGTGAAGGGGAGGAGGCCATCCCTCACCAGCAAGGTGCCAGTGCTAAGTGCCCTGCAGCACTAATATTTTATGATTAAAAACCATTAAGGTTTAGACCATGAAAATCCGAGGGACACAAAATCAATGGCCCAATATTGCTTCCCCCGGTAAGTTGTGTAAATATTGTGTCTTTTATTGTTTGGCCGATGGCAAGAGCAGAGATACAGGTGCAGATTATACTAATGCATCCCCTCCTGTTCCAGCCCTGACCTGGTGGAATTAACATCCTGGCTGAGAGGGGCCAGGACAGGCCTGGTGAGCTGGCCACAGAGAGGTCCTGACTGGCCCGTGGTGGAAAGTCACCCCATTTCCTCGTCCACCCTTCTCCCACACTCCCCATCAGACTCCCCAGAGGCAGCGACACAGCCCCAGGCCCCTCCCCCACACAGTGTCCCCACACTAATCACACAGACACATGTCTCATGGTGACGTGCTCTCCTGACAGCCCGTCCATCACCCAGCTCCGCCATCTGCTTGAATTTGCATATTGAATCAGGATCTGTCTTTTCTCCTCTGGGGGTTCCGATGAGGGTGGAGAAGATGATTCCAGGAGTTGCTCCCGTGGCGATCGGGCAGGCGATGTTGGGGGGCACCTCTCCTATCTGGAGTTGGGTGACTGTGGAATGCCTGGGCTCCCTCCTGCTGCTCTGGGAATGGGGTCATACCAGGTACACCCTGCCCCCAGCTTCGAGAAGGACTGGGGACAATGCTGGGGTCCCTCCTGTCTTCAGGGGACAGGGATGCCTGAACCCTCCTTTCTCCTTCCAGTCTTGGCTGCTTCCTCCCCGTACCCTGTCCCTCTCAGGGAAGAGCCAGGTATGACTCTAGGATTAGACACCACAACCCAGGACCCTGGCCCCATGTTGAGGAAAGTAGGGGTGGAGCAGGGGTCACTCTCTAGCAATGCCAGAGAAGCTGCCGGGGGAACCCAATAAAGTCTTTTCACTGAGAGGGTGCCCAGAAAAGAGAATGAGTGCACCCACGTAAGGGGAGAAGCTCTGGCGACGGAGACAGCGTGACTGATGTGATGGGAGAAGAGCTGCGGAGATGTGGAAGGCAGCGCTGAGGCTGACCTGAGGAGGATGAGCTCGGCTGCTGGCGGAGAGCAGCTGAGCAAAGGGGCGGGAATGCCTGGTCTGGGGCAAGAGCAGGGCCACTGGCATAACAAAGGGAAGAGCTGGCGGGCACAGGAAACCCCTGAACTGATGGAGGAACAGGTGGGTGGATGTGAGAGAATGGCAAAGCTCATGTGGGGAAGCCGCCGGGCTCCAGGTTCCTATGGGAGGACACTGTGACTCATGTTCAGGAGCATCTAGGCTTATACTGAGAGAGTAGTTGGATAAAGCCGGGGAGATAGCTGGGCTGAGGTGGGGGACAGCTGGGCCGAGGTGGGGACAGCTGGGCCGAGGTGGGGACAGCTGGGCTGAGGTGAGGGGACAGCTGGGCTGAGGTGGGGGACAGCTGGACTGGGGTGGGGACAGCTGGGCTGAGGTGAGGGGACAGCTGGACTGGGGTGGGGACAGCTGGGCTGAGGTGGGGGACAGCTGGACCAGGGTGGGGACAGCTGGGCTGAGGTGGGGGACAGCTGGACTGGGGTGGGGACAGCTGGGCTGAGGTGGGGGACAGCTGGGCTGAGGTGAGGAGACAGCTGGGCTGAGGTGGGGGACAGCTGGACTGGGGTGGGGACAGCTGGGCTGAGGTGAGGGGACAGCTGGACTGGGGTGGGGACAGCTGGGCTGAGGTGGGGGACAGCTGGACTGGAGTGGGGACAGCTGGGCTGAGGTGAGGGGACAGCTGGACTGGGGTGGGGACAGCTGGGCTTAGGTGGGGACAGCTGGGCTGAGGTGAGGGGACAGCTGGACTGGGGTGGGGACAGCTGGGCTGAGGTGGGGGACAGCTGGGCTGAGGTGAGGGGACAGCTGGACTGGAGTGGGGACAGCTGGGCTGAGGTGGGGGACAGCTGGGCTGAGGTGAGGAGACAGCTGGGCTGAGGAGAGGGGACAGCTGGACTGGGGTGGGGACAGCTGGGCTGAGGTGGCGGACAGCTGGACTGAGGTGAGGGGAGAGCTGGGCTTAGATGGGGACAGCTGGGCTGAAGTGAGGGGACTGCTGGGCTGAGGTGGGGGACATCTGGGCTGAGGTGAGGGGAGAGCTGGGCTGAAGTGGGGGACTGGGCTGAGGTGAGGGAACCGCTGGACTGAAGTGGGGACAGCTGGGCTGAGGTGGGGACAGCTGGGCTGAAGCAGGGGACAGCTTGGCTGAGGTGGTGACAGCTAGGCTGAGGTGGGGGACAGCTGGGCTGAGATGGGGACAGCTGGGCTGAGGTGGTGACAGCTAGGCTGAGGTGGGGGACAGCTGGGCTGAGGTGAGGGGGCAGCTAGGCTGAGGTGAGGGACAGCTGGGCTGAGGTGGGAACAGCTGGGCTGAGGTGAGGGGACAGCTGGGCTGAGGCAGGCAGGACACCTGGCTAATGGCACAGCAGTAGAGACACTGGCAGTGGACAAGTCCCCATGTATTTTCTGTTTGGGACCACATCCTACTTTTCAGAAATGCCTTGGGAAGGCCTGACCAGACTGTGACCCTGCAGCCTCCAGGCCACAGTCAGGGGAGGGTCACAGGTGGAAGCACTTTTTCCCATCCTAACCCCCCGCCCCCCACAAATCCACAGGCAATGGAGCAGGCGGGCAGGCGACGGGGGTTGTGGGCCTCACCTTCCACCACTGCCCTCAGAGACTCCCCCAAGGGCTGTGAATGACCCTGAACTCTCGGGTCCCATGGTGTCCAAATGGAGCAGGCCCTTGGAGGGCGTCATCCCAGGCCCCCAATTACAAGTGTGTCAGATGACCTTCTTAGCTCCATTTTTCAGATGGGGAGACTGAGGACTAGAGAACAACCTGCCTGCGGTCAGGCAGAAGTGGTCCGGGCTGAACAGGGATTGAATGTGATCAGTCCAGCCTAGTTCCCGGCTCTTTGTCACTGCGGCTGCACCTTTCCAGAATGTATCTGAAGAAGCAAGACCTCGAGGCCCAATTCACTGCTGTCTCGATTCCTGACTCACTTTCCCCTCTTCTCTGTTTGAGAAAATCTGTTCTTTGGCAGTGTTTCTCCCCCAGGCCCTGGTCCCTGGGAAAACCCAGCTGCAATAAAGCAGCCATTGCTTGGGCTGTGGAAGAACGTTCTAGAGCACAAGCAGAGGAAGGGGGACCGGTCGACTGAAGACAAGGCCCAGGAGAGCTGGCCTCCTCCATGGGACACCTGCCGGCCCAGGCATCTCCTCCCCTGGCAAAGAGTTCCCAACCCTGCTGCTCAGAACTCCTCTCCAGGGCTTTTTCCAGCATGAGCTGCCCCTCCCCTCTGGGGTGGGTCACAGTAAAGTCCTGCAGGCACGCAGCCGTCACAGCAGAGTGACCAGGTGCCAACAGGGGGTGGATTTCCCTGGGTAGTTCATTCCAAATGGGCCACGCAGGTACTGTGGGTGTGTGTCTGTGTATGCAGGTGGGTCTAGGCCTAAAACAGTGGCACATGGGGGTTTTTCAGCCAGAATCAGGTGTGATGAAACGGTCTTTATAAAAGTTACACTGAAGACTCTGGAGCCTGAAGGCCTGAGTTCAAATCCTAGCTCTACCATTTCAGAGCTGTGCAACTTTGGGCAAGTCACTTAATCTCTCTGTGCCCATGTCCCTCATCTACAAACTGGGGCTAATAATAGAACCTACAGCCAAAGGTTGTTGTGAGGATTTGTGTTTTCTATGTGAAGATTTGTGTTTCAGTGAGGGGCATATGATAAGTGCTGTAGATGAGTCTGCTGTAATTACGATGTGGCTCTATATTCTATGTGAGCACCCCTCCTCCCCAACTAGAGGCAAAGCTGCTCAAAAGCTGAGACCGAGGTTTACTCTCCTTTCCAGGCCTAGCACCCCCAGGGCGAAGCAGGACTAGCGATCCATAATGATCAGGCATTGAACACAGGAGGCTGCCAATGTGTGCATGTGTGTGTGTGTGTGTGTGCGCACAGGTGTGCCTCAATATTATGTATAGGTGTGTGTTTTGTGTGTGTGCATCATTAACTTATGTGTCAGTAATAGGTGACAAATTTCTATGCCAGTATCACTATTGTGTTTGTTTCTATTGGCATTAGGTTACCAGCATGGCACATGCGTCTCTTGGGTGTGGATGCTGGTGGGTACTGGGTGTGTTTGCAGTATGAGGCCCAGTGAGCGTGTGTTTATGTATGGAACAGTGTTAGGAGGTGTCGGTACTGTGGATATATGTGTGTCAGCATCTGTGTGTCAGTGCTGTGCGTACATGGTATCAGCATCTGTATATGCGTGTCTGTGTTGGCATTGTGTGTGTATGTTTGTGTCCACATTGGGCATATATGTGTGACAGCCTTGGCGGTATATGTAGGTCCATGCTGGGTAAGTATGTGTGTCAGTGTTGTGTGTATATGTATGCAGCATCATATGTGTATTTTGTCAGTGTCGGGTGTACGTGCGTCAGTACTGTTTGTGTAGATTTTTGTCAAAGTAGGTTCATATGTGTGTCAGTGATGGGTGTATGTGTTGCTGTGTGCCTGCGTACTCATGTAATCAGCATCCGCATTCTATGGTTGTGTATTGTGTGTGTATACGTGTGCATCAGTGTTGTATGAGTACACAGGATCGTGGTGTGTGTGTGTATATCTGTGTCCGTGATTTGTATAGATAGGAGTCAGCACTGTGTGCATGTGTGTGTCAGTGTTGAGTGTGTATGTGAGTGTGCCCATGCCAATACATATACATGTGTCAGCACGGTGTGCTCTGTTTCGGCATTGTGTGTTTGGATGTGCCAGCATTGTATGCATATGTGTGTCAGTGTTGTGTGTATGTGTGTGCTGGCATTGCATGAGTGTGTCTATCAGTGTTGGGTGTGTATCAGTGTTGTGTGTCTGCACATGTGTCAGCATTGAGTGTGTAGCTGTGTGTCGACAGTGGGTTCGTATGTATATCTGTGTCAGTGATGGGTAGAAGTGTTGCTGTGTATCAGCATGCTTGTGTATATCTGTGTCAGCATTGTCGGTGTCAGTATTGTGTGTATATGTGCATCAGCATTGGGTGTATGTGTGCATCAGTGTTGTGTGAACATGCATGCTATTTGTGTCATGCACCTTTGCACCTTTGTCCCCCTATCTGCCTTGAGGGAGGAGGGAAGGAGAGGCTCCCTCAGATGCTAGGTCTGAGCCTGGCTCCCCAGCACCCTGGAGGCCTGGCTTGCCAGCCCTGGCGCCTGCGCCTGCCCAGCTCCAGCCCCCACCCCAGCCTCTCCCTGACTGGCACCCAAGTTTATAAGTGTTGCTTTTCTCCTATTCTACTCAGGCCTGTGATGGAAAATCCTCGGGCTGGAAGTGAGCCCCGAATCAATAGTCCATTCCATTTAACAGGGTGGCTGTCACCATAACGAGATAAAAGTGGATTAGCTTCTGCGCCGCTGCCGCTTCTACAGGGAGCCCATCTGTTCCCTGCACAGCCGGCCTGGCTCAGAGTGGCCATGCAACCCAGCCAGACCTGGCCATGGGGGCCCCCACCAAGGTCTGGGATGGGAAGGGTAAGGGACAAGAGTGGGATCCAGATGGGGCTTAGAATGGGGCTCAGGATGGAGTAGATCAGGGTGTGCTCAGGATGGAGATGGGACAGGGAGGAGGACAGCATGAGATCAGGCCAGCTGTGAGCCTGTGCGTCCAAGCTGACAATCTGATGTGTCCTTCTGAGAAGTCTGTTCCCTCTTGGACCTCAAGTGTGGCTGAACCTCTGACAATACATGCAGGTGCCAAGACATCCTGGCCTGGAAACCCTGGAGGCCACACATAGTGTGTGAACTTATTTCGAGGAAAAGCCCTCCCACTCCCCTAAGAACTGAAAGAGAGAAGAGGCTCTTGTTGCCAGCAAGAGGAAGGCAGGCTGGACATCAGGAAGAACTTCCTCCTCATAAAGGTAAGCACTTTGACAAGCAGGTGACCAGATGTTTATTTGCCTTTTCAGGGTATGTTCTAGATCTGACTGATTTTTTAAGTATTTGACACTAGGTGCCCTGAGCAAACAAAAACTGTTGATTCACCTAAACCCCATTCAATTGATTTTTGTTGTTGTTAATCTGCAGTATATACTGCCAATATATCTCCCACTTCATCTGCCTTTTCACTTCGAGATTCTTTATTTTTATTTTGTCAGTTCTTACAGGCTTATCTGTGATTTTTCCCCTCGTGTTTATGCTTGGAAAAGCCCAACTCATCCTGCAATAATCACCTTTGTTTCTTCTAGTTCTTTTATGATTTCATTTTTAATGTGAACATTTTGATCCACCTGGAATTTGCATGAAGTAGATGAGTTTAAAATAGTTAACCAAGTGTCCACCATCATTTCATGACTAATCTGTCTTTTCTACACTCATTTGAAATGCCACTTTTATCATTCATTAGGGTCCTGTTTCTGGCATATCTGTTAATTGGTTAATTTTTGTGCTAACCAGTACAAGTTTTGTTGAGCATAGCTTTGTGATATATTTTGATATGAGAATATATTTTCTCTTTAACACGGATGCCCTATATCTTTATTATTTTATAGCTGTGTTAATGCTAAACTTTATTTAATGAAAGTACCAGAAAAGCATACCATTTGAGGCCTGTGGCAATTCCTTTTCAAACGTAAATAACAGTCCCCAAATACTTTCTATAGTCAGGTTTTCTGGATCGAGGCCCATGGGCATTAGGAAGACCTCCCTTTCAGTAGCAGCAAGAGTTGAAGCATTAGGGACACCCCCCACCCCACCCCCAACCCGCAGAGTCCTGAGAAGAGCCTGGCAGAGTCGGATGTGCACGCAGGACAGACAGAGACTGAGTCCTGTCTTCATTTGAGTCCCCCTAGAAGCAGATTCTGAGACAAGGATTTGAGTGCAAGCAGTTTGCTTGAGAGGAGATCCTAGGAAACACCAAGAGGGAAAGGGAAAGAAGGCAGCAGGCCAAAGGGGCCTTGATCAAGCTGGTTGCAACCATGGGAATGGAGCTTCACTCCACAGAGACTTCAGTGATCCACAGGGTAGACCATGGGCCTCAGAGCTATCCTACCCAAGTACTCCCAAGTACTATCCTACCCTGGTACTCCCAGCAGCCATTGGTTGAGAGCAGTAGATATCCTACCCAAGTACTCCCAGCAGCCATTGGTTGAGAGCAGCCCTGAGAAGCAGGGAGGGGCATTAACTCTCCAGCACTTCCTGCCTGCCTGGGTGGAGGGAGGAGCTGCAGCCCCAGAGAAAGGCTACAGGCATTTGGCGTGGGACAGGTAAGCACTCTGATGGGAGGGCCCAAGGGAATCTGAGCAGGACATCTGCCAGTGAGCCCTAGATGGGGTCAATGGGGGTGGGGAGGAGAGAGTAAATTCAAGAGGCTTTTAGGAAGCAGAATAGACAGGGCTAGGGGGCCTGAGCCCCTGAGGTCATGGAAGAAGAGGAGACCAGGGTGACCCTTGGATTTCTGGCCTGGGGAATGGGATGGATGATGGAGCGGGGCATCAGATGAGGGAGTATTGCACTCCAGAGAAAGAAGTGGGGCGGGGCAAGGGGAGGGGTTTGGTTTGGGTCATGCTGGGTCAGGAATACTGAGCATCTATCTGACAGATGTCCAGGAGACAGCTGTGTGTCTGTCTGGGCTCAGGAGGCAGAGTTAGGAGGTAGGTGGAGAGCAGAGAGTCGTCACTGAAGCCATTGATGCTGGGGGTGTACACGAGGTGTGGCCGATGCTGAGGAAGTTTCCAGGTTAAGAGCAGAGGGGTCACAAGGAACATTCCACAGATGTGCAGAAGTGACTGTGAGTGAAGCTTGAGCGACTTGTCTCTTCCCAGTTCCCCAGTGACTGAGAATCCCCTCCCATCCTTATGGGTTGGGGAGGGGGAAGGTGAGGGAAAGGATGGGAGGGAAGGGAGGGGACAGGGTGATGGAAATTCTAAAGGAGCCGACAGCTGTCAAATAATATAAAACCTCATATGTTAATAATTCTTACAGTTTTGCCAAAGACTTAATGGCTGGCCTGTCAAGAGCGGTGACAGAAGCTATTATGGAAACAAGATGGGAATATTTTGGAGGCAGCATCAACAGCACTGCCCATTGCCAGGGCTCCAAGGACCAGAAGGAGGACAGTCATACCTCCTGCCTGCCACCCCCAGGAAGGCCATGTGCTCTGCCAGAGAGGTGCTGGGTCATTGCGGATTCAAGCCACTGACTGTGAATTGATCGCCTCTGAGGACGTTTTAATTAACCGCCAGTTCCCAGAGCTGCCCCATCCTTCCTTTCCCCAACCCCTCCCTGGTCTGCAGCCACTATCGTCCCCAACACAGAAGCAAGAAGCAACCAGCCAACAGCGCAATACAGTGAGAGGGACCGCTGGAGGATTGTAGATGGGGGACAAGCAGAGGAGAGGTTCCAGGACCCCGGTGGCAGCCTGATCTGGCAGATCTAGATCTCTAAGGGGTCTTGCACTGGTCATGGACTCAGGGCCTGAGAACCAGACCCAGTTCTGTAGCTGATTGGTTACATGAGCTTGGACAAACCCTTGGTTTTGAAATGCCTCAACTTCTCACTCTATAAAATGGGAACAAGGCCAGGCGTGATGGCTCATGCCTGAAATCCCCACATTTTGGGAGGCCAAGGTAGGAGGATAGCTTGAGGCCAGGAGTTCGAGACCAGCCTGGGCAACATGGCAAGACTCCATCTCAACAAAAAATTAGCCAGATGTGGTGGCACACGTCTGTACTCCCAGCTACTCAGGAGGCTGAGGTGGAAGGATCTCTTGAACCCAGGAGTTCAAAGCTGCAGGAGCTACAATGACACCACCGAACTCCAGCCTGGGCAACAGATCAAGACCCTGTCTCTACAAAATAAACAAAATAAAAATAAAGTGAGGTGGGAACAATAGCAGGAAGTGCCCATAAAACATGTGCAAAGATGCTTTCAGAGCTTCAATATCTTGGAATCACTTTCCACAATCCTCTGAAGCACCTTCTGCTTAATCTTATCTAACTCTCAAATCAACTCCAAGAAATGGCATAATTATCTCCATTTTAATAGACAGGGATCAGGAGACAGGGAGGAAGGCTGAAGTGGGCACACAATACTAATTTGCAGGAACAGGATTGGAGCCCACAGTCTTCTCTCCACAACCAGAACCTGCCTTAGTATGAGGGATTCTTATTAGACTATCAGTCGTGACAGCTACCATTACCTTATACCAAAAGTTACACTAACCCAGAGCTTCTCCAACTTGACTGCACACAGGGAACTCCTGAGCATCTTGTTGAAATGCAGATGCAGATTCAGCAGGTCTGGGATGGGGACTGAGATTCTGTGTTTCTAGTAAGTACCAAAGTGATACTGATGCTGCTGGTTCAAAGACCACACCTTGAGTATCAAGGTGCTAATGCTTTATCTCATTTGGTTGGCACAATAGCCAGTGAGACAGGCATTATTATTATCATCCTTGCTTCACAGAGGACACTGAGGCTTAGAGAAATGGAATAAGTTCCTCACGATCACAATGCTA
Source organism: Homo sapiens (assembly GCF_000001405.40). Lineage (NCBI taxonomy): Eukaryota > Metazoa > Chordata > Mammalia > Primates > Hominidae > Homo > Homo sapiens. The sequence goes on along the minus strand of NC_000001.11, from coordinate 36,563,980 downwards.
AGCAGAAGAACCAGGGTTAGGACCCAGGTCACCTGGCCATAGTCTGCCCACTGGGCCCCAGTGCTAGACCATCTATCTCTCCAGCGTTTGCCTAAGAAGTCAATGACCTGGAATTATGTGAGCCACACCAGGAGTGAGGTCCTGAGGATGGGCAGGAGGGCTCAGATGATACAAGAGCAGAGGGCATTAGGAAATACAGGTTTCTTCAAGAGAAACCTTGGCCTCAGCAAGGGAGGAAACTGTAGTTTGGAAAGCAGGTGTTGCCATATCTAGAAGAGAGAGATGCTGGTTCTGGAAACTTCTCTCGCTTTGATGGGAGCGCTCTGAGCTGGGGATGGTTAGCTTGGAAGAGAAGAATTTTTAAGTGGACTGGCAAGAGGCCCTGGAGCCAGGATGAGAAGGAGGAGCTCCAGCCTCGGGGACCGGCAACTGGGAGGACTTGCACTGGCTTCAGGCTCAGGGAATGACCTCACAAGGGCCACAGAAGAAAAAAATATAAATGTGAGAAAGTGAGCAGGCCTAGAAGGGGTGCAGGGAGAGGAAGACAAGAGCAAGGGTCACGCACTCAGATGCCAACAGGTGCCAGGTAGGTGTCCAAAGTGAGTGAGGTGGGCCCGTGTCACCAGAGCTGATTCTTCAAGTGAAGTGGGAAGTTCACACTCAACGGGAAATCCCCCATTTTTTCAATGCTGCTTACCTTTTCCAAAAAAAATCCACTTTTTTATATTGCCCAGTATTTCAAAAAATATATATGTAAGATTGTTCAGACCTAATAAGATATGTCTATGAGCAAGATAGGCTCTTGGGTCACCATTTTGCAACCTCTGGACCACAGCCAGCACAGGCTGGATTTGGTGGGAAGGGGGAGTTTGTGGGAGTCCTGAGAGAGGAAGGGGACAGGTTTGAGGGACAGCAGCCATGCATGATAGATATGAGAGAGAGAGAGAGAGAGAGAGAGATGATAGCAAAAATTAGGGTTTTGCTGGCTGTGCGCAGTGGCTCACGTCTATAATCCCAGCACTTTGGGAGGCCAAGGCAGGAGGATCACTTGAGGTCAAGAGCTCGAGAACAGCCTGGCCAACATGGCAAAGCCCCATCTGTACTGAAAATACAAAAACTAGCCAGGCGTACTGGCACACAACTGTGATCCCAGCTACTCAGGAGGCTGAGGCAAGAGAATCACTTGAACCCAGGAGGCAGAGGCTGCAGTGAGCCAAGATTGTGCCACTGCACTCCAGCCTGGGCAACAGAGCAAGACTCTGAAGACTCCATCTAAAAAATAAAAATAAAAAAGATGCAATGCTGCTTCTTATAAACAGAAACAGAATCTTCTTTAGTGTTCTTCAGAAGACTTTGATAAACATTCCAGGGATTTCTCCATGTTTTGGCTCCCAGACTAGTGTGTCTTTTACTGTGACAACGAGCAGAGACTGAAATGCAGCTGCTCACTCTTATATGGGTTCCACAAGAAGGCCAAACCACAGGAGGCTGCAGCCCAGAGGGACCACAAGCTTGCAGTGGAGGCATTCCCAGGGCACCAAGAAGCATGTCAGGACCCTGAGCCACCAAAGACCCACAGACACCAAGGGGAAAGGCCATTAGGACAGATTCCCAGTGACGGCTGCCCCCAGGCGGGGCAAGCAGGCTCCTCTTTGCAGGTACAGATCTAAAGCAAAGGATCTGAGCAGACAGAGTGGCAGGTATAGGTGGGAAATTCACCTTATGGATAGACATGCAGGAGGAGGAAGAGGAGGAGAAGAGGGAGAAGGAGCAAGAAGAGGAAGAGCAGAAGGAGGAAGGAGAGCTAAGCGTTGTTGAGCACCAAGCACTACTTGCATTGTTTCGTTGAATCACCATAACGTTTTTAGCACTTGATCTTATCCCCACTTTGCAGATAAGGAAACTAAGTCTTGAGAAGATAAAATGGTTTAAAGGCACCTGCTGGAAGTGGCAGAATAGGACTGTGATTCCAGGCCTGTCTGGATCCAGAACCCAGGCTCTTAACCATTTATGCGACAGAGGCCCTCAGCCCCTCCCCACCACGTAGAGCCACCTGCACATCAGGCCACAGACTTGGCGCCCGACGTGCAGGTGGCTATACTTGGGGGAGAGGGGCTGAGGGCCTATGTCTCATAAATGTTCATATGACAAAACTGAGGCCACCATAACCAGTTTTACTCTAAGCTGCCAGGCCCACCAAGTAGGGCCTATAACAGCCAAGCACTGAAAAGACCCTGTAGCCTCTGTTAGGTAAGGGCTAGAGTTTGGGGCCCTCTCCTGGTACAGGACTAGGGTGCTTCCCATACATGATGCCCCCAGGGACCTCTTTCCCACAAAGAACAAAACCATAAAGCTCCAGACAGCCCAGGGGCCTCTTTCACGTGGCCAGGAAATGCTGGAGAAAAACCCTCACTAGGTCCTCCCAGTCCCCATCTGTCCTTGTCCCCGGCTCCCACTGTGCCTATTCCCAGGCTACTGGGCTGCTTGAGCCCACACTGCCTGTAGCCACCCGCCTAGGAGCATTAATTGAAAATTAATCCGCTCGGTACGTGCCGGCGTGCAAATCAAAGCTAAGTGTCTCAATTAGGAAGAGAAATGGAGTCGGGCACTCTTCTCAGATGCTGGCTTATTTATGGGGATAATATCATTTTTAATGAGGGAAGCTACTAAAAGGCACAACAAATGCAACATTTAATAGAAAAATATTACAGCATTCCATCAGCAGAACACAGCCAGGAGAGTGGGTTCCAGGGATGCAGGAGCACGCGGGTGTCTCTATGGTTGTCCAAGCACCTTGTACAAGCATGTGTGTGCACACGTGTCCCCATGAGCCCTCGTGTCTGCATGCACACTGTACACGGACGGCTGCATGCATCTCCTTCTCTGGATATGTGTGTATGTGAATATTAGTGTCTGGGTCTGGTGTTTGGGGAGTAGTGAAGCTTTCCGCTGTTTTTGCTGCAAAAGATGAATTTCCCATCTGCCGCCTAAAGAACTGTCATTCTGGGCCCTGGGCCAGCCAAATAAAAATCTAAGGTATTTCCCAATACTAAGGAGTCCCGGTCCATTTGGTCCCTGGAGAAGTGCAGGTCTCTGGCACCAGTCTCCATGGAGGGTCTTCATGTGCAAATCAGACCCCTGGGCCCCAGCCTCCTCCACACTCCTCTTGCCACACATGGGCTATGGTTGTCTCGGCCCAGCACATCGCTAACAACTGCAGGACAAGGCCCTCTTGTCATCATCCCACTGCCCCAAGCTGGCACTTGGGCTAGCTACCTGCTTTACCCTTGGTCTCAGCTTCAAAAGTCAAGGACTTTACTTCCCAGGCCAAGTCCACGTTCCTGGGCCTATTTTCCCATTCCTCCGCCTAGGTGCGGCACATCCGTAGACCCGGGCTCTGCAGCTCCAACTCAGGATGGTCTCGGCTCCAGCAACTGTGGAATGGAGAAGTGATTCCATTGGGGTGGCCAGCTCAGAATCTACACCGGCCTCACCCTAGCCCATCAGAGAACACTTTTCCAGCCCGCAACACAGCATCCACATGTCCGTGCCTTTGCTCCCGTGGGACCCCTACTAGAAAGCACGTCCCATATCCTGCCTTCACTCCCATGCTCAGAGCAGCACCTCACTAACCCAGCACTCCCCAAGGAAGCTTAGGTGACCACCTCACCGTCCTCAGACTCCTCCCGAGACCCTGGTGCCATGCCTCACCCATGGGAATAATAACAGGGCCTGCCTCACTAAGTGTGCTTGGTGCATCTGCATCAGCACAGGGCATGGCCCAGAGTGGCTCACTGTTAGGACTAGTTTGACCGCGATTATGACCAGGTTATAATATCCACCTCTGTTACCTCTTCCCACCCCATACAAACCCTGGGAGGCACAGAATGAGGATTTTTCTCTACGTTTCTCCAAACCTTTTTGAAGGAACCTGAAGCTCAGAGAGATTGAGACATTTGCCAGAGGCTGCACAGCAGATCTCATTTTGAATGAGGAGTAACATCAAAAGATTTGCAGAGGTTCCCCAGGGCACCAGATCCCAAGTGTCCTGTACTCAAAACCCGGGCTCTCCCATCACAGAAGAGGCTGGGGACTCTAAGCCAGGGACTCAGGTGTCACCAGGTTCTGTCTCCCATCAGCTGGGTGACTCTGGACTTGTTACTTACCCTCTGTGTGTCAGTTTTTTCATTGATAAAATGAAACAGGTGATAACAGCACCTACTTCATGGGGATTTCTTTGTCAGGGTTAAATGAGCTAATACTCACAAAGCACTTAGAATCAAGCCTGGCATATGATAAATGTTCAGTACGTATTGAGATGTCATTACTAATATTAGGCCACCGTACCCCCAGATCATTCTCTCCCTGGCCAGGTAGCAAGAATCATCCATCAAACAGTCTGTGAAGGTCCCCAAGGCAGGGCCTTCCCCTCCGTCAAATCCCCAGCATGGGAGCCAGTGTTACATTCCTTAACCCGGAGAGTGCGTATTCATACAACGGTCATCAGTCATTGAGCTGTGGGCTTATGTTGTACGCACTTTATGTTTGTGCATTTTACTTGAATTTTTTAAGCAAATAACAATAATCGTCAGGTAAACCAAGTGGAGGTCGGGGTGCAGTGCTCGGCAGAGCACTCACTGGGCAGTGGTATTGGTGGCTACTGATTTCATGTCTGCCTCCTTCACAAGACCTTATGCACCACGTGGGCAAGGATGACATCTGGTTCCTTCCCTGCACTGTCCCCAGCACCTAGAAAAATGTCTGCGCATGGCAGCTGATGAATTACCATTGAAAGTGGGAGGGAGTTGATGGGTACCGAGGCACGAATGGAGAGGAGAAGATATCACACCTTCAGAGTGGCCACCTTGCTGCCCCCATAGCTGGGGAGAGGTGGGCTCTTTGCTAAGTGGAGATCTGAGTCCTTGAACCCTCAGTCTCAGGAGTGGAGACCCCCCAGCCCAGACCAAGAGCCTGATTGGAGGCTCCCCCTCCCTCTCAGACCCCAGTACCTCCAGATTGACGACATTTGAAAGTTATCTTCCTACAAAAGTCACTCTCCAGGATTAATATTTATTTCTTATGAAATTTAAATTTTTCAGTGTAATTAAATTTTTATTCATTGTGAGTTATAGATAAAAATATGACTTTCCCTTTCCCGCCACTGAGGAGGAGGCTTGGTTGGAAACAATTGCCCAGGCCTCCTGCTGGTTACTGTTCTGGGGTTGGGGGCGGGGGTGGGAGGCTCAGAGGGGCTGGTGGTGTGAGAGGTGGCATCTGTCACCCCAGCGTCCCCACCCACGCAACCCCAATGTCCGTCTGCTTCCTGCATTTAAGCAAGAAAAGTCATGGGTAAAAAAGGAGGGCCTCAGACCCAACCCACCCCCAGTGTCTTAGTCCATTTGAACGTCTATCACAAAAATCTCATAAACTGAGTGGCCTATAAACAACACACATTTATTTCTCACAGTTCTGGAGGCTTAGAAGCCCAAGATCAAGGCACCGGCAGACTTGGTGTCTGATGGGGCACACAGCTGGTCTTCCATTAATGGTAGAGAATCCCAAGTGTTCTGTCCACTGACAGGGAGCTCACTACCTCACAAGCCTAGTTAGCTTGGTTGGAAAATCCATCCTCTCACTAAATCTGAAGCCTGAGCTCGTAAAAATGGGGCTAACTGGACCCTCTCTGATTTCATATGTGTATCTCTGGAACACAATTCTGTCAGGCCCAAGAAGATCAGAACCCACCCTCCAAGCACTCACCACCCATGCCATCAACAGGACTTCAGATATACCTACAAACTCACTGCCTCCCTAGGAGCCTACTTGGCTCCCACATGGCCCTGGATGCAGTAATGTTAGAGGCCACACAACAGCCTTCCCCGAACAATTACATGGGGGACACACCATCAACAGGGTTATATTAACAGTCAAAGAGGGCCGGGCATGGTGGCTCACACCTATAATCTGAGCACTTTGGGAGGCCAAGGTGGGAGGACTGCTTGAGCCCAGGAGTTCAAGACCAGCCTTGGCAACATAGTGGGACCCTGTCTTTATAAAAAATTTAAAAGTTAGCCAGGCGTGGTGGTGCATGCCTGCAGTCCCAGCTACTTGGGAGGCTGAGGCAGGAGGATCACTCGAGTCTGGGAGGCTGAGTCTTCAAGAAGCTGTAATCATGCCCCTGCACTCCAGCGTGGGCAACAGAGCCAGACCTGGTCTCAAACACACACACACACACATACACACACAAAATCAAAGAGACACTTGCCACACCCTTCTTGCCCCTTCCTCCCATGTGCCAGTATCCCAAGATCTGGGCTGGATGAGGACTAAGGACTAAGACTCACTCACCTCTCTAATGCCACGGGGGCAGAGACCAAGCACGCACTTCCTCCTCACTATACTTGGAGCTACAGTTCGTGCTCACTAATTAGACCTGTCACCAGCCCTGAATCATTCCCAGGCCAGGCTGGGGAGGTCATTAAGCCGGAGATGGATAAGTGCTAAGCTGGCCCGCTCCAGAGATTTACAAGGCTCAGGCTGGGGAGGATTTATAAGGTTTGTTAAATTTCTAATTGAGTTTAGAATGCAGTGCCATGGTCTCAGTGACCAAGCTGCACGGGTGAGAATTAAAACAAGTGCACCCATCCCTCATATTCCCGGAAGACTCCAGGCATGGAAGCCTCCCCATCATCCCCACACACCAGCCTGGCTGCACAGACCAAGGCCTGCCGAAAGGCAGTGTGGTCTGGTGGGCAGCCCTGATCAAGCCACTCAGCAACCCCTGCCCAGCTCCAGGCCCGCAGACCAGCCCAGGACAGAGCTGCAGGCCCAAAGTCTGTTTGTGGTTGATTGGTTGGTTGCTTGGTCATCTGGATTTGTTGCGTGTTTGTTCTTTTTTTTTTTTTTTTTTTGGAATAGTTAATACACCCATATGGCTCGAATTTTTAAAAGTACAAAAGAATACCCAGAGAAAATCTCTCTCCCACTCTGCCTTCCAGCTACTACCCAGTGGAGAAAACCAATGATGTGATCAGTTCCTGGCAAATCCTTTTAGATTTGCACACACAAGCAAATTACACATAATATGTGTATATTCTTTCATATGTGTGTGTGTGTATATATATATATTCTTTTTTCCCTTTGATATGTACCCTAATGCACCTTACTTTTATCACTTAATAGCAGATCTTAGGAATCTAGACAGAATGCTGATTGGTCAGGATCAAACAGACTTGGGTTTGCCCCATGACGTGCTGAAGCAAGCTCTTACCTGCTCATAAGAACCAGCTGTGGGCATCTCTTCCCAACTCCAAGTTCAGTGATGTCATGTTGATAACTTGAAATTCTGTGGAGCATCACAGAAATTAGTAAACTCCACATATGGAAGCTTGTACATGTTTGTTTGGAGAGCTGATTATTCAACATTTACCAGTACACCACCAGCTTTACCACTTGTGAGCCAAGTGACCTCAGGCAAGCTATTTCATCTCCCTGAGCTTCAGTTTGTTCATGTCTAAAATGGGTATGAAAATAGTATCATAGTGTGGCCATGAGGACTGGGTGAGATAACACACGTGAGTGTGTGGCACCATGCCTAGCACACGGTAAGTTAGGTGCTGCTGGTGATGTTATCTCACTCTGGGCAACCCTACTGAAGTGGTAAAGAGGGCAGGGATTGCTAGACGAGGAGTCATGTTGGGGTGATGAGGATGACAAGTTTATCCTGAGGGATCCTTGAGCAGAGAAATCAACCCAGTCTCAGGGACCCAACTCACTCAGTATCACCACCACACCTACGGTGTGCCATCCCCATGCTGGGCAGGAAGGATGAAGAAATGAACAATGCAACTGCCGGCCTGCCAGGGTCTCCAGCATCATGGGAAGGAGTCAGACATAAAAACAGACAACACCAATGTGCTGTAGATACAGGCAGAATAGAGAGACCCCAGAGGAAGAGGAACCTGAACCTCCAGGTATGGGATGGGGATATAGCTTCCCAAAGGAGGGGCGCTTTATACTGGGCTTTGAATGGTGACCAGGAACCCTAGACAGAAAAGCTGAGCCTGGGAGGGTGGAGTTTCAGAGCTAGTCCCAGGAAAACACAGTTCTCAGAGTTCATTTCTTCTTAACTCAGAGAGAGGAAGTCACTTGTCCAAGGTCACACAGCACAGAAGTGACTGAGCCAGGATTCAAATCCAGATCCTCTTGGCCCAAAACACAACTCGTTCTCCTGCTGCATCCATTGTCTGCTCTCCACCCAGTCACCAAGCCATCCTGCAAGTCAGCATTCTTGGTGCTTAGGAGCACTTGGCACTCACACATAGTGAAGTGGATGCCCTCTGCAGCTCCTCGCAAGACAGGTCCTCTGACCATCTCACAGAGGGCAGTCATTATGGCTAAACAGTCCATGCACACACTTAGCCTGAGTTTTGAAACACAAAGGCATCAGCACCTCTGCAATCACAGGTGTGGCCAACTGTACCCCAGATCCTGGAAGCTTCACTCCTCAGACCACCATAGGCTGCAGCCCACCCTCAGGGTCCACTGCTCCCCTCCTTCCTTCTCCCACATATTGGTGTTGGCTGTTCTTAAATCAAACACTCCATGGTTGCCTGTCTGAGGAGCATCCCTCTCATCGGGGTGCAGATGGGGAAGGAAGAACCCCAGAGAGAAGTGGGCACAGCGGCCCCAGAGCATCATGAAGCCTGGACCTTCAGGAAGGGGTCAGGTGTGACTCTGTGCTACTGAGACCTTGTCTGGGGACCCGCATGGGTGACAGGCAACTCTCCCTCCCCCTCACTCACTCATTCAATATCCATGGGTCTCCTCATACTGTGTGCCATAGGTGAAATGTGGCCCACTGGGAACGCGTTTGGGCAGGGTCCTTGTCCCAGTGAAGCTTTCACTCTGATGGGGAAAACATAGCATAGACCAGAAACCAGGAAATTGATTAATTTTAGATGGTGCTAAGTGCTGTAGAGGAAATAAGACAAGCTGGTGAGATAGAGAGAGACAGGGTATAGTCAGGGAAGTCCTCTCTGAGGAGGTGGCATCTGGTCTGCTGCCTGAGTGACATGAAGGAGCCAGGCACCTGAAGATCGTGGGGAAAGATGTTCCAGGCAAAGGGAACAGCAAGTACAAAGGCTCAGAGGCTGTGTTTGAGCTGGGAAAGATAACTCTCTGGAAAGAGAATGGCCCAAAGAGGCATTGAGCACACACAAAACAGAGGGAGCAGTGGAACCAAATGTGCCACATGCTGATATGTGACCTCTCACTGTCTTTCCTACTTTCTGGGCCTCGGTATCCCCATTTGCAATGTGAGTCAATAGCAAAAACACTGCGACTAATTGAGAGAATGAAATGAGCTTGCTCACAGGTGAGCCTCTCCACTCAGAAGGCATCTCCTCACTCCTGCCTGAGATTGCCCTGCGAGAGCCCTGGGATCCTGAGAAACCATCTACAGTCTGGGGAAGGGGGTCTTCCTTGACCTGTGGAGGGACAACGAAGGACTCAGCCCTAAAGGCGGCTGGGAGGCTGGGTCGGGCTTGCCAGGTTTCTGGCTCCTTGGAGGGACCCCAAGGACAATAGGGCCACCCTGCTCAGTGATGCCAGGAGGTTTACTTGTCTTACCCAAAGCCACAAGGAGATCTTGGGATCTAGGACATGTGGAAAGCCACTGAGCACCCCCCCCAAACAGTTTCCATGCTAGTGGACTCCGTTTTTTCCTTCCCCAGGAAGACACAGGTGAAAATTTTCCCCAGGGTCTGTCTGTGGGTGCGGAGCAAGCATGGGAGGGTGAGCTGCAGAACTGAGACTCCACATCCTGAACCCCAGAGTCAGGACTCCTAGAAATGCCTCCCCATTCCCCAACACATTTACACCACCTGTATACCCAGGTCCTAAATACAGTCTCAGTGACGCGTCTACCTACCCAGAGCCCCTGGTCCGTAATCTGAGCATCGAGCGCCCTCTGGTGGTAATCGTGACTATCCGAAGCCCAGAGCCTCCAAGCGCGGGATGGCCAGCATCGCCCAGCCCCTCCAGTGTGGCGCCTAGCGTGGTGGGGAACTGAACAGCAAACGCCAGGGCTTTTAGCCAGCACCCACCTAAAAAAGACATGCCCTGAGATGGCAAAGGACTTGTCCAGAGTCACACAGCCTGTCGATCGTACCTAGTGGCCAAGAAGAGCACTCATTCATTCGCTCAATCTGCTTCATTGAGCACCTACTTTACCCCAGGCATTGTAATAGGCACAGGGAACTCAGCAGCGACCAAGACAAAGCCCTCACCTTCATAAAGGCTACATTCCACGGAAAGAGGGATAATAAATGCACAAACAAGTAAATATGTAGGGTGTCAGGTGGAGAGAAGTTCTATGATGAAAAATCAAGCAGAGTAGGGGAGAAGCAGCAGCAGGGAGCGAGCTATCTTAGATCAGACAGCTATGGGAGAGCTCTCTAGGGGGATGATTTTGAGCTGAGATTGATGAAGAGATGGGGAAATGTGTAGGGAGAAGCAATTCTGGCACTGGGAAAGGAAGTGGCCCCTGACACAGGAGGGTCCTTGGCATGTTCAAGTGACAGCGAGAAGGCCTGGGTGGTCAGAGTGGAGCAAGCAAGAGAGGCGGTAGAGGCCATATCAGATAGTGTCCTGTGCACTACGACAGGGGTCTAGGGCTTTGTTCTAAGTTGTGTTAGGAAGCCAGTGGAGGGTTTTGAACAATCACGAGGGGGCTAAAAGTTTTAAAGGCTCACTGGATTCTGAAGGAAAAACAGACGGCAGGAGGGATGAGGCGTGAACGCAGTTGGTTCGGAGCTAGAAAGCTATTGCAAGGTTCAAGGTGAATAGTGACAGGAGCTTTAACCAGTGGTGGGAGTAATGGAAGGGTCTCAGATTTGAGATGCATTTTGAAGTTCAAGCCAAAAAGAGCTACTGAGGTAGAGCTATATAGAATGTGAGAGAAAGAGAGGAAAAAGATAAGTCCAAGGTTTTTTGCCTGAACATCTAGGTGACGTTTCCTGAGATGGGGATGGCAGGAAGGAAAGATTTGATGAGAGGACAGTGAAAAGTTCCATTTTGGGCATGGTGAGTTTGAGGTGCTGGCCATGACTATCCCAGGTTGGATATAGGAGTCTGAAGTTCAGGGGTGAACTTGGCAGTCATTACCATATAGATGGTGTTTAAAGCCATGGAGAGAGGCACCTACTTCTATCCAAGATGAAGCAACAGAGGCCAGATTTATCCTCTCGCCTGAAACAAACAAATAAAACACACACAAACTATATAAAACAATGGTTTTCAAGATACTGGACATCAGAAAACAAAGGATAGTATCCCTTAGAGACAGAAAACAAACAAGGTGAGCCCTAAAATCATCTCAGCATACTGTCTTGGTAGAGTTTCTCTGTTGCATCACAGGAAGTAGGAATGGAAGTAGTGCCTGGGAAACATCCTAAATTGGGAAGATAGAGCTAGGGGTCCAGAAAGACAAAGACAAGAATTTGCAGGACAGAGCACTCAATAGGAGAGAGACCTACAAAGACAGCCAGAACCCCAGAAACCTGCAGAGGGTCCCCTTCAAGTATTCATCGGAGTACTGATCAGCACATGTGTATATGGAAAATACCCAAGGCTGAACAAGTAATCATCCAGAGGTATAGAGGAAACAGTACCCAGCAATCACACAAGGCCTGGAATAACATCTATTCTCACCAGGACTAGAAAACCTCATAATTAGTGCGAGATGGGGTAGAATACTCAGAAGATTCTCGCCTCAACAATGAAGAATAATTAGCCCTAAATTTAAATGCCGCTCTGGTCCCACCTAACAAATCTTCAAAGCAAGACCTAAAAGGATCAAACTCTTCCTGCAAATAAATTAATTGCATTCCAGAACAAAGTTCAGAATATTTGTAGAAATGCAAAAATAACCAAGAATATAAAGAACTCCTAATGTATATGTAATTGGAGTATCCAAAGGAATGCAAAAATACTCAAAAAGGTAAAAATTACAATGTCTGGCATCTAATCAAAGATTATCAGGTATGCAAAGAAGCAGGGAAATATGCTCTATAATGAAGATTAATTAATTAATTAATTGAAACTGACTCAGAATGTACATAGATGTTAATAATAGTAATTAAGTGGAGGATTGAGATATTAAAAAGACATAAATCAAACTTACAGAGATCAAAAACAGAGGGGAAAATTACACTGGATGGGAGGAATGGCAGATTGGACATTGCAGAAGAAAAGATTAGTGAACATAAAGACACAGCAATAGAAACTACCCAAAATGAAACACACAGAAAGAAAAATCAATTTTTTTTTTTTTTGAGACAGGGTCTCACTCTGTTGCTCAGGCTGGAGTGCAGTGGTGCAATCTCAGGTCACTACAGCCTCCACCTCCCAGGCACAAGCAACCCTCCCACTTCAGCCTCCTGAGTAGCTGGGACTACAGGCACACACCACTATACCCAGCTAGTTGTTTGTATTTTTGCAGAGATGGGGTCTCGCCATGTTCCCCAGGCTGGTCTCGAGCTCCTGGGCTCACGAGATCCACCCACCTCTGCCTCCCAAAGTGCTAGGATTAAAGGCATGAGCCACCGTGCCCGGCAAAAAATCAAATTTTTTAAAAGGGAACATCAATGATCTGTGGTTCAACATTAAACAACCTAATATATGTGTGATTAGAGTGTCAGCCTGTAATTCCAAACCCGGCAAAAATAACTTTCAAAAACAAAACCAAAATAAGACTATTTCAGATATACAAAGCATAAAGAATTCATCACCAACAGACTTTCATCATAAGAAATATTAAAGGAAGTCCTTTAGGCAGAAGCAAAATGATAACAGTGGGAAATATGGATCCAAGGAATGAAAAGCACCAAAAGTGGTAACTACATGGGTAAATATGTTTTATTATTATTTCAAGCACTTTAAAAGATAAGTGGCTATCTAAACAATAAAAATATATATTGTGGGGGGGTTGTTTTTGTTTTGAGACTGAGTCTCGCTCTGTCACCTAGGCTGGAGTACAGTGGCGCAATCTTGGCTCAGCACAACCTCCGCCTCCCAGGCTCAAGTGATTCTCCTGCCTCAGCCTCCAGAGTAGCTGGGATTACAGGCACGTGCCACCACTGCCTGGCTAATTTTTGTATTTTTAGTGGAGACAGGGTTTCACCATATTGGCCAGGCTAGTCTTGAACTCCTGACTTCAAATGATCCACCCGCCTCAGCTTCCCAAAGTGCTGGGATTTACAGGCATGAGCCACCATACCCAGCCAGTTTATTTTTTATATATGTAAATTAAATGTATGACAACAATAGAATACTGAATGAGAGAGGAAGAGTAGGGGTATGCTATTGAAAGATTGTTACACTATACCTGAAGTGGTATAACATTATTTGAAAGTAGACTGTGATAAGTTAAAGATCCATACTATAATCCCTAAAATTACCACTAAAATAACAATATTAGAAGTTATAGCTAATAAGTCAACAATAGAGATAAATTGGAAACACAAAAAATACTCATTTTCCCCAAAAGAAAGCAGAAAAAGATAAAAAGGGGAACAAAGAATAGATGGGGCAAATATAAAACAAATCACAAGATGATAAACTTATACCTAGCCATGTCAATGATCACATTAAATGTAAATGATCCAAACTCCCCAATTAAAAAGTAAAAATTGTCAGATTGGATAAAAAAAAATCAGGACCCAACTATGTACTCTTTCAAAGACATATATTAAATATAAAGACAGAAATAGGGTAAAAGTAAAAGGATGTCAAGAAGTGTAGCCTACTAACACCAAATAAAAGAAAGCTGTAATAGCTGCACTATATCAGACAGAATAGATCTCAGATTATAAAAATATTACTAGGGATTAAAAAAGTTCATTTCATAATGATCATAGGGTCAGTCAATGAAGAGGGCATAATTCAAAATGTTTATGCATCTAATTAAATAGCTCCAAAATACATGATGCAAAAATGGATAGAACTGCAAGGAGAAATAGACAAATCCACAAATACAGTTGGAGATTTCAAGACTCTTCTCTCAATAATTGATAAAGCAAGCAGACAGAAAATCACTAAGGATTTGGGAGATTTTAATAACACTATAAAACAACTTGGCCTAATTGACATTTTTAGAACACTCCACCCAACATCAGAATACACATCATTTTCAAGGGCGCAGAGAATATTTTTAAAGATAGATCATATTCTTAGCCATAAAAAAGGTCTCAATAAACTTAAAATAATTCAAGTCATACAAATGAAGTTCTGACTATAATAGAATTATATTGGAATTACAGAGATATGTAAAAATCACCAGCCAAATACTTGGAGATTAAAGAACACACTTTTAATAACCCATGAGGTCAAAGGAGAAATGAAAGGGGAAATTATAAAGTATTTTGAACTGAATGAAAGTGAAAATAAAACACTAAATGAAAACACAAAATTAGTGGGGTGCCTCTATAACAGTACTTAGGATATTGATAGTAATAAATACCAATAGTGGAAAAGAACAGTCTCAAAGCAAAGACTTCAGCTTCTATCTTAAGAAACTGGGTGGGGGGGCGGGGGCGGGGAAGAGCAAATTAAACCCAAAGTAAGCAGAAGAAAATAAATAATAAAGATTAGAGCAGAAATCAATGGAATAGAAAAATAATCGAGCAAACAAAGACAAAAGCTGATTCTTTGAAGAAGTCAATAAAATTGACAAAACTCCAGCTAGACTGATCACAGAAAAAGAGAGAAGGCAAAACATTACCAATATCAGGAATGAGAGAAATTATATCACTACAGATTCTAAGAATATTGAAAGGAATAAAAGACTATCTATTAAATACATTGAATTTGTAGTTAAAACTTTCCCACAAAGATACTTTCAGAACCAGGTGACTTCAGTGGGGAATTTTAGGAAACATTTAAGGAAGCTGTGATATTGTAAAATATATATTAGTCTTTGTACCATTTCCTGTCACTTAGCTCCTAAAACCCTTGGAATCTCCAGAATGGCAAGAGTGTCTTTCGTATGCTATCTCAGTCCATTCTGGTTTCTATAATAAAATACCTTAGGCTGGATAATTTATAAATAGAAGAAATGTATTTCTCACAGTTCCGGAGGCTGGGAAGTCCAAAATCAAGGTCCTGGCAGATTCAGTATTTGGTGAGGGCTTACTCTGTGCAGGACAGATGGCACATCGCCGCTGTGTCCTCACACGGTGCCAGGGGCAGGAGGGACCTGGCACCTCCCTCCAACTTCTTTAATAAAGGCACTAATCCCACTCACGAGGGTGTAATCTTCATGACTTAATCACTTCCAAAAAGGTCCCATCTCTTAGTACTATCATCTTGGAGGTGAGGTTTCAACATATGAATTTTGGGGGTACACCAACATTCAGACCATAGCATATGCTAATAAGATGACTGGTGGCTGGCAGGCCCTAGACAGCTTCAGAATGACAGCTTCAGAAACACCAAAGCATGATTAAAGGGTTGGGACTTCAGCCCCAACCCCCAATCTCCAGGGAGGAAAGAAGGCCTGAAGGTTGAGTTAAGCACCAATGGAATAATGGTTTAATCAATCATTCCTGTTTAATGAAGCCTCCATAAAAATCCAAAAAGACAATGTTTGGAGGAGCTTCCAGACTGCCAAACACACGGGATTCTTGGAGGGTGGTATATCCAGAGAGGGTATAGAAGCTCCATGCACTTCCCCCATGCCTTGCCCTATACATCTCTTCCATCTGGCTGTTCATCTGTATCCTTTGTAACATCCTTTATAGGCCTGATGCAGTGACTCATACCTGTAATCCCAGCACTTTGGGAGGCAGAGGTGGGAGAATCGCTTGAGTACAGGAATTCGAGACCATCCCAGGCAACGTAGTGAGACTCTGTCTCTACAAAAAAATAAAAATTAAAAATGAGCTGGGCATGGTGGCATGTACCAGTGGTCCCAGCTACTCAGGAGGCTGGGGCAGGAGGATCACAGGAGCCCAGGAGTTCAAGGTTGCAGTGAGCTATGATCACTTCACCGCACTCCAGACTGTGTAAGTGAGACACTTGTCTCAAAATTTTTTTTTAATTTAAAAATAATTTTAAATTTTCAAAAATTCATTAAAATAAGTTGGTAAATGTAAAGTGTCTCCCTGAGTTCTGTGAGCAGCTCTAGCAAATTATTCAAATCTAAGGAAGGAATCCTGAGAACCCCTGGGTGGCCAAAAGCACAGGTCATACCTGGGGTTTGCAATTGGCATCTGTGGTGAGGGGGAGTCTTGTGGGACTGAGCCCTTAACCTGGGCGGTCTGAAGCTATCTCCAAGTAGACAGTGTCAGAATTGAATTGAATTAGAGGACTTCCAGCTGGGGTCCACTGGAGAATGCGTGGTGTGTGGAGAAACAACCCACACACATCTGGTGTCAGAAGTATTGTGTTGAGTCGTGTGTGAGAGTAGGAGAAACACTTTGGGTTTTAGCCATAACACCAATTCAACACAAACTCTCCCAGAAAATTAAAAAGGAAAGAACACTTTCCAACTCAGTCCATGAGACCAACATTACTCTGATGACAAAGCCAAAGACATTACAAGAAAGCTACAGACCAATATCCCTCTTGAACATATATGTAAAATTCTAAACAAAATCTTAGCAAATCAAATCCAACAATATATAAAGTGGATAATACATGATGACCAAGGAGGTTTATCCTGGGAATACAAAGTTGGTTTCACATTGAAAATTAGATCAATGTAATTCATATTAATTTCCTTCTGTTATAGAACAAATTACCACAAACTTTGTGGATTAAACAACAAAAAATTACCTTACAGTTTGGGAAATCAGAAGTCCAAATGGATTTCACTAGGCTAAAATCAAGGTGATACACGATTGCATTAATCCTGGAAGCTCTAGGGGAGAATATATTTCCTTGCCTTTGCAAGTTTCTAGAGGCTGTCTCCCTTCCTTGGGTCATGGCCCCGTCCTCCATCTTCAAAGCTGACAGCATAACATCTCCAAGTCCCTCTGTTTCTCTCGCACATGCTTTCTTCTTCTTTTCTTTTTCTTCTTCTCCTTCTTCTTCTTCTTCTTCTTCTTCTTCTTCTTCTTCTTCTTCTTCTTCTTCTTCTTCTTCTTCTTCTTCTTCCTCTTCTTCTTCCTCTTCTTCTTACTCTTCTTCTTCTTCTTCTTCTTCTTCCTCCTCTTCTTTTTCTTCTTCTCCATCTTCTTCTTTTTCTTCCACCTATTAAGGATTCTTGTGATTACAGTGGGCCCACCAGGATAATTGAGGATACTCTCCCCATGGCAAGTTCCTTAATTTAATCATCTAAGCAAAGTTCTTTTTGTCATGTTAGTTTCACAGGTCTCAGGAATTAGGACATGGACATCCTTAGGAAGCCATTATTTGGTCTACCACACAAAAAAAGAAAAAACATGTGATCAGATTAATAAATGCAGAAAAAGAATTTGACATAATCCAATATTCATTTATGATTTTAAAAAAACTGAACAAACTAAAAGTAGAAGAGAACTTCCTTAAACTGGTAAAGGGGATCTTCAAAAAAATCTACGGTATCATTATTCAATGGCTGAAGGCTGAAGACTCTCTCCTTAAGATTGGGAGCAAGGTAAGTATGTCCACTCTCTTCACATAAACTGAACACTGTACTAGAGATGTTAGCCAGTGCAATGAAGCCAAACAAAACAAAGAGTTTAGAAAAAAAAAAAGCATTCAGATTGAAAAGAGGTAAATACTTTATTCACAGATAACATGATTATCTATGTGGAATATACAATGAATCTACCCCAAAAAGCTACTAGAACTAATAAGTGAGTTTAGCAAAATTGTAAGATAAAAGAAAAATATAGAAGGCCAGGCATGGTGGCTTATGCCTGTAATCCCAGCACTTTGGAAAGCTGAGGTGGGTGGATCACTTGAGGCCAGGAGTTTGAGACCAGCTTGGCCAACATGGTGAAACCCTGTCTCTACTAAAGATATAAAAACTAGCCGGGCATGGTGGCACATGCCTGTAATCTCAACTACACGAGAATCACTTGAACCCAGGAGGCAGAGGTTGCAGTGAGCTTAGATCACACCACTGCACTCCAGCCTTGGTGACAAAGTGAGACTCAGTCTCAAAAAAAAAAAAAAAAAGAAAGAAAGAAAAATATAGCAAAAAAAGTGTATTTTTATGTACTAGCAACTAACATTTGGAAATTGAAATCCAAAAATCAATACTACTTACAATAACATCAAAAATTCTTAAATAATTAGGGATACATCTGACAAAAAAATATGCAAAACCCATACCTTGAAAATACAAAATATGGGTGAGGAGAAAATAAAGAGGATTTAAATAAACTGATATATCTTGTTCATGGGTTGGAAGATTCAATATTATTAAGATGGCAATTCTCCCCCCAAATTAATCTAGGAATAGAAGGGAACTTCCTTAGCCTGATAAAGGGCATCTACGGAAAAACCTACCGTACCATTATACCAATGGCTAAAGGCTGAATACTTTCTCCCTAAGATTGGGATTAAGGTAAGGCTGTCCCCTCTCAAAATCAAATCAACAGGATTTTTTGTAGAAGTTGAAAAACTGATTCTAAAATGTATATGGAAATGCAAAGGACCTAGAACTGTAAAAACAATTTTTAAAAAGAACAAAGTTGGATGACTAATGCTATGTGATTTCCAGATTGATTATAAAGCTACAATAATTATGACAGTGTGATATTGGAGTAAAGATAGACATATAGAACCAAGAAACAAAATAGAAAGTCCACATATATATAATATATACGTATATAATATATACACATATATCTAATATGTGCATATATAATATATATATTATATATGTGTATATATTATATATTATATGTGTATATATAATATATATTATATATGTGTATATATAATATATATTATATATGTGTATATATAATATATATTATATATGTATATATAATATATATTATATATGTGTATATAATATATATTATATGTGTGTGTATAATATATATTACATATGTGTATATATAATATATATTATATATGTGTATATATAATATATATTATATATGTGTATATATAATATATATTATATATGTGTATATATAATATATATTATATATGTGTATATATAATATATATTATATATGTGTATATATAATATATATTATATATGTGTATATATAATATATATTATATATGTGTATATATAATATATATTATATATGTGTATATATAATATATATTATATATGTGTATATATAATATATATTATATATGTGTATATATAATACATATATATATATTTTATATACACATATATATACAGCTGCAGGGGCAACGATAGCTGCCAAGAGAGTCCCTGAAATAGGAAGTCTTCCAGCTCCCCGGGGTCTCCAGCATCCCCTGAGGGCAGATGAGAGATGGAGGAGCCCCAACCCCAAGGGACATTTAGCAGAGTGGTTAAGACTCTAGCTCAGGACCCCAGTTTAAATCTAGGCTTCCCATTTACTAGCTGTGAGACTCTCAGTAAGCACTTTGCCTCCCTGAGCCTCCATTTCCTGTTCTCTAAAATCGCATATATATATATAGTGTATATTCCATATACATTTTAGAATATATATGATGTATATTCCATATACATTTTAGAATATATATGATGTATATTCCATATACATTTTAGAATATATATGATGTATATTCCATATACATTTTAGAATATATATGATGTATATTCCATATACATTTTAGAATACATATGATGTATATTCCATATACATTTTAGAATACATATGATGTATATTCCATATACATTTTAGAATATATATGATGTATATTCCATATACATTTTAGAATATATATGATGTATATTCCATATACATTTTAGAATATATATGATGTATATTCCATATACATTTTAGAATATATATGATGTATATTCCATATACATTTTAGAATATATATATAATGTATATTCCATATACATTTTAGAATATATATATGGCAGATTATATTGTGCATATATATATGGCAGAATTATATTGTGCATATATATATATGGCAGAATTAAACACTCCATGTTTGTTTAATGAGAGGAATGAGCCAGTAGTAAATAATGTATCTATAAGGATGAGCTTTCACTTGGTCCAGCTCCCTGCACCCAGGAAAACATGTACATAGACCCCAAAATATAACAGTCTGAGGACTGAACCCAGAGCCATCCACCAGTCAGAGGTTGGGAGGAGGAGGACCTCCCAGAGACTGAGAAGGGGCAGCCAGGGAGGTGAAAGGACAAGGGGGAGAGGGATCCCTGGAGGCTGAGTGAAGAGAGTGTTTCAAGGAGAAGAGGATAATCAGCTCTCAGATGCCACCAAGAATTGAGAACTGATGACTGAACTGGCAACTTAGAGGCCACTGGGAACCCAGTGGACCGATGGGGGACAAAGTCTCACTGGAGCGGGCTCAAGAGAGAATGAGAAGAAGGAAGTGGGTGATGGAGAGGACGGGTGATTATTTTCAGAGACTCTGCTGAGAGAAGAGAAGATACAGCGCCAAGGAATTTTTTTAACAACAGAATTAATCCCATACCATACAGGTCAGACAGACCTGTAGATCATAGAAGAGAGCACAGAGTGCCCCCACCGCTGCTGGGGCTGGAGTGATCCCCCAGGGCTCAGGCCACTACTCAGAGAGCCAAGTTGGGGCAAGGGCCAAAACTGTGGGGCCAAAGCGGGGGATGGTCTAAGAATGTTCCATTAAATGTTCTCCTGCCCCAGAAGAGTCCCAGACACCCAGGCACTGCTTAGGGACCACTGTCCCTCCACGTCACCCCAGCCTCAGCTCATGCTCCACCTTCTGGTGAAACAGTAGATCCTCCTTTGAGAACTTGCCTTCCAGGGTCAGTGGGATCCCAGCAGAAACAGCTGGTGCAGAGAAAAGTATCCTGGCTTTAGAATCATAAGGACCCAGACCTGGACTCAAGTACCAGTCCCAGCTCACTGGAGGACCCTGGGCAAGTACCATCACCACTCACAGCCTCCAGTTCGTCATCAGTAAAATGGGAGTAATAATTCCATCCTCCCAACATTGTGGTGAGGACAGCAGGAGAAAATCTGAGTGCAATGCCAAGCACGGGGGACAGCCCGAGGGATGGCCCAAAGCATAGGTGATCCTTTCGTTCTTTCCCTTCCAGCCTGTTCCCTGGGACTCCTGAGGGGCTCTCCTCCCACTAGCTTACTCCCATTGTGGGTCCCCATTTGGCCCTGGAGGTCTCCAGCTCCTCTCCTGCTTCTGCCCTGATGTGACAGAGTTTCATGGCTGGGGCCAGCCAACCCACGACAGCTGTCAGGGCAGCAATAGCTGCCAAAGGTGTCCCTGAAATACGAAGTCTTCCAGCTCCCCACGGTGTCCACAACCCCCTGAGGGCAGATGGGAGATGGAGGAGCCCTGGCCCCAAGGGATGTTTAGCAGAGTGGTTAAGACCCTAGCCCAGGACCCTCGGTTGAATCTAGGCTTCCCGTTTACTAGCTGTGAGGCTCTCAGAAAGGCGCTTTGCTTTCCCAAGTCTCCGTTTCCTGTTCTATAAAATAGCGCCTACTTCACAGAGTCACCATGAGGATTAAATGACATAATGCATGAAGGTGTTTACCCAGCACTGGGTCCATGGGGTGCACAGTACATATGGGCCATGCTGCCATTACTGGCTCCCACCCAGCTTTCCCAGGGGCTGGTGCCCCCACCCACCTGGAGCCTGAGTTTCCTGTGAGCCAAGCCTGGGTTGAGAGAGCCAGGTAGAGGCAAGGTCAGAGGCTGCTCCCTCCGCTAACACAGTCCCACCTGCATCCACAGCTCAGGCAGGGGCTTCATACTAATAGAAATCCCCTAATCACCTGCTCATCACCTCTCCAGTATCTCAGACCTGCACCTCTCCCAGCCAGGGCCCCTCCTGCATTATCCCTGCTACTCCTGGCTTGGGAGCAAGATGGGACCCCATAGAGGGGCAGACACCACCTCCATCTTCCTCGGATGGTATAGTCCAGCAGTTGAGAGTGTAGACTGCCTGACTCTGCCTCCTACTATCTCTGTGACTTCAGGCAGGTTACTTGGCCTCTCTGTGCCTCAGTTTCATAATCTATAAAATGGGGCTAAGAATGGTACCCCTTCATAGGGTTACTGCATAGATGAATCAGTGTGAAGTGCTTGTAATGGTGCCTGGCACCACTAAGTACCATTCAAGTATTTGCTGTCTTCTTGCCATTATTATATTTATTCAGTACATGTCCAAGTGCACAGTAGGTTTCAGGACATGCTTGTTGCGTGAATGGATAGATGGATGGATGAACGAATGAACCAACTAGCCTCTAAGGGTTCCTTAGTTCACCGATAACTGATAACAAAGGCTATGGGTTTTGAGCGCCAAGTAGGTGCCAGGTGCTTCATGCCACATGATCTAACTGAATCCTCACCACTGCCCAATGAAGTGGGTATGATACGCCCATTTCTCAGATAAGGAAATCATGACTTAGAGGTTCACCTGTCCACAATCCACAGTGATTTTTCCTCCCATTTAATTTTTAATTATACATATGATACAAAATCGCTGATGAAAAAATTCTGAAAAGAAGCAAAATAAAAACAATAAACATAAAATCACCTGAGATTCCACACCCAGAAATTACCATTGTCAAGTGTTTGCTGACTAACCTCTAGACTGTCTTCGTGCAAATGTATATATATATATATCTTTTTTTTTTTTTTTGAGATGGAGTCTCGCTCTGTCACCCAGGCTGGAGTGCGGTGGCATGATCTCGGCTCACTGCAAGCTCCACCTCCCGGGTTCACGCCATTCTCCGGCCTTAGCCTCACGAGTAGCTGGGACCAGAGGTGCCCGCCACCACACCCGGCTAATTTTTTTGTATTTTTAGTAGAGACGGGGTTTCACCGTGTTAGCCAGGATGGTCTCCATCTCCTGACCTCGTGATCCGCCCACCTCAGCCTTCCAAAGTGCTGGGATTACAGGCGTGAGCCACTGCGCCGGGCCTGCAAATATATTTTTTTAACAAAGATGGGCTCACATTATGCATACACTGCACTGCAACAGAGTGTGGCTCTCTCTATGTCAATAAATATGTACCACCGGCAGCAGCTAGGATTCCATCGTAAGAGCCAGACCACAATTTATTTAACCAATTTGCTTTTGTGGGATATTTAGGCTGACCCAATTTCTCACCATTTTATGTGATGAATATTCTCCTCATCCATACAACTTTCTGAACTTGTTCAATTATTTCCTTAGCATAAATTCCTAGAAGTGAAATTTCTGAGTCAAAGACAATACACTTACTTAGGGCTTTTCATATACACATACTGCCAGATCATCTCCCAGAATGGTTGTACCAATTTCCACTCCCACTGGTGGTGAATGAGACAGGCCACTAATATTGAAGATATGAAAAACAGATCAGAAGTGGTGTATTAGCTGGAATGGCTGGGCCAAGCTGCAGGAACACATTTACCCCAAAATCTCAGTGGCATAACACAACAAAGATTTCTTTCTGGCCCACAGTGCAGGTTCGACCGGGTTCAGCAAGAGAGCCTCTGCTTCCCATAGTGGAATTCGGGGACCTGGACTGACAGAGTGCTACCCTGCCATTATAGCTGTGCCATCTGGAACGTGGGACCTCCAAGATTGCCCCGGAGTGGGAAGAGTGAGCGCCCAGCTTCTTAAATGCCTTGCTCAGGAATGAGACACGTCCTCTCCACTCACTTCATTGGTTGGGACTATCTCGAGGCCCTGTCTAACTGCACGGGGGCTGGATAGTGTGGGGTTCCAGGCGTGGAGGAAAGAAAGACAAACCTGATATACACAAACCTCAGTGATGTCTGCTACAAATGGTAAAGGTTAACATCATGGAAGGCTTCCTTGGGCAAAATAAACCTGAGTTGAATCCTCTTGTGACCTGTACTGGCCCCAGTGTCACCCACTCTGGTGTGGCTTTTCTTAAGAAAGAATTGTTTTGTCTCAGTGTAATGAAGACAAGGGGAGGACCAGGCTAGTGAATCGGGCAGTGAGGTGGTGACACCTTCTCTCTTCCCTGCAAGGCAGCTCACCTCCAGTGCTTGTCTTGGGATCCTCACCAGAGCGATGTGGACTCCAGGAAGGCTAAGAGTGAAAAGCCATGCAAGGCAGTGCAGGAGCAAAGTCCATGAAAGTCCTGCCTTTTGTAGGCCACTCAGCCAGCCCCTGACCTGACCACAATAGAGAATAGCATGAGGTCAACCCATGCCAAGATCAGGTGCAAACAGAAAATAGTGGTAAAAATGAGAGATCTGGAGTGAGGCTGCCTGGCTTTGCAAACCAGCTGAGCCCCTTACCATTTCTGTGGCCTTGAGCAAGTTGCTTAACTTCTCTGCATGTGTTTCCTTATCTCTACACGGGGATAACAAGGGTAACTACCTTCAAGCACTAGCATAAGGCTTAAATAAGTTCAATATTCATTTCTTCATCGAACAACCACACACAGACACCCTTATATCTGGCACTGGGGATACAGAGATTAGCAAAACAAAACCCCTGCCCTTAAGAAGTTTAATTCTCTTAAGGAAACAGGCAACATATAAACAACAACAAATAGCACAGTATTTCAGGTGGTAATAAGTGCTCTGAAGAAAAATGAAGCAGGAGAAGGGAGGTAGACAGTGATGAGAAGTGCTTATATTTTGTCCAGAGTCTTTACCTCTGTAAAGTGACATTTGAGCAAAGATCTAAATGAAGTAAAGGAGAGAACCATGTGGCTATCAGGGGAGTAACGTCCAGATGGGAGGAAGGGTGGGTGCAAAGGCCCTGGGGCAGAAGCATGCCCACAGTGTCTGAGGACCAAATATTGCTGAGGAAAGTGAGCAAGAGGCATGCCAGGAGACTAACCTAGAGAGGTGCCTGTGGCCATGAGAAGGACTTCAGAGTTCATTGCAGACAAGATAGGGAGCCACTGG
The DNA here is from genome assembly GCF_000001405.40 of Homo sapiens. Taxonomy (NCBI): domain Eukaryota; kingdom Metazoa; phylum Chordata; class Mammalia; order Primates; family Hominidae; genus Homo; species Homo sapiens. The sequence continues at coordinate 36,538,960 of NC_000001.11, read as the reverse complement.
AGGGTTTTTCATGGTGTTTTAAATACCATGTGACTGGCCAGGTGCTGTGGGTCACACCTGTAATCCCAGCACTTTGGGAGGCCGAGGCAGGTGGATCGCCTGAGGTCAGGAGTTCGAGACTAGCCTGGCCAATATAGTGAAACCCCATCACTACTGAAAATACAAAAAACAATTAGCCCGGCATGGTGGCGGGCGCCTGTAGTCCCAGCTACTCAGGATGCTGAGGCAGGAGAATCACTTGAACCTGGGAGGCAGAGGTTGCAGTGAATCGAGATTGTGCCACTGCACTCCACCCTGGATGACAAAGTGAGACTCAGTCTCAAAAATAAAATAAAATAAAATAAAATAAAATAAAATAAAATAAAATAAAATACCATGTGACCATACAACACCAAATGCCTGATACATACATGCTCAATAACTATTTTCATTGATACCAGTGATTGTGGTGATGATCATGATGATGACCATCATGATGGCCAAGGCGGGGTATGGTTAGGGGCAGGTGCTGAATCTGCATATACCATAGAGGTAGAGACAGAAATCTGGGAAAATATAAAAATATGTTTCCATGAACTCCATCATTCTCTGTCCTTCCCACCCTCTACCCATCCCCATCCTGTCCTTCCTTCTGATCTCAATCCCCTAAGGTAAGTTGTTATGGGATGAGAGGAAAATAAAGATTTCTCTTTGGGCGTTAAAAGCTATTTGCAGTGGGATTCAAACAGTGTTGAGGGGGGAGACAGACACAGCCAACACCAGACATCTGACAAGATGGAACTCCAGATGGCAGTTTCCCTTTGCGTTACTTAGGGGACTAGAGGCAGGGGAGAAAGAACGGGAGGAAGAAGAGAAATGGGAGGCTATACAGGAAGAAAGGGGAGGGGCGAGCAGTGGTCTGGGGGAGGGACCCCAAGACCAAGGAGGCTGGCATTCTCCAGCCACTTGGAGGGCACCCATGCCCAACAGGGGCAAGGCTGTAGGACCTTGCCCAAGGTCATCTAAGTGATCTGGGCACAGTCTCCTCCCCACCTGCAGTCCCATCCCAACTGTAGATATTTGTTGGGCGAGAGGGGCATTCCTAATGTCTGCCCCTCCCCAATGCCTAGACAGAGAGTAGGACTAGGAGTGTTCCCTCGGCGGCTGGGGATGCTGTTCCTTCATAAAGTTTCCTGTCCCTCCACCCACTGGATTTGCTCTCCTTGATCTGCACATATGCACACACATGTGTGCACACACAAACATGCTTACACCTGTGGGACAATGGAGTCTGCCAGTGAAAAGTGAAACCTCTGAAGGCAGACTAACCTGGGTTAAAATCTCAATTCTGTTTCTCATTTTTCTCATTGCTGTGTGACCTTGGGCTAGTTTACTCTCCTCTCTGAACCTCAATTTACTCATCATGGGTTGTTGTGAGGATTAAATGAGTTAATCTGTAATAGAAGAACATAGAACAGTATCTGGCACATAATAATAAGTGTGTGCTGCCATTATTATACATATTGACACAGACTTTCATACAGACTGCCTGGCTTTGCAAACCGGCTGAGTACCTTACCATTTCTGTGGCCTTGAGCAAGTTGCTTAACTTCTCTGAACGTGTTTCCTTATCTCTGCATGAGGATAACAAGAGTAACTACCTCCAAGGGCTAGCATAAGGCTTAGGTAAGTTCAATATTCATTTCTTCATTGAAAAACCATATATAGACACCCTTAAGTCTGGCACTGGGGATACAGAGATTAGAAAAACCCTGTCAGTGTGCTCATGGGTTAAGTTTTTGCTCTCATATGGGAGCAAAAACTTAATCCATGTGCACACTCAGTTATGCAGACATGCACAATGGACACAAGTGCCATCAAAACCCAGCACATCTGCACACCCCAAAGCAAGAAGTCAGAAGGAGGTGTTCCTTCTGAGCCAAGCAGGAATTGTCCCTTATCAGCCTGCAGAGACCTGGCCCACAGGGCACTCTCCCAGTGGCCCCTCAGCCAGCACCATGGCCCAAATCCCCCAGCCCCACCCAAGGGCCTGCCATCCAGTTTTCTTTCCACTGGTAGAATGACTCCAACCCAGCCCCCACACACAGACAGAAGGCCAGGAGCCCCCGGTGGGCCTGGAAGCAGCAAGGGTGAGTGCCTTAGTTTGTCTTCTGCTACTTAGAATACCTAAAACTGCAAAATGTATAAAAGAAAGGAATTTATTTATTTCAGTTATGAGAAATCCAAGGTCCTCACATCTGGTGAGGGTCTTCTTGCTGGTGGGGACTCTATGTAGAGTCCCAAGGTAGCACAGGGTATCACATGGCAAGGGGGCTGAGGTGCTAGCCCAGATCTCTCTTCCTTTTCTTATAAAGCCACCAGTTCCACTCTCATGATAATCCATTAATCTGTTAATCCATGAATGGATTAATCCATTCATGAGAACAGAACCATCATGACCCAATCACCTCTTAAATGTCCCATCTCTCAATACTGCTACACTGGGAATTAAATTTCAACATGAGTATGGAGGGGATAACTATTCAAACCACAGCAGGAGCTTCCTCTGGGCCCACCCCTTAGACCTCTGTTCCAGCACAGGAAGCCCTTGATCAAACTCCCCTCCAGCCCACCTCCATCCTTCCCACATGCCAGATTCACCTTCTCAGATCCCTACTGTGACCCTGTTCCCTGTCTGCTCAAGAGCCTGCAAGGACTCCCCAAAGAGTGGGAGTAAAAGCCACATTTTTAACGTGGTATTCAAGGTCCTTCAGACCCGCTCCCAAACTGTCCACTAGCTTGGTGTCTTCTATTCTATGTAGTTGCTCTTGACACCTGCCGTAGTTCCCCACCTCCTGTTCTTTCTGCCTACAGTCACCTGTCACCTCCCTACTCACCTTAACCTAAGGAAGCCCTTAAGGACAAGCTCAAAATCTACTCACTCTATGGAGCTTCCCATAAACAATGAAGGCCTTCCCATAAATGTCTGCAGCCCTTAGCCACCTGCCTCTGTGCTCCACCTGCCCTAGGCACATCATTTACTTCTCCACAGCCCACTGCCTGCAATTGCCCTGTAAATACACAGGACAGGGACCTGGTGCCCTTCGCTCCAAGATCCCCAATCTGGCAACAAGGAGAAGGTACAGAATCATCATCATTATTATTAAATAGTTGTATGAGGAAGAAAAGAAGGGATAAAAGAGGCCAGGTGCGATGGCTCACGCCTATAATCCCAGCACTTTGGGAGACCGAGGCGGGTGGATCTCTTGGGCCCAGGGGTGTGAGACCAGCCTGGGCAACATGGTGAAAAAAAATAAAAATTTTAAAAAAAGAAGAGAAGAAGGGAAGAAAGCAGGTAGAAAACAGACCATTATGGACATAGATCTAGAAGCTGGCCTTCAGGGAGAATAACATTTATTGAGAACTTAGCTGCCAGGCACTGTTCTCATTGCCTGTCCTATGAAATGGGTGTTGTTATTCTCCCAGTTGTATAGAGGAGGAAACTGAGGCACAGAGAGGTTGTCTGAAATCACTCAACCTCTCTCAGTAGAGAGAGATAGAGACAGAATTCAAACTCAGGAAGACTGGCTGATTGCCTGTTGAAAGGCAGATTTCTTTTTAAAAACTAGAGAACTGGGATCTCCTGGCCTCTTAGCAGGAACTCTAGATAAGCAGCAGGTTAGTTCGCTGGGAAGGCATACCAGGCTAAGCTGGGTGACCCAGCGGGCCGTGCCCGGGGCCAGCGTGCTTGTCCTCCACAGCACAGAGAAAGCCACTCTGCTTCTGTCTGACTCACAGCTGCCCTAACTGCCCAATCTACACAGGGCTGAACAAACAAACGTGACCAGGAGAGAGGAAAGATGGAAGCTCAGGTAGAAAGTGCAGCTGGAAATGAGCTCCTCTCCCCAAGCCAGATGAATGCAGTCTCGGGTCTGAGTGCGTGCAGGCTCAAGCATGGCTGGTGTCAGCAGCAAAAGGACTCAAGCCTGGAACGGGTGGTGGCCTTCTCATATGGGGCTGCAGATGCAACTCTGGCTCTCCCAAAGGGACATGGATTCTAGAAACCATAGGCCAGGGGCTTACAGTCCTTGGCACCATCAGCATCAGCAACGACCTCGCCCACAAGGGCACATTTGCCACCTTGCATAGGCCCAGAGTGTGCTGGGGACTTTGGGAGAGACAAAACCAAGTGTTGCTCACAGAGACACTGCTGATGGCCCCTTAAAGTCATCAACTAGGACAAACCAAATTCGAACAAGGATCCAATCAAGGCTGTGGTGGGAAATCCATACAGAATGAGAGATTGGCTTTAAAACATTTCAAGGCAGTGAGCTGGCCTGGTGAAATAGCAACCTTAGCCATCAGGCTCAGGGTAGGGAAGAGTCCCTACCAACATCGAGGTGCCAGAGCTCAGCTAAAAATCCATGACTAAAGGGAGCCAGCCATCACTCTTCCCCCCAGCTTTGGGCCAGGGAAGTTGATGGGCACATACGAGTTGATGGGAGAAGACCAGAGAATAAAATAAGCAGAAATAGATGTTCCCACAGAGCACCGTGGGAGCCCAGAAGAGAGAGAAGTTAATCCCGCAAAGCCCCAGCAAACTCCAAAGTGGATCAAAGAGCTTGACTGCGAGGACTCTGAGACGCTGTGACCACAGCTCAGCCAGTGACTTGCATTTGCTATTTTGGAGCCACCCAGCCATCAGGCAAAGCTACAATCTTCAGGTACATGGATTGCAGAGCGCTTTTAACACAAAACCTCATGATCTCCTATGGGAATAGGATCACAAAATGGAGGTGGTGAGAAAAGAAAACTTTTGATGACTCTTTGTCTGGTGAAGCACCCTATGCTAGGCTCAGGCTGCATGGGTCATCACATGTGGATCCAAGTCATCCACACGTGGATATAGCCACAGCTTGGATATAGCCAGAAAAGTTACCCTAATTATATCCCCAGGGGAGAGAAAAATACGCCCGCAACAACAGTGCATGTTGGCAGTGGTCTGAGAATCACCATTTGGCTATGATAGCCATGTCCCAGTTGGGACTGCCAGTGCTGGCCTCACAGAAGTCCCAATACACCAAGTTATCTGGTAGCAGAGTGGTGTTTCTGCTGTGTGTGAGTTCAGCTGGGATATTTACTGGCGGCATTCAGCTGACAAGTGGATTCGGCTGGAAGGTCAAGGAGATCTCATTCATTTGTCTAGTGCCTCAAAGTTGTTCCACATGGTCTCTCTCATTCCATGTGGCTAGCTTAGGCTTCCTCACAATATGGCAGTAGGATAGTCAGCCTTCTTACATGGCAGCTGCCTTCTAAGAGCAAGTGTTACAAGCAACAAAAGTAGAAGTCGCAGATCTCATAAGATTTGGCCATAGAAATTACACGGCATCACTTTTGTTATTGGTAAAAGCTGTCAGAGGCCAGCTTAAATTCAAAGAGAAAGAAAATACATTCCACCTCTTATGGAAGGAGTGGCAAAGAATGCATGGCCATCTTTAACCCACCATAGAGACCCAGACACTTGATGGGGCCACATTCTAAGCCCAGAATAGCTGTTCAAAACCTCAACTTGTCCAGTCCAGGGTAAAGAAAACTGACTAGGGAAAAACGCACGTGAATGCTGGGATAAAGGGGCATGCATATTACCCAGATTCACAGCTGGAGCCTTAGAGAATGGGGGATCCCAGATGACTTCTCCTTCCATAGCTTCCCAGACCATGAGAGCAGGAACTGACCACCTATATCTTCCAATGCACCTGCCCCCAGGGCTAAGTCGGGGTTGAACACAGGGGGCCAGAGATGGGGTATGCAGTGGGCAGTGGTGGTCACTGGCTTTAGGATCCTTCCTGGGCCAGGCTTTTCTTCTCTGCCCAACTTTTGGAGACTGCTGAATTGGGAAGGACTTTTACTCTCATTGCTCAAAGCCTGGAGTGACCCACTGTGATGGTTAATTTCATGTGTTAACTTGACTGAGCCATAGGGTGCCCAGATATTTGGTCAAACATTATTCTGGGTGTGTGGGGGTGGAAAGGTAGGTGTTTTCTTAATGAGATTAACATTTTAGCTGGTAGACTGAGTGTCTGAGATAGGAAAAAACCAAACTGTGTTTTCTACTCTCACACACAGTTAACAAAATACTCTTAACACAGAACACTGCACCTCTGGCATCAAAAATCCCCACACACAACCATTTCTGCAGTGGAGTCCTCTTATTCAATTCAATTCTGACACCATCTACCTGGAGACAGTGTCAGATCCCACAGGTTAAAAGCTCAGTCCTACAAGACTGCCTGAACTCCAGATGTCAATTGCAAGCCCCAGATCGTTTCATCTGTGCTTCTGACCAAAAAGCCATAAATCAAGGTTCCCACAGTCCCCTCCTCAGGTTTAATTTGCTAGAGTAACTCACAGAATTCAGGCAAATACCTTACTTATGTTTACTGATCTATTATAAAGTATATTACACAGGAGATGAACAGGCAGATGGAAGAGATTCATAGGACAAGGCATGTGGGAAGGGCTGCAAAGCTTCCATGCCCTCCCAGGTGCACCATCCTTCACATGTTCAGCTGTCTGCAAGCTCCCCACACCTTGTCGTTTTGAGCCTTTATAGAGACTTCATTACTTAGGCATGATTGAGTAAATCATTGGCCACTGGTGATCAACTCAACCTTCAGCCCCTCTCCCATTCCCAGGAGGTTGGAGATGGGACTGAAAATGCCAACCTTCCAATCATGTGGTTGGTTCCGTGGCAACCAGCCTCCATCCTGAGGCTATCAGTGTCTGAACCCCCAGCCACAAGACATCTCATTAGCATTCAAGGAGGCACCTATCACCTAAGAGATTCCAAGGGTTTTAGACGTGTGTGCCAGGAAGCTGGATGAAGAGCAAATCTGTATTTCACAACATCATGCTGAGTAAAGCAGATTGCCCTCCCCAGTGTGGTGGGCCGAATCTAATCAGTTGAAGGCCTGAAGAAAACAAAAAGTCTGCCTCTTCCTCAAGTTAGAGGGAACTCCTACCCAACTGTCTAGAACTGGGACGTGGGTCTTTTCCTGCCTTCAGACTCCAACTAAAACACTAGCTTTCTCTGCTTTGTTTTTGTTTGGTTGGTTTTTTCTGAGCCTTCCAGCTTTCAAACTGGAACTATACCATCATCTCTCCTGGGTCTCCAGCCTGCTGACTGCAGATCTTGGGGATTCTTACTCTCCATAATCACACAAGTCAATTACTTATAATAAATATTTTTACATATATGATTACGTATATCTTTATATGTCTCTTTATGTACCTCTATATATTTATATTTTATATTATATATGTCTATACATAAAATAATCTCTTATGTATTTTTATTATATATAAAATAATCTCTATGTATAATATATATTATATATAAAAAGATTTATTATAAGTAATTGGGGCCAGGCGCAGTGGCTCACGCCTGTAATCCCAGCACTTTGGAAGACCGAGGCGGGTGGATCGCCTGAGGTCAGGAGTTTGAGACCAGCCTGGCCAACATGGTGAAACCCTGTCTCTGCTAAAAATACAAAAATTGGCTGGGCATGGTGGCAGGGACCTGTAATCCCAGCTACTCAGGAGGCTGAGGCAGGAGAATTTCTTGGAGCTGGGAGGCAGAGGTTGCAGTGAGCCGAGATCACGCCACTGCACTCTAGCCTGGGCGACAGAGCAAGACTCTATCTCAAAAAAAAAAAAAAGTAATTGTTTATACTTACATAACCAGTTGGAATTATTGGTTCTGTTCCTCTGGAGAACCCTGGATGAAACACCCACCAACCCATCCAGAGCTCACTACTGCACAGACCTCTGACCCCAGGACCCCCAACTCTTAGAGCCCAAGGCCCCATCTCTCATCCCAAGTCGCATCACCAGAATTGCCCAGCTTCCCAGTTACAGCCCAGAGCCCAGCCCAAGTCTTTGTATAAATCAAGATTTCTCTCTGCCCAACACTTGGAACCCAAAGCTTCCTCCTAATGGGACTTTTCAGGACTCCGAGGCCAGATGCCAGTCAGGGCGAAGCATTCTGCCCGGAATTCACCTGGAGTGTTGTCCCAGGTGTGGCCTCCAAACTCCAACCCCAGCCTGCTGCTGCCTCCTCACTGGACACGGAGATGCCAGGCCCCTGGTGGGCACCTGCCCTCATACTGGGCGAGGCTGTATCCAATTAGCATTGCCCCCAGCCCATCCCCCCCACCACACCACACACACACACACACACACACACACACACACACACACACACACCCTTCCCTGGCTCAGGATCATTCTGGCAGGTGTGTTAATCAGGGCTCTGGCTGGGAACAGACTGCTCAGGGCTCCAGAGAGAGGGTTTCACACCTGCCCTGGTTGCAGAGGTGTGGGCAGGGTTAAAGGGGCAACAGGGATGGGGAAGCCTTGGGCTGCCCCCTCACAGAAGCCTCCCATTAGCCAGACCCAACTGGAAGCCAGAGGGGGCTCTGCCCTCCACAGGTTCTGCCTCCCGGGGTACACAGCAGGGCAGAGGAGGGGTAGGAGAGCTGGCGGCAGGGCAGGGGTGTGGCAAACCCAGGAAGGGTGAGGGAATTCCTGCTTCTGAGCCCTCCCGTGCCCGCCCTGCTGTGCACTCAGCACTTTCTGGGCATTGTTGCCTCTTCCTGGGCTTTCCTGGACTGGAGACTGAGGCAGGGCGGGGGCGGGGAGGCCTGTGCAGGACCAGCCCGGGGATGAGGAACAGGGGAAGTAGGGGTTCTTCCCAGGACTCAGGGTGGGGTCACTCCTGACCCTGATCTTCAGAGGAGGTTGGGACCCTGCAGCCATGTGCCCCACCCCCACCCCCTGATGGGCCACCCCATCCTATGACTCAGGACTCTCCTCCATCACTGCATCCCTGGATCCCTCTCTTTCCCAGCCAGAACCCACCCTCACTAGCTTAATGAAGTTCCCAGCTGACATTTCCTAATTCCCTAATGATTAACTTCCAGTGGATTAGAACCGGGACAGCTATTCAATTAACATGCAGGTCTGAGATTACTCAGGACTCATTAAGACTCCGTAATTGACTTGTTAATGTGCAAGAATTCAATTACTTGCCTGGCACTGAACTTTCGGCCAGGGCATGGGGGAGCAGCCACAGGGCAACAAATGCCCCACCCTGGGAGCCCTAGTCTGAGGGAAGAGACAGTCCAGCCCAGAGGTAACAGGCTGGGGAGGTCTAGTCTGAGGGAGGAGACACAAGTTGATCCCAGGGGAACCCCAGTTCCTCTGAGGAAGACACAACCCTTGTCTCTGGAGAGCCCCAGATTGTGGAGGAGAAGCTACAACCTCTCTTTGAGCATCTCAACCGTGAAGGGAGAGATACATTTCTGACCCTCAAGGAGCTTCCTAAGGGGGAAGACCCAACTCATGTCCTGGTCTGGGGAGGCACAGCCTCTCTTTGGGCACCCCCCATTCTGACAGGGACAGCACAGCCCTGCCCTGGAATAGCCCCTGTCAGAGGGGGCAGCCTTGCACATGTTCTGGAAGGCTCTGTTGAGGGGAGAGGCCTTGTCATTGGAGGCCCTGGTCTGAATGGAGGTAAAGTCAAGGCTGGAGGAGTCTAGTCTGAGGGACATGTGGTTCCTTCCAAGGGATCCCCTGGTCTGAGAAGGGGCCAGGCAAAAGGCCAGTGTCTCCACAGGACAGACACAGAAGCCCAAAAAGACCACACAGTCACAGTGCCAGCAGGGGTGCATCTGGGAACCAGTCTCCTTTGGAAGGGGCCAGGGAACCCCCCTTCCTCAGAGGACAGAGCAGGCCAACGCAGACTTCCTCTCTCCAGGTCTCAGCTCCCCCATCTGTCACTGCATGGGTCTCTGGCTGTCCCACCCCAACCCACACCAGTAACCTCAAGGGTGGCCAGTAACCAAGCCCACCCACCTATCCAGCACCAGCAACGCCCTGCCCAGTCCAGAACCTGAACTGTGCCACTGGAGAGAAACTAATTGAGGAAATTGGTAAGAGAGGGGGTCCAGGCCACTGAAGTCTGACAAATGAGGCTGGGATGATGGTGCATTTACAGAGCACCTCCTTGACACTGGCCATTTTCCACACATCGTCTGTAATTCTCCCCACTGTAGAGATGTAGAGACTGGAGTTCAGAGAGGTTAAGTAACTTGTCCAAGGACACACAGCAGGAAGGGATGGAATCCATCTGGAATCCATGAGGCCTCACCCTGAGCCTGTACTCTTAATCATTACCCTTTACTACACTATCCCCAGTCCCCATAAGTCCTGTTGGCTGTGACTGCCAGACTCACACCTGCTGCTGCAGTTCCAGTGAATTAAAACTCTTTCCACAAAACTGCCCTAAGAAGATTCACCAGGGAGGAGTGTGGGCCATTCAGAGAGTGAAGCGCCCTCTGGAGCCCAGTGAAGAGGAGACTCCATCAAGAGGCCTGGATCACTGTGCCAAGCAGGCCCTACAAGATGGTGGTCGTGCCTGGGGCAGAACCTTCAGGCCAGTCCCTGGTAGAACTCTGCAGCACATTATTCTGCTGATGTGATAACACTAGCAAAGCAACATGGCTCTGCCTCCTACAAGCTGTACGGCCTCGGGCAAGTTACTTCACCTCTCTGAGAGTGTTTCCTTACCTGTAAATTGAGAATGGCAATAGTACCTTCCTCATAAGGTTGTTTGCCGGGGTAAACAACATAACGTATGTAAAGATTTGGAAACCTTGCCTGGCAGGTGGAGAGCACTCGCTGTGTTCACCTTTGGGTGATCATCGTCATTTGTTAACACCTCAGGGAGAAAAGAGAAATCACCAGGAATCAACAGTGGTTCACTTTAAAAGGTTACATCCTGCTAATGTCCACTTCGAACAACATTTCTGGAATGATGAGTCCAAGAGCACTAGAGACATTTCAGAAACGCATTTGGCACTCTCCCGAGAGAGCAATGTTGATTTCTGTAAAATGCAGGCTGGGTAAAATATGATCATATGTTGATTGAAGCTGTGCTGTGTGTTGATTAAATGGTTCAGAGGCGGTGTCATTGGAAAGGGTCGTTGCGGATTTGCATGACAAATACATCTGAAGATGAAAAGATGCCATTAAGCTGGAAGGGCCAACAGAAGAATGGAAAATGACCCCCAAAGTCCAGAACAATGCATTTAGACCAAGAGCATGAAGGGAAACAGCAGCAGGTAAACAGTCTGCCCTCTGAAAACCGACAGAAAGAGAGTTCTGGCCGGCCGTGGTGGCTCATGCCTGTAATCCCAGCACTTTGGGAGGCCGAGGCAGGCAGATCATGAGGTCAGGAGACTGAGACCAGCCTGGCCAACATAGTGAAACCCCGTCTCTACTAAAAATACAAAAACTAACCAGGCGTGGTGCATGCATCTCTAGTCCCAGCTACTCAGGAGGCTGAGGCAGAAGAATCGCTTGAACCCAGGAGGCGGAGGTTGTGGTGAGCCAAGATCGCGCTGCTGCACTCCAGCCTGGGCAACAAAGCAAGACTCCATCTCAAAAAAAAGAAAAAAGAGAGTTCAGCCATATACTGTTTAGCAAACAAGGGGGCAACCACAAGTGAGGGCTGGGGAGGGAAGAGAGAGAGAGAGAGAGAAAGAGGGAGTCCATGTGTGCGTTAAGATAGCCTTTAGGCCGGGCACAGTGGCTCAAGCCTGTAATCTCAGCACTTTGGGAGGCCGATGTGGGTGGATCACTTAAGGCCAGGAATTTGCGACCAGCCTGGCCAACATAGGGAAACTCCATCTCTATTAAAAATACAAAAAATTAGCTCAGTGTGGTGGTGCATACCTGTGATCCCAGCTATCCAGGAGGCCTCCTGTGCAGGAGAATCACTTGAACCTGGGAGGCAGAGGTTGCAGTGAGCCAAGGTAATGCCGTTGCCGTGAGCCAAGGTAATGCCATTGCACTCCAGCCTGGGCAACAGAGCAAGACTCCATCTCAAAAAATAATAACAGGGCCGGGCGCAGTGGCTCACGCCTGTAATCCCAGCACTTTGGGAGGCCGAGGTGGGCAGATCACGAGGTCAGCAGATCGAGACCATCCTGGCTAAAACAGTGAAACCCCGTCTCTACTAAAAATAAAAAAAATTAGCCGGGCGTGGTGGTGGGCGCCTGTAGTCCCAGCTACTCGGGAGGCTGAGGCAGGAGAATGGTGTGAACCCGGGAGGCAGAGCTTGCAGTGAGCCAAGATCGCGCCACTGCACTCCAGCCTGGGCGACAGAGCGAGACTCCGTCTCAAAAAAAAAGAAATAATAATAATAATAATAACAATAATTTATTTAAAATCTTTTAAAATAAACATAATATCTTAAAAGATCTTAAAATAGCCTTCCATATCTTAAAATACGTCTGGAAATATACATAAGAAATTAAAGACTTTTTAAATCTGTGGGGAGGGAAACTAAGGCCAGAGAACAGAGATGTGGGAGGAAATTTTTTTACTGAATAATACCCTTTTATAATTTTTAATTTTGAACCCTGCAAATGTATTGCCTATTCAAAAATTAAATTAAAGAACGTGAACCCTGGTTATCTCTGGTTGCTGGGGTGATGGGTGGTTTTGCTTTCTTCTTCTTTTCCTGTATTGTCTGAATTTTTTTAATGACCATGTATTACATTTTTAAATCAAGAGAAATAATAGAGTTGTTCACATTTTTCTTTAAAAGTCTGCCTCGCTTGTATAGGCTGGGCTACAACTCATGTGACAAAAGAAGTAGTGGAGGCTTGCTGGTAAAGGGAAACAGCTGGCCGGGCGTGGTGGCTCACGCCTGTAATCCCAGCACTTTGGGAGGCCGAGGCGGGCAGAGCATGAGGTCAGGAGTTCAAGACCAGCCTGCCCAGCATGTTGAAACTCCATCTGTACTAAAAATACAAAAAAGAAAAATTAGCCAAGCAGGGTGGCGCTTGCCTCTAGTCCCAGCTACTCGGGAGACTGAGGCAGAATTGCTTAAACCCGGGAGGTGGAGGTTGCAGTGAGCCAAGATCACACCACTGCACTCCAGCCTGGGTGACAGGGTGAGACTCCATCTCAAAAAAAAACAAAAAAGGAGGCTGGGGAAACAGTTTAGAAATGGGAACAGGTTTGCTGCTGTGTGGCCGCAGAGGGCAGAAGGAGAAACCATGGGCAAAATGACTTGAGGCCAACTCAGGGCAGCAGCCAGAAAGGGCATCTTGTCAAGGTCACTCTGGGGGAAAATGAGCTCCCCATCACTGGAAGTGCACAAACAAAACCTGGCAAGTGCTTGTCAGAGGGTTATGGAGAGAATTCCTGCTTAGCAAAGGGGCTGGAGGGTCTAGGAGTTACCGGTTCAGGGTCAGCTCCTTCAGCGCAGATGTGGGGTTACTTTCTTTTTTTTTTTAGACTGAGTCTTACTCTGTCACCCAGGCTGGAGTGCAATGGCACGATCTTGGCTCACTGCAAGCTCCGCCCCCCGGGTTCATGCCATCCTCCTGCTTCAGCCTCCCGAGTAACTGGGATTACAGGTGCCCGCCACCGTGCCCTGATAATTTTTATAAGTACTTTCTAATCTCATCAGTGCTAAGCAGAAAGCCCACCTCAGGGGCTTGGGCCTCACTCACTGTCCCTGGCTGCCTGGGCCCACCATTCATTACAGGTGCAGCCTCAGAGCTGCACGTGCCCGCACATGTGCCGTGTGGGGACATGGAGGTGAGCATGCACTGAGTTGGGTGCACATGTGTGAACACAGGTATGACATTAAACCACAGATGTGGCCATGTAGGGGGGGTACATATGGACACCCAGGTGGGTGCAGTTGTCCATACACAGGCGTGTGTTCATTCAGCCCGGCCTTGAAACAGAGAAAGACGCTGTGCTCTGCACACACACACACACACACACACGTGTGCACATCCACAGTGGCCTCCCTTCCTGTGTGCCAGGATGTCTTGGTGTGTAAAGCACTTCTGCACCACCCTTGCATCTAATACCGATCCTGTGGAGTAGCCAGAATGAGGTTTGTTATCCTGGCGCATAGTAAGCACTCACTAAACATCACTACAGTTATCGCTATCACTTTTATCACAGTTCGCAGATGAGAAAATAGGCAGCAGGGCCTGCTCAGTGTCACAGACATATTAAGTGTGTGGTAGAGATGGAAATCAGACTCACAGGACCCAGTTCTCAGTCACGTGCTGTTGGCTTATGTTCTGCCCTTTCACATTATTCCACTATTTCACTATGTGAATAGTACGCACTGTTTCACATTCATACCTCCACGTGCACAGACATCCTCCCGTGCTGGCCCCTCACAGCTGTCCATCACATACACACCCACGCGTGGGTGCCTGTCATGTGTACACACACACGGAGGTGTCATACACATCACAGACCCATACGCACAGGTATTCATCACATGCGCACACATAAGTCCATCACGACACACACACAGGCAGTGTTACTGACATACACACACACGTGTCTGTCACATACACACACAGAGTCATCCATCACATACACACACACATATCCATGTACACATGCATGTGTTCATCACATACACAAATACACACAAATGTTCCTCACAAACACACACACGAAAGCATTCATCACACACACACATGCATGCAGACACCTGAATGTAACAATATAATACTAGCTAATATTTTGCCCCACGATGAACTGAACACTGTATATGCATAATCTCATTTCATACTCAAAAGCCCTGGAAGTGCCATTCTTGTCTTACAGATGAGGAAACTGAGGCACTGAGTGGCCGAGTCCTGTGCCTGAGGCCGCCCGCTGTTCAGCGGAAGAGCCAACATCTGTGCTATCGACCCCTCTGCTCCCCGCCTCCCCGTGAGCACTTTCGTTCTGTCTTCCCTTCGCTCTGTTGAGGTACGTAGTTATTCATCATACAATGGTGTAATATTAAAATGAAATTAGCAGCGACCTAGGCGTGGGCAGACACTTTCAAACGTGGCTTCCTCCCCCATTCTCTTCCAGGAAAGCCAGAGCGGTTTTAAACGATCAGACATTTGCATAATGGCTTCCCTTTGTTCTGACTAAATTGGCCAGAATACACACCTCTGTTCCATCTAGAGGCCTCCAGACCGAGGCTTAATGATGACACCCTTGTCTGTAAGCAAGGCTATGGTTAGGGGAAGTGGTCATGTCCATTTCCCTCTCTCTGTTATCCATAGTCTCAAATTCAGGAATATTCAAGTCAAAGGTCAGCTGCTGGCCTATTTGGAAGATTCAAGGTTGGGCCAAGACACTTCAGGATGAAGAGCAAAAGTTATAGCTCCAAACTGTCTCTCCTGCCCAGAAAGTCATATGGAGATGGAGATGAAATCGGTAGAAGGAGACATGGAAGTTTTTGTTTCTTTAGGGCTTAGAAAAGTTGTGTGAAAACCTTTCTTTGCTAATCAGTCTGGAGCCAGGACTGACCCCTATCGCGTGGGATATGTTACCTGTCTATAAATGCTCCAGAACATTCTACCAGCAGCCATGCAATCTCAGCCTTAATTTTTGTCATGACACACACAATGCTAGAAGCCACAGATGCTGATGGATGCTGTATCATAACACACTCATGAAGCAAATATTTATTGAGCAGCTATTCAGTGCGAGGAAGCAGGGATGTCGCTATGAAGAAGCCACGGTCAGGGCTCTCATGGGGCTCACAGTCCTTGCAGGCTCTTTACAGTGGGGGTCCCACTGCCCGAGGACAGGTTGTGGCCTCCTTAGGAGATGAGATAGGTTTTGTCCCAGTCCACAGCCCCTCCTGGGGCTTGCTGCTTGAGAGGCAAGACAGATGGCAAGAGCTTCCCTGTGTGTATACAGTCTCTGCACATGACCTAGAATCCCCGAGCACAGAGAGAGATGCAGGAAGAGTCCCAGAACGTGCGGTGGAAGGCCCGTGACGTCTCTGACAGAGAACCGAGAGGACCTAGCTTGACGGACAAGGAAAAGGAATAGTCTCTCTCTGTGCCTTCTCCACAGCCCTCCCCTGGACGGCTGTGACTACCTCACTGAGGTCACAGCTAGTGAAGTTAGCAGCTGTGGGATTTGAACTCAGGTCTCCAAAGCTAAGGCTCATGCAAACTTCATTCTGCAACCTCCCCTGCCTGTGCACATGTGCACACACACACACACTTCAACCTCTGGCTCTAAGAACAAGTGGACACCCAAAAAGATAAAGGGGTGAAACAAAGATACCAAAGTGTCCCCCATGCAGCTGGCAGACCCAGAGAGGACCCTGGCACTCACTGCCACCACCAGGAGACCTGGCAGAGGTGGTGTTTGGCTCCATGGGTGCTGGAAGCAGGCCGGGCACTGAGCAAGCACTTTCCACGGCACGCCACACCCTCTGTGCAGGGCCATGGTAGCCTGCCCTGCTATTTGGGGAGAATTTAACAAGGCACCCCTGGCCTAACTATTAGAATGAGGTGCCACCTGGGAGGGCACATGGCTTAACGAGCAGAAGGCACTTTTGTGATTGAAAAAAAAAGAAAAAAGTGTCCTGTCAGCCCCTAACCAGAGCCCTAAGCAGTGCCCTGACTTTGTGGAAGCTGTTACTACCTCCCTGAGATCATGGCTAATGAAGTTAGCAGGTGTGGGATTTGAACCCAGGTCTCCAGAGCTAAGGCTCATGCAGACAGCTCTGCAACCTCCAAATCTGCAGCCAGATATGCATGCATGAGTGTGCGATACACGCATAAACCAAGCGGAGGGTGCTCAGGGGCTCGGGCCTCACAGGGAGACTCGGCCCTCTCTTGAGCGGTCTCCCAATCTTAGGAGAAACATCCCCACTCAAGGGAGCCCCGGAGAGGAAGGCAGAACTCTGCCCTCTGGAGACCCAGTCTGAGGGGGGAGACAGGGCCCTGTCCTGAGAAAGCCCAGTCTGAGGGGGGAGACAGGGCCCTGTCCTGAGAGAGCCCAGTCTGAGGGAGGAGACAGGACCCTGTCGTGAGAGAGCCCAGTCTGAGGGAGGAGACAGGACCCTGTCCTGAGAGAGCCCAGTCTGAGGGGGAAGACAGGACCCTGTCCTGAGAGAGCCCAGTCTGAGGGAGGAGACAGGACCCTGTCCTGAGAGAGCCGGGTCTGAGGGGGGAGACAGGACCCCGTCCTGAGAGAGCCCAGTCTGAGAAGGGAGACAGGTCCCTGTCCTGAGAGAGCCCAGTCTGAGGGAGGAGACATGGCCCTGTCCTGAGAGAGCCCAGTCTGAGAGGGGAGACAGGGCCCTTTCCTAAGAGAGCCCAGTCTGAGGGAGGAGACAGGGCCCTGTCCTGAGAGAGCCCAGTCTGAGGAGGGAGACAGGGCCCTTTCCTGAGAGAGTCCAGTCTGAGAGGGGAGACAGGGCCCTTTCCTGAGAGATCCCAGTCTGAGGGAGGAGACAGGGCCCTGTCCTGAGACAGCCCAGTCTGAGGGGGGAGACAGGGCCCTTTCCTGAGAGAGTCCAGTCTGAGAGGGGAGACAGGGCCCTTTCCTGAGAGATCCCAGTCTGAGGGAGGAGACAGGGCCCTGTCCTGAGACAGCCCAGTCTGAGGGGGGAGACAGGACCCTGTCCTGAGAGAGCCCAGTCTGAGTGCATATGACGGGGATGGGACACAGCCCTACTCTGGGCACTCCACCTGAAGAGAGCGATGAGACAATGGTGAAGGGATGGAGCCCTGCCAGGTCCCCTCTGCCCTTCACTCCTCACAGGCTGTGGAAGCCGGTTCTCCCGAGTCTTCCAGGCTGTGGTCAGGATGAGTGTCTTCAGCCCCAGGGTCTCACAAGGGAGAGCCAGGCAGAGAGGCAGGAGCCAGCACGGGGCTGTCACTCAGCCACACAGCTCCCCAGGGAACACTTTACAGCTTCACCTATTCTGCGTCGCCTGCTTGACGGAGCATCCAAAGCAATTCCAGGACTGTATTTCATTGTCACATTTATTTGCAAGGGGTGTCAGTCAGGCCCCAGAAGCCAGCGGCCCTGCTGCTCCTTGCATTTTGTCACATGTAAACACACATAGGCCCACACTCACTGGCACCCACCTTCAGGTACACCTCGAAACACACAGAGGACACCCAGAAACACAGAGTCATTGCACACATCATGGACATGCCAACTTGGGGTCTGTGAATCAGGGCTACCACATTGCACAATTCCAGGGGGCACCATTCATATATCACTGTTATATATATGGTCATTTATATGCACACAGCATGGTTCAGAGTGTCCCTTGTGCACGCGCACAGACACAAACACACACACACACAGAAGCACACCCTCAGTCACAAACAGATTCCTAGAGAGCCACAGGCCTCAAGCTAAGGGCACCACAACCAGGTTCTTCCCAGGCAGGCTGGCGGGAGACCCACCACACTCCCAGCCTCCTGGAGCCCGTAAGATCAGGAGACAGGAGCAGGAAAAGACTGGGGAGTTCTCAGAAGCCCCTCTCCACACCCCATAAGTTTCTGGAACTGAGAAGGCCCTGCTACCCACCCCCTAACACACATACACACACAGACACGGAGCAGGAACCTCTCCAGCCTCTGAGTGGAAGCCGAACCATTAGCACTAATTACCACCCTTGTTGGGAAAGGGATTTAATTAACTCTCCGCTGGGGCTCGGAGGGGAGCCAGGGACCAAGGCAGGCCTGCTGAGGCTGGGCCTCTTCCTCCATCCTGTGGCTTTTCAGGTTTGGGGGAAGAGCCTTGGGAGAGGGGGTGGGAGGCGGTCACAGGTCTGTACATCTGAATATGTCCTGACACCCATCACACACATTCCAATTATGCATGCATGTGCACAGACACACCTGGAAGTAGCCACACACCTGTGACCCCACACTTAAAAACTGATGATGGGCTGGGGCACAGTGGCTCACGCCTGTAATCCCAGCACTTCAGGGGGCCGAGGCGGGCGAATCACATGAGGTCAGGAGTTCGTGAACAGCCTGGCCAATATGGTGAAACACCGTCTCTACTAAAAGTACAAAAATTAGCCGGGTGTGGGGATGCACGCCTATAGTCCCAGCTACTCGGGAGACTGAGGCAGGAGAATCGCTTGAACCTGGGAGGCAGAGGTTGCAGATAGCCAAGACTGCACCACTGCACTCCAGCTTGGGAGACAGAGTGAGACCCTATTTCAAAAAAAAAAAACAGATGATGGATGGACGGGCCGACAGATGGATGAACATGAGTGGGTAGGTGGGTAATGAAGGTGTGGATACATGAAACTACAGCCAAGTACACGCAGGACACTTGCAGCTGTGTACCACACACAGTCCAGCCCAGGGACACGCATTAGACGTGTTCACATCTTCCTATGTGCACATTCTCGCCCTCTCCCTGCCTTCTTCCTTTTCTCTTTCCAGTGAAGAAAAGCTTTATAGAGTCGTGGTTGAGAACTGAACTCTGGAATTCAACTACTTGGATTTGAATGGTTGAAATTTCCCAGCTATGTGAACTTGGGCATGTTTCTGAAGCTTTCTGTACCTAAGCTTCTTCAGCTACAAGGAGAAGATGGTACCTAAATACAGGGTTTGTGTGAGGAATAAAAGAGATGAAAAGTCCTTAGAAGACATGGGAAGTACTTGGAAGAGTATCTGGTACATAGTAAAGCCTCGGTACACCCTGGCTATTATGGCTGAAGTGGCTATTTCTCCTACAGGGAACAATCTGGAGATTCCAGAAGTATCCAGAAAATGCTCATATCCCCAGGGAAGGAAGTTGAGACCTCTCTTCTCCTCCCCAGCAGCCCCTGCACGTGAGCGCGCGCGCACACACACACACACACACACACACACACACACACACGAGACCAGATCCCAGACCGAGCCCCGAAGTCTGGGAGGGAGTTCCCCTGGAGATCCCCCGGAGCCTGCAATCAGGCTGTGTGCAAAGACAGGCTGAGCCAGGCCCAGGAATAAGCCAGGGAGAGCCAACCTCCAGGGCCCCTGAGCCCCCAACCCCAAACAATGATATATATTTTCAATTTTCTCAAAGATTATATATTTTTTCCTCCAGACGTTCATCTTGCGTTTTTTGACCAGGATAAACTGAAAAATAATAAAATCCAGATGGGAAAGAGATACTCATTCGTCCTGTACGGATTGTGGCGCTGGCACCAGCCCTCCCCCGACTAGCTTCACCCCAAGGTGGAGGGAGCTAAAGAGCAGTTGGTCAGACTGGAACAGAAAGGCAGATTAGGGTGCGGGGCAGCTTACAGCCCCCACTGGTCTCACAGCCTGGTGACATGGGAAGGTCTGGGGTCCGAGCCACAGCACGAGGGCCTTGTCTCTGTGTGACCTTGGCTGACTAACTCCCTTCTTGGAGACTCATTCTCCCACCTGCAAAATGGGGATAATAATTTCTCAGTTGTCTGCCCCAACAGGTGGATGGGAGATTTAAATGAGCTGCACATGGGAGGGCTTTGTGAGCTGTGACCCCCTGCCCACACGAAGCAGCGTCTATACCTGAGTTGACTCAGTAAACCAACCCCGGCCTGAAGGGCCCTGGCTTCCCCCACCCACACTGGGCTTCTGACCTGGGTCTAACATATGAGCAGGGCTCTGGGCTTTAGGGCTGGGTCTAACATACAGGCTTCCTTATCTCTTCTGCAATTTACCTTGTCAAGCCTCCCTGACTCCAGCATGTTTCATCCTCAAATTCCACTGGATGGATTCCATAGCACCAGCACCTTGTCTAGCTTAGAAAGACTGCCAAGAGGGCCCCTCTTGTTGTGAAAGACCATCCAAGGAAGAAACTACAGACTCTCAGTCATCTATTTTAGAGCCCACTCCTTGGGGAAGTCCTTCCTAGTGTCTAACTAAAATTCACTTTGCTGCAATGTGTTTTCACTGCAACCTCTGCCTCCTGGGTTCAAGTCATTCTCAAGCCTCAGCCTCCCAAGTAGCTGGGATTACAGGTGCTCTCCACCACACCCGGCTTATTTTTGTATTTTTAGTAGAGATGGGGTTTCACCATGTTGGCCAGGCTGATCTCAAACTCCTGGCCTCAAGTGATCTGCCCGCCTCGGCCTCCCAAAGTGCTGGGATTACAGGCGTAAGCCACCATGCCTGGCCTTGTTTACTCTTTTTGTGGCCCAGTAGGATCCAAGTCTAGTTGACCAAGGACTATCATTTTCTGGCAAACAAAATAATTTCTCATGCCCCGTTCACAGAGGGGAGGCTGCCTAATGAATTTTTAAAACACTGGAGTCTGGAGTTCAAGTACCCACTCTGCCACTTACTGGCTGTGTGACCTTGGGCAAGTTACCTTGGGGGCTATATGGCAGCTCCAGCTCTTTCCCCTCACCCCAGCTCCAGCCTCCCCGCCAGGGGTGAGACTTTATCTCCCAGGAGCAGGAGGGAGGTGATTTGAAGGAGAACAGAAGCGCTGCTCACTCTGCCCAGAGTAATTGGTGGTAATCCCACAGCCGGGCCTATCACCTCACTCCCAGCTGTGGGGACGCCATGGCCTCATCATCCGTCATTAGTCGGGCTCTCCTGGCGGCTCAATTGTAGAACATGATTTTAATAACCCTGGCAGGAGGGGATCATTTTTCTTTTGTCACTTAACTCCGATTCTGTTGGAGAAAGACGAGACATGAAAAGAGAGAAAGACAGGCTGACAGAGTAAAAGAGGGTACTAGGGACAGAGTCAGGGAGGGAGATGCATCTAGACAGCTGAGGAAGGGGAAGAGGGCAGAGCTAAGGAGAAGCAGGGTGAGGAAGAGGCCCGGTGTGAAAAGAGCAGACAGAGAGAGGAGCTGGGCACTCCTTTCCACCATGTGGTTCCCAGGGTTGCTCTCTCGTTCTGGTCCCCGTCCCCTGCACCCACAGCAGAATGGAGTGGTCAGGTTGCGACACTCCCGATCACACAGGCTTAGACTGCTCCCTGGGGCTCAGCTTAGGGCCTCGAGTGGGTGGACAAAGAATCCCAGTGTTGGGGTGAGGGAGGCTAGGAGAGTTCCTGATTTGGGACTTTTAGCCTAAGAGCTATAATTCCTCTGGAACGCAGCTACAATCCAGTGCAGGGGTTGACAACACACGTGGGCGTCCAACAGGCCTGGGCGGCACACCCAGCCCTGCCACATGCTAGCTGAGTGGACTTGCTGGCCTTTCCTGACCTTGGTGTTCTCATCTGTACAACGGGCACCCACTTCACACAGTTGCTGGTGAATATAGGAGCTGATGGGTGTGCCACGCCTGACACAGTGCCCACTACAGAGAACAGACAACCTGGGCAGCCAAGAGGCTTCTCGGGACAGCATGAGCTGGGGCAAGGAACACGCCAGGAACCTGTGTTCAGACTTCTTGAGGCCTGGGAGGCATCTCACCCCACCAGATACCACCAGCAGAGGCAGGAAGGGGGCCACAGAGGAACTCTGGCAGCATTCAGGGGGCCCTCCAGGACTGCAGCCCAGACCCCCGCCTGGGCAAAGCAAACTTGCAGAACCAGGACCTGAGGCCTGCAAAGCTGGGGGCACAGCGCCACCTGCTGACCATTAGGAGGACGATACAAGAGACCTTTGTCTCTTTCTCCCAATGGCCAGCTGGGATGTGGAGACTGGAGCTTCAGGAAGGCATTAGATTGGAACCCTGGGTCCTTCTTCCTGTCTCAGACCCCACCAGAATCTCCTGGACAGGCCCAGGGGAAGGTGGTGACCAGGCTCATGGGGCAGGTCACAGCTCTCCAAGTCTGCATGTTTCCCTCCAAGCCCCAGGGTCTGGGCCCAGCCCTGGAAAAGAAACATCTTTCATTCAAGTCTGAAAGACTTTTCTGTGGACTGGGGACCTCAGAAAAGAGGGGATCACCCAGTTTCTAACATGGGGAGCCACAGTCTGGTTTGGGAGAAGCTAAAGGCAGTGCCTGGAGGTCAGGGGGTTCTAAGGCATGCAGGCCAGGGAGCACACAAGAAAAGGCCTGCCCGGAGGAAGAGCCTGGACTTGGGGCAGTCGGGGTGTAGCTGGGAACGTTGCAAGGAAGAGGGACCCCTTCGCGAGTCACTAACTCAGGGAGACTCATTTCCTCCGAGGGCCAGGTCTGTGGATGGGTTAGCCCCAGCACCATCTGGTGACCTGAAATGACATCCCCTCTCTAGGTCTGTGAAATGGGTGTGATGGGACAAGGTGGAGGCCCAGGTCTGTCCTGGGCCCAGGGCTCATAGTCCAATGGTGCCATCTCTGATATCTGCTTTCTCACATCCAGGAGGAAGCTGTGCTGCCCTCAGACCTACTGGTAATTCCTCTTTCCCAGGAAAGGCAAGCAAGCCCTACAGTGAGCTGAGAACCTGGGCAGGGAAAGAGGCAGGTCACGAGGGGAGTGGCTCTAATGTCCATCAGGGCCAAGGTCTGAGCAGGAGTGGGGAGGGACTGATCAGCATAGCTGCAGATCAGGCAGCAAAGGCTCAAGGCCTACAGACCAGTGGAGTTGGGTCCCTGTGCCTGAGGAGCATGGGTCAGGGTGTCCTAGGATGCTGGAGACCTTCAGGGACCAGACCGGAGCACAGGCATCTGGCCAGCTGAAGCCTTCGTCCCCAGACTCAGGCCAGTGGCAGGCCTCGCCCTTGTCAGACTGGGCCCAGAGCTCCAAGGGCTTACTCACACCCTTCCACCTGGTGTGGGGCTCCTCTGGGCACCCCCACCTGCCCCCTGACTTCAGGGATCTGGCAGCCCAGAATAGGGTGGGAGGCAGCCTCCACAGCCCCACTTGGCCCTCCCCCAGAGCCTGCTCTCCCTGGAAGCTTCTCTGAACCAGGCATGATGTGTGACATAGGGACTTGCCCCTTAGAAGCTCCCGGGGGTGTGGCTGCCCACATCACACATGGGTACCTGGGACCATCATTATTTCCTCCTCCTATCTGATGGAAAATGTATCCCATGTCATGTTCCCCTGGTCGCAACCAATCAGTGTCTAAGTCCTACTGATTCTCCCTCCTTGAAATCTCTCAGATCCATGATTTTCTCTCATCCTATGGCCTGGGCCACCTACAATCGCCTCTGTGTGTTGTCCACTGCCTCCCTCCACATCACTACAGAGGTACCTTCCAACTGCTGTGCCCCTCTCCAGCCACAAAGGCAGCTCCAGGAGCTCCTCTGCCACCTCTCCCAGACCCACCAGGTCCCTGTGGTCCCCTGAGGGTTTAGGGCATCCTGGAGGATCGCACACTCACGATAGGTAAGGACTGCGTGCCCCAGAGGATCACACGCTCGCGGTGTGTGAGGACTGTGTGCCCTGGAGGATCACGCGCTCGTGGTATGTAAGGACTGTGTGCCCAGAGGATCACATGCTCGTGCTGTGTAAGGACTGCGTGCCCAGCAGGGAGCTCATCCCCTACCAGGGAGCAGGGCACTCACAAGACACCGCGGACACGGGGCCGAGTCAGTCCTCTGGTCCTAGGCCTTGGCAGGACGCTCCAGCAGCCCACAGGTAATGCCCTGCTCTGCAGCATAGTCGGGAGATAGCCCGCACCCCCAGTCTCCCCACCAGCTTCTCCTCCTGTTTCTCCCCATGTGGGCCAGACCTGTTGGCCCACAGAACCCCTCCTTGCCCTTCCTGTACTCTGCAGTGGGGGGCTGACCCCTGCAGGCTGTGTGTCCCAGGGTCCTGGTCTACGGGCTTCTGCCTGGATTTGGCCAATCAGAAAGAGGCCTTGGTGGGAGATTGGAGGATGGGAGGAAGGGCCAGGGCATGTCCCAGCTTCCCTCCCACCTCAGGTAGCACCTCTGACAGCCACTGTTTTCCTCCTCGCTGCCAGGCTCACCACAAGGCTAACTCAGCCCCTGAGTTCCAGGAACCTGGCCTCCGCCCTTTGTCTCTCCCGCCTAAGAGTGGTCATGGCTTCCAGCTGTTCATGGCCTCTGGGTTTGTCTCTCTGTCCCCTGATTGGTCCTTCCCTCTGTAGAGCTGCCCCACACACAACCCTAGTTCTGCTTCTTTCCTCTCACAAAAATGCCCAAAAGAGAGAATTTAAAGGACCATCAGAAACCCCCCACAACCCCCACTCCTCCCAATATGGGTGTGCACACGCACACACTCGCTCCCTGAGTGCCGAGGGAAAGCTGACCCTTAGAAACAGGAAGGGTCCTGGCTCCTCGATGGAAGTAAAGGATTATCTTTCCATTTCTTCCTGCTGCTTCTCTACCGCCGCTGCTGCCACCACCACCCGACCAGGACAGGTGAAAGGGCTCTGGAAGAGAAGAAAAATGCTCCCACCCCGTTAGACTGTCTGCAAGATATCATCTCAGCACCCTGCACAGAATGTCCACTGCCTCTCCCATAGGCCCTGGGAGGAAAGAGCAAAAAGGGGTGGTCATCCAGGCTGGACACCAGAGTCCCTGTTCTCAGCTGAGTCCCCCAAGACATCACTGCCACCCAAAACAGAGGACCTCGCAGTGTGGCCACTCTGCCTGGAGGCCAAGGGGAGGAGAAGGATCCTTGCTGGCTTTTTTGGCTCCCTGATCTGGAGGCCTTTCCTCATTCTCACTGTGAGGAAAGACTCCCCTACCAGCCGTGAGTTCCCCTATTTTCCCATCCACCTAGGTGGGCACTTCCGTTCAAAAGGGTTAAGCCATCCAGGCGCAGTGGCACACGCCTGTAATCCCAGCACTTTGGGAGGCCGAGGCGGGCAGATCACCTGAGGTCAAGAGTTCCAGACCAGCCTGGCCAACATGGTGAAACCCTGTCTCTGCTAAAAATACAAAAAAAAAAAAAAATTACCTGAGCGTGGTGGCAGACACCTGTAATCCCAGCTACTCATGAGGCTGAGGCAGGAGAATCACTTGAACCCAGGAGTCAGAGGTTGCAGTGAGCCAAGATCACTCCATTGCACTCCAGCCTGGGCAACAAGAACAAAACTCCAACTAAAAAAGAAAAAAAACAGGAGCCACTGCTAACTGTTCCACAGACTCTTGAAAAGGTTAAACAGGTTAATACATGGAAAGGGCTTAGTTGGAATGACTAACACATAGCAAGCAATATATGAACATCACATGAATAAAAAATGTGGCAACAGGTCCCATTGTTCTTTTTGTTGAATATGTCTTCTACCTATTTATCAAAATTCCATTAAACTCGCCCAGTTGACACATGTGCTCTCCTCCCACATAAAACCCACATGTCCCAGACTCTCTTGCAACTAGGTCTGGTCATGTCACCATGCCCCTGGATCTGAGTGTTTTGTTCTTTGGGGTTTTTTGGGGGGGTTGGGGGAAGGGTCTTGCTCTGTCACCCAGGCTGGAGTGCAGTGGGGATGATCATGGCTCACTGTAGCCTCTAATTCCTGGGCTTAAGTGATCCTCCTGACTCAGCCTCCCAGATGGCTGGGATTACAGGTGCACCACCCTGCCTGGCTAATTTGGGGAGTTTTTGTGTTTTATTTTTGTAGATATGGGGTCTCACTATGTTGCCCAGTCTGGTCTTGAACTCCTGGCTTCCAGCAATCCTCCTGCCTCCGCCTCCCAAAGTGCTGGGATTACAGGTGTGAGCGACCATGCCCAACCTGGATCTGAGTGTTGTGTGGCAATTTCTGGAACCTTACTGCAAAGAAGGCTGGGGCTGGCCTTTTGCACCCCTTCTGTACCCTATCCTCCAAGCTGTTTCTGGAGTTGCCATCTGCAACCACAGGAATGAGGCCGCACCCTGGGGATGAGAACAGTAAGCTGGAAGGAGCCTGTGCCCCGGACACTGCAGAGCCCCTCTCCAGCCCCGGGCTGCTCCAAATGGGCTTCTACATGACACAGAAAGAAACTTTCCTTTTGTTTAAGCCCCCAAGCAAATACACTTTCCCAGTAGCCATGAAGATGAAAACAGTGGCCCCAGACTTGGGCACTCCAGCTGAGAATGCCAGTCGGGAACCCACACACCAAAGGACGACTCTCTCACACCACAGGAGGTACTGCACATGCCTTCTGAATCCCGGAAGGACAAGCCTGGGCATTGTAGGCAAGCAATCCACCTCAACCCATGGGCTTTGACTCTCACAGATGAGAAATGTAAGGACTCATCCTCTGTGGCTCACTCCCTCAAAGAGTTTCTCACGTGGGCCTCTGCCTTTAGAAGTCGGGTTTTGGCTGGGCGCGGTGACTCATGCCTGCAATCCCAGCACTTTGGGAGGCTGAGAATGGGAGGATCGTTTCAGCCAGGAGTTCAAGACCAGCCTGCGCCACATAAGGAGACCCCGTCTCCACAAAAAATAAAATAAAAATAAAAATAAAAATTCCCTGTAAGTTTTTGGGATCCAGGTGGTGTCTGGTTACGTAAGTTCTTTAGTGGTGATTTGTGAGATGTTGGTGCACCCATCACCCAGGCAGTGTACACTGCACCCTATTCATAGTCTTTTATCCCTCGCCCCTCCCACTCTTCCCCCCAAGTCCGTTGTATCCTTCTTATGCCTTTGGGTCCTCATAGCTTAGCTCCCACATATCAGTGAGGACATACGATGTTTAGTTTTCCATTCCTTTTTAAAATTTAGCCAGGTGTGGTGGCATGTGCCTATGATCCCAGCTGGGGAGGCTGAGGCAGGAGGATCATTTGAGCCCAGGAGGTCAAGGCTGCAGTGAGCCGTGATTGTGCCACTGCACTCCAGCCTGGGCAACAGAGCAAGACCCTGTCTTAAAAAAAAAAAAAAAAAAGAGGAAGTCAGGCTTCTTCCCATTTGTGCTTGACATTCTCTGCCACCTGGGAACAGAAAAACTGAGGCTGAACTCACTGGAGTTCTGTCCCTCTTTAGATGGTCAAAGTCATCTTGTGGGGCTCATAAGGTCAAAGGATGGTATTTGGGGGCATCTCCATTGTTCCCACCACCCTTGGCACAGTTTCTCATTGTGTGACTTTGTCTGCCCCAGTGCCCACAATGACATGGCAGTGCACCTAAGGAGGGTCCTGAGCCTTCTAGCAGGGCCCCTGTCCCTCCTCCCTTTGATCCGCACACTGAGAACAGATGGGAGCACGAGGGGGTCTGGCAGCTCTGAGCAGCTGCTGTCTGACCACTCCTGAAACTCTCGCTCTTTCTTTTTTTTTTTTTTTTTTTTTTTTTGAGACAGAGTTTCTCTCTTCTTGCCCAGGCTGGAGTGCAAATGGCACGATCTTGGCTCATGGCAATCTCCACCTCCCAGGTTCAAGCAATTCTCCTGCCTCAGCCTCCTGAGTAGCTGGGATTACAAGCATCCTCTATCACACCCGGCTAATTTTTGTATTTTTAGTAGAGACAGGGTTTCACCATGTTGGCCAGGCTAGTCTCAAACTCCTGACCACAGGTGATCCACCCACCTCGGCCTCCCAAAGTGCAGGGATTACAGGCATGAGCCACCGTGCCCAGCCAACTCTCACTCTTTCAAGAGCCCCATTTACCCTGGGGATTCCATAAGTGGCCTGTGAATGAGTCCAGCAGGACAGAGCGGTGGCGCCCCCATTCCCGAGCCTACACTGACATGTTTGACAGCCCAGGAGCTTGCTGGACCTAAGAACCCTCAGTTCCAGTATGCCCGTGAAGTGAGTGGAACCATCACCCTTCCATCCTTCTAGTCCTCACTTGAGTGGAATCCACGCTGTCTGCATGTGTCAAGTCCCTGCTGCTTAAGCTCTTTGGCCTCCCTAGAGGACAGCCTGGCAGGACTCGCCAGGCACTCATACCCTAAGGGTATCAGCGGCCACTTGGCAGGGTGGCTGGAGGGGAGGATCACTGTATCCATCACAGGTGCCACAGTTGGGCTGTTAGGGCACCTGAGGATCCCGAGGGCCATCCAAATGACCATGAATGTGCACATCTTGCCACCACCCCTTCTCCTGCCCATAGTGTCCCCTGCATGGAACCATCCTCCTTGCTTCCTTCAAGCTGGGCTTTTGATCACTAGAAGATGGGCAGGCAGTGGGGATGGCATTATTCATGTTGTGCTGGTGGCAGGGAATCAACTAACGAGAATCATGTCTGGGAGGGAGTAGAGACGTGCAAACTCTCCACTGGAACTAGCTTGTGGCAGGAGGTACTAGCCACTTAGTGAATTGCAGGGCTCTATGTGAGGTGTGTCAGGCTATTGGCCCCATAAACCTACCCAGGAATCTGTTAAATGGGAAGCCATGAAAAATGAACTACAAACTCTTCCCTGTTGAGGTGGTGATACAGTCTGGCTGTGTCTCCACCAAAATCTCATCTTAAGTTGTAGCTCTCATAATTCCCACGTGTTGTGGGAGGGACCCAGTGGGAGATAACTGAATCGTGGAGGCAGTTTCTCCCATACTGTTCAACGGTAGTAAGTCTCTGGGCTGGGCGCAGTGGCTCACGCCTGTAATCCCAGCACTTTGGGAGGCCGAGGTGGGCAGATCACGAGGTCAAGAGATCGAGACCATCCTGGCTAACACGATGAAACCCCATCTCTACTAAAAGCACAAAAAAAAAATTTGGCCGGGTGCAGTGGCTCACGCCTGTAATCCCAGCACTTTGGGAGGCCGAGGCGGGTGGATCACGAGGTCAGGGGATCGAGACCATGGTGAAACCCCATCTCTACTAAAAATACAAAAAAAAATTAGCCGGGCACGGTGGCAGGCGCCTGTAGTCCCAGCTACTCAGGAGGCTGAGGGAGGAGAATGGCATGAACCCGGGAGGTGGAGCTTGCAGTGAGCCAAGATCGTGCCACTGCACTCCAGCCTGGGCGACAGAGCAAGACTCCGTCTTAAAAAAAAAAAAAAGTCTCACGAGATCTGATGATTTTATAAGGGGAAACCCCTTTCGCTTGGCTCTCATTCTGTCTCTGCCTGCTGCCATGTAAGACGTGCCTTTTGCCTTCCACCATGATTGTGAAGCCTCCCCAGCCAGGTGGAACTGTGAGTCCATTAAATCTCTTTTTCTTTATAAATTACCCAGTCTTGGGTATGTCTTTATCAGCAGTGTGAAAACTGACTAATGCAGGTGGTCCACCTAAAAAGGGTGATTTCATTTCTGGCTGATAGAGGAAGTTTTGTTGTATTAATTCATAGTTGTTCCAGTGGAGACACCACTGCACCAAGACCTCCCTCAGAGGAATTATTCCTCTTGACTTCTCTCCTCATACGGAGAGATGTTTGTGGGGAATATTGAGGCTATTTTCTTTTTTACCCTTCAACTCCTAGTCTGTTGCTTGTCTTTTAACTTTGTTTATGGTGTTATTTGTCTTATTGAAGATTTTTATTTTTATGAGGTCAAACCTGAAAGTACTTTCCTTTATGGCTTCTGAGTTTGTGCCTTGCTTAGAAAGGCCTTCTCCATCCCAAGAAAACATTTTTCAAGAAGCATCACTCCAGTTCCAGGGGAGGCCACCTGGACCCTGTCTAGGGCAGACAGGCTACCAAGATGCTGCAGGGGGCTCCCCCGGGACATTCTGGAGGCTGATGGAACATCTCAGTGGCCTAGAAATAATGACAGTGATTGTAGCAAAATGTGCGCTCTTCTTTTCAAAAAACTTTTTATTATGGAAAATTCCAGACAGCAGGGTAACAGAGGACTCTGAGCTCCTATGTTATCCCTGCCCCCACAATTCTCTGGGCAGGTGAAGTCCTCCTCATGTTACACACCCTGCCCCACGCTCCCCCTCACTGTCTTTCTGCAGTGCAGTGGCTCACACTGCTCAGATCCACTCTGACACCCAGCTCTTTTTCTTCTCCCCTGTGTCTTGCCCTGGAGCGCCCAATCTCTGCCCCAGCAAGGACCTCTCTGATGGTTTTGTTCCCCCACATGTCACCTGTTAGAAAAATTCTGCCTTCTCAGTACCAGGCTTGGGCCCAAAGGGACTCCTAATCCCATTCTCGATTTCTCAGAGTTACTCCACCACCCCCCACCACTCCCACCCCACCAGGCTGCCAGTCAGAGGAGTGTCCCATGCTGGTCTTCCTGGTTTCTCTAGATCCCCATCCACCATCAGACCATGAAGAGCTTGCAGCCATGGGGAGCCATTGGAAGGTCTGGGGCATGGGACTGAGCCCCTCCGCTGGGGCACTGGCAATAGGGGAGGGACTGTTGAAACAGGAGCAGAATGATGTAGGCCTCGCTCTCTCTGTCAGTCCTCAACTTGCCCTCCCCAATACCAGCAATCTTTCTAAATGAACCCCTACCAAATGGGGTTCACAGTCCTCCATCTCAGTGCTCAGCAGGTTCGAAGGGCACCTACTCTGGGCCACACATTCAGGGAGCAGGGACCACACCCCAAACTGCCCCTGAAACAAATCACCTACCCCATCACCACAGCTTTTTTGTCCCCTCTGAGCCTGGCGTGGACCACTCCCCTCTGTTCTACTGCCCCACATCCTCTCCCACCTGTACCAGAAGCCTTCCTTC
This sequence comes from Homo sapiens, assembly GCF_000001405.40. Taxonomy (NCBI): domain Eukaryota; kingdom Metazoa; phylum Chordata; class Mammalia; order Primates; family Hominidae; genus Homo; species Homo sapiens. Next base: position 36,507,720 of record NC_000001.11, on the reverse strand, counting down.
AAAAAGCCAGCTTTGCTTAGCTGCCCGTCTCCTCCAAATCCTGAGGGCACCTAGGGACTCAGCCTATGGTGTCTGTTGCTTGGTCCCTCCAGAGACTGCCTTGGGTTGCCCAGTGAGACTGCAGACTGCCCTCAAGGGCAGTGACTGCCTTCTACCTTTCCATGTACCTGTCCCCCCAAGTCCATCCCCTCCACCACCCCCACATATCTTGGCCACACCACTGAAAGAGCCGTTGGTGCAGCTGTAGCAAAATCAAAAACCAAACCCAAGGCCAGATGAGGAGTGACTGACTCTCCATTATCCACCCCCAGCAAGAAACAGTGGCCCAGCCAGGAGTTCCAGGAGGGCTGAAGGGCACAGGCTGGGAGGGGCAACTCACTCCAAATGCCCACTCCCCACACCCTGTCTAGCAGGAGCTCTGGACTTTCTCTCTGCCTCCCCTTCCCCTCCCTCCCCTGCCCCATGAGGTCAGCACCTGTGACCCCTGATTCCTCCCCTTCCGTGCCCAGAAATGGCTCTTGCCTAAGTCACCTGCTCCTCACCAAAGGCTTTCTCTTTGTCTTTAACATCCTTTGCTTCACTTCAGAATTCTAAGAACTCATTTTATAAAGGTACTGAGGCCCAGAGGGGGCTGCAACTAGTTACTTGCTCCCTGGTACATTAGCTGAAGGGCTGGGGCTCCACCAGACACTTGCACACAAGCCCTAAGTGAGTGAAAGGCAGAGCTAGGATTTGCACACAGTCATTCTGGCTCCAGAGCTGCAGCTCTCAATAGTATCCTACATGGCTTCCATTGACCATGCTGTTGTCATAATTTTGAAAAATATGTATGCTTCATCTTTTTCCCAAAAGGACATGAAATGGCATTATAATAGGAAAGATTCGTTCATTCAATGGATTCTTATTGCTCAAGAGAAAAAATAGCAATCTTAAGGGTTGCCATAGATGCTGTGATTAATCTGGAAATTTGGACTTGAGCTTCCTGGCAGCCGGGGCAAAAACTGAAACACTCTTACTATCAGAAAAGAGGAAGCAGATCAGTTCCTCCACAGGGACAAATATTTCCAGGAACAAATTCTGAAAGAGGCTTCTCACATGGGGCTTCATATCGGGACATGGTGTGACATCATAAAATCTTCTAAATCTTCTAAACAATTTGACAAAAAGAACAGATGGAGAATTTTCAGTGTAAGCACAGGGTAGGCACTGTGTCAGGCGAGCTTGGAGATAACAGACTCAGGGACCCCAGCATATGGACTGCCTGTTGGCTAGAGCTCAGAAAAGCTAGAATTTTCTCTACATGTTTCAGCTCTTGGCTAGATTTTATCTTTTGAGAATAGACAACTGTAGTTGGTCTTCTGACAGCTTTCAAAATACTTCCAGGGGCGGGGTGGGGGCTGCAGAACCCCAGGCTATGGAAACTAGAAATGCTCCAAGAAGGGTAGTTCTGTTTGGAAAAGTGAGATGTCATGTACACATTCACTTATCAGATCTCTATTAAGGGTCCCTTTGTGCCAGGTGTTGCACTGGGTGGAATGGAGACCAGTGAAATAAATAACACAGAATTCTGGCCAGGCGCAGTGGCTCACGCCTGGAATCCCTGCACTTTGGGAGGCCGAGGTGGGTGGATCACCTGTGGTCAGGAGTTTGAGACCAGCCTGGCCAACATGGTGAAACCTGGTCTCTACTAAAAATACAAAAATTAGCAAGGCGTGGTGGCATGTGTCTGTAATCCTGGCTACTCGGGAGGCTGAGGTGGGAAAATCACTTGAACCCAGGGAGGCGGAGGTTGTAGTGAGCTGAGACTGCGCCATTGCACTCCAGCCTAGGTGACAAGAGTGAAACTCCATCTCAACAAATAAAATAAAAAATAACAGGGCTCCTAACCTCAAATAATTCAATCCTTAACAGGAAAAAAAAAACATATTTTTTGAGCAGCTACTATGTGTCAGGCATCGAGCTGAGTGCTTCGCATCTAGTATCTCATTTATTGTTTCTTTTTTTTGGGCGGGGGACAGAGTCTCTCTCTGCCGTCCAGGCTGCAGTGCTGTGGTACAATCTCGGCTCACTGCAACCTCCACCTCCCAGGCTCAAGCAATTCTCATGCCTCAGCCTCCTGAGTAGCTGGGATTACAGGTGTGCACCACCACACCCGGCTAATTTTTGTATTTTTAGTAAGAGATGGGGTTTCACCATGTTGGCCAGGCTGGTCTTGAGCTCCTGAGTGCAAATGATCTGCCCTCCTCGGCCTCCCAAAGTGCTTGGATTACAGGAGTCAGCCATCATGCCCAGCCCTATTTAATATTTCTAACAATCCTATATAATAAGCACTATTATTGCTACCCACAACATAGCACCAGGCAGCAAACAAAGCCTCTCTGAAGGATAGCATCCCCAACTTAGGCACTCAAGATTGCCAAAGAATATACAGTTATCCCTTGGTATCCATGGGGAATTGGTTCCAGGACCTCTACAGATACCAAAATCTGTGGATATTCACGTCCCTTATCTTAAGTGACAGTGGGGTAGGCATGGTGGCTTATGCCTGTAATCCTAGCATTTTGGGAGGCCGAGGTGAAAGGATGATTGGGCTCAGGGGCTCCAGACTAGACTGGACAACATCGTGAGACCCCCATCTCTAAAAAGAAATTAGACCAGGCGCAGTGGCTCATGCCTGTAATCCCAACACTTTGGGAGGCCGAGGCGGGTGGATCAGGAGGTCAGGAGATCAAGACCATCCTGGCTAACATGGTGAAACCCCGTCTCTACTAAAAATACAAAATAAATAAATACATACATACATACATAAGAAGAAATTTAAAATTAGCTGGATGTGGTGGTGTGCACCTGTGCCCCTGTAGTCCCAGCTACTTGGGAGGCTGATGTGGGAGGATCACTTGAGCCTGGGAGGTGGAGGCTACAGTGAGCAACTGTATTGTGTCACTGCACTCCAGCATGGGAGACAGAGTGAGAGTCTGTCTCAAAACAGAACAAAACACCATAGTATTTGCATATAACATACACACACCCTCTCATATACTTTAAATTATCTCTAGGTTACTTATAATACCTAATACAATGCATACACATCACTTTGTTCTAATGGATTCAAAATAGTACTTGGCACACAGGAAAATAGTACTTGGCACACAGCAAGTTCAAGTTTTGCTTTTTGGAACTTAGCGGAATTTTTTTTCCAAGTATTTTCCATCCTCGATGGGTTAAATCCAAGATGCAGAACCCACAGATACAGAGGACCAACTATACATATAAATCCACAATTAAAAAAAAAATCACCAAACACACAAGAGGCAATTGTTAGCAGAAATAACATACAGTAGATATAGATCCCTAAGGATAACAGAAATTGTAATTATCATAATTACAGTAAATGAAATAACTATAATTGAAGATTTTAAAGAAATAAAAAATGAAATCACAAAAGTGATCAAATCACAAGAGATAATTTTTAAAAATAGATCTGGAAAAGAACAGCAGAGAACTTTTAGAAATGAAATAACTTGTTGAAACCAAAAATTCAACAAATGGGTTAAACAGCATATTAGACACAGTTGATGAGACAGAGTGAGCTGGAAGATTAATCTGAAGACATTACACAATTTTCAGCACAGAGACAAGCAAATGGACAATATGAAAGACAGGTTAAAAGCAATAGCAGGTAGAATAAAAGTCCCAGAAAGAGGATAGAGAGAGAAAGAGGGAGAGGCAATATTTGAAGAGATAATGGCTGAGAACTTTCCAGAACTGATGAAAGGCATGACTTCACAGACACTGGGAACGTAACATACATCTAACAACATAAATAAAAGGAAATTCACAGCTAATCACAGTGTGGAGAAACTGCATAACACCAAAGACAGAGATCTTAAAAGCAGCCACACAGAAAAGACATGCCACCCACAAAGGAAGGATAATTAAATGACAGCACACCTCTCAAAAGCAACAGTGAAAGCCAGAAGACAGGGACGAGCTTCAAAGTTCTGGGAGAAAATAACTGTCAACCTAGAATTGTGAACTTAGCAAAACCATCTTCCAAAGCTGACGGTGAAATGGAAACATCTGGATTTTTTTCAGAGAAAGAAAAGCAAAAAGCATTTACCAACAACAAATCTTTACTGAAGAATATGCTACAAGAAAAAGGGAAATTACCCCAGAAGGAAGGACTGGTATGCACAAAAGAATAGTAAGCAAAGAAATTGATAAACAAATAAATCTATACAAATATTATATAAAATAATGACAACAGACGGGAACAGTAAGGAAATAATTCAAAAACTGCACCAAAAAGAGAGTATGTAAACCTGTAGGGGAAGATCACAGCCAAAGGGTTCAAAGTTCAGTCTATTATTTAGGAAGGTGGTTGAGAAACTCATAATCTGAGATTTCTTTAGGTATGCAGGATAGAATTTCAAAAGCAATCAATAGAATCTATCTATTTCAACAGAAATATAGAAGCAATCTATCTATTTCAATAGAAATATACAAGTAGGGTATATAAATTCCAAATCAATAAAGGAGGTAGAAAAGCATAGAGTAAGAAAATAAACAAACTCAATAAATCCAAAGGAAGAACCAGTAGGAAGAGAAAGAATAGGGGGAGGGGGAATAGGATAAGAAAGATAACAAAAATAACTCGAGATGTATCTATAATCACAATAAACTAAAAGTCTATGTGTGCTATTTAAAATACATATTGTTAGATTGGATTTTTTAGAATCCAGCTCTATGCTGCATATGGTGGCATATCTAAAACACTGAAACATAAGGAGATAGATTGAAAGACCACACAAACACTAATCAAAAGAAAGCTGGAGGCCGAATGCAGTGGCTTACACTTGTAATCTCAGCACTTTGGGAGGATGAGGTGGGAGAATTGCTTGAGGCCAGGAGTTTGAGGTCAGCCTGGGCAACATAGCAAGACCCCCATCTCTACAATAAAAAATAATTAGCAGGCATGGTGGTGTGTGTCTATAGTTCCACCTACTCAGGAGGCTGAGGTGGAAGGGTTATTTGAGCCAAGGAGTTTGAGGCTGCAGTAAGCCATGATCACACCACTGCACTCCAGCCTGGGTGACAGAGCGAGCGAGATCCTGTCTCTAAAAAAAATTTACGACATTTTTTAAAAAAGAAAGCTGGGAGAGCTACACTAAAATCAGAAGAAAAACAGACTTTAAGATGCAAAGCATCTTAAAAGGGATAGAAAAGTTAGCTTTTTCTGGAAGACACAATTCTTAATCTACATGTAAAGTAGCCTCAAAAATTATAAATCAGCAGTTGATGAGACTGCAGGGAAAATACAAAACCCACCCTCATGGAGAGAGATTTGAAGACTCACGTCTCCATAACTGGCAGGTCAAGCAGACAGAAAATTAGTCAAGCAGGATTTGAATAATATATAGCAAGCAAGGTGGAATGGAAGTTTATGGAACGCTGCATCTAGAGACTAAACTTCTCAAGCACACATTTTTTTTAATTTTTTTAATTTTTTTTTTCTCAGAGACAGAGTCTCATTATGTCGCTCAGGCTGGAGTACAGTGGCACAATCATAGATCGCTGTAACCTTGAACTCTTGGGCTCAAGCAATCCTCCCACCTCAGCCTCTCCAGTGGCTGGGACTACAGGCACATACCACCATGCCCAGCTAATTTTTTTTTAGAGACAGGGTCTCACTATGTTTTTGTTTTTGTTTTTGTTTTTGTTTTTGTTTTTGTTTTTGTTTTTGAGACTGAGTCTCCCTCTGTCGCCCAGGCTGGAGTGCAATGGTGTGATCTCAGCTCACTGCAACCTCCGCCTTCTGGGTTCAAGCAATTCTCCCGCCTCAGCCTCCCGGATAGCTGGGATTACAGGCACGCACCACCACGCCCGGCTCATTTTCATATTTTTAGTAGAGACGGGGTTTCAGCAGACTGGTCTTGAACTCCTGACCTCGTGATTCGCCCACCTCAGCCTCCCAAAGAGCTGAGATTACAGGCATGAGCCACCATGCCTGGCCAGGGTCTCACTATGTTGCCCAGGCTGGTCTCAAACTCCTGGTCTCATGGGATTCTCCCACCTCTGCTTCCCAAAATACTGAGATTATAAAAATTATTTTAATTGACCATGTACTAGGTTATCAAGCAAGACTCAATTCCAAAGAATCATCATCACACACATCATTTTCTCTAACTGTGCTGCATTTAAATTAGAACTCAGTGAGAAACAGATAAATTTAAAATTCACATACATTTGAAAACTTTAAAGCTTTCTTCTGAGTAATTCATAAGTCAAAGAAATAACTATATATTTTAAGGCACTTAAAGCAGAATGATAATGGAAACAGTGCTAATCGGCCAGACACGGTGACTCATGCCTATAATCCAGCACTCTGGAAGGCTGAGGTGGGCAGATCACCTGAGGTCGGGAGTTCGAGACCAGCCTGACCAACGTGGAGAAAACCTGTCTCTACTAAAAATACAAAATTAGCTGGGCATGGTGGTGGGCACCTGTAATCCCAGCTACTCAGGAGGCTGAGACAAGAGAATCGCTTGAACCAGGGAGGCAGAGGTTGCGGTGAGCCGAGATCACGCCATTGCACTCCAGCCTGGGCAACCAGAGTGAAACTCCGTCTCAAAAGAAAAAAAAAAAAAAAGAAAGAGAGAAAGAAAACAGTGCTTATCGAAACAGAGAGAGCCAAAGCAGCACTTCTAACAAAATATAGAGCCTTGAAAGTTTAGCCCAAAAATTAATAAATGAAGCCCCAACTTAAGAGCTTATAAAAAGAACCATAAAATAAGTCCACAGGAAGTAATAATAAAACTAAGAAGAAAAATTAATTACATCAAAGTGAAGGTGCAGTAAAAAAAAAAAAAAATGTACACACACAACAAAGTCAAAAATTGGTTTCTCAAAAAGGCTAATAAAAGACAGACCTCTGGCAAGATTGATGGAAAATAAAAGAGAGAAGTCACCAAAAATTCTTATTAAAAAATTTTGAGGCAACATATTTACAGATACAGAAGATACTAGAAAGATAGAAAGTGAAATACTGTGATCAACTGTGTATCAAGGCACAGATCATTCCAACTTAAAAAGCCCTTACAGAGAATAGAAAAAGACAGAGCACTCCCCAGCCCCTTCCATGAGGACAGTACAACCTAGATTCCAAAATCTAACAAAGAGAGTGTGAGAAAGGAAAAATTACAGGCCAATTTCACTCAATAGCATAGACACCAAAGTCTTAAACAAGATAATATCAACTTGAATCCACCAGTACATAAAAATGACAATATTTTATGGCTAAGTTGGGTGTATCCTAGAACTGCAAGGAAGTTTCAATATTATAAAGCTATAAATGTACTCATCACATTAACAGACTACATGAGAAACACTACATTATTTTTTCTTTTTAAAAAATTTTTAAATGTTTTATTGTAAATTGACAACTTATAATGGTATATATTTATGGAGTACAAACTGATATTATGATTTATAAATATAATGTGGAATAATTAAATCAAGCTAATTAACATATCTATCACCTTAAATACATATCATTTATTGTAGTGAGAACATTGAAAATTTACTCTCTTAGCAATTTTGAAATGTGCAATACATTATTAACTGTCATTTTAATAGATGAAGAAGTATTTTATATGATTTAACCTTCATGATTTTTTTTTTAAAACTCCTGGAAAACTAAGAATAGAAGGAAAATGTCTTTTTTTTTTTGAGACAGTGCCTCACTCTGTCACCCAGCTGGAGTGCAGTGGCGTGATCACAGCTCACTGCAACCTCCATCTCCTGGGCTCCAGCAATCCCCCTGACTCAGCCTCCAGAGTGGGGGCTGGGACTACAGGCACACACCACCACACCCATCTAATTTTTTTATTTTTAGTAGAGATGAGGCCTTGCTGTATTGGCTAGGCTGGTCTTGAACTCCTGAACTCAAGCTATCCTCCCACCTCAACCTCCCAAACTGCTGGGATTACAGGCATGAGCCACCATGCCCAGCTTGAAAACTTTATTCTTAATGGGAAACATTATCATTCCCTTTAAAATAACGAAAAGGCAAAGATGCTCACCACTGCTGCTTCTCTTCAAAGCCAGACTGGTAGTTCTAGCCAATGCAGTGAAACTAAAAAAAAAAAAAATGAAATAAAACATATAAAGGTTGGAAGGGAAAAAATGTGCATCATTCATGGATTCTATGTTTATTTACCTAGAAAACCCCAAAATCAGGCCAGGCGTGATGGCTCATGCCTATAATCCTAGCACTTTGGGAGGCCGAGGCAGGCGGATCATCTGAGGTCAGGAGTTCGAGACTAGCCTGGCCAACATGATGAAACCCCATCTCTACTAAAAATACAAAAATTAGCCAGACATGGTGGTGGGCGCCTGTAATCCCAGCTACTTGGAAGGTTGAGGCAGGAGAATTGGTTGAACCTGGGAGGCAGAGGTTGCAGTGAGCCAATTTCGTGCCACTGCACTCCAGCCTGGGCAACAAAGCGAGACTCCATCTCAAAAAAAAAAAGAAAGAAAGAAATAGAAAAACCCCAAAATCTACAAATAAAATGTTAGAATAAGAGATTTAACAAAGTCGCTAGATTTTAAAAACAATATATAAGAGGAAAGGAGAAAAATACCTTTAGTTAAAGCAATTATATTTAAGAGATGCATTTTAAAAATACATATCATCTACAATTTCAACAAAAAATAAGGTAACCAGGAATAAAGCTAACAAAAGATATGTGAGACCTGGATGGAAAGAATTATAAACGTTAAAGACACAGCTGGGTGCAATATCTCCTGCCTGTAATCCCAGCACTTTGGGACGACAAAGAGGGTGGATCACTTGAGCTCAGGAGTTGGAGACCAGCCTGGGCAACATAGCGAGACCTCATCTCTAAGCTGCAGTGAGCTGTGATTATGCCACTACACTCCAGCCTGGGCGACAGAGCAAACCCCATCTCAAAAAAAGAAAAAATAAATAGAGACAATAAATAATAACTTTTAAAAATCCTTCATGAATAAGGAGACTCAGTATTTGGATATATCTATTTCCTCTAAATTGATCTATAAAATCAATGCAACTCCAATCAAAATCACAACAGAATTTGTGTGGATCCTGACAAGCTAATTCTAAAATACCTTAGGGAGAGCAAAGGCACAAGAATAGGCAAAACTGGGGAGAAAAACAAGGTGGGATAGCATGCCCTATCAGATATCAAGACTTATAAATGTAATGTAATTGAGACAGAATGAGATTGACACAGGGATGATGAAGTAGACCAATGGAATAGAATGAAGAGCCTCAAAATGAGCCACAAATATATGGAAATGTGATATATGACACAGAGGTAGCACTGCAGATCACTGGGGAAGGGAAGAGCTATTCAATAAATGAATTGTTCAATATCTACACAGAAAAGCATAAAATCGAATCCATTCACCAAATCATAAGTGATATCTATTCCAGGTGGATTCAAAACAAACAGGAAAGGCAAAACTTTTAAACTCATAAAAGAAAATATAGAAGAATATCTTTATGACCTCAGAATAGGAAAGGCTTTCTTCAACAAGATAAAAAGTACCAACCATAAAGAATATATTCATAAACTCAATTACATTAAAACTAAGCAATTTTCTCTGTCAAGACATAATAAAGAAAATGAAAAGGCAAGCCACCAACTGGGAGTAGTTATTTGCAACATACACAGCTGACAGCCCAGCTGAAAACATGAGCAAAAGACATGAACAAGAGCATTTCTCAGAAGCGGGACACAAAAGACCAATCAACACATGAAAAGAAGATCAACTTCATTAATAATCTGAAAACTGCAAATTACGACAACACGAGATACAATTTTACACCCAATAAGTTGGCAAAATGAAGAAGGCGCTGACACCACCAATGGTTGGTAAAGATCCGGATCAATAGGAACTTTTATACCCTGCTTGGTGGGAACATAAATAAGCATAAACAAACATCTTGGAAAACAAGATGATACCATTTGTAAGTCTGAACATTTGATATTCTACTTGCCCAGCAATTCTTCTTCTAAAGAAACTCATGAACTTATGACACCAGAAAAAAATGTACAAGAATGTCCCCAGTAACAAAAAATGAAAACCATCCCAACAGGCATTAACAGAAAATGGGTAAAACTATATTTTGGTATAGGTACACAGTGAACCATACAGGGAAGAAATGTGAGTAAGCTTCAATTACCCATCACAAGATGGCAGAAATGTAAGTCAGAATGAAAAAATGCAAGTTGCAAAACACTACGTACAGAATGATAGCATTTTTATAAAGTTCAAAACCAAATGTGATAATTATATGTTGCAATAGAAATGGAATGATAAACACAATCCATTGTTGTTGTCTCTGGGAGTGAGGAGACAGGGAAGTACAATAGGAAGGAGTTTACGAGTGGATGAAAAGATACAAGTGACATTCTAGAACTATGCTTTCCAATATGATAGCATTAGCCACATGTAGACATTTTGACTTAAATTTACATTAATTGGCCAGGTACGGTGACTCACATGTGTAATCCCAGCACTTGGGGAGGCCAAGGTGGGAGGATCACTTGAGTCAAGGAGTTCAAGACCAGTCTGGGCAACAGGGTGAAACCTCATCTCTACAAAAAATACAAAAATTAGCTGGGCATGGTGGCACATGCCTGTAGTCCCAGCTACTACAGGCTGAGGTAGGAGGATCAATTGAGCCTGAGAGGTCAAGGCTGCAGTGAGCCATGATGGCGCCACTACCCTCCAGCCTGGAGGACAGAGCTCAACCCTGTCTCAAAAAAAATAATTAATTAGTCAATTAATTAATCTAAATTAATTAAAATTAAATACAATTTAAAATTCAGGGCCAGGCATGGTGGCCCATGCCTATAATCCCAGCACTTTGGAAGGCCAAGGCAGGAAGATTGCTTGAGCTCAGGAGTTCAAGACCAGCCTGGACAAGACAGTGAGACCCCCGTCTCTATTTTATAAATATAAAAAAATTTTTTTTAATTTTTTAAACAATTAAAAAAATAAAACTCAGTTCCTCAGACACACTAGTACATTTCAAATGCTAATCACATGTGGCTAGTGGCTACCGTATCGGACAGCACAGATTTATAGAATATTTCCATCACACAGAAAGTTCTACTGGACAGCTCTGCTCTAGACCAGAGGTTGGCAAACTTTTTTGTAAAGGGTCAGGTGGTAAATGATTTAGTTTTATGGAACATAAGGTCTCTGTCACAGCTACTCAACTCTGCAGCTTTGTACCTCCAAAACAGCCATAAACAAGGTGTAAATGAATGGATGTGACTGTGCCACAATACCAGGCAGTGGGCTGGATTTAGCCTGCAGACCGTAGTTTCTTGACCTTGTTCTAGATCTTAAGTTTGGTGATTGGTTGACAGATGACCATTTTATTATTACATTTCATCGTTTTCAAGCATTCTTACATATCAAATGTTACATAATACATTTTAAAATCTATATCTAGGACAATCTGAATAAGATCTGAAATCTGAATAAAATCCGTAGATCAGCTAGTAATATTGTAGCAGTGGTAACTTCTGTACTGTGGTCATATGTAAGATGATGTCCTTGTTTTTTAGGAAACACGCAATGGAAGAACTTGGAGTAAAGGAAGATCACACATACAACTTACTCTCAAACAGTTCAGAAAAAAACAGTTCACAGTGTATACCTGTGAACGCGTGTATACACACACACAGAAAGAGAGAAAGCAAATTTGATGCAATGTTGGTAACATTTTAAGGATTTGGGTGAGGGGTATACAGGAGTTTTCTCCCACTAGTCTTGCAATTTTTTTGTTGTTGTTGTTGAGACGGAGTCTTGCTCTGTCGCCCAGGCTGGAGTGCAGTGGCACGATCTCAGCTCACTGCAAGCTCCGCCTCCTGGGTTCACGCCATTCTCCTGCCTCAGCCTCCCGAGTAGCTGGGACTACAGGCGCCCACCACCATGCCTGGCTAATTTTTTATATTTTTTGGTAGAGACAGGGTTTCACCATGTTAGCCAGGATGGTCTCAATCTCCTGACCTCGTGATCCACCCGCCTCAGCCTCCCAAAGTGCTGGGATTACAGGCATGAGCCACTGCACCCAGCCCTTGCAAATTTTATATAAACCTCAGTTATGTCAAAATTAAGCACTTAAAATCATATGTGTATATAGTTATATACACTTATGGTAAGGTTAAAAATTGCAATTAGAATTTTACAATGGTGTATATACATCATTTGTCAATAAAAAGTTTACCTTAAGAATCCAATCCAGGCCAGGCAAGATGGTTCACACCTGTAATCCCAGCACTTTGGGAGGCCAAGGTAGGAGGATTGCTTGAGTCCAGGAGTTTAAGACCAGCCTGGGGAACATGGCCAGACCCCATCTCTCCAAAAAAAAATTTTTTTAATTTAGCCAAGCTTGGTGGTGTGTGCCTGAGGTCCCAGCTACTCAGGAGTCTGAGGTGGGAGGATCACTTGAGCCAGGGAGGTCGAAGCTACAAGGAACCATGTTTGTGCCACTGCACCCCAGCCTAGGTGACAGGATGAGACCCAGTCCAAAAAGAAATAATCCAACCCGTGAAGCTCTGCTGGGCGGGGAGATGGATGGACAGGACTGCACAAATCCTGGAGCACAGGTAAGAGAATCTTCAGTGAATTAATGCCGGGATCCCGAGGGGGAGAGAAAGGAAGGGAAGTGAGGAGGAGGTGATAGATGAGGAAATAGAGGGAGCAGAGCCTGGAGGCCTCTCCGAGTTTAGAGAGCAGGAGCTGTGGGGGTGAGGGGGTGAGAGATGGACGGAGGGAGGCCCATGGACAAAGAGGAGGTGTTGGAGTGGAAGGTTCTAGAGGTTGAGCAGATCCAGGTGATGGCAAGGTCCATGATGTAAACAAGATATTGGGTGTCTAAAATGGAAAAGCCCTTAGAGATAACCCAGTCAAGGAATTGAAAACCAGTGGGTCAGCACAGCACACTTGTGGCCAGTAAAGTTCCCCCAGATGGTGGCAGGATGGGAGTAGAGAGAAAGACTGTGAGGGGCTACTCATGTCAAGAGACAGAAGCCAACCGGGTGCCATGGCTCACGCCTGTAATCCTAGCCCTCTGGGAGGCCGAGACGGGTGGATCACCTGAGGTAAGGAGTTTGAGACCAGCCTGGCCAACATGGTGAAACCCCATCTCTACCAAAAATACAAAAATTAGCCAGGCATGGTGGCAGGCACCTGTAATCCCAGCTACTCGGGAGGCTGAGGCAGGAGAATCACTTGAGCCCGGGAGGCGGAGGTAGCAGTGAGATGAGATCGTGCCACTGCACTCCAGCCTTGGTGACAAGAGCAAAACTCCATCTGAAAAAAAAAAGACAGAAGCCAAGTAACTGGAGGCCAGCAGGAGGGTGATGGGGAGTCGTAGAAGGTGGTGCAGCTTCATAGAGCAAGAGCCTTAAATGAGGATACTGGAGTCACATCTGCATGTAACACATCTGGAATCAAGAGGAAATCCAACCACATTTCTGGATCCTGTCATTTCTGGTTCCTGGAGTTTGGGAGAAGGAGCTGCCTCCATTCATAAGGGCTGCAGGGTGATAGTGTGGTATCCTTAGGGATGGCAGGCATTCAGAGGTCCTGTGAGAAAGTTTGCTTGCCACAGACCATTACAGCCTGGGGTTTTATTTACACACTACCCTAAGGTCCAAGTGCAGGGCCTGATTGGTAGTAGGTGCTCAAAATTTTTTACTGGATTAATGACTGAATGGGTGGATAGGTGAGTGCATGGGTGGTGGCTGGATGAATGAATGGATGAGTATGATGGGTAAATGGATGGATGGATAAGTGGTGGGTGGACGGATAGACTTATGGACAGATGGATGCATGGATAATAAATGGATGAATTAGTGGGTGAATGGATGGATGGTAGGGTGGATAGATATACGGATGGACAGATGGATGCGTAGATGATGGATGGATGACTGAGTTGATAGTTAGATGGTTGGATGGAAGGATGGATGGACGGACGGACGGACAGATGGATGGACAGACAGATGGACAGACAGACGGACGGATGGATGGATGGGTAGGTGCATAGATGAATGAATGGGTAAGTAGATGGGTGAATAAATGGGTGAGTGAGAGGGTGAATAGAAAGAAGAGCTCATGGGGCACGGGAGTGGGTAAATAAATAAGTGCATGAATTGAATAAACTGGACATTCCAGGAAACATAGAATAGCCTGGGAGGTCAGAGATGTGATAGAGATAACACATCCAGCCTCACCTCAGCAGTCTAGACCACTCATAAGAACAGTATAACCACAAGGAGGCTGCAAAAGCCACCATCCCTCTACTCCCTTGTGCCCCCCAACCTAGAGGCTTATCTATGGGCAGGAGCCCCCATCTGTGTCCCCTGGTTCCAGGCTGCAATGGCAGAGGACATGGGACCAAAGGAGCAGACTGGCTACCTCTGGAAACTCCTCTTCCTTCTCAGGATCCAGGTCAGACTCCCCAGGAAGCAGGGGAGAATGCTGGCCTTAGGCTCTGATCCCAGAATCTCTGAACCTGCCTTTGCCTCTCTCTGTCCTTACACAGGTCATTTGACTTCTCTTGGCCACTCTTCCTGGCAAGAATTTTAGGAAAAATGGCCCTGTCTTCTCCCTTCCACCTGCCCACCCCAGTGCTGTGGGGACATAAACCAGCTGCCCGATGGGAAAGGGGGCCTCAGACCCCAGAAAGATGGGTCCAGCTCCCTCACCCAAGGAAGCCCACTAATAGGGCAGTAACTGGCCTGGCCTAGGGACTCTTTCCCGCACCCATCCCCATCCTCCTGCCACAGGGTTGTAGAGGGAATAGGTTTCCTCTGAGCCAAGATAAGCATACGAGCTTCATCTCCCTTCAGTCTCTGATTCCGCATCACCCCGACCACCAGGACCATGCCCCTCCCCAGCCATACCACGGCAGGCCAGGCCCGGAGAGCAGAGATAAGGCCCTCCTGACCAGAAGACCACAAGCAGGGGATAAGAGGGAGGGGAAGTCTTCTCTTCTGCCCACTCAAAGCTAGAATTCTGCTTCCTTCCCCAGAGGCAGGCCCCGGGAGAGCATCTGGGCAGCCATCCCAGCCTCTCTGCAGCCTGGGGAGAGAGGCTGGGGTGTTTTGCCCACCAGTATTCGGTATCAACGACGTCCTAATTAATTCATTTCTCATTTTGGGGCACCAATCAAAGGAAGGAAATCCTGCTCAGCTGAGCACCAGGGAAGCAGGAGAATGCAGTGCTGGCTGCCACATGTTGGAAGAGACCTCCAGATCTCTCAGTAGGTAACTGGATGGCCACAGGGGCCCCAAGGCCTGAAAATCCAGGTCCAACATCCAAACTGTACAGCAACCTTTCATGGACACCTCCTCCATGCCAGACCTCATGTTGGGTACTGAGGTAACGGATCCATCCCAGGCTTCACAGAGCATCTCGGAGCAACGCCTAATGCAGCCTGGGAAATCTGGGAAGCCTTCACAGAAGAGGTGACATGCCAGCTGGATTTTGAGGGATGAAAGAGATTTCTTCAGACATAGAAATAAGGGAAGGACATTCTGAAGCAGAGGGAAACTATGAGAAGAGGCCTGGAGCCATGAAAAAAGCAGCACATGATTAGACGATGATAGTAACTGGAATGGTTGAAGTGTCAGGTTCATGAAGAGGAAGAGGGCCAGGCGCGGTAGCTCAGACCCGTAATCCCAGCACTTTGGGAGGCCAAGGCGGGCAGATCACGAGGTCAGGAGATCGAGACCATCCTGGCTAACACGGTGAAGCCCCATCCCTTCTAAAAATACAAAAAATTAGCCGGATGTGGTGGCACATGCCTGTAGTCCCAGCTACTTAGGAGGCTGAGGCAGGAGAATCGCTTGAACCCGGGAGGTGGAAGTTGCAATGAGCCGAGATTGCACCTCTGCACTCCAGCCTGGGCAACAGAGCAAGACTCTGTCTCCAAAAAATAAATAAATAAATACAAAACTACCAGGGCGTGGTAGCACATGCCTGTAATCCCAGCTACTCGGGAGGCTGAGGCAGGAGAATCGCTTGAACTCAGGAAGCAGAGGTTGCAGTGAACCGAGACTGAGCCATTGCACTCCAGCCTGGGCAACAAGAACGAAACTCTGTCTCAAAAAAAATAAAAAATTAATTAATTTTTTTAAAAATGAAGAAGAGGAGTTGGGAAAGGGAGTATCAAGAGATGAGGCTCTTGGATCTACCCAGATAATCCAAGATAATCTCCTCATCCCAACATCCTTAAGCTTAATCACATTTTCAAAGTTCTTTTGACATGTAAGGTGACATATTCACAGGTTCCAGGGATTAGGACCTGGACAAAAAAGAGAGAGAGATGAGGCTGCAGGGTGAGGAAGGATTCAGGGTCTGGTTTTGAAGGGCCTCAGAGGACATGAGGAAGACTTAGAAGTTTAGCCTATGGACAGCGAGGAACCAATGGATGGATGATTTTCTTTTTTTTTTTTTTTGAAGGAGTTTCGCTTTTGTCGCCCACACTGGAGTGCAGTGGCACAGTCTCAGCTCACTGCAACCTAAATACAACAGAAATTCCCTATAATTCCCAAGGACAGGCCATAGTTGAAAGAACTAATAGAACACTCAAAACTCAATTAGTTAAACAGAAAGAAGGGGAAGACAGTAAGGAGTGTACCACTCCTCAGATGCAACTTAATCTAGCCCTCTATACTTTAAATTTTTTAAACATTTATAGAAATCAGACTACTACTTCTGCAGAACAACATCTTACTAAAAAGAAGAGCCCATATGAAGGAAAACTGATTTGGTGGAAAGACAACAAAAATAAGACATGGGAAATAGGGAAGGTGGTAACGTAAGGGAGAGGTTTTGCTTGTGTTTCACCAGGAGAAAATCAGCTTCCTGTTTGGATACCCACTAGACATTTGAAGTTCTACAATGAACCCATTGGAGATGCAAAGAAAAGCGCCTCCACGGAGACGGAGACACTGCAATCAAGCACCATCAACTCACAAGATGAACAGAATGGTGATGTCAGAAGAACAGATGAAGTTGCCATCCACCAAGAAGGTGGAGGCGCCGACTTGGGCACAATTAAAGAAGCTGACACAGTTAACTAAAAAAAAAAAAGCCTAGAGAACACAAAGGTGACACAAACTCCAGAGAACATGCTGCTTGCAGCTTTGATGATTGTATCAACTGTGGTAAGTCTCCCCATGCCTGCAGGAGCAGCTGCAGCTAATTATACCTACTGGGCCTATGTGCCTTTCCCGCCCTTAATTCAGGCAGTCACATGGATGGATAATCCTGATGGGAGATAGGCTCATGAGCCTAGAACATCGTTTCCAGTTACAGTGTGACTGGGATACATCAGATTTTTGTATTACACCCCGAGTTTATAATGAGTCTGAGCATCACTGGGACATGGTTAGACGCCATCTGCAGGGAAGAGAAGATAATCCCACTTTAGACATTTCCAAATTAAAAGAACAAATTTTCGAAGCATCAAAAGCCCATTTAAATTTGGTACCAGGAACTGAGGTAATCGCGGGAGTTGCTGATGGCCTCACAAATCTTAACCCTGTCACGTGGGTTAAGACCATCGGAAGTACTACTATTGTAAATTTCATATTAATCCTTCCCCAGAGGCAGGCCCCAGTCTGCAGGTGTACCCAGCAGCTCCGAAGAGACAGCGACCATCGAGAACAAGCCATGATGACAATGGTGTTTTTGTCTAAAAGAAAAGGGGAAAATGTTGGGAAAAGAAAGAGAGATCAGACTGTTACTGTGTCTATGTAGAAAGAGGTAGACATAACAGACTCCATTTTGTTCTGTACTAAGAAAAATTCTTCTGCCTTGAGATGCTGTTAATCTGTAACCCTACCCCCAACCCTGTGCTCACAGAAACATGTGCTGTGTCGACTCAAGGTTTAATGGATTTAGGGCTATGCAGGATGCACTTTGTTAAACAAATGCTTGAAGGCAGCATGCTTGTTAAAAGTCATCACCACTCCCTAATCTCAAGTACCCAGGGACACAAAACACTGCAGAAGGCCACAGTGACCTCTGCCTAGGAAAGCCAGGTATTGTCCAAGGGTTCTCCCCATGTGATAGTCTGAAATATGGCCTCGTGGGAAGGGAAAGACCTGAGCGTCCCCCAGCCCGACACCTGTAAAGGGTCTGTGCTGAGGAGGATTAGTAAAAGAGGAAGGCCTCTTTGCAGTTGAGATAAGAGGAAGACATCTGTCTCCTGCTCCTCCCTGGGCAATGGAATGTCTCGGTGTAAAACCCGATTGTATGTTCCATCTACTGAGATAGGAGAAAACCGCCTTAAGGCTGGAGGTGAGACATGCTGGTGGCAATACTGCTCTTTAATGCATTGAGATGTTTATGTATGTGCACATCAAAGCTCAGCACCTTTTTCTTAACCTTATTTATGATACAGAGACATTTGTTCACATGTTTTCCTGCTGACCCTCTCCCCACTATTACCCTACTGTCCTGCCACAACCCCCTCTCAGAGATGGTAGAGATAATGATCAATAAATACTGAGGGAACTCAGAGACCCGTGCCTTCGCGGGTCCTCTGGAGCACCAGTCCCCTGGGCCCACTTTTCCTTCTCTATACTTTGTTTCTGTGTCTCTCTCTTTTGTCAGTCCGATGAGAAACACCCACAGGTGTGGAGGGGCAGGCCACCCCTTCAGGGTCTGGTTTTGAAGGGCCTCAAAGGACATGAGGAAGACTTAGAAATTTAGCCCATGGACAGCGAGGAACCAATGGATGGATGCCTTTTTTTTTTATTTTTTGAAGGAGTTTTGCTTTTGTCACCCACACTGGAGTGCAGTGGCATGGTCTCAGCTCACTGCAACCTCCACCTCCCGGGTTCAAGTGACTCTCCTGCCTCAGCCTCCCGAATAGCTGGGATTACGGGTGCCCACCACCACGCCTGGCTAATTTTTGTATTTTTAGTAGAGATGGGGTTTCACCATGTTGGCCAGGCTGGTCTCGAACTCCTGACCTCAGGTGATCCACCTGCCTTGGCCTCCCAAAGTGCTGGGATTACAGGCATGAGCCACAGCGTCCAGCCAATTTTCTGTTGGGTGGTGACATACTGGAATTCACAATTTGGAAGAAGCACTCCAGCTAAGTATAGCAAGGGTGTATCCCAGGAATGAAGGCAGGGAGACCAGGAGGAAGCCGAGACGTCATCCAAGGAGACAACAATGATGGACTGGCTTCCTGCAGGGGCCATAAGGTGGGAGAGAAGGGACAAATCGCACTGGAAGGAGCGACAGACTGGATGTAGGGGGTGACCAGCAGGGAGGTGTTCAGGACCAGTTTAAGTTTCTGGATTCACCAGGACAGAAAAGCAGGTTTTTAGGAGAAAACATGGAGGAGCTCAGCTGGGAGGCGTGTTTAGTTTTGATGTGTGTGGAGCTTCAAGGGGAGCTGGGGGTCTGAGAGGCAGGACTATGAGGTGCTACTCAGGGTCATGCAGCATCAATATCATCTGTGGGTCTAGAATGCAGGCCTTCCCTCCCCACCACCACCACCACCGTCATTCCCAGGCCTGGGCCACCTTCTACCTCTGTTATGGCACCCATTCCAGCCTCCATGTCTTTGTTCTCACTGTTCCCCTGCCCAGCATACCTCCCCTCTTCCATACAAGTCCCACCCATCTGTTCAGTTCCCACCTCAACCAAGTGGTTAGAGCAAAGGTCCGAGGTCAGAGGTGGATGGGGCCTGAAAGAGTGGTGGTGAGTGTGGCAGAAAATGCAGAAGCCTTATTTAGAGCCCAGCTCAGCCTCAAAATGGCTGTGGGACATGAGCAGGTCACGTTCCCTCTCTGGGCCTCAGCTTCCCAACCTTTCAGGGATGAATAAGGAAAGATCCTTGAAGTTACAGATCTGGAAAGCGCCATAAGGTAAAACATCATCAGGACACTGAAGGTATACCACAGGACACACTCTACAAATGAGGAGAAAGCTTATGAAAAAAGACTTAGTGGCCCAGTGCGGTGGCTCACGCCTATAATCCCAACACTTTGGGAGGCCGAGCAGGCGGATTGCCTAAGGACAGGAGTTCGAGACCAGCCTGGCCACCATGGTGAAACCCTTTCTCTACTAAATATACAAAAATTAGCCAGGTATGGTGGCAGGCGCCTGTAATCCCAGCTACTTGGGAGGCTAAGACAGGAGAATCGCATGAACCTGGGAGGAGGAGGTTGCAGTGAGCCAACATCGCGCCACTGCACTCCAGCCTGGGCAAGAAGAATGAAACTCTGTCTCAAAAAAAAAAAAAAGAAAAGAAAAAGAAAAAAAGACTTAGTGGCATTTTCTCTGAGCCTTGAAGAATGAGTAGAATTTCAGCAAGTTGAGGTGGAGGTGAGGGAGGGCACTCGAGGCAGAGAGAACAGCCTGAGCAAAGGCCAGGAGGCGGAAAGTTCAGGGTGGGTTCAGGGAAGAAGGAGTGTCCAGTTTCTTTCTAAGTCAACAGCTCAAGGGCTTTTTGTAAGTGGGCTGTCCAAGCGGAGCAGCCTCCAGTAAACACCTGTTTGCACAATCGAGGTCACACACAGGGGCGCGTTTGCACAATGACCTGTTTGCACAATCTTAGCTGCCTGCTGTATTCCAGCCAACCCCGGCCCTGGCAGCTGAGCACCACAGCCTCAACTTCCGGGCACTCACCCCAGCTTGCCCACCTGGACCCCGCCCCGGCCCCTCTGAAACAAGCTGCTCCTTGACCTACCCAGAAGCCCCACACATCACAGGCAGTAACAGAAACAGAAACAACTCGGGGCTCAGTAGCTAGGCTGCCAAGAATAGGGTTCCCTCACCAGCACTCCCTTACCCAGGGTTTCCAACACACAGAGGCCTTGTCTGATGGAGGAGGGGCGGGAGGCAGGACAGCTGGAAGAGGAAGTATCCACAAAGCCGACACTGGGTGCGGGTAGAGGGGATGACTCCTCGTCTGTCTTGTGCTCTTCAGTGCACCATAGTAAACACTTATTAAGCATTTACTGTGTTCCTGGCTGTGTTCCACAAGCCTTACGGTCACTGATTTCTCTCAAGAATCCTATGAAGCCAATACTGTTAGCCCCATTTTACAGATGACAAAACCGAGGCTTAAAGAGATTAAACATTTGTTTGGAGTCACACAGGCAGCAAGTGGCAAATTGAAGCAGCCTGACTCCTCAGCTCATCATCTTAACCTCAGTACACTCTAAAGAAAGCTCTTCCTTAAATCTAACTTTCATTTCCTTAAATCTAACTTTTATTCTGGCTGCTGCAGCTCCATTTCCTGGTGCAGGTCCTCAACAGAGAATGGAGCACAAAGGAGAATAGTAGAATCTCCCTCCTAAATATTGAATTATGCAGAAGGGAACAAAGGAAAGCAACTTTATTGAACACCTACTATGCGCTGGTTACCATACTAGGCATTGTATTTCTGATAGCTAATTTAATTATCACAAAATCCCTGGGAGGAGTTATTATCACTGTGACAGATTAGGAAACAGAGGCTTGGAAGAGGTAAACACCATCTCCAAGGTTCTGCAGCCCAACAGATATGCATTGAGTATCCTCTGTGTGTCCGGCACTGTACTGAGGCTAGAGAGGCAGAGGTGAGAATACAGTTTCTGCCCTCAAAGAGTTCACAGTATAATGGAGGAGGCAGGCGGCCAACAGCCTACTACAGTATTACAGGATGAATGGGGAGAAGGGCCCCTAATTCAGCTTGACTAAGGTGTGGAAGCCCAGAGGGATGCTGAGCTCAGGCTGGATGCTTGAACTGGGTCAGGAACAGGACTCAGCCAGCAGGAGGTGACAGGCGCTCCGCAGAAGAAAGGCACAGGGTTGTTCCAGAGCCTGGGGCAGGCAGGGAAATACTAGTGAATTTGGCATGACCGGAGCATGACGGGCTGGATCTGAGGAAGCAGGGGCTGGTGAGGCAGGAGAGGGAGGCGAGGGTAACTTGCATGTCCGGTTCAGGAGTTAGGATGTGACGACGGGCCTCTGAAGAAAGACAGGGAGAGGAGAAGGATTGCAGGGCCATTGGCAAGGCTGAGACGGGAGCTCCATAAAGGCAGGAACTAAAACTGTGTCTCACCATTGTGTCCCTGCACCTGCTCCAGGAGCAAGTTCTCTGAATGATGAACAAAAGGCCCATTCTCCTTCATTAAGAACTGACTGGGGCCAGGCGCGGTGACTCATGCCTGTAATCCCAACACTTCGGGAAGCCGAGGCAGGCAGATCACTTGAGGCTAGGAGTTCGAGACCAGCCTGGCCAACATGGCAAAACCCTGTCTCTACTAAAAATACAAAAAAATTAGTCGGGCGTGGTGGTGCGTGCCTGTAGTCCCAGCTACTCAGAAGGCTGAGGCAGGAGAATCACTTGAACCTGGGAGGCAGAGGTTGCAGTGAGCCGAGATCGCGCCACTGCACTCTAGCCTGGGTGGCAGAGCGAGACTCCATCTCAAAAAAAAAGAATGAAAATAAAAATAAAAAATAAATTTAAAATGACCAGAAGGCCAGGTGCGGTGGTTCACGCCTATAAAACCAGCACTTTGGGAGGCTGAGGTGGGCGGATCACTTGAGGTCAGCAGTTCAAGACCAGCCTGGCCAACATGGTGAAACCCAATCTCTACTGAAAATACAAAAATTAGCCAGGCATGATGGCAGGCATTTGTAATTCCAGCTACTTGGGAGGCTGAGGCAGGAGAATCACTTGAACCTGGGAGTCAGAGGTTGCAGTGATCCAAAATCGCGCCACTGCATTCCAGCCTGGGTGACAAAGTGAGACTCTGTCTCAAAAAAAAAAAAAGAAAGAAAGAAAAAAAAGAACTAAAAGAACTGACTGGACATGGGAATGTGGAGAAAGGGTTGTAAGGAATGACTCCTGAGTCCCTGAGCTGCATGACTAGGGAGAGGAGGGGATGGTGGTTAATTCACCATGACAAGGTACGTGGGGATTAGAGACAGATTTGGTGAAGTGGGGGAAGATTCATCCAGTTGATCATTCATTCAACAAACACGCATGGAGGCCTTACTGTGTGGCAAGCAGTGTTATAGACACTGGAGATAAAGTTTTGAACAAAACAGATAAAAACTGTTGCTCTTATGGAACTTTCAGTCTAGTGGGGATTGAGACAGCCAATATCAGATGGTGAAAAGGGATTTGGGGGAGAGAGAGATAGGGAGTGGGAGGGAAGGGGCTTGCAAATTTTGAAAAGGGTGCTCAGAGAAGGCCTCAATGAGAAAGTGACATTTGAGCAAAGACCTGAAGAAGGGGAGGGACCAGCCCATGTAGCTATTTGCGGGGGAAAGAGTCCAGGCAAATGAAACAGCAAGTGCAAAGGCCCTGAGGCAAGAGACAGCATAACAAGTTCAAGAAGCAAAGAACACAGAGTAGCTGGAGCAAGGCAGCAAGGGGGAGAATAACAGGAGAGGGATCCAGGAGGTAACAGGGATACCAGGTTTTGTAGGGCCTTGTAGAC
The DNA here is from genome assembly GCF_000001405.40 of Homo sapiens. Classification (NCBI taxonomy): domain Eukaryota; kingdom Metazoa; phylum Chordata; class Mammalia; order Primates; family Hominidae; genus Homo; species Homo sapiens. The sequence continues at coordinate 36,484,192 of NC_000001.11, read as the reverse complement.
CATCCAAAGGGCTTTGACTTTGACTCTGAATGAGACAGGAGCCATTGGAAAGGTTGGGACGAGGATGGGCTGATCAGACTTCTGTTTGATTGATATCGCACTGGCTGCTGAAGGAATTACAGACAGGTGCGGGAACAAGGATGAAATAGAAGCAGGAGAGCAGGCAGGGGGCTATTGCGATTATCTAGGCAATAGATGAGGGTAGCTTGGAGCTGGCTAGTATTGGTTTCAGTTATATTTATATTTTCCAAATATTATCATAAAAATATTCAAACGTAGAGCCAAGTTGAACTTTACAGTGAATACCCAGGATTCTGGTTATATTTGGAAAGAAGAGAGTCCATGGGACTCACTGAGCGAGCAGAGCCTGTGGGATATCTTGGGAGGGTTGCAGCAGGCAGTCAGGTCATTTGACTTGGAACTAGAACTACAGCCCTGGTCTGCAGCATCACACCAGACCCAGATGCCTCAAAAGGATTATATGTTAAGGACAGTCTGCTGGTCTGTTGGCACCTAACCTTTTTTGGGTTATGAATCCAATAAACTATGAGCAGTTTGAACCTTTCTCAGAAAATGCAAAGAAAATTATTTGTAGTTTTAGAAGAATCATGAATACAGACAATAAAAGACATAAAATGTAGTCTATTTCACTCAATTACAAAATATTCAGTGTTGCAGAACCATTGTGGGTAAACATTCCTAATTTTTAGTGAACATATAAAGACCCCGTGCCTCACCAAGACGTCCTCCTGTCTTGCCCCCAGAATTCCTGTTTCTCCATCTGCCTGGTCTATGGGCAATGCACAGAATACGTAATGAAGAGGGGAGCAGTGAGTATTGGGTTACACAATTCCCTGGAACCTGGAACACACCCTTCTGAGTACTGTGAAGATGTGGTCCCCAAGGCTAGAGCTGAAAAGAGGCTTAGGGCCGGGTGAGCCTTCCAGCCAGGGCCTGCCTCCAAGTGATGCTCCCCCAGGGCAGGGGGCATAAGGATGGCACCCAGCCAGGTGGGAGCCTGGGCCCTGCCCAGCCTCAAAGCTTTGAGCTCAGGAAATCCGGAGGCAGGGGAGGGGGACATCGTTGCCACATTCCCCAGCCCTTTAAGACCCCCAAGGCAGGAAGGCTGCCCGGGCCTCACCAGCTTCCCTCACAGGCTCCTTCCTGGGAGGAAGGGGCTGCCTGTGCCCTCGAAGGCGCAAGGGAGGGCAGGAGGGAGGCTCGGAAGGTGTTGCAATCCCCAGCCCCCGGGCCTGTCAGAGGCTGAGCCATTAACGACAGAGCTCGGGGAGAGAAGCTGGACTGCAGCTGGTTTCAGGAACTTCTCTTGACGAGAAGAGAGACCAAGGAGGCCAAGCAGGGGCTGGGCCAGAGGTGCCAACGTGAGTAGGGGATCCCTAGAGAGGGGCTGAGCCTTGGGCTTGATGGAGAGCTGGAATCCTGGGGCCACTCCCCACAGCTCTGCCAAGTGTTCATGTCCGGGGTCCTAGGCCTGGGGCCCGGGATTCGTCCTTTGGAACCCCAGCCCTGGACACTGAGTCTCTTTTCACAGGATGCCCCTACTTTTGGGGGTATTGCACCAGGGAAGTCACTCACAGCCAAGTATCTCCTTGGGGACACTGAGCTGGGCTGGGGACAGGCATAATCATTCTCCCCTCCCCATGCCTCTGTCTCTCAGGACGTGTGTGTCTGTGAGTTCCAGCCGCGCAACCCCTCCCCGTCTGGGTCTCTATTTCACTCTCTGTTTCCATCTTTCCTCCTCAGCTTCTCTCTGGCTTGCTATCTCTCTGAGTTTCTCTGTCTCGCATATTTCCTGCTATCTCTTGAATCTTAAACTCTCGGTAACAGACGCTTCCCGGGCTCCAGGCCTCCGAGTGCCCCCCCCCCGCCCACTCTCTGGGTCGGCGTACATTGGGCCCTTTTTCTCTGTCTCTCGATATCTCTCTGGCCTCAATCGTCCTCTTGGCGAGTCTCTCTGTCGTTTCAGTCTGTGTGGATTTCAGTCACCGCCTCACTCTGTCACTCTTCCTGTTGCTCTCTCTTTTTCTTTATCTGCAGCATATCTGGAAATGCCTCTCCCCTCTGTTTATTCCCAGCCCCCTCCTCCCTCCCCACCCTTCCCACAGAAAGAATCTCGAGGTGAGAGTAGAAACAGCAAGGGAGCGAGGGGTGTGAAGTGGGGAAGAGAGTGTGAGGGGAGAGGGCTGAGCGTGATGAGGGAGAAACAGAAAGAGGGAATGTGAAGGCAGCCAGCCCAGGAGACATCGAGCTGTGCTGGGCCACAGGAGTGAGCACCTGCAGAGCCCAGCAGAGATGGCCGCAGTGACAGGAGGGCCAGGGGGCCCAGGAGTTAGGAGGAGAGGATCCAGAAAGGGGGCTTTGGAACTGCGCAGTGTGGCACAGACAAAAGCAAGGTGGCAGTCCTGGGAGGTGTGACCACACAGGCTGTGAGGGAGGCAGGGGTGAGGGGAAAACTGAACTGTGCTGGATTCTGTGAGCTGCTGACCTGCTATTTATGGCTCGTGAAAATAACCTATGGTTGCTGAGTGCCAACTCCATGCAAGGCACAGGGCTAAATGCCTTTACCAAAATAATCTCATTTCATCCTCACAACAACGCTGAGGAGTGAGTGCTAATGTTATTTCTTTCCCACAGATGGGGAAACTGAGGCTCGGCTCGGAAAGGTGAAGTAACTTGTCCAAGATCACAAAGCTGGTAAGTGGCGGAGCTGGAGATCAAGTCAGGTGACCTGAATCTGAGCTGGGCTCCAAACCTCTCTGCATATCGGCCCCCCAGAGAGTGAGACCATGCTCCAACAGGTCCTAGGCCCACTTAACCAGGCTGGGGGACGTCCAGGGCTGCAGTGGAGGACCAGAGACTGAGGCCAAGCAGGCCAACACCCAGCACCCAGGGGAAGGATGCCGGGGCCTCTTGGGGTTAGGTTGTCTACTCTGGACAGGAGCCAGTGGAGGCGGATAGGGTGGTACTGCACGGGGCATAGGCTGGGCCTGAAGCTGACCCTGGCTAGGGCAACAGGGCTGGGATAGGATCAAAAGCACATGGAGATGAAAACCAGTGTCCCAAAATCTGGGCCTTGGAGGCTAAATCTTCCCCAACCAGTGTTGCGGGGGGATAATCAAACTGGTATGCTATAGTAAGAAGGTTACCAACCACCGATGGGTAGACAGATGCTCGGGATACTTGTACAGGTTTCTCACTGCACAAAACTGAGGAGTAACTGGAGCCGAAATCCAGGCTGTTCCCTAGTTGCCAGGTCCTAGTGTGGTGCTGCATCCATCCAGAGGAAGGGGTGCTTTCTTTCTGATTTGCACAAAGGAGACTTACGGGCTAGCAGTCACTGGGTATTCCGATACTGCAATATATACATGGATAGACTGGGGGTTTGGGTAAGACCCCTGTGAGCAGTAACAACCTTGGGTATCTGGGCAGTTCTTATCCACACCTCTGTCTGGGAGGAAGAGAAAAGGATTCTCCTACCTTTCTCCCTGCTGAGCACGAGGGATCTGCTGGGACACCACCTGCGTGTATGTGTCCAGATATGTACGTGCAAGCTGACCAGCGATTCCCACTGATCTGCCACCAAGAGCACCAACTCGTGCTGGAGGATCAGGTGTTGGCTCCAAGACCCCAATGGGAGCAGGGTGAAGATGAGGCTGGACACCCACCCAAGTGGTAGAAACCTCTGCATACTTCCTAAGACTGGAGCCAAGGCACCCTCCATCCAGGTGCTATGGCCGTGACCTCATGATGCCTGACCCCAGAAGGCCACCAGAGGTCTGTGCCCAAAATTGGGGGCACACTGGACCCTTCGGGTGCCCCACTTGATATTCTCTCAGCCCACATGGCTGAGGCAGCCAGCTTCCTGCAGGCATAACCTGACAGCCCCTTGCCTCAGCTGCTCCATAGAGTTCTCCCTTTCTTCCAGGGAGTGTCCCTGACAACACTGGCATGGCTTCCCCAGGAGAACCTGCCTAGTACTCATGCATGCCCAACCTGGATGTGCCAGGGAATGAACACCCCAAGAGGCATCCCTTGACCAATGGGGGGCAGGAGTCAGTGGGTAAATCTTTCCATCTTCCCTCCCATCCAAGGGATAAATTGACCCTCCAGTGGACAGCTCTGAGAAGTGTTCTACATGGCTCTTTGGAAGGTTCCAGCAGGATAGAGCCCCAGTTGTCCATAGAGGTGACCAACATGATGATGTAACTTTGTGCTGGCTTTCTCTCCTTCCCTGTTTCATTCTCCCCAGTCCCTTATCTGCTGCTAGGATCTTCTCAAAATAAACTACCAGCATGCAATTCCTCATCTCAGGTTCTGCTCTCTAGGGGTAGCCTAGCTTAGATAGCTGGGAAGGCGGAAGAATGCTCTTCCTCACTGCTCCTTTCCCTGCTCTTTCCTGGAAGGCAAGTATAATAACTGTGGCTGTCACTGTCATTTCCTATGTTCCAGGCACTGTGAAAAGCCCTTGACTTGCATCATTTTGTGTCTTCCTCTCAAAGTCCCATGCAGTATAGGCTGCTGTTACTTCCATTTTGCAAAGAAACGAAGGCTCAGAGAAGTCAAGCAACCTAGTCAAAGCTGCACAGTGACAGACAAGGATTAAGATCAGCTCTGACTCCAAAGCCCATGGTCTTAAACAACCCTTCTGCCTACAGGTGAACATCAAGTTGGTGCTATGGCAAGGCTGGGAAACTGCAGCCTGACTTGGGCTGCCCTGATCATCCTGCTGCTCCCCGGAAGTGAGTATGGCCAAGGATGAGGGTGCAGTGGGGAGGGGAAGCTACAAGGAGAGATATTGGGAATTTCCTTGCACTGCCACATGGCTCCTGGGATTCCCAGAGAATCCCACAAGATTCAAGTCTGAGCCACAGATGTGGGGTAGCTGGTCTCCCACCCACAGACTTCCACAGGCAAACCACCACCCAAGAGGAATGGTGAGACGACCCGGGCTGGTCATCCTGGAAAAGGCCAGTGAGGCGCAGATCTTGTCCGCAAATCTCTACCAAGCTGTCAGAAGCAACCCATGGGTCCTATGCAGCCTTGGTGGGCAGCAAAGGGATCAGGATGGAAGCTACAAGGGGACAGGTTTCATCCTGAAATAAAGAAGCCCAGGCAGAGCTTGGTTTCCAACCATGGAAACTCTGTCTTGAGAGGTAGAGAACTTCCCATCCCCAGGGGTATGCAAGCTAAAGCCAGGATTGATAAAGATGCTGTGCAGCAGGGGTTGGCAAACTTTTTCTGACAGTAATGTTTAGGCTTTGCAGGCCACATACTGTCTCTGTTCCTTGTTTGTTTGTTTGTTTGTTTGTTTGTTCGTTTGTGAGACAGGGTCTCCCTCTGTTGCCCAGGCTGGAGTGCAGTGGCACAATCGCAGCTCACTGCAGCCTCAACCTCCTGGGCTCAAGTGATCCTCCCGCCTCAGCCTCCAAGGTAGTGCAGGGCATGCCACCACACCCAGCTAATTTTTTTTTGTTGTTGTATTTTTTTGTAGAGATGTAGTTTTGCCATGTTGCCCAGGCTGGTCTCAAACTCCTGGGTTCCAGCAATCCACCTGCCCTGACCTCCCAAAGTATGGGGATTACAAGCATGACCCGCCACGCCCTGCCTATTGCATGTTTTTTGGTTTTTGTTTTTTTGTTTTTTGAGATGGAGTCTCACTCTCTTGCCCAGGCTGAAGTACAGTAGCGGGATCTCAGCTCACTGCAACCTCCGCCTGCCGGGTTCAAGCGATTCTCCTGCCTCAGCCTCCCGAATAGCTGGGATTACAGGCACCTGCCACCAGGCCCTGCAAATTTTTGTATTTTTACTAGAGATGGGGTTTCACCATGTTGGCCAGGCTGGTCTCAAACTCCTGACGTCAGGTGATCCACTCACCTCGGCCTCCCAAAGTGCTGGGATTACAGGCATGAACCACCGCGCCCAGCCCTGTGGCATGTTTTTATTTGGTTTTTGCTTTGCTTGTTTTTAACTCTTTTAAAATGTAAGAAACATCTTTAGTTGTTAGGCTATACAAAAATAGGCCACTCAAGCCCTGCTGTAGAGGGCAGAGCATCAGGTAGAGTTTTGAAGCAAACAACCTTGTAAAGTTTCTTCCAGCCTGAAATCCTGAGTCTGGGCCGGGCGCGGTGGCTCACGCCTGTAATCCCAGCACTTTGGGAGGCCTAGGCGGGTGGATCACAAGGTCAGGAGATCGAGACCATCCTGGTGAACACAGTGAAACCCTGTATCTACTAAAAATACAAAAAATTAGCCGGGCATGGTGCCGGGTGCCTGTAGTCCTAGCTACTCGGGAGGCTGAGGCAGGACAATGGCGTGAGCCCAGCAGGCGGCGCTTGCAGTAAGCCGAGATCACGCCACTGCACTCCAGCCTGGGCAGCAGAGTGACTCCGTCTCAAAAAAAAAAAAGAAATCCTGAGCCTGTGAAGCAGTAGAAGCCCTTTGTTGAGAATCATGAACTTGCTCTGTGACCCTGGGCAAACTGCTTCTCCTCTTAGGGCCTTCGCATCCCCATCAGTAAAACGGGCCTAAGAACACCTGAGAGAGGACAGAAAGCATTGCGGGCAAAGTGTATGTTGATTTGTTTGTTTATTTATTTATCAAAAAAAATTCATCGGCCGGGCGCAGTGGCTCATGCCTGTCATCCTAGCACTTTGGGAGGCTGAGGCGGGTGGATCACGAGGTCAGGAGATCGAGACCAGCCTGCCAGCATGGTGAAAACCCATCTCTACTAAAAATACAAAAAAAAATTAGCCGGGCATGGTGGTGCGTGCCTGTAGCCCCAGCTTTTCGGGAGGCTGAGGCAGGAGAATCGCTTGAACCTGGGAGGCGGAGGTTGCAGTGAGCCGAGATTGTGCCACAGCACTCCAGCCTGGGTGACAGAGCGAAACTCCTTCTCAAAATAATAATAATAATAAATATTCACCAAGGTCCTACTCTGTACTAGGCACTGGGAATACAGTAATAAGCAAACAGCCAAGGTCTGCTGGCCTCACAGAATTTATAGTCTAGCTGGAGTGATAGATAAGTAAATAATCATAAGACTCTATAATTATGAAGGATAATAAGAGCTTTGAGGAAGTACAGGGACCTTGGCCTCCTCCAGTTCGTTAGTGCCTGGTCTGGTTTCTTCAAGATGCCTAAGCGTTAACCAGGTGAAACAGGGGTGGGAGAGAGAAAGAAGAGTCCCTCCAAAAAGAACAGCATGCCGGGCACAGTGGTTCACATCTGTAGTCCCAGCACTTTGGGAGGCTGAAGCAGGAGGATTGCTTGAGCCCAGGAGCTCAAGATTAGCCTAGGCAACATAGTGAAACCCCATCTCTACCAAAAAAAAAAAAAATCAAAAAATTAGCAAGGTGTGCTGGCATGAACCTGTAGTCCCAGCTACTCAGGAGGCTGAGGTGGGAAGATCACTTGAGCCTAGGAGGTCAAGGGTGCACTGAGCCGTGATCGTGCCACTGCACTCCAGCCTGAGTGACAGAGCAAGAACTTGAAGAAAAAAAAGAAAAGAAAAAGAAAACCAAAACAAAACAACAACAACAAAAAAAAAAAAACAGCAGGGACAAAGATCCAGAGATTAGAAAGATTTTGGAGTTTTCAAAGAATAGCAAGAATGAGCCAGAATAGCTGGAGCTGAGAGACCGGTATAAGCTGGAACTGAGAGGGTCAGGCAGGGGCCAGGCCACAGGAGCTATTGAAGGATTTGAGTGTTTATCCTAATGATGGCAGCAAATACTCACATGCCAGACACTGCTCTAAATGCCTTCCATATGTTATCGCATGTAATCCTTCCAGCAACACTAAGGTAGGGACGATTTTTATCCCCATTTTACAGATGAGAAAACTGAGGCACAGGAAGTCTTAGAAATATACCAGGATCATGTAATTAATAAGCAATAGAACCAGAATTTAAACCTAGGCAGTCTAGTTCCAACATCCACACTCATCCATCACACCACACTGCCTTTCAGAGCAATAATGTGCCATTGAAGTGCTGCGATGGAGATGGGGTAGCAGAATCAGATTTGAATTGTGAAAAGATTGCTGTGGCTATGGGTTCTTATCACTCTAATCACTGCTTGCACCATCCTTGGGGAGGGCACTGGGGAGTTAACAGTCTCCATCTGGTGGTGTGCTGGTGCTGGCTTGCAAAAACTAATTGTGCACATCTCTTCCCAACTCCCCGATCAATGATGTCACATCAATAGGCTGAAATCAGCTACAGTGAGAGCACTTACACCGCGGAAAGGCACACACTACAAACCAGGGTCTGCTTTTCTCTGCCAAGCTGGCTGATAAACGGTTACCAGCACATCACTATCTCTGTGTCACCCCCGTAGCCTCTCGAAGTCTCCGTCCCCATCCTTCCATTTCCAGCCCCCATATCTTGAAGGGTGAGACAGGAAGGTGAGGCCTCTGAGTCTAGGAGTACAAAGGCCTAGATTATAGCCCAGCTCTGCTAGGCAGAGGCGTCGTTCCTGGCCCATTCTCTTCCACCCCAGGTCTGGAGGAGTGCGGGCACATCAGTGTCTCAGCCCCCATCGTCCACCTGGGGGATCCCATCACAGCCTCCTGCATCATCAAGCAGAACTGCAGCCATCTGGACCCGGAGCCACAGATTCTGTGGAGACTGGGAGCAGAGCTTCAGCCCGGGGGCAGGCAGCAGCGTCTGTCTGATGGGACCCAGGAATCTATCATCACCCTGCCCCACCTCAACCACACTCAGGCCTTTCTCTCCTGCTGCCTGAACTGGGGCAACAGCCTGCAGATCCTGGACCAGGTTGAGCTGCGCGCAGGCTGTAAGTCCTTCCAGCCATCCAACTACTCTGCCTCCAACACCCTCCTGCCAATACTAATAAGAATATTACCAGCCGGGCACGTTGGCTCACGCCTGTATTCCCAGCACTTTGGGAGGCCGAGGCAGGCGGATCACCTGAGGTCAGGAGTTCATGATCAGCCTGGCCAGCAAGGCGAAACCCCGCCTCTACTAAAAATACAAAAAAATTAGCCAGGCATAGTGGCGGGTGCCTGTAATCCCAGCTACTCGGGGGGCTGAGGCAGGAGAACTGCTCGAACCCAGGAAGCGGAGGTTGCAATGAGCTGAGATCACACCACTGCACTCCAGCCTGGGCAACAAAAGCGAAACTTGGTCTCAAAAAAAAGAAGAAAAAAAAAAAAGAGTACTACCTATTGAGCTCTTATCTAATAAGCACTTTATGGGCATGATATCAGGTAACAGTAGTACCAGTTGGTACTACTATGTAGCCTCACTTTGCAGATGATGAAACTGAGGTTCAGGGAGGGTAAGTGACTTGCCCTTATCACACATTAATAAGGATGGAGGCAGTGTGGCTCTAAAGCCAGTGTTGTGACCACTACTCTACATAGCCCAAGTCCTCAGCCATCTGAGGGTGTCTCCAGGGAGAACATCCTCTACCAGCTGGGCTTGTCCCCCACCCCAGTTTCAAACTTCCTTTCAAACTGAGCAGGATGGAGTTTGTGCCAAGCTGAGGCATAAGGAAAAAACAAAGACCGAGGTTCTTGTTTAAGAATCAGTAATGGGCCAGGTGCAGTGGCTCACACCTGTAATCCCAGCACTTTGGGAGCCTGAGGTAGGTGGATCATTTGAGGTCAGGAGTTTGAGAACAGCCTGGCCAACATGGGGAAACCCCGTCTCTACTAAAAATACAAAAATTAGCCGAGTGAGCCGAGATCACGCCACTGCACTCCAGCCTGGGCCACAGAGTGAGACTCTGTCTCAAAAAAAAAAAAAAAAAAAAAAAAAGCACCAGTAATGGCCACTGCTAACACTTACATAGCATTTCCTGTAAGTTAGGCACTGTTCTGAGCACTTCATGTAGAGTGAGTCATTTAGCCCTTGTGATAACGCTAGGGGGTGGGATTTTACCATTATCCCCATTTTACAGATGAGGATGCTGAGGCATGGAGCAGTTAAATAACTTCAAGATCACAGGGCTAATGAATGGCAGGACCAGGATGAAAACTCAAACACTACACTGTCACTGACAAAGGGTCTAGAGTTGGGGGCCTTGGAAGTGGGCCACCACTGGGCTGCTGGGAGTCTGTGATGCTTGCCCCGGTGCATGCCTGCAACTTAGCTTCCCCCAGGGCTGCCCTTCCAGAGCCACTCTGCCTGGAGACAGGGGGACAGACAAGGTGACAACAGAGGAACCAAGCCAGGGCAAGGCAACAGGGCCAGCTGGTCCCAGAGGAAGCTTTCTGAGTGGTCCCACCCAAAGCCCTCACACTCTTCCCACCCACATGCAGACCCTCCAGCCATACCCCACAACCTCTCCTGCCTCATGAACCTCACAACCAGCAGCCTCATCTGCCAGTGGGAGCCAGGACCTGAGACCCACCTACCCACCAGCTTCACTCTGAAGAGTTTCAAGTGAGGAGGGGCCCCCACCTTGGTCCCCTCCCTTTGGATTCTGGGGTAGGGCATGGGTAGGATGCTGGGCATGCCTCTGGGAGGGAGAAGGGAGCCTCGCTTTCTTCCTCTGCTTGGCACCCAAGCCTGGACTATTGGCAGGAGCCGGGGCAACTGTCAGACCCAAGGGGACTCCATCCTGGACTGCGTGCCCAAGGACGGGCAGAGCCACTGCTGCATCCCACGCAAACACCTGCTGTTGTACCAGAATATGGGCATCTGGGTGCAGGCAGAGAATGCGCTGGGGACCAGCATGTCCCCACAACTGTGTCTTGATCCCATGGATGTTGGTGGGTGATGCAGGGGAGGGAGGGGATCCCCAAAATGGGCAGACACTGAGAGGAATGGAGAGGGAAACACAGAACTAGCGACAGACAAGAAGACACTGGAAGACCTAGAGACAGAGGCACAGAAGAGGGACAGAGACAAAGAAAGGTGCAGCTGGAGACAGAGAAATGGGGACACAGACCCAGAGACAGGAAGAGACACAGAGGCAAAGAGACACATTCAGTCATGCTTTCAGCGTGTTTCCTAAAGCACCCACTACATGTTAGGCACTGCTCTAGGTACTGGGGATACAAAGCATCAAAAATGCCCTCAGAATGTTAGATTCAAGTGGGGGGGAAAATAAGATAGAATTTCAGATAGCAATAAGCAGAAAGGAGAAATTAAAGGAGGAGAAGGGCATAGAGAGAGAGGGGGGAAGGGGAGCACTGGCTATTTTAATATGCTGGTCAAGAAAGGCCTCACTAAGAGGGTGACAATTGAGCAGATCCTTGAAGGAAATGAGGGAGCAAGCCGCTGGATATCTGGAGGGAAAACATTTCAAGCAGAAGTAACAACCAGTGCAAAGGCCCTGGGGCAAGAGCGGAAACAGAGACCTAGAGAGAAACAAAGACACATAGAGATCGAACCACAGAAACGTGTCATTGGCAACGTGGACAGATGGTGAACCACAGACAGGGAGACAAGAGGGAGCTAAGGCAGAGCCCTCTAGGGTGGGATAGGGAGACCTTCTGACAGCCCCACTCCTTGCAGTGAAACTGGAGCCCCCCATGCTGCGGACCATGGACCCCAGCCCTGAAGCGGCCCCTCCCCAGGCAGGCTGCCTACAGCTGTGCTGGGAGCCATGGCAGCCAGGCCTGCACATAAATCAGAAGTGTGAGCTGCGCCACAAGCCGCAGCGTGGAGAAGCCAGCTGGGCACTGGTGAGGCAGAGGGCAACCTGGAGAGCCTGAGGTGGTGGGGGCAGGGGGCAGGGTAAGTCGGGCTCGAGCTGGCCCTAGAATGGCCCAGCGATCCAAGGCTCAGAGTCCTGTCCACCCCTCACCAGGTGGGCCCCCTCCCCTTGGAGGCCCTTCAGTATGAGCTCTGCGGGCTCCTCCCAGCCACGGCCTACACCCTGCAGATACGCTGCATCCGCTGGCCCCTGCCTGGCCACTGGAGCGACTGGAGCCCCAGCCTGGAGCTGAGAACTACCGAACGGGGTAAGGAGGTGATGAGAGGCTGGGAGCAGCCAACAGTATCCAGTCCAGGCCCCAGGCCCCTCCCCAACTGGCACCCCCTCTTCTTGTTCCATCCACAGCCCCCACTGTCAGACTGGACACATGGTGGCGGCAGAGGCAGCTGGACCCCAGGACAGTGCAGCTGTTCTGGAAGGTGACTCCCTCTGAAGGCCATCCCTCCACCTCGACACCTCCCGCAGTCCAAACAGATCCCTACAAACCGGGGCTTAGGACTCCAACAGGTCTGGGAGGCGTGGACGCATTTATATGTGATTTGCATGCACTTTGCATGTGCCTAGGGAGCTGAGTTAGCTTTTGGACAGACTGTAACGCACGTCACAGTGTGGTTCAGTGAATAGTTAAGAGCCTGCTGTGTCCACCAACTTGTTTCTTCCTGCCCTCCTTCCTAGAACCTAGCACAAGGGAACAGAGGGAAAAGGGGAGGGGGGTGAGAAGCCTGGACCCCAGCCTGGGGAGGCTCCGTTTGTATGATCCATCCACCCCACCTAGAGGCTCTCCTTGACTCAAGATGAGCTGCACATCCCCTTCTCTTTTTCCTCCTGTGCCCCACAGCCAGTGCCCCTGGAGGAAGACAGCGGACGGATCCAAGGTTATGTGGTTTCTTGGAGACCCTCAGGCCAGGCTGGGGCCATCCTGCCCCTCTGCAACACCACAGAGCTCAGCTGCACCTTCCACCTGCCTTCAGAAGCCCAGGAGGTGGCCCTTGTGGCCTATAACTCAGCCGGGACCTCTCGTCCCACTCCGGTGGTCTTCTCAGAAAGCAGAGGTAAAGGGGGCTGGCAGCCAGAAGAGCACAGAGGTCAAGCGCATCAATTCAAAGGCTAGACTGCCTGGGTTAAATCTAGTCCTATTGGCCGGGCGCAGTGGCTCACGCCTGTAATCCCAGCACTTTGGGAGGCCGAGGTGGGCAGATCATCCGAGGTCAGGAGTTCAAGACCAGCCTGGCCTACATGGTGAAACCCCTGTCTCTACTAAAAATACAAAAATTAGCCAGGCATAGTGGCGGGCACCTGTAATCCCAGCTACTCCGGAGGCTGAGGCAGGAGAATTGCTTGAACCTGGGAGGCAGAGGTTGCAGCAAGCTGAGATCACGCCATTACACTCTAGCCTGGGCAACAGAGGGAGACTCCATCTCAAAAAAACAAAAAAAAACAAAAAACGAGTCCTATCACTTGCTAACAGTGTGACCTGAGTAAGTTACCTCCCATCCCCGGCCTCTGTTTACACATCCAGCAGATGGGGATGATAACAGCACCTACTGAGCGGTGCCATGGGGTGTACATGAGTTAAGACAAGTGCCTGGCACAAAGTAACTGCTCTGCATGTGTCTGCTGTTGTTATTATCATTAGCCAGACCAGGTTAAGCTCTCTCTCTCACACACACACACACTCACAGCCCATTCTGCCAAGAAAGCCAAGAGAGAAAGCCCCAGGCTTTTCCACTTGGAACCTGGTCTATGAGTTCATTGCTCATTCTCAGGAAATCAGCTGCCACCACCCACTGCTTTCCCTAAACATTGGTCCTCGCAAGGTGGGACTAATAATCACAATAACAATAATCATAGCTAATATTCCCACTTACTAGCTGTGTGATCTTAGACAAGTTTCTTAACCTCTCTGTGTCTCTCAGTTTTCTCATTAGTAAAATGGGGAAAAGAGTAGTACTTCCTGGGTATGACTATTAGAGGACTCAGTGAATTAAAATGTATCAAGGAGTCCAGTATGGTGGCTCACGCCTGTAATCCCAGCACTTTGGGAGGCTGAGGCGGGCGGATCATCTGAGGTCAGGAGGTCAAGACCAGCCTGGCCAACATAGTGAAACCCCATCTCTACTACAAATACAAAAATTAGCCGGGCATGGTGGCGGTTGCCTGTAATCCCAGCTAGTCGGGAGGCTGCGGCAGGAGAATCACTTGAGCCTGGGAGGTGGAGGTTGCAATGAGCCGAGATGGCGCCACTGCACTCCAGCCTGGGCGACAGAGCAAGTCTCTGCATAAAAAATAAAATAAAGTAAGGTAAAGTAAAGTAAAATAAAATAAAATATATCAAGGACTACGCCTGACACATACCAAGAACAATAGAGTGTTAGCTGTTATCACTAACAAGAACTACTCCATGCCAGGCGCTATGCCAGGCTTGTTTCGTGCATCAAGTCATTTAATCTGCACTAAGACCCTATGAGTTAGGAACTTTTATCATCATTTCTACTTTACAGATGAGGAAACTGAGGCTAAGATGTTGACCTACCAAAGGTCACCCAGCCTGTAAATAGCAAAGCCAGGATTTGAACCCAGGCTTCTGGCTCAAGGGCCTGCATTCTTTTCACCTTCATTCCACCATTTCCCACCCTGTCTCCAGGCCCAGCTCTGACCAGACTCCATGCCATGGCCCGAGACCCTCACAGCCTCTGGGTAGGCTGGGAGCCCCCCAATCCATGGCCTCAGGGCTATGTGATTGAGTGGGGCCTGGGCCCCCCCAGCGCGAGCAATAGCAACAAGACCTGGAGGATGGAACAGAATGGGAGAGCCACGGGGTTTCTGCTGAAGGGTGAGGCTGGCCTGGAAAGTTGGGCAGGGCCAGGGACAAAGGGAGGCAGTGCTTATCTGACAATAGGCATGGGACAACCTGAACTGCCCAAGAGACATGGATTCTCCAGCCTTTCTTGATCCTTCGTTGTTCTCATTTCATATCCTCATAATCAGGAAGTTCTTCCTACAGTCTAACCTGATCCTTTTTCTATAGCCCTGACTCTGCCACCCTTCTAGCTCTCTCTTCCACTTTTCTTCCCTAATTCTCATCAAATGATCTAAAGAAGATATTGTGGAGGTTAACCCTGAATCATGAGGCCAGGTTAGCCCTCACTAGAGGTCTGAGGCTAGCTCCTGATCATTAGCACAGGTTAGGCCCTAACAGAAGTGCCTACCCCATTTTCTCTCTACAGAGAACATCAGGCCCTTTCAGCTCTATGAGATCATCGTGACTCCCTTGTACCAGGACACCATGGGACCCTCCCAGCATGTCTATGCCTACTCTCAAGAAATGGGTTTGTCAACTATCAGGCCCCTTTCCAGAATCCTCTCCTCTCTCTCCCAAGGCTCTGCCTGGTCCCCAGCAATCAGAAGTATAGGGAACATTGCCTTCCTACCATACTTCCAGCCCTGGAGAGGATCTCTCCCAATCCCCTGGCTTACACTGGATCCCTACAGCTGGACAGAAATCAGGTGCTGGGATAGAAATTGAGTAGGGAGTTGGCACAATTCAAGGAGCAAACCTGGCAAAAATCAAACCATTTCCCAGACAAAAATAAGGTGTTATATGTAACAGAAATTGGACAGAGGGGCCGGGTGCAGTGGCTCACACCTGTAATCCTAACACTCTGGGAGGCCAGGGCAGGCAGATCCCCTGAGTTCAAGAGTTTGAGACCAGCCTAGGCAACCTTGTCTCTACAGAAAAATAAATAAATAAATAAATAAACAAACAAACAAACCAAAAATTAGCTGGGTGCAGTGACACATGCCTGTAACCCCAGCTACTTGAGAGGCTGAGGTGGGAGGATCGGAGGGCTTGAGCCCAGGAGGTCGAGGCTGTAGTGAGCCAAGATGGCGCCACTGCACTCCAGCCTGGGTGACAGAGCGAGACCCTGTCTCAAAAACAAAAAGAAATTGGACAGAGGACCTGGCATAAATTCGGAGAGTGAGTGGCAGAAATCAGAGAGTAAATCAGATGAAATCAGGCCTGGTAGAAATCAGAAAGTGAGGCTTTAGAGTCAAGCAGAGCCAGGTTCAAATCCTGGCTCAGACACTTATTAGCAGTAGATGGAATCTGGATTAAATCCCTGGGAAAAATGAGGCTTGGGCATGAGTCCCCTTGGACTCTTTTCTCACCCACCCCACAGTGTCTGGGAAGCCACAAGAAGTCCAACCGGGCTCTTGCTCTGCCCCACTCCCTTCAGCCCCCGCACCTCTCTCTTCCCATAGCTCCCTCCCATGCCCCAGAGCTGCATCTAAAGCACATTGGCAAGACCTGGGCACAGCTGGAGTGGGTGCCTGAGCCCCCTGAGCTGGGGAAGAGCCCCCTTACCCACTACACCATCTTCTGGACCAACGCTCAGAACCAGTCCTTCTGTGAGTCTATCCTCAGTTCCCCCACAGCCCCAGAAGGCCTGGAAGGGGGTGCTCAGCTGCCACGGAGGCAGCTTTACCATCCAGGCCTATGCTGACCGTACACCCCTCCCAGCCGCCATCCTGAATGCCTCCTCCCGTGGCTTTGTCCTCCATGGCCTGGAGCCCGCCAGTCTGTATCACATCCACCTCATGGCTGCCAGCCAGGCTGGGGCCACCAACAGTACAGTCCTCACCCTGATGACCTTGACCCCAGGTAAGGGGAGACGGGGGCTGGGCAGAGATGGCTGTTTGGAGGGTACCCCACCCAAAGGATGCTGATTTTGAGAGTAGCTGGGGACTGACTTTGAATCCCCTGGTCGGAGGGAGGAGACCCAGCCTTCCCAACATGCATTCTAACTTCTTCCGGCCCTGCCCTCACTGCAGAGGGGTCGGAGCTACACATCATCCTGGGCCTGTTCGGCCTCCTGCTGTTGCTCACCTGCCTCTGTGGAACTGCCTGGCTCTGTTGCAGCCCCAAGTGAGTCCCTTTGAGAGACCTGAGATCCTGCTTCCCCCACCCACAGGGAACCTCAGGTCCAGATGGGCCCATCTAAGTCCCTTCCAGCCTTCCCAAACTTTGGGGCCCATGTCTGAGAGTCCCAGCCCCCAGCTTCTTCTCTCTGCACTAAGGGCAGCTGCACCTCTTCAGGTGGGGTGGGTGGGACAAAAAATGGAAAGATCGGAGGGTGTGTCTGACTCAGCCTCCACCTGCCCCCTTCTCCAGCAGGAAGAATCCCCTCTGGCCAAGTGTCCCAGACCCAGCTCACAGCAGCCTGGGCTCCTGGGTGCCCACAATCATGGAGGAGGTGAGAATCCAGGAGGGAGAGGGAAATGAGATGGGGATGTCGGCCCAGGCTCAGTGAAGGGACACCTTCTGAAGCCAAGTACTCAGGCCTTCCTGTCACTTCCGGCAACATCTCGTCCCTTTGGACTGAAGCAGACCCAACTTTGAATCCCACCTCTGTCCATCTCAAAGCCTCAGTCACCTCCCTGTGATATGGAAAAACTGACCATGCTGAGTCTGAACGGTGCATGGCATGTGTCAGGCATGTGTGAGGAACATACTAGTGCTTTGCAAGTGGTACCCTTTGTGTTCCACCAGTAACAACAGTTGAATGTCCCCACAGCTGCCCGGACCCAGACAGGGACAGTGGCTGGGGCAGACATCTGAAATGAGCCGTGCTCTCACCCCACATCCTTGTGTGCAGGATGCCTTCCAGCTGCCCGGCCTTGGCACGCCACCCATCACCAAGCTCACAGTGCTGGAGGAGGATGAAAAGAAGCCGGTGCCCTGGGAGTCCCATAACAGCTCAGAGACCTGTGGCCTCCCCACTCTGGTCCAGACCTATGTGCTCCAGGGGGACCCAAGAGCAGTTTCCACCCAGCCCCAATCCCAGTCTGGCACCAGCGATCAGGTCCTTTATGGGCAGCTGCTGGGCAGCCCCACAAGCCCAGGGCCAGGGCACTATCTCCGCTGTGACTCCACTCAGCCCCTCTTGGCGGGCCTCACCCCCAGCCCCAAGTCCTATGAGAACCTCTGGTTCCAGGCCAGCCCCTTGGGGACCCTGGTAACCCCAGCCCCAAGCCAGGAGGACGACTGTGTCTTTGGGCCACTGCTCAACTTCCCCCTCCTGCAGGGGATCCGGGTCCATGGGATGGAGGCGCTGGGGAGCTTCTAGGGCTTCCTGGGGTTCCCTTCTTGGGCCTGCCTCTTAAAGGCCTGAGCTAGCTGGAGAAGAGGGGAGGGTCCATAAGCCCATGACTAAAAACTACCCCAGCCCAGGCTCTCACCATCTCCAGTCACCAGCATCTCCCTCTCCTCCCAATCTCCATAGGCTGGGCCTCCCAGGCGATCTGCATACTTTAAGGACCAGATCATGCTCCATCCAGCCCCACCCAATGGCCTTTTGTGCTTGTTTCCTATAACTTCAGTATTGTAAACTAGTTTTTGGTTTGCAGTTTTTGTTGTTGTTTATAGACACTCTTGGGTGTACCTGAGTCTCTGTTATTTATTTTTCAGGGCCCAGCAGTCAGGGGGAAACTTCTCAGAGTTGGTCCTTTCTTCCTCCCTCCCTTCCTTCCTCCCTCCCTTCCTTCCCCCCTTCCTTCCTCCCTTCCTTCCTTTCCCTTCCTTCCTTCCCTCCTTCCTTCCCTTGCTTCCTTCTGCTAGCTCTCAGTATCTAGGCCCTATGCAAACGACTCAGCTCAGTTCACCCTCAGAGAGCTGCATTCTAGTGGTGGAGACTTGAAAACTGATCCTTAGGGCACAGTGGCATGGGTTACACGGGGGGAGTGACAGTGCGGTGGGACACGGTGAAGAGACTTTGGAAAAACTAACCCCTGTTGGGGAAATAAAATTAAAGACAAAATCCCCTGCCAACGCAGAAAACCTCTTCACAAGGGTAGAAAAGAAAGAAAACAGTGTTATTATTGAATAAGCATTAAACCGGAATGTGATACACTGGTGATCCACTAAAGAGACTGCAAAGAGACAAAAATCTTACTCTTTTATGTAGCAAAGTGAATACAACTTACTGTATCCATTTTCTCAAGATAAACAATAACTGGTCCTCAAGCAAGAGGACTTGGCTGCACCTCACTCTAAATTTACCTGGTAAGTGGGAAGCCACCTGTGTCTGCTAATTGCCTTTATCCAAAGGAAAAATCGATTTCCCCTATCTTTATAACAAAGGGTAGGTTGCAACTAAGAGCTAGGCACCAACTGAAGTTAGGCTCCTACCCTCCCACAGGAACTGAGAGAGAGCACTATCTTCCTTAATTATTACATTTCAAAGGGTTGGCCCCCAGGTCCTTGAGAAAAACATTCCGGGGTTGTAAAACTGGCAAGAGGTTTATTTACCTTTTAAGAAGATTTACATTCATCGCAAAGCAGTAGAGAAAGTATTCACAATTACAAGTTTTCTAAAGTAAATGCTCTCAGAAAAGTGAGGGGAAGGAGTCTTTTCCCTTTTTGCGCCAGGGAAAATTAAATTTTCTTTTTCTTCTAATTTGTATCCACCCTTACACCACTCATTTCACAAATAACGTCACCGTAAAGATTTACTAAATGCTCACTATATACCAGGTGGTCTGCATACAACTCAGTTAATCCTCTCAACAACCTAAAAGAGAGATATTGTTATTACTATCCCTACAGGGCCCACATAGGTTAAGTGACTTGCCCACAAGATCACATGTTGAGTAAATGGCTGAGTTAGGATTCCAGACCAGGACTGTGCGATTCCAAACTCAGCGACTTTAGTCTCCAGGCTACGAGGCTGCCAGAGACATGGCTGAAACCCAGTAGTAGTTCTTACACGGTCCCATCCTTGTCTAAGGGAGGGGTGAGGTGGGGTGGAGAGGGGATTGGGTTGGGGGTAGAAGGCTACCGCAGGCGCCATGGACCTCCCAAAATAACCCTGGCCCGAGGGCCAGGAATGAGATTAAGGACGGAACGCATGCCCTCCAAAAAGTGGCATTTTAGAATTTATACAGCACCCCAGCACGCTGCTAAACGTGGGCACACAACCACCACGGCCCGATCACGCGCAGCGGGAACCCGGTCTCTGAGCTCCGCCCCGTGCGTTGCGTCATCAGAGTCACGCCACCTAATCCATTCTCTCGGTCTTCGTCTGCTCCGGTATTGCAACTGCCTCGATTGGTCGATCCTGGGCCAGCATGGCGGCGCCCATGTAACCCGGTCCGTGCCGCAAAGCGAACGGCGGCCGCGGCGCGGGCCCCGCGGGGGTTAGAGGTCACCATGCTGAGGGTCGCGTGGAGGACGCTGAGTTTGATTCGGACCCGGGCAGTTACCCAGGTCCTAGTACCCGGGCTGCCGGGCGGTGGGAGCGCCAAGTTTCCTTTCAACCAGTGGGGCCTGCAGCCTCGAAGTGAGGAGCTGAGAAATGGGACGGCGGGCGTAGGGAAACAGGGTTCGGCGAAGATAGGGAATAAGGAAGCACAGGAGTAGGGGAGATATACAGCGGTCAGGATAAGGGGGAAAGGGCGGTGGTTGCGCAAGAGGTGAAACAAGATGTGAGAGACAAGGGGTAGGGAAGAAATGGGGCAGCGGTTAGGTTCAGAAGCGCATAGACCGTGGCGGACGGGCAATGCGAGGGGCACAGAAAGGAACTGAGGGGTGGGCTATTTAAGGAGATGGTCCTCAGCCCTCTCTTTTCTGCGTAGGTCTCCTCCTCCAGGCCGCGCGCGGATATGTCGTCCGGAAACCAGGTAGGAGTTCCTAAGGTGGGACTTGGGGCGGAAGAGAGACCTCCTGGAAGGCTGGGGTGGGTAAGGGGACCGATGTGGCGAATTAGAGCCACTAGATGAGGTGAGCCAGAGGTCCTGAGCAAAAGACCCCACGTCCACCTTACACAAAGCCCTAGGCCTGCAGCCTGTATGGGGACAGAGGGGTGTGAAGGGCGGGAGCAGGAGCTTTCCAGGTGAATGAGTGAAAATGAGCTTCCCAGAGGGAGTGCATGGCTGGCACCACCCAGGCCTACCTAGAGTATGGCACTTTGTGTCTGCGCTTCTGAGATGCAGGATGTAATTTCCCATTGCAACTCAGTATGCATAGTAGTTAAGATCCTTCTTATTAGGTAAATGATATGGGGCAAGGTACTTCCTCTCTCTGATTCTTATTTCTAAAATGAGTGTGAAAGTATCCATTTGCAAGGATTGTTAGGATTCAGCGATAATACACGAAAAGCACCCTTAACGCTGTGCTCAATTAAATATATTGATAGTATATATTAGAATTTATTATCTGGGGCCGGACGCGGTGGCTTACGCCTGTAATCCCAACACTTTGGGAGGCCAAGGTGGGCAGATCACTTGAGTTCAGGAGTTCGAGACCAGCCTGGCCAACATGGTGAAACCTCGTCTCTACTAAAAATACAGAAAAAAATTAGCCAGGTGTGGTAGCGCGCGCCTGTAATCCCAGCTACTCAGGAGGCTGAGGCAGGAGAATCGCTTGAACCTGGGAGGTGGAGGTTGCAGTGAGCCGATCGTGCCACTGCACTCCAGCCTGGGTGACAGAGCGAGACTCCATCTCAAAAAAACAAAAAAGAAAGAAATTATTGGCTGGACATGGCCCCAACATTTTGGGAGGCCAAGGCTGGAGGATCACTTGAGGCCAGGAGTTCAAGACCAGCCTGGGCAACATAGCAAGACCCAGTCTCTACAAAAAATAAAATAAGTAGAATTTATTGCTATTAATATATTTTTAATATAATTCTTTTCTGCCTCCCTATCAGAATCAACTTGAGCTGTTACAGACAGAAGAGGCCCATTAATGTTATTTGCATAGCAGGGTCTGACTGGAGAGGATAAGTCCATCTACTCTATGCCTCTTCCTCATCTCCAAGGGATAGCAGGGGTGCACACACCAAGACTGAGGTTTTCCTGTGATCTCTACTTGGTGCTTACATTTCAGGCATCGTACAGCTAGCTGCCTTTCCTCAACCCCCTTAATTCATACATGCAGTCAGCCAGCAAGTGTTTGTTGAGTGCCTAGTCTAGGCTGAGCCATGGGCCAGACTATGGTGGATTCCAAGGGAGTCAAACTCTGTCCTATCCACAGGAGGACCCATCCTAGTGGGGGATCTGAGAACTGTAGAGCCAGATAGGTGTGTGAAAGGTGCAGGCACAGTGTAGGGTCTTGGGAAAAGCCACCTACTCGCAACATGAAATATCAAAGCAGGTGCCCACGGAGTTTGCAAAGGAGAAACTGAGCCGAGAGATATCCAGTGCTTTGCTTGAGACCCTGAATGTCCCTTCTGGAGTTGGAGAGTGGGTGAAAAGAGCCAGGTCTGGGAGGGTGGGCAGCGAGAGTTGACTCTGGGTGTTTTCTATCCCCATATTTACTTGACAGCCCAGTCTAGGCTGGATGATGACCCACCTCCCTCTACGCTGCTCAAAGACTACCAGAATGTCCCTGGAATTGAGAAGTAAGCAGGAAGAAACCTAGTAGAGGAGGCAGGGGGCCCTGGGAGGATTGTCGGGGAGTGGGGAAAGACAGTGGCTTTGAGACTTGGCTTGCTGTAGCTGAAGCTTGATCTAGAAGGAGGCAGGGGCCCAGGTGTCCAGGTGTGGTGAGGGTGGGTGGTCAGCAAGGCAGATGGCACTCATGGAGCTCGGCTACTTGGGGGTTTTTTTGTACTCTAGATGAACACCCTGTACCACTAGATTCCAAGGAGCTAACATACTTCACAGGTCTTTGTAGAAATCTCTCATCTCTTGTTCCTCACAAAAGCTGTATGTCCCCATTTTATAGATTTTCAAGCTGTCCAGTGTCATACAGTTCTAAAGGGCAGAGCTAGAGTTTGAATCCAGGGCTGACTGACACCAAAGCCAGAGGCCCTCTGCTCAGCTCCTATGCAGTGTGGTGGGAGCTGGTCAGTCCCTCCCACTGTGCAATTTAACTTGAAATGTCTCAAAACAGATTGAACCATGTTGTAGCTAAAATGGAAATCCTCTCCTTGCCCTCCCTGTGATGAGACCGGAACAGTCGAGCTGACAGCCCCAGTTTCTGTAGTTTCAGCCCAGCAAGCCAGATCCACACTGACTTTTAATCCCTGGGAAATGGCTCCCCACCTCCAGGGAGATTCATTTGCTACAGAAGGAATTTTTCAATCATCTTTGCTTTTCAAACTAAAATGAAACCAGCATTGCTTTCCTCTCTTCTCCCCCAATGTCTGTCTCATTGCTGTGGTTTATCCACAGGGTTGATGATGTCGTGAAAAGACTCTTGTCTTTGGAAATGGCCAACAAGGTGAGCAGCCTCTGCCAAGCCTCAGCCTCCCGCAGTCTTCTCCTCTGGGACTCCCTTCTACCCTGATTAGCACCCCGCATCTCATGCTTCTCCAGTCACAGCACTTAGCCCACTGTCATTCTGCCTCCATTTGTCAATATCCCTAGACAGAGCATCTTCAGGGCAGGGACACTTTTGTTCCCCCACCATACCCCTAGCACCTGACAAACAGGTGCTCAGTGAATGAATGAATGAGCATAAATGAATGAGCAAGCTTTGGGGACATTCATGCAACAAGTCATTTCCTCTGTCAGTGGCTTTGGCTTTGGGCTCACCTGGATGTGGATAGCCATGTGGTTGGTCAAGGCCACAGTGAGCAGAGTGAAGTCAGGCCCTGAGCCTTATGGCCCTAGTTGCTATAACTGTAGCCAGGGCCCTTGGGGGGAGGAGGGCTAGTTCTTAGAGGGTGGCAGACTCCACAGATTTTCTCTGTCTCTGTCTTCAACAGAAGGAGATGCTAAAAATCAAGCAAGAACAGTTTATGAAGAAGATTGTTGCAAACCCAGAGGACACCAGATCCCTGGAGGCTCGAAGTTGGTCGGGGACCCTTGGGGAGTGGGGGTGTAGGGAAGCCTGCTAGCTGGGACCTGATCTAGGGCTCTTGTCTACAAGCACATGCACATGGGCTGGGGAAAGGGAGAGACATGAAGGACCTAGGGCAATGAAAATTGGACCCTGTATCCCAAGCTCTGATGCTGGAGTCAACACCCAGTTGGACCTTGTACCACTGTGTGAGCTTGGGTAAGTCACCAACCCTCTCTTGGAGCCCCTGCTTCCTCATCTGGAAATGGGGGAATAAGGGAGAGCAGAGCAGAGGTAATGTTACCCACCTCATGGCAGCATTGTGAGAGGCAGCTAGGGGATGTAAACACACCTTGGAAACTAAAGCTCACGATGTGTGATAATAATAGTAAGACTAGGCCAGGCGCGGTGGCTCACGCCTGTAATCCCAGCACTTTGGGAGGCCAAGCAGGTGGATCACAAGGTCAGGAGATCAAGACCATCCTGGCTAACACGGTGAAACCCCGTCTCTACTAAAAATACAAAAAATTAGCCGGGCATGGTGGCGGGCGCCTGTAGTCCTAGCTACTGGGGCTGAGGCAGGAGAATGGCGTGAACCTGGGAGGCGGAGCTTGCAGTGAGCCGAGATCGCGCCACTGCACTCTCGCCTGGGCAACAGAGCGAGACTCCGTCTCGAAAATAAAAAAATAAGACCAACATTTTGAACCCTCTTGTGCCAGACAGACACCATGGTGCATTCCCAAGGGAATAATGTTGCTACTTTGGTTCAGGCTAGAACTGGCAGTAGTCCTCATTAGATGTGAGTGAAAAGCACCACCATTTCCCCCTCTCTCTGGGTGCAGTTTCTCTTCATTGCCCACTGAGAGCAAGTGAGGTAGACTAGTGGACCTGCAGAGGATCTGCACACTTTCTCTCCTTTGCCATTGGCCTATATTATAGCCTCCTCCTCCTCTTCCACCCTCCTGCCTTCATTCTTCTCCCTTCATTCTTTTCTTCTCCCTCTGCCAGGGATTAAAGTCTGGTGAGTTCATCTTGGATACTAAAACCCCATTGAGAACTGGACTCAAGGGTCCTCCATAGCCTCTTTTGAGAAGATGAGTTTCAGCTTCCCTTGCCCTGCTAAAGCCCTGGGCTAGGGACCAGCTCAGCCACAAAAGGCCTGCTTATCTTTCCTCACCTGTTTCTGCATTATCACTACTGAAATCCCCAGGTTGGCAGGAACAAATGGCCTGGACTGGCAAGGTGGTTACTGGGGTCGTCTTTAAGCACAAGTTTTGATTCTTTTTTTTTTTTTTTTTTTTTGAGACCGGATCTCACTCTGTCACTCAGGCTGGAATGCAGTCAGTGGCAGGTGTGATCATGGCTCACTACAGCGCAACTTCTGGGGCTCCAGCAATTCTCCTACCTCAGGCTCCCAAGTAGCTGGGACCAAAGGCATGCACAACCATGTCAAGCTAATTTTTGTGTTTTTGGTAGAGACAGGATTTTGTCATATTGCCCAGGCTGATCTCGAACTCCTGAGCTCAAGTAATTCACCTGCCTCAGCCTCCCAAAGTGCTGGGATTACAGGCATGAGTCACCACGCCCAGCCCACAGATGTCACTTCTGCCTTTCCATTATTACTCAGTTTTCTGAATGCCAGTTGCTTCTAGCATAGTGCCTGCTCTAGAGAACCCCTCAGGAACCAAGGCCTATCTTTCTGTGTTGTTCCACTCTACACCTAAGTTGCTGTGATGGAGCCATGTGGTCGGGGTCAGGGTTCCCACTGCACTTTCTGCAGTGCTCCCAGAACTCAGTATGTACTGGGAAGGGCCTGCTGTCGTGACAGCCTCTCTTTGGGGCCAGCTTCTGCTTTTGCCCCCATCTTTGCAGTACAGGGGGTAAATTAAACAAGAGGATGCCTGAATGAACGATATCCTGGGTTCTTGAGAGACAAGTGGGAGCTGATAATTCTGAAAATTCATTAGTCAAAGCATGGAGATAAAGGTGGCAGCAGGAAGGGGAGAGGCAAGGAGTAGACCCGTGACAGTTTTAGAATCTTATTTGTGCCAAAATACTTT
Organism: Homo sapiens; assembly: GCF_000001405.40. NCBI lineage: Eukaryota > Metazoa > Chordata > Mammalia > Primates > Hominidae > Homo > Homo sapiens. The sequence continues at coordinate 36,458,642 of NC_000001.11, read as the reverse complement.
ACTGCATTGGCTTGGACCTCTAATACAATGTTGAATTGTTAACCATGATAGCACTGTATCCTGGTCTAATTCCTGAATTGAATGGCTAGTCTTACCATTAAGAATGCTATTTGCGGCCAGGCACGGTGGCTCACACCTGTAACCCCACCACTTTGGGAGGCCAAGGCAGGTGGATCACTTGAGGTCAGGAGTTTGAGACCAGCCTGGCCAACATGGTGAAACCCCGTCTCTACTAAAAATAGAAAAATTAGCCGTGTGTGGTGGCGGGCGCCTGTAATCCCAGCTGCTCTGGAGTCTGAGGCAAGAGAATCACCTGAACCTGGGAGGCAGAGGCTGCGGTGAGCCGAGATCGCACCACTGCACTCCAGCCTGGGCAACAGAGCGAGACTCCGTCTCAAAAAAAAGAATGCTATTTGCTATGATTTTTGGATGATATCTTTATAATATTAAGGGATGTCCCTTCCTTGGATTTTGCTTTTTAAGGGAAGGTAATGTCTAAGATAAGCCTTTGAAATCTTGAAATTCAGAGTGATTTGGGATTTATAGAGAGCTGTACAGAGCATTGGTGATTGTTATTCCTTGAGTTCTTAAAACGTAAACCAGGCCTGGGCCCTTCCTTCCTCTGTGCCCAACTCTCATCCTCTGTGGTTTGTGGTTTCAGTTATTGCCTTGTCTGTCAAGATCCGCAGTTATGAAGAACACTTGGAGAAACATCGAAAGGTAAACTCTGGACGTCATTCACAGTTAAACAGCAGCAGCCTGGGGGAAAGGGGTCCGGAGGGGAAGGGCTCTGGGTCCAGAGAAGGAGGCTTAGAAGCCACTGAAAATGCTTCCCTCCTGCCTCCAGAGGACTTGGAGCCTTACAAGGCCATGCTGAGTGTCACCAGGGGTTAAGAACACAAACTTGAGAGCATGATCACTGTGTCTGGCACATGCTGAGTGCTCAGTAAATATTTGTTGAATGCATGAATGGAGTCAGATTGCCCTGGGTTCAAATCCGAGCTCTGCCACTTCCACTTAAGTAGCTGTGTGATATTAGGGAAGTACAGGTCTCAGCCTCAGTTTTCTTTTCAATAAGATGGAGATCATACAAATACTTGCTCACAGGATTGCAAGGATTATGTGAAATAATAATAACAGCCAATGTGATGCATATAAAGTCTTTAGGCCCTGTGCTAAGTACTTCACATGCATCTTCTTATTTGACTCTCATGACTTTTTTTTCCCATCTTAACGAGGAATAATCTAGTCATGGAATGATTAAGTTATTCCTTAAGGCATAGCACTGGGAAGTGATGTACTGAGACCTTGAAACAAGGCAGTCTTGCTCCAAGACCCATATATATATATATTTTTTTTTTTTTTTTGAGATGGAGCCTTGCTCTGTCACCCAGGCTGGAGTGCAGAGGTGCGATCTCGGCTCACTGCAGGCTCCGCCTCCCAGGTTCAAGCAACTCTCCTGCCTCAGCCTCCTGAGTAGCTGGGACTACAGGCGCATGCCACCACACCCAGCTAATTTTTTGTATTTTTAGTAGAGACAGGGTTTCACCGTGTTAGCCAGGATGATCCCAATCTCCTGACCTCGTGATCTCCCCACCTCGGCCTCCTAAAGTGCTGAGATTACAGGTGTGAGCCACCATGGCCAGCCATATTCTTAACCATTATACCATATCTCAGCACAGTGTCTGGCACAGAGCTGCTGTAATTAGGCAAATGCTGTTATTTTTAATAAACAAATGATTGTGAATACAGACTGGTCCAGCACCATGCCTGGCACCTCAGTGTTCCCTGGAGCCTGCTTCTTAAAGATCACAGTTTTGCTTATTTGAGGTGTGGGACAGCAGCCCTACTGCAGAGGTCCTTCACAGGGCAGCAGCCAGCTGTGGGTAGGCATTTCCAGGAAGAGCACAAGGCCTTCCTTCCTCTCTACCCCAGCTGACAGTTTGCTAAGCTATGGAGAGTCTGAGTGGGTAGTGTAGGAGAAAGAGCATGAGGTTTGAAGTCAGACCAATAGATAGAGATTCAAGACCCTATCTCAGCACTCACAGTTCTAAAGACCTTTTGTGAATCAGATAACATCTTTAAACCTTTGTTTTCTCATCTGTAAAATGGGAATAACAATGATAATACCTCCTTCAGAATTGCATTAATATTTGCATAAGATTACTGAGAAATTTCAGTGAAATGATAAAATGACCATTGTTTGTTACTGTGAACAACAGTAACACTTATATAATACTAAAAGTAATGAGAATCTCTTGCAGGACAAAGCCCACAAACGCTATCTGCTAATGAGCATTGACCAGAGGAAAAAGATGCTCAAAAACCTCCGTAACACCAACTATGATGTCTTTGAGAAGATATGCTGGGGGCTGGGAATTGAGTACACCTTCCCCCCTCTGTATTACCGAAGAGCCCACCGCCGATTCGTGACCAAGAAGGCTCTGTGCATTCGGGTACGAGTCAGAATTGCGGCTTTGCTTGGCCCCACTCAGGGACTGGGATGGAGGAAGCAGAAGGGAGGGATCATCTGTTTCTGTTAGAGGCATGGAACTGGCCCCAGGCCCTGGAATGGATCCAGGGAGGTCACAGGCCACCAACCCCATGGAGAAAGGCTGGGGTTACCATCTGGGGGAAATAGTTCCCATCCCACTTGTTCCAAGTCTGAGGTTTTGCACAGGATTACAAGGTCTTTTTCTGCCCCTTTTCATCCCCAGGTTTTCCAGGAGACTCAAAAGCTGAAGAAGCGAAGAAGAGCCTTAAAGGCTGCAGCAGCAGCCCAAAAACAAGCAAAGCGGAGGAACCCAGACAGCCCTGCCAAAGCCATACCAAAGACACTCAAAGACAGCCAATAAATTCTGTTCAATCATTTCTTTCTGTCTTGAAGAATGATAGGAGAGATGATGGGGCTCTTTTTGGCCTGAAGAGGAGAAGGAATTTATTCTTTCATTCAGCTCTGAGATCCCAGAGTTTTCTGAGGCAGAGTCCCTGCCTCACCCACCAGAGGATACACACTTATGACATGCCTCCCACACACTCATACAAACAAGTACCTGTCATCCAGGTGATGTGTGTCAGTGGAGGCAAGACAGAGCATGTGACAGCACAGTGGAAGTGTGGCCGGCTGGGTAGGAAGAACTGCTGTAGGAGCTGCCTTCTGGACTGGGTCCTAAAGGATGAGTAGGAATTCACTATATAGAGACAGGAAGGGAAGGCCTCCTGGGCAGAAGGGATTGCAAGTACAAAGGCAAGGAAGTCTAGAGAGGCATGCTGTATTCAGAGAACGGGGAGAATGAGAAATAAAGCTTGAAAGGTAAGCTGAAGCTGAAGTGTGAGAAGCTTTATATGCTAGGCTGAGAAGATTGTACACTGTCCACTAGGGAGTGGGGAGACAGTTCAAGTTTTAAAACTGAAGGAGTGATGGCAATTAACAGGTCTGTGTTTTAGATAGTTAAGCAACAGCTGTGTGGATGGTAGATGGGAGGAGGAGAGATCAGAGCAGTGTACTGGGGCTGGAGGATATCAGTGTTCACGTAGAGAATCTGATCAAAACTACAAGTCCTATCCCCAGGAAGCATATGCAAAAGCATTGCTTATAAATTCTAGGGAGTTATGGATCCCCGTTCCCCATAAAGCCCATCCATTTACACCAAGTTAAGTGCCAACACCTTGAAGCCTGAGCATGCTTGGTATGTTTGAAGAACCCAAGGAAGACAATGTGTCTAAAACAGAACAAAGAGAATAGTAAGAAGACAAGGTCAGAGGGGTAGGCAAATACCAGGTGATGTAGAGCTTTCTGGGTGTCTCAGCCTGCCATAACAAAATACCATAGATTAGGTGACTTCACAGGATTTTTATTTTGAGTTCGTTTTTTCACAGTTCTGGAGGCTGGGGATTCCAAGATCAGAGTACCAGCCAATTCAGTTTCAGGTGAGGACTCTTCCTAGCTTGGAAAAGCCACCTTCTCAATGTCATCACATGGCCTTTCCCTTGGTCCATGCAGTGGGGAGAGCTCACTCTTACAAGGCCACTAATCCCATCATGAGGGCCGTACTCACGACCTTATGTAACCCTAGTTAACTCTGAGAAGCCCCATCTCTAAATACTGTAACATTGGAGTTAGGGCTTCGACATATGAATTTGGTCGGGGACACATTCGGCCCATAACACTGGAGAAATACACTGGACTTCACTCTGGGAAGGGAAGCCACTGAGGAAAGCCAAAAAGGGAGAAAGGTGTGCTAAAGTGCTATCCAAAGAGCAGTTGGAAGTTTAGATCTAGGACTCAGTAGAGAGGTCTGGACTAGAGAGGTTTGCGAGTTGTTGGGTGATTGAGCCCATGGGCATAAGTGAAACTGCCCAGGGATGGAGTGTATAAGAAAAAAGGACCATGTCTGGATGGGAAGGATGATCCCTGAGAGCTTAGCCTAAGTCAGAAGGAGCAGCTGAGCTGGAGGAGAAGGTGAAGTAGGGGTAGAACAGAGCCTGGGTGTCTGCAGAAGCAGAAATGAGAGGCTCAGAACTGAAGATCCACTATTCAGATATCACTTCCAGGAATTGTAGGGAAGGCCTTTAATGGGCCAGGACTTCCAAGTGGCCACGGCTACTTAGAGGTAGTGTGTCAGAGGGCCAGGTACTAACAGTTAAGGGGGCTAGCCAAGGGGAAGGAAAGAAAAAGGAACACATTTTAATGGATCAGGCCCTACTGCAAAGGCATTTGTGTGTTTTTCGTTGGTTGGTTGGTTGGTTTGGCTGGTTGTTTTTTTAGAGACAGGATCTTGCTCTGTTGCCCCAACTGGAGTGCAGTAGCCTGATCATAATTCACTAACTTCAAATTCTTGGGCTCAAGCAATCCTCTTGCCTCTGCCTCCTAAGTAGCTAGGACTATAAGTGTAAGCCACTGCGCTTAGCTAATTTTTTTATTTTTTGTAGAGAGGGTCTCACTATGTTGCCCAGGTTACTCAAACTCTTGGCCTCAAGCAATCCTTGCCCTCCCAAATGCCTTGGTTTCCCAGAGTGCTGGGATTACAGGCGCGAGCAACTGCATCCGGTCAAAAGGCATTGTTTTAACTGCTTCCTTAGGCACATTATCTAATATTCACAGCCACCTTTACTCTGCACATTGGCTAATTATCCTCATTTTAGCCATGAGAGATGAGAGAGTCATGAGAGAACTGAGACTCAGAGAGGTTAGGTAACTTGTCCAAATTCATATAGCTGGGAAGAGAAAGGTCTAGGATTCAAAGCTGGCTCTGTCTTGACTCCAGAGCCTATGTCCTGTTCACTATACCACACTGCTTAGGGACCAAGAAAAAGGTCTGAGAAGCTAAGGGAAGAGTACACTACAGCAAACTCAAATGCTTTTGGGAGCAAGGCAGGTAACAAAAATGCATGAAGGCCTAACATGAAGTAATGATGCTAAGGTGTTTATTACATTCCTATCCTAGTTGTATTCCCTCTTATTTATTTATTTTAATTTTTTTGAGACAGAGTTTTTGCTCTGTCCCCCAGGCTAGAGTGCAGTGGTGTGATCTTGGCTCACTGCAACCTCCCCGTCCCAGGTTCAAGCGATTCTCCTGCCTCAGCGTCCACAGTAGCTGGGATTACAGGTGTGTGCCACCACACCCAGCGAAGTAGAGATGGGGTTTCACCATGTTGGCCAGGCTGGTGTTGAACTCCTGTCTTGAACTCCTGACCTCAAGTGATCTGCTGGCCTTGGCCTCCCAAAGTGCAGGGATTACAGGTGTGAGCCACTGCGCCTGGCCTGTATTCCCTTTTAAAACAGAGCACAGAGCAGGCAAAATAACCAAATTAAACAAAGCCTTGGGCTGCCAGCCATGGGATACTGTATAGTCCTGATGCTGAGATATCAGTTAAGGGAAGGACCAAAAAGTATTCATGGTGAAGCAGTTTCAGTGGGGTTCAGGGAGCATAATACCAGTTGCAATGAGGTGGGGAGTGAGGATGTTAAGGAGGTTCCAGTTGTGAGTGTTGTCAACTCGTTCAAAACACTTCACTGGGAAGGAAAGGAAGGAAAACAGACTAGCAGGGATGGAAGGAGAATGTTAATATGGGAAGGACTTGGGCTCAGTTATGGCAGGACAAGACTTTTCAGTGGTGTGGTAATGAGGAAGAGGCAGCCTGCTGACAAGTTCAACTGGACTGGGGGAGAGGAGGTGGCCAGGTGCAGGAGATGGCTTTAAAAAGGTAGTTGGCCGGGTATGGTGGCTCTCACCTGAAATCCCAACAACTAAGGAGTCTGAGGTGGAAGAATCACTTGAGGCTAGGAGTTCTAGGCTGCAGTGAGCCACCAGGGTGCCACTGCATTCCAACCTTGGGCAACAAAGTAAGACCCCTATCTCTTTAAAAAAAAAAAAAAAAAAAAGGTAGCTGGAGCCTGTGGAGAGCCTGGAATGCCATGCCAAGGCATCTAGACTGTGATCTGGCAAAGAGTAGGAAACCACTGAAGGGATGTGTCATGTTGACAGTGATGCTGGCCGGGCGCAGTGGCTCATGCCTGTAATCCCAACACTTTGGGAGGCCGAGGCGGGCAGATCACCTGAGGTCAGGAGTTCGAGACCAGCCTGGCCAACATGGTGAAACCCCATCTCTACTAAAAATACAAAATTAGCCGGGCATGGTGCCCTGGTCCATGCCTGTAATCCCAGCTTACTCAGGAGGCTGAGGCAGAAGAATCGCTTGAAACCAGGAGGCGGAGGTTGCAGTAAGCCGAGATCGTGCCATTGCACACCAGCCTGCGCGACAAGAGTGAAACTCCATCTCAAAAAAAAAAAAGTGATGTCTTCTGACATTTAGCTTAGCAGCCAGTGCAAGGTAGAAGAGAGAAAAGAACAGTGATACAGAGGAACATAGCAATGCAGACAGAAAAACAAATGAAGGGATGAATGTAAGAAAGGTGTTGGAGGAAAAAGCATAATATGATGACTGATAAAAGACCCTGGGAAACAGATTTGGAAGCCAAGGCCCAAGTTTCAAGTTTGAGTAGCTGGAGGGAAAGATAATTAGTAGGTTTTGGAAGTACTGAAATTTACAGAAATGGTTGTTCATCAGAGTAAAAATATACAGCAGATGGCAAAAAGTAATCCTGGAGCTTAAGATGGAGGTAAGGAAGGGAGTCGCTGCCCTCAAAGAGAAATGGTTGGGGCCGGGCGTGATAGCTCACGCCTGTAATCTCAGCACTTTGGGAGGCCCAGGCGGGCAGATCACCTGAGGTCAGGAGTTCCAGACCAGCCTGGCCAACATGGTGAAACCCCGTCTCTACTAAAAATACAAAAATTAGCCGGGCATGGTGGCGGGCGCCTGTAATCCCAGCTACTCGGGAGGCTGAGGCAGGAGAATCGCTTGAACCCTGAAGGCGGAAGTTGCAATGAGCCGAGATGGCGCCACTGCACTCCAGCCTGAGCGACAAGGGCAAAATCCGTCTCAAAAAAAAAAAAAAAAGAAAAAAGAAATGGTTGGGAGGCCTTCGGAACAGCGTCGAGGAGGGAACTTCCCAGAGCCCCCAGGCGCATCCTCTGGGAACTGGACACACGGGGACGGACGGGACTGGTTTGCTTCATGGAGTATGAAACCAGGAGGGGCTTCACTTCAAGTAAACTTTTGGGAGGCGATGCAAACGACTCAGGACTTCTGATCCTTCCCTCGTCTAAAAGAAAAGTCAGTTACCATTTTTATTGAGTGCTTTCGGGGCCTTTCCATGATCTGACTGATTCCTCTCAGCCGCCCTGTGATGTGAGTGCCAGCTCCATGTTACGTAAGAGGAAGCCAAGGCTCAAACCCTGCCCGAAGTCACACAGCAAGAAATCACGAGCCGTGATTCCAACCCAGGTCCGTCTGACCCGAGCCTGCTCTAATGCCGTTCTGCCTGGGCTTTCCTCTGTTATAGGAACCTGAGGCCCCGCGCCAGCGGCCGGGGTCCCAAGCGCCGGGCTGGCTGTGTCGAGACCACCCCCAGCCCTGGCCCGGCCCTCGCCCTTTCGAGGGAAACCTACTCTCAGAAGCACAGCTCCCCAGCCGCGCCCAACGCCGCGCCGGCCTCTGGCTCGGACCAATCCCCCCGGGACGGTCCACCACCCAGACCAATTAGCTCCCGTCTTCAGGGCACCTCCCACCAAACCGCCTTCTGATTGGCTCGCTCTTCCCGTCACGGCGTTGCCCCAGCAACCGGACTATTGGGACGCTGCGGCCTGGCCTTCAGGCCACTGGCTACCGAACCCCGGGGCTCTTCACCAGTCCAGCTCGTTTCCAGCACCATGTCGGTGCGGACGCTACCGCTGCTCTTCTTGAACTTGGGCGGGGAGATGCTTTACATCCTCGACCAACGGCTGCGGGCCCAGAACATCCCGGGAGACAAGGCCCGCAAAGGTGAGAGGCCCCCGGCCCGCTCAGCCAGACCCGCAGCCAGCAGCCCGGCCCTCTCATCATCGCCCTAACACCCACAGCCAGACCCGCACCCCTACACACTTCACTCTTATAACCAGGGACCTTTCTTACAAGCCACATCCATTTGGAGCCCCTCGGGAGTCAAATCCCCCCAAAAGCTTTTTTCACAGCAGAGGAACTTAATACTCCCAGTGGACACTAGGGTGCCTGACCTCCCTAATTTCCCCATCTCTTCAAATGGGAGAGGTGATTTCCCAGTCTCTCTTGTCAATCAGTGCCTTCCAAATGTAGGAGTCCCAGCTGCCCACCATCTAGTATCATACCCCTTGCTAGTCCAAGCATCCTCTTTACCCCCAAGGAACAGGTTCTGATTTTTTTTTTTTTTTTTTTTTTTTTTTTTTTTTGAGACAGGGTCTCGCTCTGTCGCCCAGGCTGGAGTGTGTGGCACGATCTCGGCTCACTGCAACCTCTGCCTCCTGGGTTCCAGCGATTCTCGTGCCTCAGCCTCCCAAGTAGCTGGGATTACAGGCATGCACCACCACACCCAGCTAATTTTTGTATTTTTAGTAGAGATGGGGTTTCACCATGTTTCCCAGGCTGGTCTTCAATTCCTGGACTCAAACGATCTGCCCCCCTCGGCCTCCCAAAGTGCTGGGATTATAGGCGTGAGCCACCGCGTCCAGCCCAGGTTCAGATTCTTAATTTCTTTATGGTAGTATCTTCCCACATAAGCTGGAGATTGGTCTTACTCATCTCAGAAGTATTTCTAGAAATTTGGTGTTCTAAAATAATATAGATAAATATGAAAAAAATAAGAAAGTTATAAATCTCCTCACAAGTGTTGGAGGGGAATACAATTGTGAAAATAATTATATGAGAGCTTCGAAAATGCAAAATCTGCCTCCCATGGACACCACACTAATCCCCAGAAAAATGACGACTCAGAACACTCTGCCACTCTGTTCCTTTTCCTCTTTTCCTCCCTTCTCGGCAAACAACTTGCTTATACCAAATTTCCTAGGATTAAGTATGAAGGAAATATTATATTTCAAAGTGGAGGAGGAAAAGTTGAAAAGGCAATTGACATGGCCGCCAATTAAAACATTCTCTCCATTAATCTTTGTATGCTCAATTGATGTTCAACATACATATTCAGATGCTAAGCATACATATTCAGATATTAACTATTGTGTGTGTGTGACTGAGTGCAAGTCCATGCATAAAGAGCTAAAAATAACTCCCTATAACATACCCCCTCCATTCATTCTGCACATTGCCGCCAATGAGCTTTCTAAAATGTGTATCTGTCCAAACTTGCCCCTGCCTAAAACCCTTTGTCAGCTTTCCACTGCCATCTGGGTTAAGACCAAGTCCTTGCACAGGCCATTTCAGGGCCCTTCCTTATCTGATCTCTGTCTTCCTCTGCAGTCCCTTCTTCCACCACTGCCTGCCTCCTGTTTCCCAATAATACCAAACTGCTCATAGATCTCCGCTTAAACCATGTTTGTTCGTATTTCTGTGCTAGTAATTCCCATCCCTACATTCTTCCCCTTCAATCCTGCATTATTCGGCTTAAGAATCATCTCCTTCAGGAATCCTCCCCATATGCAGAAAGGGCCTGTGCATGCTCTCATAGCAGCCTGTGCTCCCATAGCACCCCATGCCTGCTCCTCAGTACCTTACCACTGGCCATGCTATACTGAAATGATCTGTGTATATGTCTATCTCCCGCTTGATTGTCTTATTCATCTTTGTACTCCAGCACCTACCATAATTCCTAGACCAGAATAAATTAGTGATCACAAAATGTTTTTTGAACTGATTATCTAAATTGGCAGTTTTATATAGCATTGTCATTTTTCCTTTGAGAGGGTTCTGTTTTCCTTGGTGCCTGTGTGATCTGATTTCATTCAGGCTAGTGGCACCAATGAGGTGACATGCTGGAGTCCTCAGACTGGTAGGTAGTCTGCATCTTGGAAGATAGTGTAAATTAGCAATTAAGAACATACTCTCTAGAGTCTTACAGACCTGGATCCCAATTCCAGCTTTACCATTTAACTAATTGCATGCCCTTTGGGTGTAACCTCTATAAACCTGTTTCTCCATAAAATGGTAATAATACATATATGTTAAAGCAAAGTTGTAAGGATTGAATGAAATAATGTATTTAATATGTTTAACACAATGAGTAATAGGTATCTTTCAAGAGGAGGTCTGGACAAGGCCCTTGGAATACTAGAGGACAGCTTTACCTTTAGGAGTTATAGCCTTTTTTCTGCTTTTGCTAAATATGGTTTTGGGAGTTTCGGCCATCTTTAGTAATTTACATTCGCACACTCATTCATTCCACAGATTTTGACTGAGTGTCAAACACTATGTGAGATACTATATGGAGCCTGATGCAGCCCTTCTGGACATTCACTGGAGGTAGGGCTATTGATCAGTCCACTCCAGTAACTGATTCTAGTGACAGCAATCAACAATAAAACAATGAAAAATCAAGCACTTACTTTGTACCAAGGGCTCCTCTTAAACACCTTAATCCTCCCAACTATTGTAACACATAGGTAATATTACTATCCCCATTTTACAGATGGAGAAACTAAGACTAATTTGCCCAGAGTTACATGGCTGGTAGGAGGAAAAGTAAAGGATTTGAGCCCAAGGCATCAGGCTCCAAAGTTCATACTCAGCCAATGTCCCCTTACTATAACCAATGTCCCCTCATATAACCAATGTCCTCATACTCAGCCAATGTCCCCTTACTATAACCACTTAGTCCCCTTACTATAACCACTATACTCTGCTGCCATACCTTGGGGACTATATCAGAATCTTAGTGGGGGTTGGTAGGTCAGGAGGAGAGGGAGGAGTCTGAAAAATATATATCCAATATACCCACTGATTTTATCAAATAAATGACAAAATAGTTGGCTGTTGGAGATCTGTAGAAGATAGAGTGAGAAAACAGGGTAGAGAGCATAGGATTCAACGGGCTGAGAAATACTCATGTCTTCCACCTATTCCACCATTTAAAGTTGTTGTGGCCACAGGAGCGAGAGCCCCTGTAACAGATCCCTGTACACAGGAGCCTATAAAACACTAGACTTGGTAAACTAGTCCTCTTCGAAGCTTTGAGTGGAAATCATATTTCTTCTAGATGTTTTCATTATCTTATACGACTAATTGGTCTCCTGGAGGCCATCCCTGTTCCCACAAGGCCAAGGCAGATGTTGCAGCTTCCCCCACAACGCAGCCTCTAGTTTAGCATTCAACAGAAAGGAAGTGCTCTCTCTATGAGGCAACTATCGAGTGTTGCATATTGAATGTTGTCTCCTGTTTAAAGCAATGGCGAGAATAATAAAAGCTACCTTTGCCTCTTAAAAATATTTATAAATAAGACCTTATTATCTTTTGCTTACATTCCTCATTTTACAGGAGAGGAAACTGAGGCATGTGGCCACAAAGTGATTTTTCCAAGACATGCCAATCACAGTGTAGCACAAGCAACCAAAGGGCAGTGAGACTCTGGTTTTATTTTTCTAGTTCCAGTTTAACGACTAGCTCTGAATAGCCTTGGGCCTGCCCCCACTCAAAACAGAACTAAAGTGGAGTTGTCACAAATAAGTCATCTGGAGAAATAATAGAAAAAGAGGGTGTTTCTCTTCCCTGTATTCTCAGGAGGAAAGGAGTAGGGGAGCACACAGCACTACAGAGACCCCTGCTGGCGTTCAGCCTGCCTGCCTTCGGGAGCATCTGCCAGTTCCATTTTATCAGCGAGAGTCACTGTCCTTCAGAGATGACCCCCTTGCAGCACCACTATTCCCCAAACACACCTGCAAGGGGATTAAAACTCCACCTCCTTGAATTCCCACAAGTCTATCACACTATACCACCAGTTAAATAAATGCTGCAGGGGCCGGGCGCAGTGGCTCACGCCTATATTCCCAGCATTTTGGGACGCCGAGGTGGGTGGATCACCTGAGGTCAGGAGTTCGAGACCAGCCTGGCCAACATGGTGAAAACCCATCTCTACAAAAAATACAAAAATTACCCTGTTGTGGTGGCAGGCGCCTGTAATCCCAGCGACTCAGGAGGCTGAGGCAGGAGAATCGCTTGAACCCGGGAGGCAGAGGTTGCAGTGAGCTGAGATCACGCCACTGCACTCTAGCCTGGGCGACAAAGCAAGTCTCCCTCTCAGAATAAACAAATAAAAAATAAATGCCAGGCCGGGTGTGATGGCTCACACCTGTAATCCCAGCACTTTGGGAGGCCAAGGTGGGCAGATCACCTGAGGTCAGGAGTTCAAGACCAGCCTGGCCAACATGGAGAAACCCCGTCTCTACTAAAAATAAAAAATTAGCCGGCATGATGGCAGGTGCCTGTAATCCCAGCTACTCGGGAGGCTGAGGCGGGAGAATCGCTTGAACCTGGGAAGTGGAGGTTGCAGTGAGCCGAGATCGCACCATTGCACTCCAGCCTGGGCAACACAGTAAGACCCTGTCTCAAAAATAAATAAATAAATAAATAAATAAATGCCACAGAAAGATAGATGTGGACATTGTGCCAAAGAAAACAGTATCTGCCAAACTTTTGGTGCTGCTTTCCCAATATTTTCTTTTCAAAAGCCCATGACTCTTGATGGGGGAAGATGGTGAATTTTCCCAGAGGAGTGTGATCTTGCAATGGAAACCCTTTGCAGCCGGTTAGGACATGGCACTGGCCATGCTTTCAGACTGCTCTCTTGGGAGCTTTTGGTATTATGTATTGAAGCCATGTGTATACTTTGATTATAACTTCAGAAATCACCCCTAATACCACAATCTAGTGGCAAATGTTTCCAAAAGAAACTATTAATTACAAAATGGTTTTGGGGTTTTTGTTTGTTTGTTTTTGTTTTTTGAGATGGAGTGTTGCTCTGTCGCCCAGTGGCGTAGTCTCCACTCACTGCAACCTTCACCTCCTGGGTTCAAGCAATCCTCCTGCTTCAGCCTCCCAAGTAGCTGAGACTATAGGTGTGCACCACCACACCCAGCTAATTTTTGTATTTTTTGTAGAGATGAGGTTTCACCATGTTGGCCAGGCTGGTCTCGAACTCCTGACCTCAGGTGATCCGCCCATCTTGGCCTCCCAAAGTTCTGGGATTACAGGCATGAGCCACTGTGCCTCGCCAAAATGTTTTTGAAATACAGATGTGTATAGAACTTTTTTATCTAGGGGTGGTTCTTCTAGATTGAAATCTCCATCAAAAATTAAGGAAAGGAAAAAAGTCATCTTCCATCCTTTATGGGTGGTGTCTAATGTCCCTCAGTAGAGGAAACAGAACTCAAAGGGAAGCCAGCTAAGTATTTGATGTGTGTTATGCTTTATCCCCACAATAGGCCTGTAAGATAGGTGCTATTATGATCCCTATTTTACGAAGGAAACTGAGGTTAAACAAGTTGCTTGAAGTTTATATAGCCAGTAAGTAGAGCCAGGTTTCAACCCATAGAGTCTTGATTCTCACCGATTTCTCTAGCCAACTGCATTTTTCCTTATTTGGTCTCCTCTTGGGATCTCCCCAGCTGCCTTTGTCCTCAGAAGCTTTCTTCATAGTGGTCCCATCATTATTCGCTTCTTTTTACATGGAAATCATGCATCTATATATATAAAAAGTAAAACAGAAACAAATGCTGACATTTTCCTTTTAATTCACATTTCAAGTTTTCTAATTTGAGCAGTTCCATCTGTCCTCTAGAAAGGGAAATCTTACATTAATAAAAAAAAAAGAAAAGAAAAGAAAACTCAGATTGTATACAAAGAAACTCTTTTCTCTGCCTGTTCTTGGAATTATTCTTCCTCATGGAGGCTAGCGTCTTTAAAAGCCTACTACTGAATGATATGTATTCTTGTAGCATTAGAGAGCGGGGCTTCTTGGGCCTTTCAAGATGAACCACAGGATAGCTAATCCTCCTCAGTTTACTCTCTTCTTAGGCCAGTCTCTGTAAGACATAGCCTTTCTTGAGCTTTTTTGAAATATGTTGTTTATCCATCATCCTTTTAAAGGTTTCAAATAGAAGGCAGTGTGCTCACATTAGACATTAAATGCCAACGTGAAAAGTAAAGTTTCATAGATAAGATCATTGGAATTGGTATGTTTAAAGCCTCCTTGAAAATAATGTTCTTGCTTCATGAACTGGTGTTTTCTTTTTGTATGCTTCATGTAGATGAATGGACAGAGGTGGACAGAAAACGAGGTATGCTATCTCCGGGCTGCATGTGTTCAGTGTGCATCCACAGGTTCACTCAGGCCTTTATCAGCAGGGCTTAAAATGGGACCGCTTGAAACATTTCAAAGTCAAAGTAAGAAAATAGGCATGAGTTTGTCTTTAGCTGAGATATTGGTTATACATTTGAATCTTTTACTTAAGAGGAAGAAATACAGCATGTTAAGATGAAAACTAAGCAAACTCTGACCAAAAAGCCACACTGTACTTGAGGGATATGTCTCCTTTTCTCAGTTCCAAGCTTTGCTGGGACAGCTGGGGCAATAGCCATACTTTGGGGTATGTCATCCTATTTGGTAGTCCTTAAAACAACTTTGTTTTGTCATGTAACCAAAGAATTGTGCTTCAACATGAGTGACCCTCCCTGAGCCATTCTCCTAAGCTCACAGAGCAACCGAGAAAAATTGAAGCATGTAACTGCATGGCTGCCAGGACTGTGGGCAGAAGGCATGACATCATGCATGCAGTGTGGCCTCATCATGCAAAAGCTTCAGTTTCCCCTTACCTACTGCAAGCAGGAAACCTGAAAAAGTTGTCGACTCCTCAGAATAAAGCCTTAGACTTTCTCAGCCTTTAAATAAATCTCAGATACCTTCTGTCATTTGACATTTGGGTGTGGTGTGTGCCTATCATCAGCCATCCTCCTCAATATTTTAAATGCTCTCACCACACCAAGTATGCTGGGAAGACAACCTGTATAATATTTAAGAGGCCAGGTGCAGTGGCTCACACCTGTAATCCCAGCACTTTGGGAATCTGAGGCAGGAGGATCACTTGAGGTCAGGAGTTCGAGGCCAGCCTGGCCAACATGGTGAAACCCTGTCTCTACTAAAAATACAAAAATTACCTGGGCATGGTGGTGGGCACTTATAATCCCAGCTACTTGGGAGACTGAGGCAGGAGAATCACTTGAACCTGGGAGGCAGAGGTTGCAGTGAGCCGAGATCTTGCCACTGCACTCCAGCCTGGGCGACAGAGCGAGACTCCACTTCAAAAATAATAATAATAATAATAATATTTAAAAGCACAGGCATTAAATCAAACAGACCTAATTCTAATTTCAGCTCCATCACCAGCTGTGTGACCTTGGACTTTAAACTCTCTGATTCAGTTTTCCTCCTTAATAGAATGAGGATAATATAAAACGATAAGTGGTCTGGCAGGAAAAAAAAATGAGGATAATAATTCAGAGTTGTCTTGGAGTTTAAATGAGATAATGCATATAAAGTTCTAAGCCCAGTGCCTGGGACATAGAAAGGATTGAAACATGGTAACTATTCAGGAGGGTTTCCTAGCCTCTCTCTAAATTCTTGGCTCCAAATTTCATATTCCCATAAACAAGTCAATTTAGAGCAGAGGTAATTGGTAAAAACTTGATTGCTTTCATCAAGATAATTATTTCATCAGACCAGTCTCGAAAAAAAGCCCAATTGAAGTACTTGGTACACTTTATTACATTTCACAACCATCGTTTGACACTTCTTGAGCAATTTTTGACCCGTCCCTCCCTTGATGCATAGCAGAATTTCAGGTATGAAGTGTGGATTTTGAGAGCTTTTCATATACATAATTGAATCATTGAAATTTATTTTAACATAAATGTTCAAAAATAATGAACAGAAACTGGCTTCATAATCTGAACCCAGGACTAGAAGCTTGCTATGTTGAGAACCCAATTACCAACTTTCTGAGGCTCCTGTGAAAAATCCCTTCCCTCCCCTGCCTTAGCCTCCTTTTTTTTTTTTTTGAGACGGAGTTTCGCTCTTGTTGCCCAGGCTGGAGTGCAATGGAGCGATCCCAGCTCACTACAACCTCCGCTCCCAGGTTCAAGCAATTCTCCTGCCTCAGCCTCCTGAGTAGCTGAGATTACAGGCATGAGCCACCACGCCTGGCTAATTTTGTATTTTTAGTAGAGATGGGGTTTCTCCATGTTGGTCAGGCTGGTCTTGAACTCCCGACCTCAGGTGATCCACCCACCTCGGCCTCCCAAACTGCTGGGATTACAGGCGTGAGCCACTGCGCCCGGCCCCCCTTAGCCTCTTCCTATTGAAATCCGGCTCCTAGTATATTCCGGCCTCGTGAAAAGTATGCAGAACTCATTTGCATGCCAAAAACCAACACTTAGACTAATGGGCGGGTCTGATTA
This sequence comes from Homo sapiens, assembly GCF_000001405.40. Lineage (NCBI taxonomy): Eukaryota > Metazoa > Chordata > Mammalia > Primates > Hominidae > Homo > Homo sapiens. The sequence continues at coordinate 36,441,827 of NC_000001.11, read as the reverse complement.
AAACTATTTCTTCAGGGATGTTAGGATGAAGGGAAAAAAATAAAAAACAAATTACTTTTTTTTTTTTTTTTTTTTTTGAGCTGGAGTCTCGCTCTGTTACCCAGGCTGGAGTTCAGTGGCGCGATCTCGGTTCACCGCAAGCTCCGCCTCCCGGGTTCACGCCATTCTCCTGCCTCAGCCTCCCGGTAGCTGGGACTGCAGGCGCCCGCCATCACGCCCGGCTAATTTTTTGTATTTTTTTTTAGTGGAGACGGGGTTTCACAGCGTTAGCCAGGATGGTCTCGATCTCCTGACTTCGTGATCCGCCCGCCTCGGCCTCCCAAAGTGCTGGGATTACAGGCGTGAGCCACCGCGCCCGTACGCTAATTAAATTTTTTAAAAAAACTATTTCTCAGGTTTAACCTAAAGATGATGTGCTGCTTCTCTAGGGCCAGGATAACATCTCCTTCCTCTTTGTGCCTGTGGTGTTTATTTCACTGTCTGGTACCTAATAGGTCTGCCTCAACCAAGGGCTGGGTGAAGCAAATTGTAAGACAAAAACATGTTAACGTGTGCCTCCATCTTATTTCCAAAGAGTGAAACGAGAAGAGGGAGCCCTAGGTGTCGTGGCCCAACCATTAAACTGCCATTTCCTCTTTGGGGGCATTTGTACTCACTGCTCTGCCCACAAGGACAGACCCCGCCGTCCTCTTCCCAGCAGGTGAACTGTCTGGATGCTGGCGCCAGGAGCCATGGTGCTCCAGAGCTTCTTCACTTCCCACGGGGAAAGACTTCATTTTGCTTTTCACTTTGCCCGAGTAGCTAACAATCACCTTGGGGTATTCTTTCGTCCAGAACTGATTTATCTGGGTGTAAGCTATTTCCCTAGCTCCTAATAAGGGCTCAAAGACCCCAGAGAAATGACTCAGCACCTAGGTGAATAGCAGCCCTTTGTAAGCATTAACCTAACCAGAGTTGATGTGATGCTTCAACTTGAATTCTTCTTTGGCACTCCTCCTCCCTGGCTTACGTAAGTCTGTGGAAAATTCTTCATATTCTCTCTTTTGAGGACTTATGTGTGGCTTTTCAATTGTGCCTGTTTCCTTGCAAATGCTACATTTTATGTAGGCTATGGTAAGAAAAAGGTTAGAAAACCCAGTTTATTGCAGGTTCTTTCTTGTTTCAGTGCAATGGAGGTGGTCAGGCATGAGGCAAACCTGACAGAGTTCTATGTCTCTCCAAGCTGTCCACGGTGGGGAAATGTTAGGGCACATCAAGGGCAAGCTGGGATGGTTTGAAATTGTCAGATGTCAGGGACATCCTGTGTTGGTAATGGATTTGGTTCTCCCTCACTGAGTAATAGGATCAAGTCTAGTGTAAAATCTAAAGGTCAAGTGTGAGTTTAGCATTTCTGTATGGAGCCACAGTCAGTTCATTTGTGTCACCGGGGGTGTGTGTGTTGGGGATGTATCCCCTCTCCCCTCTCTCTGTAGCTCTTCCATTTAAGATTTAAGTACAACCAGCCCTCAGCTCCCCCTTCCCCCATAAAATGTGTTGAAATGCTTTAAAATGCGGGCCTGAGCCCTCCGGGTACTTCTGTCAATTACTTACAGGTTGAGAGTGCCTAAAATAATCACTTCACTGCTCTACCTTGCCTCTGCTCTAAAGAGACATGGCCACAGGCAGTCATCTGGAGTGTCCTTTGTGTTCAGCAAAAGAAGAAGGAATTTCTATATTTCAATAATAACCACTCATGTTTAATAAGTGATTTTGTATAATTATTTTAAGTAACCCAGTTTTCTTTCAAATTTGAATTTCTGTAAGTGTATATTCTCAGTATCCACATATGCTCACATTTAGGCGAGGATAACTGGTTTAATTAAGGATAATCTATGTTCAACCATACCTCTTCCTATTTCTCATACCTGAGGGTTTTCTTGGCCCTTAACTAGTGATATTTCATTTCAGTAGTGCAAAATATCTAGATGAATGAAGACCTAAAACTATAGACACTTTAGTTTGTACACTTCTTTCTCACCAGAGGGAAATTTTCCATTTGAACAGCAGTGTGAGATATAGCACTACACTGTAGTATCAAGATTATAGATCAAATGTGGAAATTAAGGCATTCAAAAATGGTGCTATTCAAAGTACATGTCTTATAGCAACATTACAAGTGTTTTAATCTCTAACCAGTGGGTAGACTTGTCTATTTTCAGGAGGTATTATTAAGAGTCAATTACCATTGTTGGTCCCATTTTTATAATATTTAATTTTAAGTAAAAATGTTTAGATTTGGTTTTAAAAATTATAGGAATTTTTATTTTTATTTTATTTTATTTTTTTAGACAGGATCTCCTTCTGTTGCCTAGGCTGGAGTACAGTAGCACAATCAGAGCTCACTGCAGCATTGAATTCCTGGGCTCAAGTGATCCTCCTGCCTCAGCTTCCAGGCCCGCCACCACACCCAGCTAATTGCTTTCAATTTTTGGTAGAGACAGGGTCTAACTATGTTGCCCAGGCTGGTCTCAAACTCCTGGCATCAAGTGATCCTCCAGCCTTGGCCTCCCAAAGCGCTGGGATTATAGGCGTGAGCCACCACACCCAGCCAGTAATCTTTTTTAAAGAAAGAAGAAATATTCCTCTTATCATCAAGTGAGATAATATTTATATAAGGAGTTTATAATCTCTGAAGCACAACACATTAGTGCCTTGTCTTCATTTATGTCTTCCCTGAAATGGTGTCATAAAGCACTCTCAGAGCCCTGCTTTCTACCGGGACACCTGTGTGGTCCCCTCAGGGAGCTGATCTCACCAAGCATACAGCATCCCAATTCTGTACTGTACACGCTCAGCTCCTGTACCTGCACACAAAGAGCATTTCGGGATAGGCTTGCTTCAGTACTTTGCTCAGCTGTGTTCTCTCTTGTCTCTGCAGTTCTGAATGACATCATCTCCACCATGTTCAATAGAAAGTTTATGGAGGAATTATTCAAGCCTCAAGAGCTCTACTCCAAGAAGGCCCTGAGGACTGTCTATGAGCGCCTGGCTCATGCCTCCATTATGAAACTGAACCAGGCCAGCATGGATAAGGTGAGCAGACAGCTGCCTTTGTCATCTTGGTTGCATTTTTTGTACCTTTTGTGGATGATCATAGACTGGGGTCACATGAGATGATGTATGCAATGGTCCTTGCAAGAAACAGGCATGTGTAAATACTAGTAGTTGTTGAGTTTCAGAGTGGGAAAGACCTCAGAAATCATCCACAACAACCCCTCTGTTGTTTATGACATTCCACCTGCCCAAAGAGAGTGCTGGGTTTTATTTGTTTGATTTGTTTTGGGTGTTTTTTTGTTTTTGAAATGGGGTCTCACTCTGTTGTCCAGGCTGGAGTGCAGTGGTACAATCATAGCTCACTGCGGCCTTGATCTCCCAGGCTTGAGCAATTCTCCTGCCTCAGACTCCCAAGTAGCTGGGACTACAGGCACATGCCATCACACTGGCTAATTTTTTTTTTTTTTTTTTTTTTTTGAGATGGAGTTTCGCTCTTGTTGCCCAGGCTGGAGTGCAATGGCGTGATCTCGGCTCACCACAACGTCCGCCTCCCGGGTTCAAGCGATTCTCCTGCCTCAGCCTCTCAAGTAGCTGGGATTACAGGCATGCGCCACCATGCCAGGCTAATTTTGTATTTTTAGTAAAGACAGGTTTTCTCCATGTTGGTCAGGCTGGTTGCAAACTCCCAACCTCAGGTGATCCACCCGCCTTGGCCTCCCAAAGTGCTGGGATTACTGGCATGAGCCACCGCGCCTGGCCACACTGGCTAATTTTTAAATTTTTGTAGAAATGGGGTCTCACTTTGTTGCCGAGGCTGGTCTGGAACTCCTGGGCTCAAGTGATCTTCCTGCCTCAGTCTCCCAAAGTGCTAGGATTACAGGTGTGGGCCACTGCACCCAGACAAGAGTGCTGGCTTTCATGCCCATATTTATGAACCCCAGGAATACATGCCTTAACACAATAAAAGCACTCAACCCTGAGTGGGCATGGTGGCTCACACCTGTAATCCTAGCACTGGGAGGCCGAGACAGGCGGATCACTTGATGTCAGGAGTTCGAGACCAGTCTGGCCAACATGGTAAAACCTCATCTCTTCTAAAATTACAAATATTAGCTGGGTGTGGTGGCATGCACCTGTAATCCCAGCTACTCAGGAGGCTGAGGCAGGAGAATCACTTGAACCCAGGAGGCGGAGGTTGCAGTGAGATGAGATCACACCACTACACCCCAGCCTGGGCGACAGAGTAGGACTTCATCTCAAAAATAAATAAGTAAAATAAATAAACAATTTTTAAAAAGCACTCAACCCCAAAACTTTAATTCTGCCTCATTCTTCACAAATCTCAGCTCTGCAATGTAGAAACCAGATATTTTTTAGAGCAAGTTCAAAAACAGTCTTTACTCATAATGTGAACATATCTATTTCTTTGGGAAACAAAGTATTGGGATGCTGTGATTTTTTAAATAATAATTCCTTCAAGAATATATCTACCTCTGAATAATAATGATAATAATAATAATAATAATTCCACATAAATAAATGGCAGAGGACAGACAAGTCTGTTTAGAAGAATTCCAAATGATTTATGTAGATACTCTGCCCTCAGGGAGGGAGAGTGTAACTCCCCCTCCTTAGGTGGGGGCTGCACTTTAAAGAGTACAGTATGGAAAGGAGGGAAGAAATAATTAGCTTTACAGTAGAGAAACTTGATAAACTACCCCAACCGGATGGTCAAGGTAACATCAACAGTGATGAGTCAGGTTGCCAGTATGTACCCTGACATGATGTGATGAAAATGGAACTTCACCTCTGTGGTCTTCCTCCCCAAAACTCCAAACCCCAGGCTAACCATAAGAAAAACATCACACAAATACTGTTGGTTGGTCATGCTTACAAAATACCTGACCAGTACTCAAAACTATCAAGGTCACCAAAGTCAAGGAGAGTCAGAGAAACTGTCCAGCCAAGAGGAGCCCAAGGACACAGGACAGCAGAATAGAATGTGGTGTCCTGGATGGGATTTCAGAACAGAAATAGGATGTCAGGGGGAAACTAATGAAATCTTTAAAGTTTGGTCTTTAGTTAATGTAAAATATAATAATAATTCCTTTACAACTTCTCCCACCATGTGAAAGAGGACTACCAGGCACAGTGTCTTGCAGCTCTAATATCAGTGCTTTGGGATTGAGGCCAGGAGTTCAACACCAGCTTGGGCAACACAGCAAGACCAAATCTCTACAAAAAAATTTTAAAAGACCAGGTGTAATGGCGTATGCCTGTAATCCCAGCACTTAGGGAGGCCAAGGCAGGAGGATCGCTTGAGCCCAGGAGTTCAAGACCAGCCTTGGCAACATAGCAAGACCCTGTCTCTAAAAAAATAGAGAGGGCCGGGCGCGGTGGCTCACGCCTGTAATCCCAGCACTTTGGGAGGCTGAGGCGGGTGGATCATGAGGTCAAGAGATCGAGACCATCCTGGCTAACATGGTGAAATCTCGTCTCTACTAAAAATACAAAAAAAAAAAAATTAGCCCGGTGTGGTGGTGGGCGCCTGTAGTCCCAGCTACTCGGGAGGCTGAGGCAGGAGAATGGCGTGAACCTGGGAGGCGGAGCTTGCAGTGAGCTGAGATCACGCCACTGCACTCCAGCCTGGGGGACAGAGCAAGACTCCATCTCAAAAAAAAAAAAAAAAATAGAGAGAGAGAGAAAGAAAAATTTTAAAAATCATGATGACTGATGGTGGGAGTTAGACTTGCAGAGTCAGCACTCACTTATTACTGGTACTTAGAAGACTCAGGGAGACAGACTGCCTTTAACTGGGCCCTCTTACCTCTTGCCACTTACCTTTGGAAAGTTACTTTAACTCGGCCAGGCGCGGTGGCTCATGCCTGTAATCCCAGGACTTTGGGAGGCCGAGGCAGGCGGATCACGAGGTCAAGAGATCGAGACCATCCTGGCCAACATGGTGAAACCCCGTCTCTACTAAAAATACAAAAAATTAGCTGGGCATGGTGGCAAGTGCCTGTAATCCCAGCTACTTGGGAGGCTGAGGCAGGAGAATTGCTTGAACCCGGGAGGCAGAGGTTGCAGTGAGCCAAGATCGCGCCATTGCACTCCAGCCTGGGCAAAAAGAGCAAAACTCTGTCTCAAAACAAAAAAAAAAAAGTTACTTTAACTCTCTGAGCCTTCATTTTCTCATCTGTAAAATGAGGATAATAAATGCTACTTCATCAATTATTAGGATAATTAAGTGAGAAACATACCTAGGCCTGGCATATAGCTGTTCAATAAATATTAATTATATTTTCAGTTCTGCTTGCTCTTCTCTCTCTGCCTTTAAAAAAGTTTAGAGACTGAGCACAGTAGCTCACACCTGTAATCCCAGCACTTTGAGAGGCCCAGGTGGAAGAATCACTTGAGCCTGGGAGTTCAACACCAGCCTGGGCAACATAGCAAAAACCCGTCTCTAATATTTTTTAACATATTAAAAAAAAAACCATAGTGAGACCTCATCTCTACTAAAAATTAGAAGAACTAGCTGGTCACACAGTGGCACACAACTGTAGTCCCAGCTACTCAGGAGGCTGAGACAGGAGGATAGCTTGAGCAGGGGAGGTTGAGGCTTCAGTGAGCTGTGTTCACGCCACTGTACTCCAGCCTGGGTAACAGAGTGAGACCCCCATGTCAAAAAAAAAAAAAAAAAAAAGAAAAAGAAAAGAAAAGAAAAGGAAGTTTAAATTTCCATAGAGGAAGGACACAGAACTTAGAATTAAAAAAGCTGAGTTTAAGCCTTAGCTCTACCAGTTACTAGCTGTGAGACCCAATTTACTGAATTACTCTGAACTGGCATTCCTTCATCTTATACCTGTTTTTATTCTTTATTTCTAGCATGGTTTCCTATATACGAGCACTTAATGTTTGACAATGATGGCAGAGTCTCAAATCTGTATCTCCAGTATTGTACTTTCCCAATCCCCATGCACACACACCAGGCTATTCCTGTTTTCTGGGGCTTGTTTTAATTTCTTTTTTTTTTTTTTTTTTTTTTGAGACAAAGTCTCACTCTGTCACCCAGGCTAGAGTGCAGTGGCACTAACTCGGCTCACTGCAACCTCTGCCTCCCAGGTTCAAGCAATTCTCCTGTCTCAGCCTCCTGAGTAGCTGAGATTACAGGCACGCACCACCACACCCGGCTAATTTTTGTATTTTTAGTAGAGATGGGGTTTCAACATGTTGGCCAGGCTGGTCTCGAACTCCTGACCTCAGGTGATCCACCCACCTCGGCCTCCCAAAGTGCTGGGATAACAGGCGTGAGCCACTGCATCTGGCTAGCTATTCTGGTTGTATGCCACCTTCTAAGTGGAAATGTTTGGCTGCAGGTAGGAGAAATGGGATTGTGTAGCAGGGTCCTGGCAAGTGCCTTAGAATCTGATAGTCTTGAGGTCAAATATCATTCTGCACTTACCAGCAATATGAAATTAGGCAAGTTTCCTCATTATTAAACTGGGCTAATACCTACCTCATAGAGTTCTTGTGAAGAATAAATGGGATCAAATGAGGTAATATATATACACGTGCTTGGCATGACACTCAGATGGTAGTTGTTTATCGTTTCAATCCTGCCCCAGACATGTCCTTAAGTTAACCGTCCATCTTCTCTCCTGGCTCTTCCGCTCCCACATCCCTCAGACGTCTTTTCCTCCATCAATAGCATCATCCCTCCCCACCCGCACTAGGCTGAAAAGGTGCAGTCCTTCTGGACAACCCTGATCATCATCCCCCAAATCTAGGCAGTCACCACCTACTGACAGCTTTTCCTTCTAAATATCGCGTGATCTTCCTTTCCCTGACTTCTCCGTTCCCACTATCTTTTTTCCAGGCCTTAAGTCTGGATTGCTCCAACAACATTTCTTTCATTCATGCAATCAGTAGATATTTATTGTAATCTTTTCAGGAACCAGGTGCTAGCTACTCCCCCTAACTAGTCTCTCCCTTCTGTCACAGCTCATCATTGCCAGATCTCGTTCAGTCACCACTTTGATCATGTCAGCCCAGAAAACTTTAACCCCCTAACTTCTACTACATCTAGTCTAAATTATATTGTGTATCTCCCCAAAAACTTTATTCTATTTTTAATAATTCAGCTTTTATTTTATATTCAGGAGGTACATGCACAGGTTTGTTACATGGGTATATTGCGTGATCCTGAGGTCTGGGGTACAAGTGAGCCCATCAGTCAGGTAGTCAGCATAGTACCCAATAGTTAGTTTTTCAGCCCTTGACCCCTACCTCCCTCCCTCCCTCCCCATTCTTGCAGTCCCCAGTTTCTATTGTTGCCATCTTCATTTGCCATACTTACCCAGCTTTATTACCTGCCATCCCCAACACAAACTGTCCTCAGGCCATTCTCCTCTTTCTCCCAGAAAAATAACATACTCATTGCTGCCTCCAGGCCCTCACATGTACTGTTTCCCTCAACTGGAATGTCTTTCCTCTGCCCTCAGCCAATTTAAATCCTGCAGCTGCCTCGAGGGCTATATAAGGCCACTTGTACCACAAAGCCTGCCTTCACCACTTTGGTCCCCACCAGTTCCTCCCTTCTGATCTTTCATGTATGGTCATACCACACCTATGTGGAGATGGCTTGTTGATATCCACATAGTTCATCATTTAAAATGATTCTTATAAAGTTGTAGAACTCTATGCTTGCCACTTGCACACATATTGCCTCATTTATTGCTCTCAGCACCTCTGCAACATTGGGAAATTAGAGAGTATTTTTTTACAGATGAGAAAACTCAGGCCCAAAGAGGTTAAGAAACTTGGCCAAGGTTATACAATAAGTTAGGAGGAAAGGAGTACTTAAATTTGCATTTTCTTTCTCCAGATCCAGTGCTCACTTTGGGACTCCGCTGCTGCCAATATTATTTCAGACGTATCCCATTAACAATACACATCAGGTGACCAGAAATCCTGGTTTGCCCAGGAATGTGCTGGCTTACTCCTGTTTTCCTGGCTTAATTATTAAAAGCACCCGCCTTGACTCTCAGAAGTGTCTTGGTTTGGGTGATAAGTGATATGGTCCCCCGAGCTGTATGGCAAGCCCAGAGTTGGTTTTCAGTAAATGCTTGACTGAATCACTGTTTGGAGATTCTCACACCTGATTTTGATATGATCCCATTTCTTTTGCTTGTGTGTGGGTTGGCAGCTCTATGACCTGATGACCATGGCTTTCAAATATCAAGTATTGCTGTGTCCCCGACCCAAGGATGTGCTGCTGGTCACTTTCAATCACTTGGATACCATCAAGGGATTCATCCGAGACTCCCCAACCATCCTGCAGCAAGTGGACGAGACTTTGCGGCAGCTGACAGAAGTAAGAGTGCCATCAGTGTCTCGCCTCTCAGCCCCAGTACTTTTTCTCATCCCTCTGTTAAGAACAGGTAGATCTATGACAGAGAGAACAGGATGAGGAATGGCAAAGCCTGCCACTCTCCCAGAACATTCTGAAAAGCAATCCGTGTCCATTTTGGTAATGTAACAGGCATCATCATCTTATGTCCTCTTACTGATGCCTTCACAATTGGAAAAGCAATATACAGAGCATAGCCATTTTCTCCTCACTTTTCGGAAAGGGACTTGGTGGTGGATGTTCTGCTAAATCTTGGGGAACAGGCTCTCCAGGTCTGTGGAGAATGGGAGACAGGAAGTGTACCCCTGCTCAGGTGTGGGGTAACAGGCTTTGTCACCGTGGAGAGGCAGCACTGCTGGTCTCCCCGCTGCCCCTCCTGCCCAGCAGCCCAGTCCTCTCCTTACCTATCTGGCTCCCATCCCTGAGTACCCATCTGCCCTGCCGGTGCGTACTACTCATCCCTCTTGGAAAGTGAAGTGCTGCTTTCTGCTTGCCTTTGGCAGATATATGGTGGTCTCTCTGCAGGGGAGTTCCAGCTGATCCGGCAGACACTCCTCATCTTCTTCCAAGACCTGCACATCCGAGTAAGTCAATAGGCAGCCCTGGGAACACTCAGGAGCTGCTGTACCAGGGAAACAACCCTGGTAGTCATGAGGGCAAACAAGGACGGAGATTTTGCCCAGTTAGTGATGTCCTCAGGGTTTGCCTCTCTAATGATAAAGATATTGATAATACATCTCAGCAGTTTTTAAATGGACCAAGGAAGACAGTGATGCTGCCATTCTTTTTTGATTACCTTGTGAGTTTCTTGGAAATATAGTTTCTTCTGTTACTTCTCCAGAGGAAATATGCTGTCAAGTCAACAGCCTGATCTCAACTGCAAAACCTTTTGTTGAGCTGTATCCTCCTTGACCTCTCCAGTACTGACACTGTCAGAAGGCTGCCCCTCCTCCATGGAACTCTCACCTTTCCAGGTCTTTCATGGCTCTGTACCATCCTGGGCTTCCCTTCCCTTCCCTCTCCCATCTCAATGCCTCTTACTCCTTCCTCTCCCGCCATCTGTCTCCAAACCTTACTCCTGTCTCTACCCACCTCCTGCTAATTAGGCATCTCCTTCCTCACCCTTTTGTCTACCAACTCCTCTGCCTGTGACTCCTGAGTCTAACCTCTACTCTACCCTGGCCCCACCCCTGCCCTCCAGACTCACATCTCCACCACCTTGCTGAAACTTCCCACCAGGATGCCCACCAGTGCCTACAACTTGCTGTCTGTAGCTAAACTAATCTCCACAGTTCAGGTGCTGCCCTGACTTTCTCATTTCTTTTGAGGGCACCACCACCATTCTCCTACTCACTTGACTCAGAACCAGAATGTCACCTTTGATTCCCCTTCCCTGATCTTCATCCAATTGCTTCTAAGACCCATAGAGTCGGCGGAGCGCAGTGGCTCACGCCTGTAATCCCAGCACATTGGGAGGACAAGGTGGGCAGATCACCTGAGGTCAGGAGTTTGAGACCAGCCTGGCCAACATGGTAAAACCCCATCTCTACTAAAAATACAAAAGTGAGCCGGGCATGGTGGCAAGCACCTGTAGTCCCAGCTACTCAGGAGGCTGAGGCAGGAGAATTGCTTGAACCCAGGAGGCGGAGGTTACAGTGAGCCGGGATCGCACCACTGCACTCCAGCTTGGGCGACAGAGGGAGACTCCGTCTCAAAAACAAACAAACAAACAAAAATAGAGTCGGCCTTGTCAATATCTACACCCTCTTTTCCTTTTTTTTTGAGGCAGTGTCTTACTATGTTTCCCAGGCTGGTCTCTAACTTTTGGGCTCAAATGATCCTCCTCCCTCAGCCTCTCAAAGTGCTAGGATTATAGGTGTGAGCCACCATGCCCTGGCACGCCTTCCTCTCCATCCCTGTTGCCACCATCCTGGCTCAGGCCCTCATACTCTTGTGGGCTATGCTTCCCAACTGGGCCCCTCTCCTCCTGCCTTGCCTACATAGCTAGGCAATTCTACATCCTAACTTTTAAAAACACATTTTCTAGCCAGGCACAGTGGCTCATGCCTGTAATCCTAGCACTTTGGGAGGCCAAGGTGGACGGATCACTTGAGCCCAGGAGTTTGAGACCAGCCTGGGCAACATGACAAACCCCATCTCTACCAAAAATACAAAATTAACTGGGCAAGGTGGTGCGTGTCTGTATTCCCAGATATTTGGGAGGCTGAGGTAGGAGGATCACTTGAGCCCAGGAGGTCAAGGCTGCAGAGAGCCAAGATCATGCTACTAGGCTGGGCGCAGTGGCTCACGCCTGTAATCCCAGCACTTTGGGAGGCCGAGGCGGGTGGATCACGTGGTCAGGAGTTTGAGACCAGCCTGGCCAACATGGTGAAACCCCGTCTCTACTAAAAATACAAAAATTAGCCAGGCGCCTTTAATCCCAGCTACTCGGGAGACTAAGGCAGGAGAATCGCGTGAACCTGAGAGGCAGAGGTTGCAGTGAGCTGAGTTAGTGCCACTGCACTCTAGCCTGGGCGACAGAGCAAGACTCCATCTCAAAAAAAAAAAAAAAATCATGCTACTGTGCTCCAGCCTGGGCTGAGACCCTGTCTCAAAAAAATAAATAAATAAATAAAAATAAAATAAAAACACATTTCTGAAGCCTCGGCAACATGGTAAAACCCCATCTCTACAAAAACAAAAATTAGCCAGGCATGGTGGCGCATGCCTATAGTCCCAGTTAGGAGGCTGAAATGGGAGGATGGCTGCAGTGAGCCATGGTGGATCCATGATTCAGACCAGGTGTCAGAGCGAGACCATGTCTCAAAAAAAAAAAAAAAAAAAAAAAAATTCTAAGCTTCTGAATTTTGAATGTGTCTCTCTTGGACAGGGCTTTGTTTCCTGCCACAATTTAACCAACTGATGTGGGAAAGATGGTATGATATGGTAAAACAAGCCCAGGCTCTGGAGCCAGACATGTTTCTCTTTTTTTTTTTTTTTGAGACAGGTTCTCATTTTGTTGCCCAGACTGGAGTATGGTGGCACAATCATGGCTCACTGCAGCCTCAATCTCCTGGGCTCAAGTGACCTTCCACCTCAGCCTCTCGAGTAACTGGGACTACAGGAGCATGCCACCACGCCTGGCTAATTTTTTGTATTTTTTGTAGAGACAGAATCTTGCTTTGTTGCCCAGGTTGGTCTTGAACTCCTGAGCTCAAGCAATCTGCCTGCCTTGGCCTCTCAAAGTGCTGGGATTACAAGTGTGAGCCACTGTGCCCAGCTTCACCTTTCTCTTTGAATCTCAACTCCAGAGCTGGCCACAGTGGCGAGTGCCTGTAGTCTGAACTACTTGGGATATTGAGGCAGGAGGATCACTTCAGCCCAGGAGTTCAAGACCATCCTGGGCAACATAGTGAGACTCTGTCCTTAAAATAAAATGTTTTGTTTTTGAGACAGAGTCTCACTCTGTCTGGAATGCAGTGGCACAATCTCGGCTTACTGCAACCTCCACCTCCCGGGTTCAAGCAATTCTCCTGCCTCAGCCTCCCAA